>NC_000007.14:126256779-126881779 GCF_000001405.40 Homo sapiens
GTGTGGTGGTGGGCACCTGTAATCCCAGCTACTTGGGAGGCTGAGTCAGGAGAATCGCTTGAACCTGGGAGGCAGAGGTTGCAGTGAGCTGCGACTGCACCATTGCACTACAGTATGGGTGACAAAGCGAGAGTCCGTCTCGAAATAAATAAATAAATAAATAAATAAATAGTGAAGATACCAGTAGTGATAAAGACTAGATCTTTGTTACCTGGGGGGAAAAATGTTTAGCTACTAAATCAAATACTCATATTAAGTTCATCATCCTGGCTCTGGTGTACTTTTTAGATCCTGCATTGCATGAAATTTCCCAGGGTCTGATCATGATTTTCCCAGACTGATATGACCTCAATTTACCTGGATTAAGACTAGCCTTAGTTTCACTTCTTGTTGATACCAACTTCCCCAACTCCAATATTTACAACTTGTGCTTTGGTAATGCACCTATTTCTGGACCCAACTTTACAGTTCCTTCTTTTGATGTCTGCTGGTAGATTTCTACCATTCCATTCTAGGATAGAATGAGATCCCCAAACCACTTACATGTTAATATGACCTCCTAAAAATCTGTTTCAGTTAATGAACCCACAATAGGTGATCACCTCGTCCACTCAGTTCTTGTACTTCTTGAGAACTAGTTGATATCATCAGTAAATCTCGGAGAGAAAACAGAACTTCAACTTCAGTAAGAATATGTTAAGATTTCTTTTATAGAAGTAAAGTTGGTTCCCATTTGCATACCTTTCTTTGGCAAGATTAAGATTTGATAATAGAAATGCTTTTTGGATGGGCTTAATCAAATCTAAATGGCCACCAAGGAACAAGGCCTTCAGTGCATAAAAGCAAAATCAATAGCTTCCTATCTTGTGTGATTTGAAGTGCTTGGAGAAAGTGGCACATACAAACCCTTCCTTGATTGACTTTACCAGCTGAATTACAATCCAGATACTACTCACATATACAACTCCCATTTTAAAAATGGGAGTCCTTTGTATGACATATACATGTTATCTGAGAAGGTAAGCTTTAAGTCATTTTTTCAGCCATCTACTTATTTCAGCCATCTACTCAATATTTGGCAGGATCTTAGAGACTTGCTTATCAGTTTTGATAGAACAGAAGGCAAGACGAGTACAGTAGAGTAGCATCTTTGGGGATTATCCCTAAAGGCTGAGCATTTATGGCCAACTTTAGAAGACCCATCAGGCAGAAAGAGTAGGGAGCAGAAAAAGAGGATACAGAAGGATGAAAATAAAAACTTAAAATAAATTTTGCATGCCTCAAAGCTGGGGCATATTTTACAGTTTTGCAGATGTTACAGAATTATTTTAGAGATGTTTTTGGATTCATCTCTTCAGTCTATATGTATGCAAGTCAATAATAGCTGAACAATTTGATGCAGCATTTATATGTTTTCATCATATTTGATGCAGCATTTATTCCTGCTTACATGTCTTTAAGGCAACACTTGAATCTATGACATTGCCAGATCATAGAGAGATACCAGTGTGCTATTTCACTCAGCATTCTGGCTGCTTAATCTTTGCTGAACAAGGGAGCTTCCTGATTCATCCCTCTATATAATACAGGTATTTTTATGTTCAGATTGTGCTTGGTTCCAACTGATACGATCTAAGTATGTATAAATTTTTTTCTTTATCCATGTTGTACAGATATTAGTATCTGAGTGAAGAAAAATGAGACAGATAAGTTCAAAGTTAGTTTTTAGTATCATTTATTTTTTCCAACCAAATAATTTTTTTTTCTTCATGCTCTGCAGAAAGTTGCAGAGCATGAAGAGCTGGGCGCAGTGGCTCACGCCTGTAATCCCAGCACTTTGGGAAGCTGAGGCGGGCAGATCACGAGATCAGGAGATGGAGACCATCCTGGCTCACACGGTGAAACCCCGTCTCTACTAAAAATACAAAAAAAAATAGCCGGGCGTGGCGGCGTGCGCCTGTAGTCCCAGCTGCTGGGGAGGCTGAGGCAGGAGAATGGCGTGAACCCGGGAAGTGGAGCTTGCTGTGAACTGAGATCTCACCACTGCACTCCAGCCTGGGTGACAGAGCGAGACTCCATCTCAAGAAAAAAAAAGAAAGTTGAAATATGGTCTTTGGGGCAAAAGAGAGACAAGGAGATGCTGTCATGTCTGTCTCATCTCTTTTCTCAGGGTGTGACTAAGAGACTCAAACCACATCAACTGTTGCCAGGATTGCTCCAGGCAAAATCATGAAATCATGATATTAACAGCATTAATGCACAAACTGACTGCTCAGTAATCATTTCTTAACATGTCCTTCTTTATTCAGGGTAAAATCAAGTAAGTTTAAGTCACTAGGCCACATTCAAAGTATGTGATCTACTGAGGTGAGTGAGAACTAGTTTGTCTCCTTTGAGCATCATGTGAAATCCATAAAGCCATGCCTTTTTTAGGAGTAGGAATACTCAATCTGAGGAACAGCTTAAGTGAACATATACTTAGCGTGAAGTGAACATTCTGCACTTACCCAATTATTGGTCTCATTTCTAAAAACCCACCTAGGATTACTATGTTAAGTTGCATCTCCATTATGGTCACCCGGTTGTGTTCTTTCCAAAATTCTGTCTGCCACTGCACTGTCAACTGCCCACGCAAATAATTGTGGCCAAAAGGGAATTATGTCATTATTCAATTAAGAAGTACATCTTAACGGCTGGGCGTGGTGGCTCACGCCTGTAATCCCAGCACTTTGGGAGGCCGAGGTGGGTGGATCACGAGGTCAGGAGATTGAGACGATCCTGGTTAACATGGTGAAACCCCATCTCTACTAAAAATACAAAAAAAAATTAGCTAGGCGTGGTGGCGGGCACCTGTAGTACCGGCTACCTGGGAGGCTGAGGCAGGAGAATGGCGTGAACCTGGGAGGCGGAGCTTGCAGTGAGCCAAGATCAGGCCACCGCACTCCATCCTGGGCGACAGAGTGAGACTCCGTCTCAAAAAAAAAAAAAAAAAAAAAAAAGAAGCACATCTTGAAATCCATATGATACGAAACATATTACAGGTCCATTTTACACTGTTTGCTCTCTTAGAATATGCACCAACCAAATAACCTCAAATAGTAAATTTTTCAAGGTAGAAACTAATTACATGATGAGTTGCACATAACATTACCGCTCCAAAGAAAAGCTAACATATTTGTCAATTTTGAAGTCTTAGTGCAGATTCTATAGTCTCTAATGTATATGACTGGTAGAGAATTGGTAGGGGTAAGGTGATATTCTGGTCTTTCACTAGCTTAAGCCAAACAAATAATTACAATGAGCTAGATGACTTCAAATGAGTGACACTGTTCTGTATTTAGCAGCTCCCAGTCTTGAAATATTATCCTTCACTCTCATATGTTCTTTTACTGGTACTTAAATAATCTTGATTATTTTTCTGAGACCATAAAGGGTATTCTGTACATCTTCTGCAGGCTTGCTTTCCTTCTCACATCCATAAGTGAGAATGTCCCCAGATACTCAATTCTTAGCCCTGAATTCTAAAATTTTTCTAAGTTTTCTGCATGTGCTATATATTGACAGTGAAACAAATATTTCTTATTTCAGATGTTTCTTTTCCATAGGGAAGGAGATCCATTAGCATATCCTGTTCTTTCTATCTTTATCAATCCTTGTGCCTTTTATGGAGATTTAGCTTGATTCTAATGGGCAAAACAAGGAATTTTTCTTAAGACTGGCTCTACCTGTCATAGCCCCTCCCACTCTTCTTTTCTGCTGAGAATGGTCTGTTATATTCATCTGGACTTTTCATTCAAGACAGTTAGTCATAAAGTAAATGGATTGACTTTGAAAATTAAAAAAAAAAATCCCTAAAACTAAAAAATTCACGGGAAGACTTAACAAGAATCATAAAAAGATCTTTCAACTTTTCATTGATTATCTTTGTATAAAACAATGTAAATTTTCAAGTGTATCAGTACAGAAACTTTTTGTGATCCATTAGATGTTTGTACATTTTGCCTCTAAGCCTCTTTTCAATCCTGGAATCCCCTTTGCAGGAGGTGACACTTTTGATCATACAAGAGTTTTTCTTTTTTTTTTTTCTAGTAGTTTTCTTGCTTTTTTCTCTATTCTGATATTTTCACTAATTTTTCACATTCCCTAAAGTTCTATGTAGCCAGTTCTAGGTTTCAAATCTACCTTGAAATTTATGCAGACAGCTAGCCAGTAGCAAATTATCTATGTTTGCTTTACCACATAGCAGTTTGAGGGATAGTGAATCATTTGTTAGACAAGATTATAATGCCCAAAGCAACTCCACATAAGTGAGAAAGAAGAAACTATTCTTCAGGCTTGCAATTCAAGTTAACTGGACCAGAACAATACAGCTATGGAGGCAATGCCATAAAGTTGTCTGCTCCCAACATCATTTCAAATTTGAAAATATCTATATCCCAAATCCTTAAAGTTACGTTATGTTAAATTATCAGAGAAAGATGCCAGGCTCTAGCCATTTGAAAAGTGATTTCAATTTATATAACTATTTAATTTATGCAAAGGTTAAAACTGATATTGTTTGACAGAAATTATTAATTATGTCCTTCACAATGTAGTTCAAGCAATGGAAAGGAATAAGAAATTGTCTGTTTCCATAGACAGTCACTAGCAAAGCAGAGATAGAAATCAGACACCTTCAATGAGTTAAATATTCTGAGAATTTTCTATATTATGGAAAAACAGTCTCTTATGAAAGCTTTTTAAAGAAAATAATAAACACGACATAATCCTTTTTTCTTAACTATAAGAGAGACTTATTCTAAATATACATACATAAGTATATTCTATATTTTAGAAATTATTAAACTTGAAATATTTAAAACAACATAATATTTTGAACATACATTAATTTATTCGCAATAAAATCCCTAATTTGTTTTTAAATATATCTGCTTAAAGGAGGAAGGGTGACTATATAAAATAAGATTGCAACATAAAGCTACAAGGCTCAAGAAAAAAGTAAGAAGAAAACAGAATGTGAAAATAGATACTGGTGAAGTTCAAGAAACAGAGAAAGAAGGAAAAATCATCACAGTAATTAATACCATATAAGAAGCAACGCAATGGAAAACAAGCACTTTTAAACTATACAATAAGGCCACGTAGAACAAGCCTCAGAGAAAATGAAATTGAAAATGAAATGAAAAATAATACAAAAGTAAAAAGAATAGATTAATAGCAATCACTAGAGCCAACAGGTGACAGCTAACTCACATGTAAAAGGTGTCTCCACAAAAGAAAACTAAAAAAATGAAAGAAAAATATGTAAAGATTCAACTAGATGAAATTTTCTTGAGCTTAGAGCTAGGAGATTAAAAGAATGCAACATGTTCAAAGAAAAAGTGACAGAGAGAAATCAAACTGAGGTATAAATTAATAGACATATAGGGTTTTAAAGATTTTTTAAAAAATATTTGGACATTTAGACAAAGAACTTAAATAAAATAATCAGACTTTTGTTAATATAGAAAATAGCAGGGTAATTATTACAAAATCCTCATGGAAAGAAAGTGTGAGTCCCTCAGAATTTCCTATCCTGAATAAGAGAAGAAGCAATAGACAATACATTTACTCATTCAAGATGCAATGATTTTTGTATGTGGTGAGAGATAAGGGTCTAGTTTTATTCTTCGGCATGAGACTTTCTATTTTCCCCAACACTACTTATTGAGAAAAGTATCTTTTCCCCAGTGTATGTTCTTGGCACCTTAATTGAAAATCAGTTTGCTAGAAATACGTGGACTTATTTCTGGGTTCTTTATTTTTTTCCATGGGTCTATGTGTTTGTTTTTATACCAATACCATGCTGTTTGCTTACTATAGCTTTGTGCTTTTTGTATTACAGTACATTTTGAGGTCAGGTAGTGTGATGCCTCTAGCTTTGTTCTTTTTGTTCAGAATTGTGTTTGTTATTTGATGTTTTTCATGGTTACATGAAATTTCAGACTTTTTTTTATTTTTGTGAAGAACATCATTGGTGTTTTGATAGGGATTACATTGAATCTGTAGATTGCTTTTGGTAGTATAGTCGTTTTACAATAATTATTTTTCCAATCTATGAACCAGGAATATATTTCAATTTTTTGTGTTCTCTTCATTTTTTTAATCAGAACTTTATGATTTTCATTGTAGAGATATTTCACCTCTTTAATTAAATGTATTCCTAGCAATTATTTTGTGTGACTGTTGTAAATGGGATTGCTTTATTGATACCTTTTTCAGGTAAATCCTGTTATTGGTCAAAAGAAATGCTAACTTTTATGTGTTGATTTTGTACGCTATGACTTTACTGAATGTATTCATCAGTTCTAAGCATATTTTGTGGGATCTAGGTTTTTCGATAGATAAAAAATGATGTCTCCAGAGGGGCAATATGACTTCCTTCTTCCCAAGTTGGATGCACTCTATGTCTTTCTTCTGCCTAATTGCTCTGCAAGAACTTCCAGTACTATATTGAATAAGAGTGGTAAAATTGAGCACCTTTGTCTTTTCAAGTTATTTCTTGTTCAGTGTGACACTACCTACAGGTTTGTAATATATGGCCTTTATTGTGTTGAGGTACATATTTCTATACCTAATTTGTTTAAAGTTCTTACATAAAGGAAAGTTTAATTTTATAAAATGCTTTTTCTGCGTCTTTGAGATGATCATATAATTTTTTTCTTTATTCTGTGGATGTGATGATGTAGCATATTTATCAATGAATCATCCTTGCCCCGTGAGACAAATTGCACTTAGTCATAGTATATTATCTTCTTGATGTACTGATGGATTCAGTTTGCTAGTATTTTCTTGAGGATTTTTGCATTTTTTGTTTTCAATCATATGTGGAAGCTAAATAAGTAATCTCATAGAAGTGGAGAGTAGAATAGTGGTAACTGGAGGCTGATAAGGCTAGCAGGGAGGAGGGGATAAGAATTTGGCTAATGGATATAAAATTACAACTAGATAAAAGGAATAAATGTTGGTATTCTACAGCACTGTAGGGTGATTATAGTTAACAATTATTTATTCTCTATTTTTAATAGCTAAAAGAGAGGATTTTGAATGTTCATTATAAAGAACTAACTATTTGAGATTATGTATATTCTAATTACCCTAATTTGATCATTACACATTGTATACAGGTATAAAAATATCACTGGACCCCCATAGATATGTAAAATTACTATGTAAATTAAAAATAATTTTATAAAAATGCTATAAAATATAGTGATCATAAGTCCTCCTTGAAAAGACCAAGAGGACAAATCAGCCATGGAACACATGAATAAACAAATCTGTGACAAAGGAATAAAGAGATCTGTGACATGAATAAAGAAATTGGTGACAGAAAACTGGCAGTAAACATTGAATATATTTAAATATAGGGCTAAGTTTAAATTTCAATGGAAATTTTTCTTACATAAAAATAAAATTTTAGAAATTACAAATTTATGTTTTATAATTTATATTCTGAAAATATAGAAAAGGTGAGAGGGATGAGGTATAGGAAGGGAGAGGCAAATATATTTAAAATTAGCAAATTAAGCATTACAAATATGGACATATATTTTATCTCTACAGGAAGCCACTAGTGAACTAAAAATATAACATCCTAAGAATATAATAAATTAGCCTCAGGAAGGGGAGAAAGTAAGGTAGAAGGCAGTAGAAGTATACTTATGTCATTACCTAGAGTGGAGAATTAATACATACTCTCAAAAAATAAAAAATTATACACTATAATATTGCTCTATAAAGTTCACCAAAAAAAAAAAAAAACTGAAATTTTCTGTAAGAGCACATGGCACAAAACAAAGCAAAATAAGAACCATCTTACAGTGAAAGAAAGATGAAGAAGAAAGGTAAGAAGAGAAGGTTGGGGGGAATCAAAAGCAAGAAACACTAGTATCGAAGTGAGGTCAGCAAGATGGTATAATAAGAGGTCCTCCACCTGTAAACTCTCACAATAATAATTTGACAGTCAGCCACCAAATCAAAGTGCCTTGTGGGAGCTTTGGGATCCAGGTAGGAGGGTGCAAAACCCAGGTGAGTCCAAGAATGAGGAAGGTCGATTTGAGAAGGTAGGCCTGTGTCCAAATGGCAGACTTGCTGATGATGGCCTTGGCTGCAGACACAAAAACAGTTCTGTCCCCATGTGAACTCAGATGTAGCCTTAATTTTCCGTGCTCTGCCACCAGCAACCTCCAATAAAAGACCTTGGAGAAGCTATACCTGCCCATGTCTTGGGTAACAGGTCCACCAAACTCTGTTCTGGCCATAGAACACGAAGCAGCTCGTGACTCTGGTTCAGTCCTTCTCAGCTGCAGCCTGGACGCAGCCCTGCTCATCCAGAGACCTGAATGGAGATGCACTCATTCATAACTCTACACCTAAGCCCCACAGACCTCTGCCTACAGAAGCAGCCCTCTGACCCACCACCAGCCCCATTCAGCCATTGTCTGGGGGAAGTCCTGTTTCCCCTACCCATGAACCTGCCAGAAGTCCTGCCTGTCTCCTCTCCCAAAGGGAGGCAGGAGAATTGCTTGAACCCAGGAGGTGAAGATTGCAGTGACCCGAAATTGCACCACTGCACTCCAGCCTGTGTGACAAAGCAAGACTCTGTCTCAAAAAAAAAAACAAAGTTCCCTATAAACAAAAGCTAAGGGAGTTCATTTCCACTAGACCTGCCTTAAAACAAAAGGATGCTAAGTAACAACATGAAAACCATGAAATTATAAAAATCATTGTTAAACATAAACGTATACTCAAATTTAGAATAATAGCGTAATAGTGTTGCATAAATCAATTTTAACTCTAGCATAAAAATTAAAAGTCAAGAGTATTAATAATAACTGTGGCTGCAATAATTTGTTGATGGATACACAATATGAAAGATATATGGTGTGACAGCAACAGCATAAAATGTGGGGAGGAGTAAAAGTGTCAAGCTTTTGTATGTGATTGAAGTTTAGCTGTTTTCAGTTTAAAATAAACTCTGTAACTATAAAATGCTCTATGTAAGCCTCATAGTAATCACAAAGAAAACTTCAAGCAGATACAGAAAAGATAAAGAAAAAAGAATTAAAGTGTATTACTACAAAATATCAATAATGTCAAAAGAAGACAGCCAGAAAAAAAGGCAGTGGGTTGCTGGAGGGAAGCAACAAAGCAGTCAGAAAACAAAGTGGCAATTGTATATCCTTACATATGAATAATTATTTAAATATAAGTGCATTAAATTTTTAATAAAAAATACAGAATGGATGAATGAAATAATAAACAAGATCCAACAATATGTTGCCTACAAGACATTCACCTTAGCTTAAAGAACACACATAAACTGAAAGGGAAGGCATGGAAAATGATGTTTTATTCAAATGGTAACCAAAACAGAGCAATGGTGGGAATACTTATCTCAGACAAAATAGACTTTAAATCAAAAACTGTAACAAGAGACAAAGAATATCTCTTTATAATGATAAAGTGGTAATTATTGCCAGAGGATATATCAATTGTAAACATATAGGCATACAACACTGGAACAGCCAAATACAAACAAAAATATTAACAGAACTGAAGTGAGAGGTAGGCAGCAATATAACAGTAGTAGGGACCTACAATATTCCACTTTCACCAGTAGATAAATCATTCATAAAGAAAATCAATTTAAAAAACAGAGAACTTAAGTACTATAGACCAAAAGCACCTAACAGACGTTACAGAGCATTGCATGAAACAGCAGCAGAATATACATTTTCCTGAAGCACATCTGGAACACTTTCCAAGAGAGATCATGTGTTAGGCCACAAAACAACTCTTAAAAAATTTAAGAAGATTGAAATCTCATGGAGTATCTTTTTTGACCACAATGGTATAATACTGGAAATAAATAACAGGAGGACTCTTGGAAAATTCACAAATAAGTGGAAATTAAACAACACCCTCCTGAACAACCAATAGGTCAAAGAACTCAAGTGGGAAGTAACAATGTATCTTGAGACAAATAAAAGTGAAAACATAACATACCAAAACTAATGGGAAGCAGCAAAAGTAGCATGAAAGAGAAATACATAATGATAAATGTCTACATTAAAAAAGAAATATCTCAAAAAAACAGCATCTCTTTATATGTCAAGAAACTAGAAAAATAACAAACTAAGCCCACAGTTAACAGGAGAAAGTAATAAAGATTAAAGCAGAAATAAATAGAGAGTAGGAAGACAACTGAAAAGATTTTTTTTTAAACTGTGTTTTTTAAAAAAGATAAACACAAAGACAAGTCTTTAGCTTGACTAATGAAAAAGAATAAAATTATATTGCAAGAGGAGATACTATAATTTATTCAATAGAAATACAAAAAATCATGAGACTACTATGAAAATTATATTCCAACAAATTGGATAATCCAGGAAAACATCAATAACTTCCACAATAATGGATGTTTTAAATACAACTAACCAAGACTAAATTATGAAAAAAATAGAAAATCTGAACCAGAGCAATAATAACTAAAGAGATCAAAGCAGTAATCAAAAACCTTCCAACAAAGAAAAGTACAGGACCAGATGGCCTCACAGATGAATTTTACCCAACAGTTAAAGAATTAATGCCAATCCTTCTCAATTTTTCAAAATCTAAAGAAGGGGAACACTTCCAAACTAATTTTATGAAGTCAGCATTACCTTCATACCAAAGCCAGATAAGGACAGTACAATAAAAAAAATTGCAGGCCAATGTTCCTCATTAACATAGATGCAAAAAGCTTCAACAAAATACCAGCAAATCAAGTTCAACAGCATGATAAAATGATGATACACCATGATCAATTGGGTTTTATCCCTGGAGTGCAAGGATGTTTTGACATATACAAATCAATAAAAATAATACACTACCTTAAGAGAATGCAAGATACAAATCACATGAGCATCTCAATAGATGCAGAAAAAACATTTGACAAAATTCAACATCCTTTTATGAGAAAAATTCTCAACAAGTTAAGAATAGAAATAATGTACCCTAACCTAATAAACACCTTATAAAACAAGCCCATAGCTAATACTATACTCAATGGAGAAAAATATTTCTCCTAAGATCTGGAATAATACAAGGGTACTCACTCTTATTTATTTTATTCAACATAGTAGTAAACTCCCTGGACAGAGAAGTTGGCAAGAAAAAGAAAGGAAAGTCATCCAAATTTAAAAGAAAAAAGCTAAATCTTCTGTGTACTGATGATACGACTTTATATATAAAATTTCCTGAAACTCCACCCAAAACAATTAGAACTAATAAATGAATTGCAGGGTACAAAATTAACATATAAAAATCAGCTGTGTTTCTGTTATGAACTATCCAAAAATGAAATTTCAATAGCATCCCAAAAAGCAAATATGTAGGAATAAACTTAACCAAGAAGGTGAAAGACCTGTACACTGAAAACTATAAAACCCTGATGAAAGAAATTAAATGAGACACAAATAAAATGAAAAGGCCTCCTGTGTTCATGGGTTGGAAGACTTAAAAAAATGTTCATACCATCAAAAACAATCTACAGATTCAATATTACCCCATAAAAAAATCCAATCATATTTTGTACAGAAATAGAAAAAAAAATGCTAAAATTTATGTGGAACCACAAAAGACCCAGGAGAGGCAAAGTGATCTAGAGAAAAAAGAAAAAACTGGAAGCAGTACATTTTCTGATTTCAAAATATATTACAAAGCAACAGTAATTTAAAACAGTATGTTCCTGTCACAAAGACACATAGGTCAATGGAGCAAAACAGAGATGCCAGAATTATACCCGTACATATGCAGTCAAGTGATTTTTGACAAAGGCGCCAATAAAAGATAATTTGAAAAGACAGTCTCTTCAATAAATAGTGTTGAGAAAACTGGATGTTCACGTATAAAAGAATGAAATTGGATTTTTATTGTGTACCATACACAAAAATGAGCTTGTAATGGG
Organism: Homo sapiens; assembly: GCF_000001405.40. Lineage (NCBI taxonomy): Eukaryota > Metazoa > Chordata > Mammalia > Primates > Hominidae > Homo > Homo sapiens. The sequence goes on from NC_000007.14 coordinate 126,268,772, forward strand.
TTAAAGACTTAAAAGTAAAAATCTGAAGCCATAAAACTCCTAAAAGGAAACATAATAAATAATCTCTTTGACATTGGTCTTGACAGCGATTTTTGGATATGACACCAAAAGTGCAGGAAAGAAAAGGAAAAATGTATAAGCTATATCAAACTAAAAATTTCTGTACAGAAATGGAAACAATCAACAAAATTAAAATGTCAACCCACAGAATAAAAGAAAATACTTGCAGACTATATATCTAATAAGGTGTTAATATCCAAAATATATAAAGAATGAATACAACTTAACAGCAAACCAACAAACAAAACCCAAATAACCTAATTTTAAAAAGGGAAAAGGATCTGAATAGACACTTTTCAAAAGAAGACATACAAATAGCCAACATGCTTATGAAAGCATCCTTAGCATCACTAATCATCAGAGAAATACAACTCAAAACCACCATAAGACAATATCCTACATTTGTTAGGACAGCTATTATCAAAACAAACAAGCAAATCAATAGATAAGTGAAGACTAGAGTGTGAAGAATAGGGAGCCTGTGTACACTGTTAGCAGGAATTTAAATTAGTGCAGTAATTATAGAAAACAGTATGGATATTTCTCAAAAAAATAAAAATAACACTAATATATGATTCAGCAATTCCACTTCTGGGTATATAGCCAAAGGAAATAAAATCATTATCTCAAAGGGGCATTCTTACTCCCACATTCACTGCAGCATTATTCATAATATCCGACATGCAAAAACAATCTGTTTGTCAATGGATGAATGAATAAATAAAATACATACATATATACACACACATATGCAAAATAAAACTATTTATCCATAAAAAGGGAACCCCTACCATTTGCGACAACATGGATGAACCTGGAGGCTACTATGTTAAGTGAAATAAGTCAAGGAGAGAAATAAAAAATACTGTACTGTCTCATGTATTGTGGGGTTTTAAAAAGGGAAACCCACAGAAACAGAGAGTAGAATGGTGAATGCCAGGGACTGGGTGTGAGGGAATGGGGAGGTGTTGGTCAAAGGGTACAAGTTGTAAGATGAATAAATTCTAGGAATCTAACGTACAGCATGGTGACTTTAGTTAAGAATAAAGTATTATAGGCCGGGTGGAGTGGCTCACGCCTGTAATTCCAGCACTTTGGGAGGCTGAGGCTGGTGGATCACGAGGTCGAGAGATTGAGACCATCCTGGCCAATATGGTGAAACCCCATCTCTACTAAAAATACAAAAATTAGCTGGGTGTGGTGGCGCATGCCTGTAGTCCCAGCTACTCGGGAGGCTGAGGCAGGAGAATTGCTTGAACCTAGGAGACAAAGGTTATAATGAGCTGAGATGGTGCCACTTCACTCCAGCCTGGTGACAGAGCTAGACTCCGTCTAAAAAAAAAAAAAAAAAAAAAAAAGAATACTGTATTGTATACTCAAAATTTGCTGAAAGTAGGTCTTAGATGCTCACACACACAAATGGTAACTTTGTGAGGTGATGAATGTGTTAGCCTGATTATGGTAATCATTTCACCATATCAAATCTTTTCACTATATCAAATCATCATGTTTTACACCTTAAATGCAAACAATTTTTATTTGTCAATTATACCTTAATAAAGTTGAAAAAAGAAAGTAGCATAAAGAAGACAACAAAAAGAAAGATGATAATGCTTCGGTCAAATTCACCTATAATAAAAATTAGATAAATATGTTATTCTAATATATACATGTGGAGATTAAGCTTAGCTTACACAGTAAAACCAAGCTATGTGGTTCAGGTAAGAGGTAGTGTCGTGACATGGTCACGAGGACACATGTACAACAGTGGCACTACATTCTGAAAATGTGAAATGAAATATGAATTGTCAACAAAACTCATAGGCAGAGAAGAAACAAAGTGCTTTAGACCTCATCTTTTCGCCATTTTGTAGCAAAGAATATTTCTGGGCTTGACACACCATTGTAAAGGTTATATGAGAGGAAACATGTCCCAAAACACTTTCATATTTACAGAGAAAGGTGGGAAGCAACCATGGGGAATCTTCTAATCAAGGAAATGGCCTTACTAAGCAAGGTCTCCACAGCTCTAACTTACATCAATTTGTTTGTTCAGTCAGATCAATTAAATATTAGAAATACGTATTAGTCAGTTTGGGCTGCTTGAAAACATTTATTTCTCATGGTTCTGGGGACTGGAAACCTGAGATCAGGGTGCCTAGAAGGTCAGGTTCTTGATGAGGCCCCTCTTTTTGCTTATGTTCTCACATGGTCATTCCTTGATGCCAAGGTGAGGTCTTACATCTTTCCCTCTTTTTATAAGGGCATTTATCATGGGCCTCCACTCACATGACCTCATCTAAACCTAATTCTCTCCCAAAAGTCCCATCTCCTATCTTGGGGATAAAGCTCTCTCTCTCTCTCTCTTTCTCTGTCTCTCTCTCTCTCTCTCTCTCTCTCTCTCTCTCTATATATATATATATATATATATATACACACACACACACACACACATATACGTGTGTGTGTGTGTGTGTCTCTATCTCAGATTAAATTTAAATTTACTGATCCAGCTTCTTGCTCAACTACCTAAAGGTGACAGGAGATGAGCCTCCTTCAGGGCATTAGAGTTTATCACCCTAAAAATATCCAGATCAAAATTAGCTGGGTGTGGTGGCACATGCCTTTAATCCCAGCTACTGGGGAGGCTGAGGCAGGAGAATCACTAGAACCCGGGAAATGGAGGTTGCAGTGAGCCGAGATCACGCCACTGCAGTCCAGCTTGGGCGACAGAGAAGGACTCTCTCTCAAAAGAAAAAAAAAAAACAATCTGAGTCTAAATTAATCAAAAGGTTAAAATTCAAAGGATATGTCTAATGAATATATACAGGAGACAAGAGCAAATATTCAAATATCACTTCTTGGTACAATACGAAGGTTTAAACTCAGAACAAATCACATTAGGAAATGGCTTATAAAATTTATAATAGTAAAGGTATAATCCACAAAAATTTCTAACCTTTATGTTCAGCTGTTCTAAAACATTCACGAAAATCAACCTCGTATTAAAATATAAGTACATCATCAATTAATTTACCAAAGTAGAAATAGTATAAATGGCATTATGTGATCATCACATAAGGTAACCAGAAATTACTAGCATTATTATAGAGCAAAGGAAATGAATAAACATGTGAAAATGCTCCATCTGGTAATAATGATAACAACAATAATAATATTAATAATAAACTATCTTAAAATCTTAGGTTGGAGAGAATTAAAATAAAGTCACAAAACATTTAGAGACGTTTTTTGTCTCAGTCAGGTTTGTGAATTTATATAAGGAAATATAAGTAAAGCAATAAAGATAAATGCCTGGTCTTTAAAAATGGATCTATAAGTGCTGGTTTTTATCATAAACTGATGATGATATTGACTAGTATTATTATGAAAGAGTTGACAATGTTTTATAAATTTTGTATTGGTAGCTCTTTGGACAATTTTTATCACTTTTAGGCATCACAAGTATTTGATAATTTTTTTTCAGAATCTAGAATGTGCTCAGGAACTGAGAGTCCAGCACACTGAGTGGCCAATTTTTGAATAACAACATGTGTGAGACAAAACAAAGTATCAGGGTAAATTAGAATTTCCTCCTTCTTAGTGTTGTAATTACCTAATCAAAATATTTTTCAATTTCAAACATATAATTTTATACATGAATCAATGTATTAAGTGAACTCCATGAGAGCAAATCAAGTTCATTTTTATTTATTTGTTTTTCTAGAGACAGGGTTTCACAATGTTGCCCAGGCTAGAGTGCACTGGCTATTCCTAGGCATGATTGTTGCACACTACAGCCCTGAACTCCTGGGCTCAAATGATCCTCCTGTCTCAGCCTCCTGAGTAGCTTGGGCTACAAATGTGTGCTATATTTAATATTTTTATATCTAACCATTAACCTAGCAACCAATTGGTAGGAAAGAAATATTAAATGTATAACTAATATTGGATAACAAATTGTAGTAACAAAAAATAATTCTAGGAAATTGTTTGCTGCCCTAAAAATGAGATTCACTTTCATTTTTATTATTGGTTTTACCCACATAGGATTTTCTTGCAGAAAATTTACTATGTGGGTAAAAGTGGGACAGTAATCACCACAGTATAATGCAAAAAGACATGGGTCTCTAGCTTCCCAGCTCTTGCTTTCCACCACAGTGAAGGTAGTGAGCCAGGAAGATTTAGAGGGGCAGGCACCTTCATGTTTACTTTTCCTTATCTATCCACACCACCTAGTACAGTGTAAGGCATCTAACAAGACCTTGTTCTTATTTATTAATAAGAGCAAATGAGAAAGGAAATAAATGTTGACATTGATGCATGCATTCCAGTTCTCAGGTTTCAAATTGGGTGATGTGTCTTGTACATAAGATACAAACTCTTTTATATAAGATACAAACTTTATAATTAGCTCTAGTTTGAAAATATCTAACTAATAGTTAAACACCTAACTAACAGTTAGCCATGTAACTAATATAGTGAAAATTTGCTTTAAAACCATAATTAAAATTTTTTTCATTCTTTCTTGTCTGGTTAAGTTGCTCTCCTCCTTTATAGTTAGTAGCTTCTCCATGTTTTTACCCTTTAACCTGCCCCCAAAAGCCCCTTGATGTTGGGGCCTCTGTTCATATCTTCGGTTTCTGTATTAGCCTGTTCTCACACTGCTATAAAGACATACCCAAGACTGGGTAATTTATAAAGCAAAGAGATTTAAATGACTCACAGTTCTGCATGGCAAGGGAGGCCTCAGAAAACTTACAATTATGGTGGAAGGGGATAGAGAAGCAAAGGCACATCTTACATGGAGGCAGCCTAGAGAGAGAGTGAACAAGTGAAAGGGGAAGAGGTCCTTATAAAACCATCAGATCTCATGAGAATTCACTCCCTGTCGTGAGAACAGCATGGGAGAAACTGCTCCCTTGATCAAATCACCTCCCATCACGTCTTGCCCTCAATAAGTGGGAATTATGGGGATTACAATTTCAGATGAGATTTGGGTGGGGACACAGAGCCAAACCATATCAGTTTCACTCGGTTTTGCAAGTTTACCATTAATCCTTGCAACTGCTGAGCTCTCTGCCTAAAATTAAAACAAATATTTGTTCCATAAGTGAATTTAAAAATTGATACTTTAAGAGTCCAATTCTCTGTTTAAGAAACAAAATTGATGAACCTTTAAGTTTTTAAAATGTCTATCTCACGTTTTGCCTATTAACTATTTCATTGTATATGAAGCAACATAGAACTACTTTTCTTCTAGGGCTAATATTGCAAACTCCAATTCTAGTCCATTACATCACTGTGCAATTATCTTTCTTTTTCACAACCTTACACTATAAGTGAGTGATATTTCAATGCAATTATCAGGAAATAAGAGGAAAAGAGATAACTGTCTGATTAGGCAGCAGTGTGGAATGGAAGGGGTCTCTTAGGATTGTGACTGTGATAAACCTTCTCTGAGATGCTGCTTTGCTCACATTGCAAGGGGCCTAACCCTGCAAGTTTCTTCAGTGTTTTCAGAGCACAAATATATGAATAATTAGGATACCAAAATACGAAACGGAAATAATTTTGACTTAAATTTCCACTTAGTGGTACAAATGATTTAATTTGTAAAGCATTGAAATGTAATTTGGGGGCATTTATTGAAATAAATACTATTAATTAAAGCTTGAAATAAATATGGAAATCTCTCTTAAGTGACATAAATCAAAGCAAATTTTCAGAGTGATATCATAAAATGTTCAGCAAGTGCCAGTCTCATTGAAGCAGCCTGAGATTGTGATACAGTGAACTTATTTATGCTGGTTCTACTTTATTATTATTCAAATTGTAATATATATATATATGTATATATATATTTCTTACAATTTGAGGATACCTGTATTTGTCTGCTCACACACTACTATGAAGAAATACCAGAGACTGGGTAATTTATAAAGGAAAGAGGCTTAATTGACTCACAGTTCTGCAGTGCTGGAGAGACCTCAGGAAATTTACAATCAATGCAGAAGGCAAAGGAGAAACAGACACCTTCTTCACAGGGTGGCTGGACAGTGTAAGTGAAAGCAGGGAAAACACCAGATGCTTATTAAATGATCAGATTTCATGAGACTCACTCACTATCACAAGAACAGCATGGGGGAAACCACTCCCATGATCCAATCACTTCCACCCTTGGTCCCACCCTTAACATATGGAGATTATGGGAATTATGGGGATTACAATTCCAGATGAGATTTTGGGTGGGGACACCTCCAAACCATATCATTCGACCTCTGGCCCCTCCCAAATCTCATGTCCTCATATTTCAAAACACAATCAAGCCTTTCTAACAGTCCCCCAAAGTCTTAAATTATTCCAGCATTAACCCAAATGTCCAAGTCCAAAGTCTCAACTGAGACAAAGCAAGTCCCTTCCACCTACAAGCCTGTAAAACCAAAAGCAAGCAGTAACTTCCTAGATACAATGAGGGTACAGGCATTGAGTAAATATACCCATTTCAAATGGGAGAAATTGGCCAAAATGAAGGAGCTATAGGCTCCATGCAATTCCAAAATACAGTGAAGCAGTCAAATCTTAAACCTCCGAAATAATCTCCTTTGACTTCATCACTCATATCCAAGTGACACTAAGCCAATAGGTGGGCTCCCACAGCCTTGGAGAGCTCCACCCTTGTGGCTTTGCAGGATACAGCACCCCTCCCGCTGCTTTCATGAGCCAGTGTTGAATGCTTGCATCTTTTCCAGGTGCACAGTGTAAGCTGTTGGTGGATCTACAGTTCTGGGGTCTGGAGGACAGTGGTCCTCTTCTCACAGCTCCCCTAGGCAGTGCCACAAAGGGGACTCTGTGTGGGGGCTCTGACCCCACATGTCCCCTTTGCACTGCTCTAGCAGAGTTTCTCCATGAGGTCTCCAACTCTGCAGCAAACTTCTGTCTGAACATCCAGGCCTTTCCATACATCCTCTGAAATCTAGGCAGAGGTTCCCAAATCTCAATTCATGACTTCTGTGCACCTGCAGGTCCAACACCATGTATAAGCCACCAAGCCTTGGGGCTTGCACCACCTGAAACAATGGCCTGAGATATATGTTTTCCCCTTTTAGCTGTGGCTGGGATGTAGAGCACCAAGTCCTAAGACTGCACAAAGCAGCAAAGCCCTGGGCCTAGCCCATGAAACCATTTTTTGCTCCTAGGTCTCTGGGCCTGTGATGGGAGGGACTGTCATGAAAGCCTCTGATATGCCCTGGAGACATTTTCCCTATTGTCTTGTCAATTAACATTTGGCTCCTAGTTACTTATGCAAATTTCTGCCACCTACTTGAATTTCTCATTAGAAAATGTTTGTTTGTTTTTTCTGTCACATCATCAGGCTGCAAATTTTTCAAACTTTTATGCTCTGCTTCCTCTCTTGAACACTTTCTGGCTTAGAAATATCTTCCACCGGATACCCTAAATCATTCTCTCAAGTTCAAAGTTCCACAGATCTCTAGGGCAGGGGCAAAATGTCACCAGTCTCTTTGCTAAAGCATAGCAAGAGTCACCTTTACTCTAGTTCCCAACAAGTTTCTCATCTCCATCTGACAGCACCTCAGCTTGGACTTCATTGTCCATATCATTATGAGCATTTTGGTCAAAGCCATTCAACAAGTCTCCAGGAAGTCCCAAACTTTGCCTCTCTTTTTCTGAGCCTTCCAAGCTGCTCCAACCTCTGCCTGTTTCCCAGTTCTAAAGTTGCTTCCACCTTTTTGGATATATTTATAGCAGCACCCCACTTCTGGTAACAATTTATTAGTCTGTTCTCACACTGCTATGAAGAAATACCAGAGACAGAGACTGGGTAATTTATAAAGGAAAAAGGTTTAATTCACTCACAGTTATGCATGGCTGCAGAAGCCTCAGGAAACTTATAATTATGGCAGAAGGCAAAGGAGAAACAGGCACCTTCTTCACAGGATGGCAGGACAGAGTGAGTACAAGCAGGGGAAATGCCAGATGCTTATTGAACCATCAGATCTCATGAGACTCACTCACTATCACAAGAACAGCATGGGGGAAACCACCCCCCTGATCCAATCACTTCTACCCTTGGTCCCACCCTTGATACATGGGCATTATGAGAATTATGAGGATTACATTTCAAGATGAGAATGTGGGTGAGGACACAGTCAAACCATATCAATGCCAAAAAACAAATCATAGGTTATAGAACCCAAAGCTTATCATTAAATGATTAAAAGCTAAACTAAAATATGAATGTGCCAATATATATGATTTTTAAACCTAATTCCAGCCAGCTACTTTAATAACTATATAAAGAGCAAAACCTCACATAGAATGGTTTTACTAAAGTGTAGATCTCATTCCATCCCAAATTCCACTTATTAATGTGTTGGTAAAACTAACAGGCTATTTAAGCAGAGAACAATCAAAGCTATTTATTTCTGGTTATAGTAAATACAGAAGCAGATTTAGATGATAACATAGCATTTATAAAATAGCAGCAGTTTCATATTTACTGAGCTCTTACTATGTGCCAGATACCTTTCTACAAATTTTATGTGTACTAAGTTATGTCTTCTGTTATGTAATTCTCACAACAATCTCTTAAAGTATGTATTATTATATTGTTATCTCTCTCAGATAAATAGTTTATTATTTTTCTTAAGCTCACTTAACTAGTAAATAGACTATTAACACAGAAAATCAGACTCAAGGGCCTATGCTCTTAACCACAATATTGTGTTTGACTGTATCAGGATATACCTGCTTGAAGAGGTCACGAGAGGCTACCTGATTATAAGAAGGCTCATAAAAAATTGATTTGTGATCCAGCTGATGATAAGGCATATTAAACTTGCCAGCAAACTTAGATATTACCACTTGCACATGGCTCTTTCTGATGGACAGTTCGAACAAAACCCCAAATTAGGTTGAATCATAATTCTATTATGAATGTGGAATCAGAACAAGAGAGATCTAGTATTACTAAAGGTATTCTTCAAGATTCAATAGGATGGTGAATAGGTTATTTACCCTCAGAATTTTTTTTTTATAAAAGGTACTAGTCATTTATAGTCCTTTTTCCATGATATTCTTTTCATATTAATAGACATTATAATATTTTCCCCTCGTATTAATACTTTTGTGACTCCTCATCTCCTTTAAATAATTAAGAATTTTTTTATTTGCTTGGTAGATCTTCCTCCATCCCTTTATTTTGAGTCTATGTGTGTCTGCACGTGAGATGGGCCTCCTGAATACAGCACACTGATGGGTCTTGACTCTTTATCCAATTTGCCAGTGTGTGTCTTTTAATTGGGGCATTTAGCCCATTTACATTTAAGGTTAATATTGTTATGTGTGAAATTTATCCTGTCATTATGATGTTAGCTGGTTATTTTGCAAGTTAATTGATGCAGTTTCTTCATAGTATCGGTGGTCTTTACAATTTGGCATGTTTTTGCAGTGGCTGGTACAGGTTATTCCTTTCCATGTCTAGTGCTTCCTTCAGGAGCTCTTGTAAGGCAGGGCTGATGGTGACAAAATCTCTCAGCATTTGCTTGTCTGTAAAGGATTTTATTTCTCCTTCACTTTTGAAGCTTAGTTTGGCTGGATATGAAATAAACATTTTTTCCTTCATTTCAACCTTGGTGAATCTGATAATTATGTATCTTGGGGTTGCTCTTCTTGAGGAGTATCTTTGTGGTATTCTCTGTATTTCCTGAATTTGAACTTTGGCCTGATTTGCTAGATTGGAGAAGTTCTCCTGGATAATATCCTGAAGAGTGTTTTCCAACTTGGTACCATTCTCCCCGTCACTTTCAGGGACACCAATCAAACTTAGATTTGTTCTTTCACATAGTCTCATATTTCTTGGAGGCTTCATTCATTCCTTTGTTCATTTATTTTCACTCTTTTTTTCTCTAAACTTTTCTTATTGCTTTATTTCATTAATTTGATCTGCAATCACTGATATCCTTTCTTCCACTTTAGAATCAACTGTTGAAGCTTGTGTATGCGTCACAAAGTTCTTGTGCCATGGTTTTCAGCTCCATGAGGTCATTTAAGGTCTTCTCTACACTGTTCATACTGGTTGGCCATTTGTCTAACCTTTTTTCAAGGTTTTTAGCTTCCTTGTCATGGGTTAGAACATGCTTCCTTAGGTTGGAGAAGTTTGTTATTACCAGCCTTCTGAAGCCTACTTCTGTCAGCTCATCAAATTCATTCTCCATCCAGCTTTGTTCCATTGCTGGCGAGGAGCTGCAATCGTTTGGAGGAGAAGACGCACTCTAATTTTTAGAATTTTCAGCTTTTCTGCTCTGGTTTCTACCCATCTTTGTGGTTTTATCTAACTTTGGTCTTTGATGTTGGTGACCTACCGATGGGGTTTTTGAGTGAATGTCCTTTTTGTTGATGTTGATGCTATTCCTTTCTGTTTGTTAGTTTTCCTTCTAACAGTCAGGTCCCTCAGCTGCAGGTCTGTTGGAGTTTGCTGGAGATCCACTCCAGACCCTATTTGCCTGGGTATCATCAGCGGAGGCTGCAGCACACCAAATATTGCAGAACAGCAAATATTGCTGCCTGATCCTTCCTCTGGAAGCTGTGTCCCAGAGGGACACCCACTTGTATGAGGTGTCTGTCACCCCTACTGGGAGGTGTCTCCCAGTTAGTCTACACGGGGGTCAGGCACCCACTTGAGGAGGCAGTCTGTCCATTCTCAGAGCACAGTCACCATGCTGGGAGAACCACTGCTCTCTTCAGAGCTGATTTGGCTCTCTGTTTGTCTGTTATTGGTGTATAGGAATGCGTGTGATTTTTGCACATTGATTTTGTATCCTGAGACTTTGCTGAAGTTGCTTATCAGCTTAAGGAGATTTCAGGTTGAGACGATGGGGTCTTCTAAATATACCATCATGCCATCTGCAAACAGGGACAATTTGACTTCCTCTTTTACTAATTGAATACCCTTTATTTCTTTCTCTTGACGGATTGCCCTGGCCAGAACTTCCAACACTATTTTGAGTAGGAGTGGTGAAAGAGGGCATCCTTGTCTTGTGCCAGTTTTCAAAGGGAATGCTTCCAGTTTCTGCCCATTCAGTATGATGTTGGCCATGGGTTTGTCATAAATAGCTCTTATTATTTTGAGATATGTCCCATCAATACCTAATTTATTGAGAGTTTTTAGCATGAAGGGCTGTTGAATTTTGTCAAAGGCCTTTTCTGCATCTATTGAGAAAATCATGTGGTTTTTGTCTTTGGTTCTGTTTATGTGATGGATTATGTTTATTGATTTGTATATGTTCAACCAACCTTGCATCCCTGGGATGAAGCCAGCTTGATCATGGTGGATAAGCTTTTTGATGTGCTTCTGGATTTGGTTTGCCAGTATTTTATTGAGAATTTTCACAGCAATATTCATCAGGGATATTGGTCTAAAATTCTCTTTTTTTGTTGTGTCTCTGGCAGGCTTTGGTATCAGGATAATGCTGGCCTCATAAAATGAGTTAGGGAGGATTCCCTCTTTTTCTATTGATTGGAATAGTTTCAGAAGGAATGGTACCAGCTCTTCTTTGTACCTGTGGTAAAATTCAGCTGTGAATCCATCTGGTTATGGACTTTTTTGGTTGGTAGGCTATTAATTACTGCCTCAATTTCAGAGCCAGTTATTGGTCTATTCAGAGATTCAACTTCTTCCTGGTTTAGTCTTGGGAGGGTGTATGTGTCCAGGAATTTATCCATTTCTTCTATATTTTCTAGTTTATCTGCATAGAGGTGTTTATAGTATTCTCTGATGGTAGCTTGTATTTCTGTGGGATTGGTGGTGATATCCCCTTTATCATTTTTTATTGTGTCTATTTGATTCTTCTCTCTTTTCTTCTTTGTTAGTCTTGCTAGCGGTCTATCAATTTTGTTGATTGTTTCAAAAAACCAGCTCCTGGATTCGTTGATTTTGTGAAGGGTTTTTTGTGTCTCTATCTCCTTCAGTTCTGCTCTGCTCTTAGTTATTTCTTGCCTTCTGCTAGCTTTTGAATGTGTTTGCTCTTGCTTCTGTAGTTCTTTTAATTGTGAAGTTAGGGTGTCAATTTTAGATCATTCCTGCTTTCTCTTGTGGGCATTTAGTGCTATGAATTTTCCTCTACTCACTGCTTTAAATGTGTCCTAGAGATTCTGATACATTGTGTCTTTTTTCTCATTGGTTTCAAAGAACATCTTTATTTCTGCCTTCATTTCATTATTTACCCAGTAGTCATTCAGGAGCAGGTTGTTCAGCTTCCATGTAGTTGTGTGGTTTTGAATGAGTTTCTTAATCCTGAGGTCTAATTTGATTGTACTGTGGTCTGAGAGACAGTTTGTTATGATTTCTGTTCTTTTACATTTGCTGAGGAGTGCTTTACTTCCAATTATGTGGTCAATTTTAGAATAAGTGTGAGGTGGTGCTGAGAAGAATATATATTCTGTTGATTTGGAGTGGAGAGTTCTGTAGATGCCTATTAGATCTGCTTAGTGCAGAGCTGAGTTCAAGCCCTGGATATCCTTGTTAACCTTCTGTCTCATTGATCTGTCTAATATTGACAGTGGGGTGTTAAAGACTCCCATTATTATTGTGTGGGAGTCTAAGTCTCTTTGAAGGTCTCTGAGGACTTGCTTTATGAATCTGGGTGCTTCTGTATTGGGTGTATATATATTTAGGATAGTTAGCTCTTCTTGTTGAATTGATCTCTTTACCATTATGTAATGGCCTTCTTTGTCTCTCTTGATCTTTGTGGTTTAAAGTCTGTTTTATCAGAGACTAGGATTGCAAACCCTGCTTTTTTTAATTTGTTTAAGACCTTTCACTTTTGGCAATAAAATCTACAAATTTATTTTTATTAACAATAGTCTTTATCATTATCTTTGACTCTACCATGTATAGTTCAAAAACTCAAGTTATGCTCTTCCATAACTTAGTTGATGTAACCCTATGGGTTCTGAATGAAATTCAGAAAATAGTGACTCTGAAGAGTAAAATGAATATTATCCTGAAACACCAAACTAAGTATCTAGTAATGACTTAGAGTCTTGAAACATATCTGAAAATGTGTCAGAAATTAAAGGAATTCAAAACTACAAGAAGAATCAGAAATGTAGACAATTTTGTTTAGTACAGTAAGTCAAAAATGTAAAGCACTTATTACAGCTCAAAAGCTCATGCCAAATTCTGAATTACCTATGACATAGAAAGCATGTGGTCTTGTAAGAAAGAGAAATGGAAGAAACAACTAGAGAAGTGTAAAGTTAAGTAGCATTGATAAAATTACCATTAATTTTTCTTCCTTCTAAATTTAGATATACTTTTCAGAAGTCTATGGGCTTCCAGGAACATCTATTAATAATTCCAGCTATTCCCTACAACAGTCCTCTCAACTATTTCCTCTAATCATTAATTTCAACATATTTTATTTCAATTTCAAGACTGTACTTTATATTTTAATCAAATTTTTATGTTATGAAGAAAACATTCACATTGTCAAAAACTAAAAAAATACACAAATTTCAAGTAGAATATTTAAACAATTTATGCTTCTTTAACCAACATAAAAAAATTTCAAAATTTGACATATTTCCTCTCTTTTGTATTTGTTAGTGCTTTATTTATACTTTATATGTTATATTATAGTTTGCTATTTTTATTTTAACACTTTTTCTGAGTATTTCTCATGCCAAAATTTTTTTATGAACAGCATGCATAATGTCAGCATAAGCTTCTTATTAAATGAAAAGACCATTCTTTGAGGATTTTTTTATTGTTTATTTTTGTTGAGAAGAAATTTCATATCTACATAATACAGTGGTCTTTTTATATTTATATTTGTACACATCTCAGATCACTATTTGATTCTTAGGGATATAATTACAGGTATTAAGGATATGCCCATTTTTTAAAATCTTTTTTTATTATTATATGAAAGTTGTACTATTTCATACTGCTTGTTGCAATGTACAAAAGTGTCCAATTCACTATACCTTTACCGGAATTGAGGATCATTGTTTTTATTTTTCTGGGTTTTTCTGACTTCATGAATGAAAACTAGTATTTTATTGTTTTCAATTGATTTTCTTTCAACTGTTTATCATATTTTGGATATTTGTTAGTAATTTGTTGTTTTTTTTTTTCTTATTTCGGTCTAGACTCTTTTTCTGTTGAGGTGTTTGTGCTCTGCTAAGTTTTATTACTTTTTCACTATCTAAAAGTAACATACACTATCTAAAAGTAAATGTGGTCTACGGCCGTATCACTCTGAACACACCCGATCCCATCTAAAAGTAAACATTCAATATTTACTTCAAATGTTAATATCAAATAGTTCAAATATTACTTTTACTGTATTTAACATTTGTAATAATTTAATATGTACTTGCTATTGATTAGGTTTTAAATATGGCTGCCCCAAAGAAAGAAAGTCATCATCATTGCATCTGAACATTGTAGAATGAGTAATTCATTCTACATTTGTGAGGATAGTAAATTCTAATCACAGAGTGCAGATCTGTGTTAGTTTCAGTGTTATTTTGTGGCATTTGTTGACATTGTCCCTACATGTTAAAATTCATGTCTTTATATTTTAAGCCCCATTTGTATTCTATCGAATTCATGCCACGCAAGCTACTTTTACTGCAGACCTAAGTATATAATGGTAAATAAAATGTCTACAAAAAAAGAATGCTCATGGGTGAATATAGGCTAATAAAGCTTGACAATGGACAAATTTGAAGGCACAGTTCAACCTACCTCTAAGAAATGTTCAGTGGATAAACTCAGATCTCCAAATTACACTGTGGATCACCATTATCCTGCCTCCCCCTTCATTTCCTTTCTTCTATTGAAGGAATAGACAGAAATAATCTCAAAATAACATTCTTCTTTATCTCATTGCAAATAATTTATGTGAAGAAAACAAATGATAATATGAATTTTATGGAAGAATCTAAAAACATATATGCCTGAGAGAACAAACAAAGTCGTATAAGACTCAAATAAGACACAGATCAGTCCTACCATTACATCTAATTATGATCTCTAAATTTCTTCACATGTAAATATGTCTGTGGTTTTATAATATACCCACTGTATTTGGTTTTCTGTACACGTAGGTGTAATTTGCTGCTGTTGCAGCAAAATTCTTGTCATGGGTCAGCAGACCGTATTTAGTAAATGCCAGTGTCAAGTCAGTAAGACATCATTGGAATTGTTATTATAAAATGGTCAGTGCTACTCAGTCTTTATCCTATTCATTTTGTACAGCGTCCACTGAACTCTCTGCATTCACTGGAAAGGAGATATTTTTCACAGCAGAGCCTTAATGAAATCCAAAACAAGATGAGTCTCAACCAAGGCAACCAAGGAGACCTGATTACAGGGGACCTGTGAACTTCATGTTAGAGAAAGATAAGGAAATACTGAAAATGATTTGTAATTTTTCTCTTTATTTTAAATATTTATTAAGATGAATTGAATACAATACTCCATTGCTGTTTAAATCAATGTTAATGTTCTTTAACAATTCACTGACATGTACTTTCCATACGTAATATACCAGAAAACAACACACAAAAAATTGTTTCTTATTTATTCCAAGAAAATTTTAAACACTTAGCATTTAAAATAAGAAAGCCAACAACCAAGTTGCAAGGCTTTATTTAATGTTTGTATGTGAAGATAGAAATAACTATAGGAAAATCAGTATTTGAAATGAGAGGTTATTTATGTGGCATGCACTGATGTTGTCAGGAAGTGATCTTTCAATAAAATGCCTACATCATTTTATTAATGCCTGACACCTCACTATGAGATGTGTCATTTTCTTTTTTTAGTTCATTTTGTTTTAGTTTAAATGAAAGAGAAGCTATCTGCTATCTTCAAATAAGCCCAAATACTTTACTTTGACATATTATGTACCCACAATACAGTCCTTGCCTGGCTCTTTAACTTCATCATCCATCTTGCTCAAATTTTTTTCTATGCTCAAAGTGATCATATAATATAGTGTCCAAACCTAAATATTGGGAGAAAAAGTGACTACTCTTATTAACTATGTTCCTGAGGTCAACAGGTATAAACAATGATGATCCCAGAAAGATCAGGACATTGTGTCTTTTTCCAGCCGACATGAATCACTTATAATACCCTGAATGCATCACACTGTTCCCATCTCTATGTCATTGATCCTGCTACTCCCTTCGGCTGAACCGCACCCCTCATTTTAACACACATGTGTGACAAATTTGCTTCAAGCCCTTTCTGTGCCACTTCTGTGCTTAATGCATGACCTCTCAACATACACATGGTGTGGTGAATATATTGTAAAGTATATCATTTGTCCCTTAAAGATGCCCAATAAATAAATGGATGGAAACATACCTCATGCACTTAGAAGTGCGAGTCATTAATCTCAAATTATTAACAAATGTTGCTGGTCTCACTGGGGAAATAGTTTAATGAAGAGAAGAAATGTGGGTATTGTATGCCTTGCAGACAAAGGAAAAGAAGTTATGTTAAAGTAGGAACTCCCATGCACCGTTGGTGGAAATTAGTACTTCCACTATGGAAAACAATATGGAACTTTCCTCAAAAAGTGAAAAATAGAACTACCATATGATCCAGCAATTCCATTGCTGGGTATGTATCCAAAGAAAATGAAATCAGTATGTCAAAGAGATATCTGCACCCCCATGTTTATTTTAACACTATTCGCAATAGCCAAGATATGGAATCAGTTTAAATGCCCATCTACAGATGAATAAAGAAAATGTGAAATATCTATACACACACACACATACACACAATGGAATACTATTCATCCATAAGAGAAAATGAAGTCCTGTCACTTGTAGCAACCTGAATGAATCTGGAGCACTTTATGTTAATGAAATAAAGCAGACATAGAAAGGCAAACATCACATGATCTCACTTATATTCAGAATCTAAGAAAGTTAATTTCACTAAAACATAGAGTAGAATGGTGATTACCAGAGGCTAGGGAGGGAAGAGGTAAAGGGGAAATAAGATAAGTTTCTCAATGTGTACAAAGTTGCAGTTAGACAGTAAGAATAAATTCTGGTGTTCTATTGTAAAGTAGGGTGACTACAGCAAATAACAATATAGTGTATATCTGAAGACAGTTAGAAGATTTTGAATGTTATCATTAGAAAGAAATTATAAATGTTGAAAGTGATGGATATGGTAATTGTCCAGACCATTATACAGTGTATGCACGCATTGGAACATCATGCTGTATAAATATATACAATTATTATGTATCAGTTATACATAAAATATTAATTAGTAAATAAGAGTTCTGAAAAGCATTAGGCCCAAAGACAAGACTTCACAGTTTTTCAAAGGTCCAGCCCCATCTGAAGCTATTGTAAGATTCTAGGAATTGTTTTATTCTTGGAATGAAGGATTTTGTTTTAATTGGGTGAGCCTAGTACTCATTCTGCATGTAGAATGTTTTCTAAATTAATTTTTTCACCCCCTTTATCATCTAAAAGCATCTAAGGTAATGTAATTTCCAGCAATTTAAAAACAACTGACTTCAATTCAACTGGCCTTATTTCATGCCTTTAAAAAAATTAACCGTTATCACAGCTCAATGTGCCAAGTGTCAACCTTATCAAATTTCTCAGTGCACAAGAAAATGAACATAATTGCTTCCTCTTTATGGTATGTTGTACATAATTGGCTTCCTATCACAAAGCAGCTGGAAGATATTCACAAAACCTGAGAGAAGTTTGCATTTGCATGCAGATCACAGACTCAAAATGCGTATTTTCACTTTAATGTAAGTTGGGCCAAAAACAAAAATGAAATTTCTGTTGATATAAAGAAACTAACAAAATAAATAGAAAAAAATCAATTCTTTTGAAGAATTTTTTTTATTTCTTATAAATAAAACTATTGAGGTCAACTCTATGAAGTCTTTTTGACATTTTCTATTTCTATTCATGTAATTGCAACTGCATGTCACCTCAGATGTTTAACATAATTAGGAGTGTTCGTATTGATATTTATATTTTTTCTATACCAAATACAAACCAATGTGGAACATCAGTGACAATACAAATATCATTTATTTAACTAAAATGTATCGAGCACTTGTGGTTTGTGAAGTCTCCTGAATGAGAGCTCTGACCTTTTATTTGATTGACTATACCCTCTTCACTCAACTACTAGCATGCTCTAGGTACCTCGGACAGACACAGATGAACTCACCTTTGTGACAGTCAGGAAAATTTACCATTCACATGTGCTATGGGTGTATCGATATTAATTTCCTACCTTTTATAATTGCACTGAGGTTATATGAAAGAATGTACTAGTTTATAGGAAGATACACTAAAGGATTTAGAAGTAAAGAGGAAGCATGTCTGGAAGTTATTCTCAAATAGTTCAGAAAAAGATAGTTATACATAATAAAGAGAAAGTAGGTGAGAGAAAAGATACTACAAATATTATAAAATGTTAACATCTGGGAAATTCACTTAAAGTATCCATGGGAAATCTTAGTAATATTATAACTTTTTATAAATGTGATATATCAAAATAAAAAGTTTTGTAAAGATGAGCCCCAAGTGGTAGTCAGAAACATATTTTCTTAATATCATTTAATTTGGGGCACAGGAGACAGATGACCTTCATTCATTACTTTTGTCAAAAATATACATTATAACATTGTTACTGTTGTAATCTAGGCTTTGATCAATGATTTAATAAATAAAAACTATAGCTAAATAATTATAATTTTTTAAAATAGAAAATCTTATAATAATTAAAAATGTAAATATAAAATAAATCAATAAATCCGCAAATAAAAATCTATTCTTGGTTATTATCTTCAGATAAGTCAAGATCCCAACTACCAGGATAATCTTTAATCAATAAGCATATATTAGATGTGGGCAATTCTGTGTGTGTGTGTCCACGTGTTGAGTGAAATAGACACAGAGACTGTGATTAAACCATAGTGTTTGTATTTTTTCTTCTCTTTCTGAGCTTTTGTACTGTAAGCTTTTGGTAATATCTTTTGGCACCATGGAGATATAACTAGAATACTTAACCATGTTGGCATCCACAAAACAGATGACTATTAAAATTACATAAACTAGAATCAAAATAGGAAAAGGGTGAAGACAAAATTGTGTAAGAAAAAGACATCGCAAAATTTAATCAGCACACTATTCGCTAAATAGCATAACTTAATTCAGGAGAACAACACAGAAGAAATGACCACAAAAGAAGATTTCACTCTGGGTTTCTGTCTCTTAATTGGGGAGTGCAAAAGGACTTCCTCAATTCTAACTCTCAAGTAGCCAAAATGTGCCTATACTTGTAATTTCTATAGAAAACACTGTAGAACTGACACACTGCTCCATGCTATCAGTTCTCAATATGTGTGTTCATACAGACATGAAGTGTCCTTGAAGTTATGAAGTGTCCCTGAAGTCACAGTATGACTAAAGTGGGAAAAAAATGTGATATTATTCAATGAAAAGAAAACCTGGCAGTTTGTGAAAATGATATTGAGTGTGCAATATGGAGATAAAAAGAGAGAAAGTCTTTACAGATGTAATAATCAAAATTAGAGAAGTTAATTGTAGATTTCCTACTTAAACAGTATGGATCAGTGAATACTCTCTGTGCTACCCAGATTCTTCTTAAAACTAAAGGATATATCCCTCTAGCTGCTGGCTAATAGATCATATAAATCAGTCCTCTCTGCTAATTTCCCTCTGCTGAAAAGAGTCACCTTCTTCAAAGAAACATGCTCATCCTAGAGGCAGGCTGCATTCATGCAAGAAGACTGGTTGATTTAGCCTTCTTCTTGCTCTATCAGGTCAACTCTAGAGGCTAATTCAGTTTCAAGGTTCCCATGGGTTAGCTAAGGCTTTGTTTTTACTGCACTTCCACCCAATTTCTAATCTGCCCATTCTTGCTCTATTCCATTTATCGTAGGTATTGATTCCAAGAACTCACATCAATAAATCTCCTGCATGCTAATGTATGTCTTGAAGTCTGTTTTCCTAGAACCCCAAGCTACATTGGTTGGTAATAAATAATGTGGTTAAAGAAGGCAGATTCTAAGATAGAATTTTGGACCTGGATCACCTGTAGCCTGCCTAGCAATGAAGACCTCATCAGCGGTGATAGATGGAGAACAGATACACCTTGGAACCAGGTAGTGATCTAACTTCACATTTTTCACTAATGTTACGCTAAGATGGAATACTAATGAAATGCAATGTGCTGATGGGTAACATGTATAAGGTGGTTGAGAAACAATATAGGGTGTCCAGAGATAAGAGCAATCAGCTAAGGGAGGAATGGGACTAGATAATGAAGAAGCTGCAGGGCCTAACCAACTTGTAAGGGCAGGGGTCATGAGAGTATAAATGGGACAGAATTCTGAAGGTGCTAGATTCAGAAAGAGAGAAGAACAGAAAGTTAGACAAGAAAGAGTTTATCAAGTTGGAAATACTCTCCCAGTGGAGGATTTTACATCCTGACAAAGATCCTCAAAGATATCCAAAACATGTTTTGAGGATGGCTCCTGGAAGTTTGAAGAAAGCAATGTCCACGTCAAATGAAGAAAAAATGCCACAACCACCATGACAAACGATGGGAAAATCAGACCAGCCTCTGAATTTCCTTCTTTTGGTTGCCCAGTTCCACAAAGATACATGAATCCTGCCAAGATAATTTAGAGATAATCTGGTCTAAACTATTTTATACACATCACAAAAAGTGTTACTTAACATCCACTTGACAATAAAACTAGAAAGTGTTACCTATACTGAAATATATGTGCTACAGTGAAACAAAATCAGCCCGTCTTAAAAATAATATTTCTTTTTAAGTAGAGTATATTAAGAATTTTTTGGTAAATTAGATAATCAACCAACAAACCAATATTCTGTTATAATTAGGATTTATTGGGATTTATTACACACACATACAAAGGAGGTATTTCTCAAAAGCTTAAATCCGTTATTCTTCTGGCGAAAAAAAAAAAAAAAAAAAAAAAGCTGTTCCTTTGCCAAATTCCCCCTTTGCTGTAGTTAGCCAGCCAGAAAGTAATATGTGTCAATGTCTTCTTATTGAAAGGATTAGTGTGAATACAAACAGAACTGAGGATTCTCTATTTCCTCCACGCATTCATGTTTCTTAACTTTGTGACATTTTGAAACCCTCCAGTAAGAGTTTTGAATGTGAAGGTGAAGGTGATGATTGAAGAGCCAAAGTACAATATCGGTGCCAGAAATACAGGAAAGCTATAGAGTGTAAGATGATAAGGGTTTCAGGGATACTCATATCTCTCACCTCTGGTAGCTTACTAGGCAGAAGTATAATCAGTCATCAGATTCATCAGCCTTAGGTCACAGAGAAATTTCTTCAGACCAATGGCTGAAGAAGCTTGAGAGAATTACTAGACCTGAGTGGGCCTATAGAGTTTTAACCATCCATCTCACCTCCAACAATCACACACACACACACACACACACACACACAAACACACACACACATAGAGAGGGAGAGAGAGAGAGACATACACACCTCCAACTAAAGGAAGGTGAAGGCTAAACCATTTAGAGTAAATAATTATCTGCCCTCCACTGCTAAAGAATTGATATATTTGAATTGTCATCTACTTTTAGATTTTTTTAATATACTTAAATGTCTTATTAGAAATAACAAGATATTTATGCCTTCTTTTCAGCTATTCCTAATTATCTTTAAATCTTAATGAGATACATATGTGTTTAGCATCCTTCTAAATAAAATTTCTCGGCCGGGCGCAGTGGCTCACGCCTGTAATCCCAGCACTTTGGGAGGCCGAGGCGGGCGGATCACGAGGTCAGGAAATCGAGACCATCCTGACTAACACGGTGAAACCCCGTCTCTACTAAAAAATACAAAACAATAGCCGGGCACAGTGGCGGGCGCCTGTAGTCCCAGCTACTCGGGAGGCTGAGGCAGGAAAATGGCGTGAACCCGGGAGGTGGAACTTGCAGTGAGCCAACGTTGTGCCACTGCACTCCAGCCTGGGGGACAGAGCGAGACTCTGTCTCAAAAAAATAAAAATAAAAAAAATAAAAAAATAAAATTTCTCACTTATTTATATCAAGATAATTTGGGATTACTGAGATTAACTTCAATAATCAAGCATGTCCCATTCCAGAGATGACCATGTTGGTGTCTGTTCTGCAGGGAACTGGATGGACTAGATAACATTTGGTAATCTGAAGATCAACCTAGTTTTAGTGTTGGCATTGGAATTTATGATTTTTCATCTGTCTCTTGAATTAAACTTTATCCTTTAATACATTCAAATGATGAAGAGGATTAAAATATTTTAATTAACTGCCTTATTATTTGGGAGGCAAATATTTACCTAAGTTTTATATATTGATTTGAAATAAATGTTTGGATTGGATGGTTTAGTGATTAAGTTTGTAGTCTGGTGGATAACAGCACAGATAAGATGGGAAAATGAGACTGCTGGTTGTGAAACCTCAGACAAATTATTGCAACTCTACATGCCTCATTTTCCTTGACCACAAAATAAGATCATAATAGTTCTTAATTAATAAAGTTGCTATAAGTATTAAATGAATTAATGTATGAAAGCACTTAGTCTAGTGCCTTGAACATAGGGAATGTTCAATAAATATTATAATTCATTCCTTAATTTGAAGAACATGAAGATTAGAGGTCGTGCTCCTATGTGTTTAATGGGAGGTAACAAATAATTATTGAGAAGCCACTGTGTGTTTAAATTCTATCACTCTCTTTTCTACATTCAGAATTTATTGGTTCCTTAATACAGATGCAGAAACTGTCAAAGTATCACAGAGAAGTAGGTAGATCAATAAGGATTCAACCCCAGGTCTTTCATAGAGCAAAACCTTTACTATTTTACCATTTCACAATATCTTTCAAATTATGTTTGAGGTGGGCATGGAAACTACCATGGATTGAGAATCTTTAAGTGCTATATTTTCTTGGATATAAATTTCAAAATCATACATTTTTTTTAAATGTCTTCCCCATGACAGACAGTTTTACCTCGAGGGTCAACTAAAATCAAACAAAAATGCAAGCAGAAGTGTTGTGGCTTCTGTAATGTGCCATTATTATTTGTTCCTCTTTTCACCATTTTGCCTCAGAAAAAAAAAAAATGAAAATAAGAAAAATGGGAGGGTGGGGCCAAGATGGCCAACTAGAAACAGTGGCCTTCGGAGGCTCCCATCAGAAAAACCATAATAAACGTGTGAATCCTTCACTAGCAATCAGGGTATCCAGGTTCTCTCATCAGAACAGACTAGGAGGCTGGAATGACCCATAGAGAGAAGGAAGAACAATGTGGTGTGGCAGGCCACCTAAGAGCCACACGGGCAGAGGAGCCCCCTTCCCCCAGCCAAGGGAGGCAGTGAGTGAGTGTGCTACCTAGCTGGGGAAACCATGCTTTTTCCACAGAACTGTGCAACCCACGGATCGGAAGTTCCCTCTCACAAACCCATGCCACCGAGGCCTAATGTCCCAACCCCAGAAGGTGCTGATTCTTAACAGTCTCTCAGCTGGAATCTGCTTAAGCCTACTGAACTCCTGGAGGAAGGGGCAACCAGCACCATGGCTGCAGCTGCCCACTGTCTAAACCATTTGAACTACTTGGGAGAGGGACAGCAGCCAGCACTGGAACTCACTACTGCCTAACACGCTAAGCTCCCTGGGTGGGGGAAGGGCAGCACCCATCTCTAAAGCCCCAGGCTGTGCTTTTCCCCTGCTGGAGCCAGGGAGGCTGGACGGCTTGGTCCCAAAACTTGTCCCCCACAGCCCAACACACCAGCGGTGGCAGTCTGCGGCCAGAGTGCTTCTTTAGGCCTGACTCTGACCCATCCTTCCTCATTGGGTGGGGCTTCCCTGCAGGAACTCCAACAACTCCAGCCACAGACTCGGAGACAGAATCCAGATCCCCCTGGGTCTGACCCCCCAGGAGGAGAGTTGGCCACAGTCTCTGCAGACCAGTAGACTTAGTCTTTCCTCCTGGTAGCTCTGAGGAGTCCAGGCAGCCCAGACAAGTAGATTTCCTCCCAGTGAGGCACACCCCCTCCACCAAGCGACAAAGTGCTTTGTTAAATGGGCCCTGTTCCCCATGCCACCCAACTGGATGAGACACTCCAACAGGGATTGTCAGACACCTTATACAGGAGCAACCCTACTGGCATCAGGTTGGTGCCCTTTGACGTCAGAGGTCCCAGAAGAAGGAGCAGGCACCCATCTTTGCTTCTCTCCAGCCCCCTTGAGTGGCATCTCCAGGTGCAGGAGTAAATCAGATGAATAGGGCCTGAATTGAATCCCCAGAAAACTGCAGCAGCCCTTCAGAGGAGGGACCCGACCATTGAAAGAGAAACAAACAAGCAGAAAGCAACAACAACAGCATCAACAATGACAAAAAAGCCACCAAAAAATCCCATCTAAAGGTCAGCAGCCTCAAAGACCAAAACTAGACAAACTTATGAAGAGGAGAAAGAATCAATGAAAAATTGCTGAAAACCCAAAAAGCCAGAGTGCCTCTTCTCCAAATGATTACAATGTCTGTCCATCAAGGGCACAGAATTAGATGGAGGATCAGATAGACGGATTGACAGAAGTAGGCTTCAGAAGATGGGTGATAAAAAACTACGCTGAGCTAAAGGAGAATGTTCTAACCCAATGCAAAGAAGCTAAGAACCTTGATAAAAGGTTAGAGGAATTGCTAACTAGAATAAACAGTTTAGAGAGGAACATAAATGACCTGGTGGAGCTGAAAAACACAGCATGAGAATTTCACGAAGCATACACAAGTATCAATAGCTGAATCGACCAAGCAGAAGAAAGGATATCAAAGTTTGAAATCACCTTGCCTTAATAAGGCATGCAGACAAGAATAGAGAAAAAAGAATGAAAATGAATGAATAAAGCCTCCAAGAAATATGGCACTTCATAAAAAGACCAAAACTACGATTGATTGGAGTACCAAAAGGAGACAGGGAGACTGAAAATACAAGCTGGAAAACACACTTCATGATATTATCCAGGAGAACTTCCCCAACCTAGCAAGACAGGTCAACATGCAAATTCAGGAAATACAGAGAACACCATTAAGATACTCCATGAGAAGATCAACCCAACACACGTAATCCTCAGATTATCCAAGGTCAAAATGAAGGAAAAACTGTTAAGGGCAGCCAGAGAGAAAGGTCTGGTCCCCTACAAAGGGAAGACCATCAGACTAACAGTGGACCTCTCAGCAGTAACTCTACAAGCCAGAAGAGATTGAGGGACAATATTCAACATTGTTAAAGAAAACAATTTTCAACCCAGAATTTCATATCCAGCCAAACTAAACTTCATAAGTGAAAGAAAATAAAATCCTTTACAGACAAGCAAATGCTGAGGGATTTCATTACCAGCAGGCCTGGCCTGCAAGAGCTCCTGAAAGAAGTACTAAACATGGTAAGGAAAAGCCGGTACCAGCCACTGCAAAAACACACCAAAATATAAGGACCAATGACACTATGAAGAAACTGTATCAACTAGTGTGCAAAATAACCAAATAGCAGCATGATGACAGGATCAAATTCACACATAACAATACTAACCTTAAATGTGAATGGGCTAAATACTCCAATTAAAAGACACAGAGTGGCAAATTGAATAGAGTCAAGACCTATGGGTGTGCTGTATTCAGGAGATCCATCTCATGTGCAAAGACACACATAGGCTCAAAATAAAAGGATGGAGGAAAATTTACAAAGCAAATGGAAAGCAAAAAAAAAGCAGGGGTTGCAATCCTAGTCTCTGACAAAACAGACTTTAAACCAATATAGATCAAAAAAGGGCATTATGTAATGGTAAAGGAAACAATTCAATAAGAAGAGCTAACTACTCTAAATGTATAAGCACACAATACAGGAGCACCCAGATTCATAAAAACAAGTTCTTAGAGATCTACAAAGAGACTTAGACTCCCACATAATAATAGTGGGAGACTTTAACACCCCATTCTCAGTATTAGACAGAAAACGAGACAGAAAATTAGCAAGGATATTCAGGACTTGAACTAAGCTCTGGATCAAGTGGAACTAGTAGACATCTACAGAATTCTCTACACCAAATCAACAGGATATACATTGTTCTCAAGGCCACATGGCCTTATTCTAAAGTCAACCACATAATTGGAAGTAAAACACTCCTCAGCAAATGCAAAAGAAGTGAAATCATAACAGTCTCTCAGACCACAGTGCAATCAAATTAGAACTCAATATTAAGAAACTCACTCAAAACCACACAATTACATGGAAATTGAACAACCTGCTCTTGAATGACTCCTGGGTAAATAATGAAATCAAGGCAGAAATCAAGAAGTTATTTGAAACCAATGAGAATAAAGAGACAACGTATCTTTGGGACACAGCAAAAGCAGTGTTAAGAGGGAAATTTATAGCACTAAATGCTGACATCAGAAAGCTTGAAAGACCTCAAATTGACACACTAACATCAGAATTAAAAGAGTTAGAGAGGCAAGAACAAACTAACCCAAAAGCCAGCAGAAGACAAGAAATAACTAAGATCAGAGAAGAATTGAAGGAGACAGAGACATGGAAAACCCTTCAAAAATATCAATGAATCCAGGAGCAAGTATTTTTTTAATTAAGAAAATATATAGATCACTAGCTAGATTCATAAAGAAGAAAACAGAGAAGAATCAAATAGACACAATAAAAAATAATAAAGGGGATATCATCGCTGATCCCAAAGAAATACAAGCTACCATCAGAGAATACTATAAACACCTCTATGCAGATGAACTAGAAAATCTAGAAGAAATGTATAAATTCCAGGACACATACACCCTCCCAAGACTAAACCAGGAAGAAGTTGAATTCCTGAATAGACCAATAACAAGTTCTGAAATTGAGTCAATAATTAATAGCCTACCAACCAAAAAAAGCCCAGGACAAGACGGATTCACAGCTGAATTCTACCAGAAATACAAAGAGGAGCTGGTACCATTCCTTCTGAAACTGTTCCAAACAATTTAAAAGGAGAGAGACTCATCTCTAACTCCTTTTATGAGGCCAGCATCATCCTGATACCAAAACCAGGAAGAGACACACACAAAAAAGAAAACTTCAGGCCAATATCCCTGATGAACATCTATGTGAAAATCCTCAGTAAAATACTGTCAAAGCGAATCCAGCAGCACATCAAAAAACTTATCCACCGCAATCAAGTCAGGTTCATCCCTGACACATAAGCCTGGTTCAGCATATGCAAATCTACAAATGTAATCCATCACATAAACAGAACCAAAGACAAAAACTACATGAGTATCTCAATAGATGGAGAAAAGGCCTTTAATAAAATTCAACATCCCTTCAGGTTAAAAACTCTCAATAAACTAGTTATTGATGGAACATATCTCAAAATAATAAGAGCTATTTATGACAAACCCACATCATATTGAATGGGCAAAAGCTGGAAGCATTCCTTTTGAAAACCGGTGCAAGACAAGGATGCCCTCTCTCACCACTCCTATTCAACATAGTATTGGAAATTTTGGCCAGGGAAATCAGGCAAGAGAAGAAATAAACGGTATTCAAATAGAAAGAGAGAAAGTCAAATTGTCTCCGTTTGTGGATGACATGATTCTATATTTAGAAAACTCCATCAGCATAGCCCCTAAACTCCTTAAACTGATAAGCAACTTCAGCAAAGTCTCAGGATACAAAATCAATGTACAAAAATCATAAGCATTTCTTTACACAACAATAGACAAGCAGAGAGCCAAATCATGAGTGAACGCCCATGTACAATCACTACAAAGAGAATAAAATACCTAGGAATACAGCTAACAAGGGATGTGAAGGATCTCTTCAAAAAGAACTACAAACCACTTCCATCCTCAAGGATAGGAAGAATCAATATTGTGAAAATGGCCATACTGCCCAAAGTAGTTTATAGATTCAATGCTATTCCCATCAAACTACCATTGACATTCTTCACAGAATTAGAAAAAACTATTTAAAATTTCATATGGAATCAAGGAAGACCCCAAGACAATCCTAAGCTGGAGGCCTCGTGCTACCTGAGTTCAAACTATACTACAAGGCTACAATAACCAAAACAGACATATAGACCAATGGATCAGAACAGAGACCTCAGAATCACACCACACATCTACATCCATGTGATCTTTGAAAAACCTGCCAAAAACAAGCAGTGAGGAAAGGATCTCCTATTCTGTAAATGGTGCTGGGAAAACTGACTAGCCATACGCAGAAAACTGAAACTGGACCCCTTCTTTACACCTTATACAAAAATTAACTCAAGATGGATTAAAGACTTAAATGTAAAACCCCAAACCATAAAAATCCTAGAAGAAAACCTAGGCAATACCATTCAGGTCATAAACATGGGCAAAGACTTCATGACAAAAATGCCAAAAGCAATTGCAACAAAAGCCAAATTTGACAAATGGGATCTAATTAAGCTAAAGAGCTTCTGCACAGCAAAAGAAACTTATCAGAGTGAACAGGCAACCTACAGAATGGGAGAAAATTTTTGCAATCTACCCATCTGACAAAGGTCTAATATCCAGAATTTACAAGAAACTTAAACAAATTTACAAGTAAAAACAACAAACAACCCCATCAAAAAGTGGGTAAAGGATATGAATGGACACTTCTCAAAAGAAGACATTTATGTGGCCAACGAACATATGAAAAAAAGCACAACATCACTGATCATCAGAGAAATGCAAATCAAAACCACAATGAGATAACATCTCATGCCAGTCAGAATGGTGATTATTAAAAAGTCAGGAAACAATAGATGCTGGCGAGGCTATAGAGAAATAGGAATTCTTTTACACCGTTTGTGGGAATGTAAATTAGTTCAACCACTGTGGAAGACAGTGTGGTAATTCCTCAGGGATACAGAACCAGGAATACCATTTGTCCCAGCAATCCCATTACTGGGCATATACCCAAAGGAATATAAATCATTCTACTATAAAGACACATGCACTCTTACATTTATTGCAGCACTATTTACAATAGCAAAGACATGGAACCAACCCAAATGCCCATCAATGATAGACTGGATAAATAAAATGTGGTACATATACATCGTGGAATACTATGCAGCTATAAAAAGGAATGAGATCATGTCCTTTTCAGGGACATGGATGAAGCTGGAAGCCATCATCCTCAACAAACTAACACAGGAACAGAAAATCAAATACCACATGTTCTCACTCATAAGTGGGAGTTGAACAATGAGAACACATGGACACAGAGAGGGGAATAACACACATCAGGGCATGTTATGGGGTGGGGAGTGAGGAGAGGGAACTTAGAGGATGGGACAATAGATGCAGCAAACCACCATGGCGTATGTAGACCTATGTAAAAAACCTGTATGTTCTGCACATGTATCCCTTTTATTTAAGAAGAAATTTAAAAAAAAAGGAAAATGGAAAATTGGAAGGCGTAGGAAGTACAAGGAAGGATAAAGATTCTGCTACTCACTTTCTGCTGCACTGGAGAAAGACAGACTTCACCAGGGTTAGCTGAACACCAGAAAATTCTGAGCTGCTGTAGAAAGGATTGGATGCTAGGAGTCCCCTCAAGGAATTTCATTATAAAAATGGTTTATGAAGCTTCTCCATTCTCTGGAGCCCTGGTAAAGCATTACAGTCAAGCCCTACTCTACTTAGTGAAAAACACAGGCTTATCTGCTCCTCCGTGTTCTTGGCAATACACATACCATCTTCTCAGTAATCTATATCTTCAACATGGACAGATAGTTCTTTCTGTCCTCTTATCCATCTATCAGATGTGAACACTTTATGTAGACTAGAAGAATAAAAAATCAATAAATGAAATGATTGATTTTGTGAATGTATACATGCACACAACACATACATACATGCATGTACTATAAAAGCATAAAATAAGGTATGTTTATATGTGGTTTGTAAAGATCATACCAAGCGTATCATTCTGGACTCTTTTTGTCAGAACAATGTAAACTGGAAGGGCATTCTGAAAAATTCTTCACATTTGTTTTTGTTTCAAATATAGTAAAATATATGCCAAATGTAAACACGAAATTAAGTTTCTGTCTATTTCGGTTGCTGAATTAACTTGAAACATCTGGATGGATAATTATCAAATTTCATGGTATGTTTCTAGAACAGGGCATATGAAAAGCTCACCACTTCTGTTATAGGTTATCCTCACAGGCGCCTCAGAGGAATAAGCAGTCATTTTTCAGAAGACAGAAAATGTGCTACTGAGGTGTGCCTCCTAACCTACAATGAAATCCATATAAATCATGGCATCACAAAAAGGAAAACTAACAGTGATTCCAACTATAAGCTGCAAACTGAAAGCCTCAATGGCTGATCCTCCAAACTCTGCAGCCAGTTCGTAGTTGAGCTGCTCCTCACGTGGACAACTTTACACATCGTGGTCCAAAGTTTGTGACAATGCAAACATACTTATTTGATGATGGTAACTAGCATATTCTCAAGCAAAACAAGTGATTACAGGTAAGTGAATAAAAAATTTAAATTTGAAATGAAGTAGATCATGTTTTTTATATATACAATATTTTATATCTTCCACTATGCTGTAAAATGTCATTATTTTTTACTTTGAGATGGTTTCTCACTCTGTCACCCAGGTTGGAGTACAGTGGAGGGATCTTGGCTCACTGCACTTTCCGCCTCCCAGGTTCAATTGACCCTACCACCTCAGCCTCCTGAGTAGTTGGGAATATAGCCATGTGCCACAACACCAGGCTAATTTTTAGATTTTTTGCAGAGACAGAGTTTTGCCATGTAGCCCAGGCTGGTCTCGAACTCCTGGGCTCAAGCAATCTACCTGCCTTGGCCTCCCAAAGTGCTGGGATTATAGGCATGAGCCACTATGCCCAGAAAAATGTCACTTTTGTCAGATCCTTTTCTTAAGTCATTGAATAACAGTCCTTCTCACTTGCCCTAAAGTTAATGTCTGTTTTGTCCATTTCAGAGAGAACAGATACTACTAGGGAAACACTGATCAAAAGAAGAAAAGAGGGAAGCCCTGGATAAAGATATAGTTTGTGATTCTGTGATTGGGAACAAAATAAAAGCACTATCCAACTCCCTCCTGGCCTAGGAAGTTATATTTTTGCAATGAAAAAACAAGAGTTTATCAACTCCCCCAGAATCCTAAACTATTTGTGAAGAGTAATGTAAATTTTCAAGGTAGATTTTCTCAAAGTGGCAGCATGTACATGACAAGCAAACTTCTGAAAATTCCTCTTTAAATATGTCTTCCTCTCCAAAAAGTTGCCCACCAGTTGTAGCTGCTTAAAATTACTTTTAATGTCTCCCTTCTTCCAGCACTGCTGTCTCGTAAAATACGCTGTTGTGAAGTGCACTCCCTCCTTGCCTGTACCTGGTGAGCACACGGGTCTTACATTCAGCTCCTTGAGAAGAGCACTTCTTCTGCTTGGACTGTTTATCTCAGGATCATCAGTCTCCTGATGGCAAACCACTTGTCCCCCCACCCCGCCACCACCTACCTTAGAGCCTACTTCTTTTCACAGCCCAAAGTAACGTTTTCTTTGATGACTCTTGAGCTGGGTTGTGAAGAAAATGCTCTTGTTGTACACAGCATTCTTTTTGCTTCCAATTTTTCAAATTTTTATTGTGGTAAGAACACCCAACATGAACTCTATCCTCTTAACAAATTTTTAAGTGTATTGTATTAGTCCACAATGCTATAAAGAACTCCCTGAAACTGGGTAATTTATGAAGGAAAAAGATTTAATTGACTCACAGTTCTGCATGGCTGGGGAAGCCTCAGGAAACTTACAATCATGGAAGAAGGCAAAGCAGGCACCTTCTTCACAAGGTGGTAGGAGAGAGAAAGGGGAAACCACCACTTATAAAACTATCAGATCTCATGAGAACTCACTCACTATCACAAGAGCAGCATGGGGGAAATCATCCCTATGATGCAATCACCTCCTACCAGGTCCCTCCCCTGACACATGGGGATTACAATTCGGATTACAATTTGAGATGAGATTTGGATGGGGACATAGCCAAACCATATCATCTACAATGTACTATTGTTAGCTGTGGGCACAGCAAATGTCTAGGGCTTACTCATCTTGCCTAAGTAAAATTTTAGACACCCCATTCCACCCTGTTGACTAGAAATTCCCCTTGTCCCTTCTCCCAGCCCCTGGAAACCACCATTCTGTTGTCTGTTCTATGAATTTGACTATTTTAGATACCTCATATTAGTGAAATTGAGGTAAGAGAACAGCAGGACATGTTTTCACAACCCAGCTGATCTAGACAGGATATAGCAAAGAAACCAGCCAAAACCAGCAAGGATTAGGAATTATAATGCATTTGCATAAGACCCTCCCACCAGCACCATGACAGTTAAAAATGCCATGGCAAATACCCAGAATTTACCTTATATAGTTCCTGGAGCTCTGCACTGCCCTCCCACTACAAAGTTTGTGAATAACCTGACCTTCAATTAGCATATAATTAAGAGTGGGTCTAAGAAGTATAGCTAGCTACAATTCATGAGGGCTACTCTGGACCACTCCGCCTGTTGGATGGCCCTGTTCTGTCTACAGCACAGCCATTTTGGTGTACATTGTTGCCTAATAAACTTGCCTTCTTTCACTGTCAGCTCACTCTTGAATTCTTTCTTGAGCAAAGCCAAGACCTCTCCCTAGCTGAGCCACAATTTTGGGGTTTACCTGCATCATCCTGGCAATTATGAAGGGGCAAAGTGATGAACAACATGAACAAGACAAATGAGATAAGGGGCTCAGGATAGATTGAAGCTGTGGAGCTGTAACACTGTAAAGCTGTAACTCTATAGGGCTCCTAATGCTGTAAAACTGTACATGAGCCAAAGGCTCTTTTCAGAGTCATCATTATTCCTGATGACTAAAAAGCTAAGGGAACCTGAGGGAAACCTTCACCCAGACCCCAAATTAAGACCAATCAACAGCATATCACTTCCTTGGACCAGTGAGTGTTCCCTTTGTTGCCCCTCGATATTGACTTTTTGGGGTGAACCAGAAAATCAGAATGGAGCCTCTGGCTTGGGAGTTCATTTTTTCCTGTTGTTTGGGTGGCCCTGACAGGAGCATGCCTGGCACATCCTTGTTGTCCTTTCCCTTGGACCTTTCTTTTCTTTTTAGTCTCTAACGACTGGCCGTTTTACTCTCAACACTTTTTTGTTGTCGTATTTGTGGTCTTTGCTTAGACTATTTGGGCAATTGTTTATTTTAAGAGGTCCCACATTGTCCTAACTTTGGGATGCCAGAGTTGCTTTGTTCTGCGACCACAATTGTGTTAGGTTTTATGCCTTTAGGGCTCACTGTTGGCCACCTTGCAGATGCTGCCAGGTTTTCAGCACTTGGAGAGGGGACCCTCATTGGCCAATGCCCAGATGCTCCATGTTTTTCAGCATTTGGTGCCCTGTTTGCATTGTTTGTCTTTGTCACACTGCCCATTTTCGGCAACCTCTTTCATTGCTATTTGTGGAATTCACAATATGAGAAAACTGTCATCCTATTTTCACCTCTCCTTCTATACTTTGCTGATTAAAACACCTATTTTGTCATATTCCATTTGTTAATGGATGCAATCATCACTCAACTGCCCGCTCATATCTCATAATTCACTTTTGCCATGCCCTGTTAAATGTACTTACACCCTCTTTTCAGAAATTGGTAATGATTACCCTCCTGACTTTTCTTGAGGAAAAGGGAGGTGGAAATCTAAAAGGAAAAATAACTGGGCTCTTGCTAGACTTAGAAAAATTTCTGTGTCTAATATAGATCCTCGTTAGACATGGTGACAATGGCAAACAATTCAAAAGACTCACCACTAGGGTGCCTTTTGGGCAATTGGAACAAATTCAAATTACATGGTTTAAAGAGAAAGAAACTCATTTTCTATTGCAACACTGTTCAGATGCAATACCACTTGGGAAATGAAGAAATTTGTCGTAAAAATGGTTTCTTACATTATAATACTATTTTACAAATATATTTATTCTGTAAAAAGGAAGGAAAATGGGGAGAAGTCCCTCAAATATAGGTTTTTATGGTCTTTTACTAGGATCCTGACTTAAGGGACAACTGTGGAATGTTTACCATGTCCACTGACTTAACTTGTATGACTTGCAAATATTATTGTCCACCTGCTGTACTGTAGAGGAAAAACAAAGGATTCTGGTTACTACCCATGGATATTCAGATGGCCATGCCACTTACTGTGTGGGAGGAGATCAAGTTCCAGATCTAAACCTTAAGCAGGATTATCAGAGAGGTATCCAATATTTTGAATACAGAAATCATCTGTAATTTGTTTAATAGGAGTATGAAAAGCTGTGAGGTTTAGCCAGTTAATTATGACAAGCTTAGAGAAGCAATTCAGGGGAAGGATGAAAATTCCACTCTGTTTCAGGACCATTTGGTTGATGCACTCAGGAAATATACTAATGCAAACCCAGACTCCTTGGAAGGACAAGCTCTCCTGGGTATATATTTTATCACTCAATCTGCCACTCACATTAGCAGGAGGCTACAAAAGGCAGAATGGGACTTCAAACCCCCATAAGCCCACTCTTAAACATGGCCTTAGGTATTTACAACAATAGGAACGGGATGGAGGAGGTGGAGAAAAACCAAAAGAAATAGCCAAAAAGCACAATTGTTAGTGGTGTCCTTAAGCCACATGCCACCTCAAGGTTACCCAGCCTGAGGAAGTGTCTTGAGAGTGGTGTCTGGGATGTCCAGACAATAGCCCACGACTCTTCAGCCCCTGGGTCATAATCACTGTGCCTTCTTTAAGCAAGAGGCCCATTGGAAAAGGGACTGCCCCAGATTCCGAAGGGACTTTTGCCCATTCAAACCTTTAATTGCTGAGAGAACAGAAGACTGACAGGGCCCAAATTTCCCCACGGCTCCCACTAGACACCTTCCATCTCCATAGCATAGTCTCAGGTAACCCTTGATGTGGCAGGTCAGAATACTGAGTCCTTACTAGATATGGAAACAGGCTTCTCGGTTCTGACAAATTTCTCAGGGCCACTATCTTCCCACTGTTGTAGCATTAAGGAGATTGATGACTAGCCAAAAAATTAGGTGATTCACCCACCCTCTTTGTTGTACCATGGGAAACCACAAATTTTTTCACAAGTTCTTGCTTATGCCTGAATGCCCTATTCCTTACTGGGAAGAGACTTACTTTCCCAATTACAGACCACAGTTCAATTTGGAGAGCCTAATAAAAAGGTAACAGGCCAGGAAGGGATACTACTTCTAGCTTTAAGTGCTTGCCTTAATAAAGATAAAGAAAAGACTTCCTTCCCACTACATAGTACTTCTCAAGGAGACTCCTATGTTTGGGATATAGAAGTTCCTGGTACAGCTGTTAATGTACCCGCAGTTCAGGTTACTTTGAAACCCAATGTTAGTTACCCACGGAAAAAACAATAGCCTTTGAGACCCGAAGCACAATGGGGCATACAGGCCCTGGGAGTGAAGTTTCTGAAGTACAGCCTAATACAACCCTGTCAGTCCCCATGTAACACTCCCATTATGCCTGTACAGAAACCAAATGAGAAATATAGATTTGTTCAGGATCTGAGGACAGTTAACCCCTAGAAAACTTAAAACTGTTGTTTGGCAAACAGACAGATAAGTAACTTACTACCAATGCATAAATAATATATAAACAAGCTACTGGTTACATAGCTATAACCAGGGAACTGACCCCAGTTATATCTGGTCAACTATAAAAATGCCCTCCCGAGCTTCACATGGTTTTTACCCTTCCTATGACCTTCATTAGTTATCTTGTTACTACTAATCTTTGGCCTTTGCTTGTTTAACCTCCTTGTAAAGTTTGTGTCTTCTAGATTAAAGAATCTCATGTGAAAACAATGCTGGCACAAGGCTTCAACCTATCCCATTCTCTGACCTGGAAAATAAAGACATCATGCCTTTGAGCCCCTTAGATCAGGAATCCAGAGATTTTTTACTCCTCCAATGCTAAGCAGGGTCTATACCCGTAAAACCAGCAGGAAGCAGCTACGGAATATAGACCTCCACCCTTTTACAACCCCTTATGATTAAGGATGAGTATATAATCTCCAAAGGGAGAATGAGGTAGGAGATCAGCAAGACTTGTTTTTGAGACCCTGCTGACGTAAACAAGATGTAACAAAGAAACCAGCCAAAACCAACTAGGACCAGGAATTATAATGCATTTGCTTAAAGACACTCCCGCCAGCACCATGGCAGTTTTAAAATGCCATGGCAACAACAAGGAAATTACCCTATATGGTTCCTAGAACTCTCTGCCCCTTTTCCAGGAAGTTTTTGAATAATATACCCTTCAATTGGCTTATAACTAAGAGTGGATATAAATATAGGTAGCTCACAATCAATTCACAAGTGCTGCTCTGGACCACTCTGCCTCTGAGATAGTCCTGGTATCTCTATGGGTCAGCCATTTTGCTGTACACTGTTGCTATAATAAACTTACTTTCTCACTGTCAACTTGAGAGGCGAAGCTAGCTGGACTTCTAGGTCATTCTTAAAGTCAGCAAGACCACGAACCCACCAGAAGAAACCAACTCTGGACACAGACTCACTCTTGAATTCTTTCCTGAGCAAAGCCAAGCATCCTCCCAAGCTGAGCCCCAATTTTGGGGTTCACCTGCATCAAAATTACACAGTATTTGCCTTTCTGTGTCAGGTGTATTTCACTTAGCACAATAGTCTCAAGGTTTATTCATTTTACCACATTTCTTCTTTTCTAAGGCTAATTTCAAATATCTTGCTATAAAAATGATAGGTAAGAAAGGTGATTCATATGTTAATTGGCTTGCTTAATCATGCCATATTGTAAACACATGCCAAAATACCACACTGTACTCCATAAATGTTCACAGTCATGACTCATCAATCAAAAATAAAAATAATATTTTTTTAAAAAAAACGAAGCTTCTTAAGGCATGATATTAAGTTTTGATATTCTTTATAAAATAAACATAGAAATGTAACCTTATTCTTACACTAATAAATTTGCTGCATTTTAATAATAGTAAAGATTAGAGTATATTTAGAACACCTTCTGTAAAACCTTGAATTAGAAAAAAAAATATCCTGAGCTTTTAGACAATGAACTTTGTTATTCTTTCTACCTATAAATGCTACTTTGGAGCATGTTGATTCTGGGTACCACTGCAAAGCAAGCTATCATCAGTAACCCTCTACCTCCAGTTTTACCATATCTCTGTCCTTATCATGGTGCCTCTTTCCCCTGGATTCCCTAAGATATTTACAAGCTTCCTTGTAAACTAAGATTCCTTCCTTTGAAGCTATACCTAATCTCCTCCTGGAAACCTACCATATTCTAGATATTTGTTTTATTATTTTCCTTTTTCAAAATGCCTAGGTTGTCCCAACACTTGAAATTGATGTAATAAATTGTTAATAGCTAACAATAGATTAATACTGTTATAGATATTTGAATTTTATAAAAAACCTCTACATATACAGTTCAGTTGAAAGACATGTGGCTCTAATAGTGGTATTTCTGCCATCATGGCTGACTTCTTGGAAAGATATTACTGACTAATAATCTGGGGAACCATGCAGCTGATTGTCTTAGCAACTATTGC
This sequence comes from Homo sapiens, assembly GCF_000001405.40. Classification (NCBI taxonomy): domain Eukaryota; kingdom Metazoa; phylum Chordata; class Mammalia; order Primates; family Hominidae; genus Homo; species Homo sapiens. The sequence goes on from NC_000007.14 coordinate 126,306,647, forward strand.
AGTAGGTCCCTCCTTAAAGTTGTACTCTTTTAACTCAATCTAAACTTTGATAGAAATCTTGAAAGAATTTGCTTTTAAAGGATATTGGGATTCCCCCCATCCCTGGTTTTGAGATCATAAATCTAAGAGCTTGAAGGCAACTTCAAAGTCACCTACTCCAGCCCTTTAAATTTATATCTGTGGAACTTGAGACCCAGATACTTTAAATGACTTACGCATGGCCCAGAAATTTATTTATTTATTTATTTATTTATTTATTTATTTATTTATTTATTTTTTCTGAAATGGACTCTAGCCCTCTCACCCAGGCTGGAGTGCAGTGATGCGATCCTGGCTCACTCCAACTTCCACTTCCCGGGTTCAAGCGATTCTCCTGCCTCAGCCTCCAGATTCGCTGGGATTACAGGCACCCACCATCATGCCTGGTTAATTTTTGTATTTTTAGTAGAGACGGGGTTTCACCATGTTGGCCAGGTTGGTCTTGAACTCCTGCCCTCTGGTGATCCACCCACCTCGGCCTCCCAAAGTGCTGGGATTACAGGCATGAGCAACAGCGCCCAGCTGAAATTTCTTAATAGGATGCTTCTTAAACTCCTAGTCTCTCTTCCGTGTGTTTCTTATGTATAGAAAGAATATAAAACATGTAGTTTAAATACAGAGTTTAAGCAATATCACCTTAGTTGCTAATGGAGTTGCAAATGCTTTTATCTCTGAAAAATTGGTTGCTGACTAACAAGTCATCTATGGGTTACAGCTTCAGTACTGGCCTGGGTTGGATTGTCATGGGCATGGAGACATGCCATCATTTAGCATTGTTTTAGGCTATACGATGAAGAAGATATTTCAACAAAAATTTGAATTTTAAACAGAGTCAACATCCTGAGCTCTCTCAGCCACCAAGATATACAGGGAATGAGAAACTGAGGTTAAGTTCCTAGAGAGTGAAAGGACATTGAAGGTTAGGTTAGAACTGGGGCCAAGAACCTACGAATTCCCTTGACACAAAGAATGGCAGTAAAAACCTCATAAAAATGAGTAAACAGAGCCCAAGACTATTTATTTTTCCTGATGTGCAAAAAATAGAGTATTTCTAATATGCAAATACAATTCTGAATTATTTAGGCTATACCTTGTTAACTTAGAGCATGCCACACAATTAATAATGAGGTCATGGTCACAAGTATATTCTTTTGAGGACAAGTGTAGTGTCATTCTGTTTGCGGCTCTTAGGGAGCTAGAATAGCTTTCTACTACTAGAAAAACAACTTGAGACTGTGCTCCCTGTTGGAATAAACAAGATAATCTACATGTTGACATAGGATACAATTTTTTTCCTGAATAAATTATTTAATTTATAACAAACTCATATGTACAGGATGATTTAGTTTCACTTAAATTTAGACACTTAACCTATTGCATAATGTAAATTATGTGCAATAATTAAAAGAAACAAAATTATAGTTTTTAAAACTGTAATAGGACTAAACAAATATGTAGGTATTTAATAATATTATATTTCTTCTTAATCTAGGGTCACTGTAAAACACTTATTCAACTCATCAACAATGCAATCAGATTGATTGACATTGCAACTGAATTGAGCAAGTGTTTTAGTTCTCCTTTTAAATGGCCTAAATCAGTTGCTTAAGAAGGAAGAAGAGAAGGCAGAAGAGAATCAAAATGAGAAAGAGGAGTGCAAAGGGGGAAAGAGAGGTGGGTCACAAATACATTTGTTTACACTTTCTTCTATTAATTTCAGTGTTAATTTATGCTTACCCATAGTTTAACCTAACATCTATTTAATATGAAGTCCACTTAAGTTATAGTGTTAGGAGAAAACTAGTGATGTTTAGTGAACCATCTCCCCATCAACATCAAGTAAAGTCTCCTACTTTAATTTTTAGTTAGCTACTCAGGCGCCTTACATTTTCTATATACATTTTATTACGGCTATCATATTTCACAAAAAATACCAAAATATCTAAAAATAAATTTTGTAAACATTGACATCATTATAAAATTAATTGGAGCATCCAAGATCATTACATGCCTCTCCATTTATTCAGACCATCGTCTGTGTCCTTTATTATAGTTTAAAGATTTCCTTGGGCACTGTTAAGGCATTCCTGTGGTTTGCTTTATACAAATATTTAGGCTTTAATATTTTAATATGGAAATATATTATTGTCACCTTTAAATTGCTTTCCAAACTCCTGTGCACTGTCAGTATAATTATTAATCCAAACTTGGGACATTCTTAGAATAATTAGTATAAGGCCTTACTTACTGTATAAAGCTGAGCCCAAAATCTGCATGAGTACAACTCATGGGACATAAACTCACCATATCTTATAGGCTCCACTGAGACAATTAGTTTTCATTGAATTGGAGGGTTGCCAAAAATCCCTGGTTTGAATGCATATATTGTTGTCAAATGAAGAGCAGATAGTTCCTGTTAAAATTAGCATAATATAAGCCAGCATGCATCTGGACAACTAATGGAAAGATGGCTAAATATAGGTTTATATTGGAGAAAACATACATATAAATGTATTAGAAAATATACAAATAAATATAACCAAAATTTAAATCTAGTCAGAGAATTTAAAGGCAGGTGTTTATATGAGCTATATTTGACACTTTAATACTTTCTGAAGTAAACTGACAAAAATTGTCTGTTATTTGTAATCAGGAGTAAAGGTATAAGGACACTTAACAAAAATCAGTACTACTGAATCTCCAAGTCAGTAAATCCTGAATGAGTGGGCCACAAATTTCAGTATATTATAAAATACCTGGTATTACAAGGTAAGCAAAACTGGCGATTACTGAATTTCTTAAAATAAAATAAAACAATAAACTTTAAAAGAAATAATAGACATGTGCTTCGTAAGGCAAAAAAAGTAATTACAAAGATGTTAAGTTTGAAATCTCCAGAATTCTAAAATTCTTTCAATCTCTTTGCCTGCACTGTTTTCTCATGCCTCATTTCTCCTTCATTTAGTTTTCTAATTAACTCCCACTTCCTTATCACATATCGGTTCAAATTTAACTCCAACTGAGAATCCTTATTAGAAACTGTTACTTGATAGCCAAGCCTCAATTAATATTTTCTCAATAAATATATAAATAAATGGCCAGGAAGGGAAAGCTGAGGAACTGACTCCTATCTTTCCTTTCCCCGCTTTCTTTCTATATCTCCCTTATCAATCTTTGAATAAAATTATATTTTGTTAAGATAGATCTCATCCAGGTGATACCAAGGCTATCGTACAAAACTGACTACATTGATCATTGATACCGTTTTAAAATCTCATTATGAAGCCTGGAAAATTGTAGATGCAATACACCATTCATGTATTAAAGGCATATTAAAAGTCAGAAGAAAGTAATCCGTATATCCAGATGAGAAAAATGCATAGGAAGCCGAAGATAAGCATGGTAAACTGATAATTATACTTCAGTTGATTATTTGCCAATCTAAATCAAAAGGAGCTTTGGTTTTAACAATCATTAAGGGAAAGAAGACAAATCTTTAGTCTTATTCATGTTGAGAAGTGAGATGTATTGCTCCCATAAGGCCTGGATTCTCAACTGGAATAACCTCAAGAAAGGGGTAGACTGGAAAGAAAGAAAGAAACCTTTAAAATATCTGCTACTCAGGAAAGAGAAAGTTTTTATATGAAATTTGGAGAGAAGAGTTTACCCTGAGAATTCTTAATCATCTGGCCCTAACTAAGGTTCAGGGTGTACACTTATAACAAAAGTACAGCCCACCAACCACCAAAAACAACAATAAAACACAAAAAAAAACAACAAAAATCATAAAACATTTGAAATAGAAGGAATTTCATTAAGATGAAAGACGATAAAGAGTATAATACCAAATAGCAAACATCGCTTTTTTTTTTTTTTTTTTTGAGTCAGAGTCGCACTCTGTCACCCAGGCTGGAGTGCCGTGGGGTGATCTTGGCTCACTGCAACCTCTGCCTTCCAGGCTCAAGTGATTTTCCCGCCTCAGCCTCCCGAGTACCTGAGACTACAAGCACGTGCCACCATGCCCAACTTATTTTTGTATTTTTAGTAGAGACAGGGTTTCATTATGTTGGCCAGGCTGGTCTCAAACTCCTCACCTCGTGATCTGCCCACCTCGGCCTCCCAAAGTGCTGCTAACTGGTGTGAGCCACCGCTCCTGGCCAGCAAACATCACTTTTAGGGGTCAAAAATTTGAACTGAAATTTCTAGAGAATGTTAAGGATGCTCACTATTATTACTTCCATCTGATATTGTACTGGTGGTTTTAGCAGTTTTGTATGAAAAGAAAATGCAAAGAATTGTAAGTTTTAAATAAATAGAGATACATTTACTCATATAGGTAAACTCATTATTGAAAAAATTTGTTCAAATTAATCCATAAATTATATTTAATCACAATAAAAAATCTGATAGTCTGTTTTCTGGAAGTTAACAAATGAATCCTAAATTTTCGTGGGTCCTTCATAAGACCAACAATCACCAAAGCAATTTTGAATAAATGAAACAAAATATTAATACTGTACAACCAGATATCAAAACTTACATATACTTGTTGTGAATGTAGTGTAGATTTGATAAAAAACAAAGATATGCTGTACATTAGACAAAATAGAAACCTTAAGAAAAGAATCATATTAATAGGTAAACTTGATATATGATAGGAGTGACATTGCATTAATGGGGAAAGAACAAACTACTAGATGGATTTTCATGTCTAAACTTTTTAAATTGAATCATTATTTTCTAAAATATGCAAAAATTAATTCCAAGCAGATTAAAGCACAATTTGGTCTTATTTAGTAAATATGAATAATGTGTTTGTTAGCACCCCAAAACACTATTATACATTTTGTATTTGATAGAATATTTTACATAATTTTATACAGTTTGATGTACAAAAATATTTAAGTTTTTGTAATAATCAAAAAAAGAAATAATGTCTCAAATATCCATGAACAGAAAAGTGGACAAATAAAAATGTGATCTTTTTCAATGAAAAAAAAATTCTGAGCTACATGTAACATAATGTCATAAATGTAGACATAATAAAAAAGTAAAACAAATTGGGGGAAGAAAAATAATAGAGTAAAATACAATTTATGTAAAGTTTAAAAAGCTATGACACATGCAGTATATTTGGAGAAGGAGTTAATATACATGCATGTATGCATGAGAAATGTAAACAGCAACATCAGAATAAAACAGTCATTATTGCTGTTTGCCAACATTTCTGGTTCTTACACCATCTAAAAACATGTAGGTCTGTGCTATCTCATGCTCTTTGGGTAAACAGGACCATTAGGCTGTTACTGGAAATAACATCATTTACTTTGTATATAACTGTATATAACAGTCTTTCATGGAGACTGTTGAAGTTTAAATGGTGGTTGCCTTGTTGTTCTGGGTGCCTAAATGCCTCAGTAGGCATGGACCTTTAGCACAAGTGAAACAAAACTGCTGTTGTTTTACATGACTGTGGTATGAATAGTTCACTATCTAGCCTATTCTGACTGATACACAGGTATGGTTAACTCTGATGTGACTATGGATAGTTAGACAGTGGGATTAAACTACAGTTTCAAAGTTTTATTACTTCAATGAATTATGCTTAAGTTTCCCTTATTTTTCCCAAGTATATTTGGCTTGATTAAAATATTTATAGTAAAATAGCAAAATGAAATATTCAATAGTTCTACCTTTTAAAAAGTTAATAAGAGGTGGGTTGTGTTGTGTTTTTGGTAATGAAATAATGTATATGGTTTTGGAATTAACATTTCTGACATACTTTAGAACTTTGTTTTACTTTTTCCTGTTTCCTATTTTCTTTTCTGTCTCATTCAATGCCTTGCCTCCATCACCGCACTACCTCCTGGACACAAGAGAATTCAGAGTAAGCTTCGTTGCACACCGTGAGGCAGCACATTGTTCTACAGCATTTTGTCCAGGAATACATGTAGGTAGATGACAAAATTGGAGCCCACACAATTTTAAAAGTAGCAATAAAAACGCTTCCAAAGTAAATAATGATGATGATGATGATTCATAAACCATACCTAACTAAAAGAAATTGCAAATGATAAATTTTGTGTACCTCAGAGAGACCCTCAAGAGGTATTAGTCCTATTCCAGCATAATATTACCTAACCATTTTATTTGTGGTGGGTAGAAATATGGCCAGTGTAAATTTTGTTAAGAAATAACAAAAGCAGGGAAAGGTTGTGAATAACATAACTATATATAAGAAGATGGATAGATTTTAAAAGTCAAAATTGTTTTCAGTCATGAAACACATTCTTTCACTCAGTAGAACACAGCTGAAACAACGTTAATTATGTGCTTTCTACCTATAATACTTCAATGCACTTTTACCGTATTACATTTTTGTGTACCTGAACTAAATAAATAATAGAACGTTAACTCCCTATGGTAAAATAAGAAAGAAATCCATGTAATAACCCTCTTCGAGGAGAAAGAAGTGAAAGCAGTTATATAATCCATTAATAAATCACACTTATTAGTCCTCAGGAGGGAATTTTATTTAAAAATCAATGCTTTCTTCCCAATAGACATAATCATCTAGAAATTAGGTATATTTTTCATGAAAGGATTTGCCATAGGAAGTTTTACCATAATGTAGCACAATTAAGTACTACTACTGATTAATCTGTGCTTTAACACTATCACTTACTATAAAATCTTAGGCAACTATCTTTTTACACTCAGATAGAGAAGACAATAATTCATTCAGGTATGATAATGACTAAATAGGTCATACTAATTACTTATCATAGAAACTGGCACATAAGAAGTGTTTAACAAATGACATCAAATTCGTTATCATCATCAGAACTGACCTTGTAACTTATATGTTACTATCACTAGTTTACATTCAAGGAAATTGAGGCTCTGAGAAGTTAATTAACTGGTCCAATTTTGTACAGATAAAATACTAGATTTGCCAAAATCATCTATATCCTTGTAGAGCCATATTATTGGTTTGTAGTTTGAATATGCATTTATAATTATTGATAGTACTTTTTGAGGAAGAATTGCAAGCTAAAATATATGCAAGTGAGTGCAATAAGTACTATTTTCTGAGAAACATCTGTGGCCATATTATCCCAAACATTGGTTGGAAATACATTTTATTTTTATTTATCAAAACAAGTCAAGATGGAATTATTAATTCTCAATTTCTTCAAGTCTCAACTATCAGTTTCCTTACATGAAAACTGTAATTTAAGTAACTGGATACCAGGAAAAAGAAAAAGAGAAGACCTTCAATTTAATGATAGATATCTACCATAAATTAAACCTCATTCAAGAACTTCAATGCACAAATGCACCTTTTGTGCTATATGTGTTGGTCCATTTATTTTTTAAATCCAATAACAATATAACAATATACTAAGTGAAGGGAAGCCTACAAGCCCCTAAGCATAGAGCAACTCTGTTCTTACCTTGGAAGTACTCATCTTCTGAATAACATTAGGAGGATGACACTGAACCAGAAATCACAATAGACTCAGTAGCCCTGTGATAGAGATAAACAATGGGTTCAAATTCCTATATGAGGAGAATGTTTAAATAATTGGTGTAGGTATCTTTGGACAAAAATAATATTATATATAAAGACATGAGATGAGAAAGCAAATGATGTTTTCAGAGGAGGCAAAAACAAATGGTTGAGAGTGAGCTGGATACTAGGTATGTGGAAATATGGTGAAAGCTAAGTTAAAAGATGTTCATAAATCCCACATCAGGTAGGCCTCATATTTAAGGCCATGGAGTAAAAAAGTTTAAGATTGAAAGTAACATGCTTAGATTTACATTTGTAAAATCACTGTGGCAACAGCCTGTAGGATAGTGAACCTGAATACCTCTTTCCAATTACCCATGCAGCCTTTTATTCATCCACGCATATGTGTATTCAAAACATGTTTTGTTCACCCACTACATGTGAGGCAATGTGACACATTATGGAAGTACAGTGAACAAAATAAGCCTTCATTTTCTCTCTTCCTCCTCCTCTCCTTTCTCTCCACACTTCCCTCCCTGTCACAGGGTTTATTGAAAAATTTCACAGACGGGTGGTAAACAAAAATAGATAATAAAATAACCTGGTATAAAAATATAAAAAAGCATGTAATTCTGAGAATTTAAAATAAATCTCAAATAAATGATTTAATAAATAAATGAAATAAATGATTGGAGAAGCATGAATAGATTGGAGAACTATTTAGGAGGTAGAATTTACAGGATGTGGAAATGATTGAAAATAAGGGGTGGAGGAGAGAAAACTTTAAAATAATTCCAGGGTTTCAACTCTGACATTTTGATGAAGCCAAGTTATTGGCCTGTTTTATTCATTTACTGAATAGACTATATCAAATTATTTGGAACAATGGAAGGAAACCATTCTGAGTTATTTATTTATAGTTAGTCTTCCACACATTTGACAGGGTTGGAATCATTAACTCATACTGTTACCAATGCTTACACAGATATATTTGGAGAGTAAATGGATGTATTTGAGGGCTTTGTAGTAACTCTCACTGGCTCACACTCCCCTTTGGTACAATAGATCCAGCACACAGCATGCAAGTCTGAGATTACTGCTAGACCTGGCCCAAGGTGACAAAACCAGACAATTATGTCAGGGTCAATTATGTTTGGGGTGAGAAGGGTGGAGAATGGAAATTATAGAGTATTTGAGAGCATCAGCTAGGTGAAGGAAGTAACTTCAGTAGAGGCCCAGAACATGGTTTTTGCACACAACCATCTATGCAAGTGCAGGCTTATGTGGAAGACATTTCTTCTAACATGGACATAGCCTGGAAACCCACATGCTCATATGTGTTAATAAGTATTTAAGATACAAATGGCACATTCCTAAATGTGGTGCCCTTCTGCAGTGTACATATCCAACACTCTTAGGAGGTAGCCCCAGAACCAGATACAACTGCCTGCTTCCCAATTTCCCTTCTCAAAATTTACACTGTAATTTTTTTTCTTCAGAAAAGGGTTTTTTACTCAGTCTGTGAAAACCTTTAACAACTCAAATTTTGGACAAAATTATTTTTCTTTTTTTTTTTTAAATAACTGTGGCTTTTGTACCAACCACTTAAATCAAAGCCAAAGAATCATAGATGTGCTGTTTTAGAGCCTTCCTTTCCATTTATATTCACTTTTCCCCTCTCCTCCACACTACATTGAATGAAGTGCATATGGTTCACCACGTTAATATCTGTGCTGAGGCAATAGAAAGAGGGGAATGGAAAGGTGTTTAGGATCCTGTTACAGGGCATTAATTCCACTTTGAGTGGTGCATTAGTTTATTCTCACACTGCTATAAAGAATAACCTGAGATTGGGTAATTTATAAAGAAAAGAGGTTTAATTGACTCACAGTTCTGCATGGGTGAGGAGGCCTCAGGAAACTTACAATCATGGCAAAAGGCAAAGGGGAAGCCAGATACATCTTACATGGTGGCAGGAGGAGGAGGGAACCTGCCACATGCTTTTTAAGCATCAGATCTCATGAGAACTCACTCACTATCACGAGAATAGCATGGGAGAAATGACCACTATGATCCAATCACCTCTCACCAAGTCTTTCCCCAACATGTGGAGATTACAATTTGATATGAGATTTGGATGGGGACACAAAGCCAAACCATATAATTCCTCTCCTGGCCCCTCCAAAATCTCATGCCCTTTTCACATTTCAACACCAATCATGCTTTCCCAACAGTCCCCCAAGGTCTCAACTCATTTCAACTTTAACCCAAAAGTCCAAGTCCAAAATCTCATCTGAGACCAGGCAAGTTTCTTCTGCCTGTGAGCTGTAAAATAATAAACAAGTTAGTTACTTCCAAAATACAATGGGGATACAGGCATTGGGTAAATCTTCCCATTCTGAATGGAAGAAATTGGACAAAACAAAGAGGCTGCAAGTCCCACCCAAGTCCAAAACCCTGCAGGGCAGTCATTAAATCATAAAGCCCCAAAATATCCTTTGACTCCATGTCTCATATCCAGGGAATTCTGATGCAAGGGGTGGGCTTCCACACCCTTAGGAAGCTCCACCCTTGTGGCTCTGCTGGGTACTGCCCCTACAGCTGCTTTCATGGGCTGGCATTGAGTGCCCACAACTTTCCCAGGCACATGGTGCAAGCTGTTGGTGGATCTACCTTTCTGGGGTCTGGAGGATGGAGGCCCTCTTCTCACAGCTCCAATAGGCACTGCCCATGTGGGATTCTGTGTGGGGGCTACAATCCCACATTTCCTTTAGCACTGTACTAGTAGAGGTTCTCCATGAGGGCTCTACCCCTGCAGCAAACTTCTGCCAGGACATTCAGGCATTTCTATACATCCTCTGAAATCCAGGTGGAGGCTCCTATACTCTTGCCTTCTGTGCAACCACAGGCCCAACACCAAGTGGAAGCCACCAAGGCTTCGGGCTTGCACCTTCTGAAGCCATTGTTCAAGCTGTACCTTGGCCACTTTTAGCAATGCCTAGAGCTGGAGTGGCTGGGACACAAGGCACCAGGTCCCTAACGCTGCACAGAGCAGTAGGGCCCTGGGCCTGTGCCAAAAAATCATTTTTCCCTCCTAGGCCGCCCTGTCTCTGATGGGAAGGGCTGCTATGAAGATCTCTGAAATGCTCCTGAGGCATGTTCCCCATTGTCTGGTTATTAACATTCAGCTTCTCTTTACTTATGCTAATTTCTGCAGCCAGCGGCTTGAATTTCTCCCCAGAAAATGCGTTTTTCTTTCCTATGACATGGTCAGGCTGCAAATTTTCCAAACTTTTATGCTCTGCTTCCGTTTTAAACTTAAGTTCCAACTCCAGACTATCTATTTGTGGATACATATGACTGTACACTGTTAGGAACAGCCAGGTCACTTCTTGAACACTTGCTGCTTAGGAATTTCTTCTGCCAGATACTGTAACTCATCTCTCTCAAGTTCAAAGTTCCACAGATCTCCAGGGCAGGGGCAAAATGCTGCCAGTCTCTTTGCTAAAGCATAAGAAGGGTGATCTTTACTCCAGTTCCCAATAAGTTTCTCATCTCCATCTGAGAACACCTCATCCTGGACTTCATTGTCCATATCACTATCAGCATTTTAGTCAAAACCATTCAACAAGTCTCTAGGAGATTCCAAACTTTCCCATGTCTTCTTGTCTTCTTCTGAGCCCTCCAAACTGTTCTAACCTTTGCCCAATACCTAGTTCCAAAGTCACTTCCACATTTTCAGGTATCTTTATAGCGGTACCCCATTTCCCTGTTACAAATTTTCTGTATTAGTCTGTTCTCACACTGCTGTAAAGAATGCCTTGAGGCTGGGTAATTTATAAAGAAAATAAGCTTATTTGACTCAGTTCTGCATGGCTGTGGAGGCCTCAGGAAACTTGCAATCATGGCAGAAGGCAAAGGGGAAGCAAGGCACATCTTACATGGTGGCAGGAGGAAGAGGAACTACCACACACTTTTAAACCATCAGATCTCATGAGAACTCACTATCAAGAGAAGAGCCTGGGGAAAACCACCCCTATGACCCAATCACCTCTCCCACCAGGTCCCTCTCCCAATACTTGGGGATTATAATTTGATGAGATTTGGGTAGGGACACAGAGCCAAACCATATCAAATGGTATATGCTGATCTGGAACATATTGCCTATTTATCAAAATCTTCTTGCTTCCCCTTTACTTCCTTTTTTCTATCACTCCTTGTCTTCTACAAAGCCATAAATAGGGGACTGTCATCAGGAAGCCAAGTGAGACCACTATAGCTCACATGCATTGGTACCTCCTATGTTGGGGGATTTATTAACTCAACCCTCCTCTCAATGAAGAGTAAACAGCCAGCTGTCTCTCAATTCCTTAGCATGTTGACATTCAAAAGGACAACTTGTTACAGCAGCAGCAGGAAAGCATTTCAGAGTTTAGCTATCACTTCTGAGAAAAAGATTATGACACAAATGCTCAAGAAAAAGGTAAGACAGTACCCAGTTTTTCAACTTGCAAAATAGAGGAAAGTTTGTTGAGAAACTAGTTGATTTTTTAGCCTAAGTGAGGGGTAGAAATGAACAATGATTATAGATACAAATATAAATAGAAAATGTAACCTTTATAAATGCATGAATTAATCCTCTCTGATAATTAATACCCAAAGGTAACTGGTAAATGAATTTGAGAACTGATTGCCTAAATAGAATTTTGAAAGTAATTAATTTATGCTTTCTACAGAAATGTTTTCTTTTTTAAAAAATTTCAACTTTAATTTCAGATACAGAAAGTACATGTGCAGATTTGTTACATGGGAATATTGCATGATGCTGAGGTTTGGAGTACAGATACCATCACCCAGTTAGTAAGCATAGTACCTGATAGGTAATTTTTAAACCCAGCTTCCACCTCTACTTTCTAGTAGTCCACAGTGTCTATTTTTCCTGTATTTATATCCATGTTCACTATGTTTAGCTCTCACTTATAAGTAAGAACATGTGATATTTTGTTTTCTGTTCTTCCATTAATTTGCTTAGGATTGTGACCACCAGTTCCACTGATGTTGCATCAAATTTCACTTTTTTTATGGCTGCATGGTATTCCATTGTGTATATGTACCATATTTTATTTATCCACTCTACCACTGACAGGCACCTGGGTTGATTCCATGTCTTTGCTACTATAAATAGCATAGAGATTAACATATGAGTGTATGTGTCTTTTTGGTAGAGTGACTCATTTTTGGGAGGGTATGTTCTCAGTATTGTGATTGCAGTGTCAAATAGTAGCTCTATTTTCTGTTCTTTGAGAAATTGCCAGGCTGCTTTCCGCAATGGCTGGACTAATTTACATTCCCACCAACAATGTATAAGCATTCCCATTTCTTGGCAGCCTCACCAGCATCTATTGTTTTTGACTTTTTTCTTTATGCAGGTTTAGTGTATCACATTTATACTTTTATAACCTGCTTAATAAGCAGCCAAAGATAATCAAATTCCATAAAGCAAGGTGACCCAAATACCAATAAAGTCAGAACACTAGACAGGGTCTATAGGAAGTATTATTTCTATACGGTATTCCCTACTCTTTTCCAGTCCTGACCAATATTTCAGGCAAGATTGTTTTTTTCTGGGTCATGGTAAGAAGATAATTAACGAAAGTCAGTGTAGCTTTTCAAATATGTAAAAAGAATACATCAATTCACAAAATAGTTTCTTTAACCCTGGAAGCAGATAGGCAGCAGATAAATAAAACAATTATTGCACTGCTGATAGGTAAATGCCTCCTTGATTATCATCTGCTTAGTACCACTCTTTAGTGTGAACCTGATCTCAAAATCAGGCTTGGATTTTTTTTTTTGTTTCTCTTTAAAACAAATATAATAATTCTTATCTTAAAAGATTCCTGGATCACTTTAATTCAAATAATTTATATTAGGAACTCCTATAAGTTAATATGGATATCTGTTCATTTAATACTCATAGAAGGGGTCTCCTTTATTAAAAGCATGGTACTAATCACTGCAGTTATGTAAAGGTATATAATTCATTTGAATTACTCAGTAAGCATTTATTTTACATGGACTATTAAATGTTTTCTAGAATCAAAGAGTATATAAACAAAAAGAAAAATAAATACTTATGAAAGTTAACTATATAAAATAAAAATTAGACATTAAATAAGGAATATGTTTAAATAAGGAATATGTTACAGAAAATAAGTTCAGTGGAGTGACTACAGCAGGAGAGGGAAACCAAGAAGGCTTAAATCAACAAAAATATACTAAATTCTAACCACAGCGAGTATAAAGAATGATGACAGGTAACATCAGTTGTAGAAAAAGATATTAGCAAGCTTAATTTTGTACAAGATATAAACCATGTAATGGAAAAAATACAATTAATGTGAAATAAATGCCCAAAGAGTATAAGGAAAATCATTTCACAAATACTAAAAAGAGGCAGGTCAGTTATGATGATGGAAGTTTTAATGTAAGAGGTAAAGTTTGGATCAAGCTTTGAATAATGCTTGTAATTTAATAGAAATGAGGCATTTTAGTTAGAGAATTTGTGTTCAGCAAAAGTCTGTTTAATTTGAATGAAAGTCTTCTAAAAGTAGCATGAGCCTTGGAGATGACACCCGGGTCTAGGGTATAGGGTCAGTTTCACATGCTCAGAAATTTGATTTTGTCAACATTCCCGGAGTGAGTCAATTGCTGAAGATGAGACTCATATTAATCAAGTTTGCAAAACCTGAAGTATAAATGAGAATATCAATTTATTAATTTACAACGCAAGTAGAAGTTCTTGACAAACTAACTTAAGAAGTTTGCTTGGTAAGCAGCAGGAAACCAGAGACAGAATATCAGAGAATTTTGTTTAACATATTTTGTTAAATATTTGATATAGAGTTATGTTAATCACTTACTACTATCTCTAGAATAAATAAATTCCTGACAAAGTTAACTGAGTCATTGAGTTTTCAGGTCAAAAATATGGAGGGGCTCCTTGTGCAGTGATACAGATGTGTTATATTAACATTTGTCTTACTCATGCTGTTTATGCCTCCACAACAAGTTTGCTAAACTGCCTACTGAAATCCATGCGTTATTGGAGAGAAAATGTATCTAATTTATTCCAAATGTTATATTGTTAAGAAATCCAATTAGGACTAAATGTCATTACAGCATTTAATTCACCACTATATGTTAAGTAGCTTTTATTAAAAAGTAATATATGACCATAATAAAAAATTCAGGAAAATATTTAAGTGTTCAAAATAAAGTAATGAAAATTTCCTCTCTCTACCCACTACAGTTTTAATTCCTCATCTCACCTGAGGTTATTGTTAGCAGTCTGTGGTGTATTTTTCCAGCCCTCCTTTGCATGCATATGCAAATATAAAAGCATGTGTATATGCTATTTTTAATGTAATCAAACTATATATACTAATCTCCAACTTGCTGCTTTTGCTTAAAAATATAATTATGCATATATTCTCATGACAAACCTTATAGTTACAACTTTATCTTTATTAATGGCTCCACGATATTGCACTGGATGCATAAATTAGTTTAATTTAATTAATTATATTAATTCTAATATATTAGTTTAATTTATGCATCCAGTGCAATATCATTTGTATTACAATAAAAATCCTTGTACACTTAATGAGCATTTCTTGGATAAATCATATTGTTAACTAAATTCAAATGAATATATAATTTTTGAAATTTTGCAAACATTCTCTACAAACA
This sequence comes from Homo sapiens, assembly GCF_000001405.40. NCBI lineage: Eukaryota > Metazoa > Chordata > Mammalia > Primates > Hominidae > Homo > Homo sapiens. The sequence goes on from NC_000007.14 coordinate 126,321,954, forward strand.
TTGATATGAAACATGTGTATGCTTCCAGCAAAGGGAGATGACAGTACAGATTTTTCCCAAATTTTAAATAATACAGGACGTTATAAATATTTTCAATATTTACCATGGTAGTGGGTTAAAAAAAAGCAGCTAATTTTGTTTTAATTGGCATATTTTAATTAGTGAGGTAAGCTTTTCTGCATATTGTTAGTCATTTATATGTTTTATGTGTGTAACAGAGAGCAAACTGGCTTTCCAGATTATTTGCCCATTTAATGTAATTATTTTCTCAATAAATTATTAATATCTATTCATACATAAGGAAATTATAGCTTTGCCATATGTATTGCAAATATAATTTGGAGTCTGATGTTTTAAAAATTTTTCTTGACAGTGAATTATTTAGAATAATTGTACTATTTAGCATTTATTTTGTTAATAAACATGAGTCCACCATTTTTTCCCTCAAAACATGGCTGGTTATCCAAATCCAATTTATTGAGTGATCTATTTTCCCATCGTAGATTTTTGGAAACCTATACTTATCATGTACTACATAGCCTATATAAATGACTCTATTTTTGTATTCTTTTCTGTTCCATTGATTTGTCAATCCCTAAACATTATCACATGATTTTAATTAGTACAGCTGAGTATTACTTGGGAGTAATTCTCTACCATTAAAAAAAATCTTTGTTTTTTCTTTTATTTTTATGCATTTATTTATACACATAAAGCTTTCTTTATCAAGATCTAAATCAAGAAGTAGAATAAGGACAAGGAGAGGTAGAAGGATGGAAAATTATGGTATTTTGATGTAAACATGTGATTTCCGTTTGAATTTTCAATGAAATGGTATGGCTTTCTCTATGTAAGAACAAGATATCACTGTAGTTCAAGTTTTCTTTTGTGTATCAATACAATCTTAAATTATGTTTACACATATCCTGAAAATGTCTTCTTAGGTTTATTTCTAGGTGTTTTGTGTTTTGTTACTGTTTTAAAAGGCATCTTTACTGCATAGAAAAGCTATTTTTTTTTAATGTCCAATTTGACCTGGTCATTTATATGATGTGTGTGTGTGTGTGTGTGTGTGTGTGTGTGTGTGTATGTGTGTTTCAATAAAGGTAGTAAAGAGAGTAACCTGAAAAAGAAGGATATGGTAATCAGAGAAGAGAGAGAGTAATTATTGATATTGATAATGACAAGTTTTAGAATCTATCCACAGACTTGGGAGTCTTGGAAAGAATGAAGAACAAGATTATTATAGGTAAGATACCTGAGAGGCTAGGTTGTTGAGAGAATCACTTACACACATACTGAAATCACGAAGAATCATGACAAGGGCAATTTTGGAGAAAATAACAAGAACCAGGAAATAAAATCTTTAAAGGATGAGAGAGAACAATCCAAGGTTATGTAAAAAAGTGTTCCTCAAAATGTAGTCCTCAATGTTTTGTTATTTATCCATAGTAAGGTAAGTATAGAAATTGAGGGTAATCATTTACACACTTTACAGCAATTTTACCATTTTGATGTCAATGTAATGCAATAATAGAAAATTCTACTTACATTTTATACCCATTCTATTCATTGTAACCTATTTTTTCTTGTGTATATTGATTCAAAGCAAATTAGAGGCTGGAGATTGGTCCTTCACAGATAGTTTGAAAAGCACTGCTGCAGTTGACTGCAGTAAGAAAGAGTTATGGCTAATCTAAGATGAGATGAGAAAGCTAGAGGATTATATGAAGAAAGAAAAGAGAATGATTCAAACTTGGAAGTGAAGTAGGATAATCAACTCATTCTAGTTTGCCTCAGACTTTCTCGATTTTAGCATGGAAAATCCCAGGTCCCAGGAAATCCATAGGTCCCAGACAAACCAGGATGAGAGCAAAGAAGACATCAACATCCCGCTTCAGGCCCAGAAATACTAGCGATGAGAGAAAATGCACAGCCACACCCCTTTCAATCTTCTAATGATGTTACGAAGGCCAGTGGTGGGGCAGTCTCATTTGGAGAATCAGGAACTCTTTGACTCCCTCTTTAATCCCAGAACAAAATAATTTATTTACTATGGCATAGAAAAAATAGACTAATGGCTTCTTCCACAACACCCAGAGCACTCAGCTCCAGCCTCAGTGTTACTAAGAACAGGGTGGAAGTTGTGGAGACACAGTTTTATCTGGAGTATGCACACCACGTTTTCTCTGCTTAAGACTGCACAGATCTAGTATGGTTGTTAGCAGTTCAAGGTTCTGCACTATTACCGACTAAAAAATAGTTGAATAGATTAAACGATTAATGTTGATCAATTATTTTAGACCAACTCTTTTAGAATTTTGAACACAATCACAGCTACTCTTCATCTAAGGTTTAATGTCTCATTTTAGCAACTTTTGAATCTTTAGGTCAACTTGATAGAGGTTAACACCACCCAAATTTGCCCAAAGAGACTTGTAACAGAAAGCCATTTAAATAATTTATAACCAGGATTGGATTTATGCATCATCTGGTAAATGCATCTTCTTACCAGTTGGGAAACTGACGCAAGGAGGGGAATTAAAATCAGAAAAGTTTGCCTGATGAATTTGGGATTAGAACAGAAATAGTTGAGTGGCCTTAAGCAATCGTTCATCAAGCAATGGAGGGTTGGTGAGACACTGTCTGTTGTAAATAGATGTAGCTGTCCAGTGGAGGAATATTTCTGGTGAATGGTGAGGACACCTTCTCCTCTGAATGGTGCTAAAAAGACAATGACAAATTCTTACTTTCTGACTTTCATTTTTCAAGACTCTATTGAGACCATCAACTTTCAGTTTGCATTTGTTATTATGGCATCAACCTTTCCACATTTCAACCTGCAATTCCCAAGTGAACAGATTATTTTTCATCAATTACATTTTAGGTTGGCTCCTCCATGATAACATTTTTCATTGATTATACTTTAGGTTGGCTGCCTAAAGATGAATCTGAGTTGTCTTAAAAAGGCACAGTGGTATCATCTGCCTTTGAGAAGCTTCTCTATAGACAGAATAGAATCTCATGGATTGTTAACTAACCCCACACACGTAGTATATGTTCAGTCTTAGAAATTCCTGTCAAAGACAGTGGCACTGACTTTCTTGTGCCAAATTTGAGTGTCCTATCTTAATACCACTGTAATTACCTTTCTATAAAGGTTAAACTTTCATCTAAACAATTCCCACCCCACATCGTCTTGTTAAATTGAAAACAAAGCTGTAATTTTCCATCTCAGATGACATCCAATGGGTGATATGTTTGGCAGGCTTCTGAAACTTTATTTTCTATGTGGATCATCTAGTTATTTTATGCAAATTAATAAAATCTGGTATAATACAGTTTCAGTGGGACTAGGGTGGGCTGTAAGATTCTGAATTTATAACAAACATGATTAACTAGTCTGGAAACCATATTTTGAGTTGCAAGTGTTTAGGAGCTTCGTAACTAACATCATTTTCTAGTAATACTTTTCGAAGGTTTTCCATTAACAACGTTCTCATTAGAGAACTTCTAGTACTAGAGAGAACTTGTCACTCTAGCAAGAACTTCTAGTACTGACAGTTCTCAACAGCTTAATCTCTCTGTAGCCAACTCCATTACACATTTTTTCAGTCAGGTTTATCAAATTTCTTGCCTCTGAAAAATTTCTTTCCGCAGGTGGACAGCTTGGGAAAATATAGTTGGTGTTAAGAAGCTGGACACTGCCATTTAAATGCAAAGTGATATTAGGCCATTTTCTTCACTTGTGTAAAACCTCAGTTTCCTCAATTATAAAGTAGATGAAATAATAATAGTAAAAATAATAATATCATCCAACTCCTAGGAGTGTTATCAGAATTAATGTGATGATGCAAATGAAATTCCAAATGTGCAGCACTTATGAAAAAAATTATATCCTTATCGATATTATTATTGGTGTTATTATTAAAGAATAATTTTGTATTACATCATGGAATCAATATCACATCAACTCCTTGCTGCTTTGCTGAATTTGGGGCATCTCATCAAACTCAGCTTATGGTGAAGTTTCCTTCCCTAATGAGGCCCATATGGTTTGGCTTTGTGTCCTCACCCAAATCTCATCTTGAATTTTAATCCCTGCATATCAAGGGAGGAGCCTGGCAGGAGGTGATTGTATCATGGGGATGGTTTTCCTCCATGCTGTTCTCATGATAGTAAGGGAGTTCCCATGATGGTTTAAAAGTGGCAGTTTTCCCTGCATTCTCTCCCTACCTCTCTCTCTCTCTAAATCTCTAACCTGCTGCAGTATAAGAGGTGCCTTGCTTCCCCTTCACCTTCAGCCATGATTGTAAGTTTCCTGAGGACTCCCTAGCCATGCAGACCTGTGAGTCAATTAAACTTCTTTTCTTTATAAATTACCTAATCTCATGTAGTATCCTTATAGCAGTGTGAGCATGGACTAATACAGAAAACTGGTACTGGCAAAGTGAGATACTCCTATAAAGATAACCTGAAAATGTGGAAGCAACTTTGGAACTGGGTAACGGGCAGATGCTATAACAGTTTGGAGAGCTCGGAAGATGTGGAAAAGTCTGGAACTTCTTAGAGACTTTTTGAATGGTTTTCACCAAAATATTGATACTGATATGGACAATGAAGTCCAGGTTGAGGTGGTCTCAGATGGAGATGAGCTACTTCTTGGGAACTGGAGTAAATGTCACTCATGCTATGCTTTAGCAAACATAATGGCAGCATTTTGCCCCTGGCCTAGAGATCCATGGAACTCTGAACTTGAGAGAGATGACTTACGGTATCTGGCAGAAAAAATCCTAAGCAGCAAAGCATTCAAGAGGTGACCTGGCTGATTCTGAAAGCATTCATTCACATGTGTTCATAAAAAGATGGTTTGAAATGGGAACTTAAGTTTAAAAGGGAAGAAGAGCATAAAAGTTTGGAAAATCTGCAGCCTGACCATTTCATAAAAAAGAAAAACCCATTTTGTGGGAAGTAATTGGAATTCAAGCTGGTTGCAGAAATTTGCAAGAGGACTCAAATGTTAATAGCTAAGACAATGGGGAAAATGTCTCCAGGGCATGTCAGAGATCTTTGCAGCAGCCCCTCCCATCACAAGCCCAGAGGCCTAGGAGGGAAAATTGTTTTATGAGCTGGGCCCAGGGGCTTCTGCTTTGTGCAGCCTCAGGACTTGGTGCCCTGTGTCCCAGCAGCTACAGCTATAGCTGTGGCTAAAAGGGGCCAAGGTACAGCTCACGCTGTTGCTTCAGATGGTGTAAGCCCCAAGCCTTGGCAGTTTCTACATGATGTTGGGCCTTCAGTGTGCAGAAGAAAAGAGTTAAGGTTTGGGAACCTCTGCCTAAATTTCAGAGGAGGTATGGAAATACCTGGATATCCCGACATAAGTCTGCTGCAGGGGTGGAACCCTCATGAAGAACCTTTATTAGGGCAATTCAGAGGGGAAGTGTGGAGTTGGAGCCCCGACACAGAGTTCTCACTGGGGCACTGCCTAGTGAAACTGTCAGAATAGGGCCACGTTCCTCCAGACCCCAGAATGGTAGACCCACCACCAGCTTGCATCGTGTACTTGGAAATGTTGCAGGCACTCAATACTAGCCCAAGAAAACAGCCACAAGGGCTGTACCTTGTAGAGCCACATGGACAAAGCTGCTAAAGGCCATGGGAGCCCATCGCTTGCAGTAGCATGCCCTGGATGTGAGACATGGAGTCAAAGAAGATTTTGGAGCTTTAAGATTAAATGACCTCCCCACTGGGTTTCAGACTTGCATGGGGCCTGTGGCCTCTTTATTTTGGCCAAATTCTCCCATTCAGAATAGAAACATTTGCCCAATGCCTGTACCCCCATTGTATCTTGGAAATAACTAACTTGTTTTTTATTTTACAGGCTCACAGGTGCAAGGGACTTGCTTGTCTCAGATGAAACTTTGGGCTTGGGCTTTTGGGTTAATGCTAGAATGAGTCAAGACTTTGGGAGGCTGGGTGTGGTGACTCATGCCTGTAAATCCAGCACATTGGGAGGCCAAGGGTGGCTGATCACATGAGGCCAGGAGTTTGAGACCAGACTGGCCAATATGTCAAAACTCCATCTCAACTAAAATTACAAAAATTAGCTAAGCATAGTGGCACATGCCTATAGTCCCAGCTACTCAGGTGGCTGAGGCAGGAGAATCACTTGAACCTGGGAGGTGAAGTGATATGGTTTGGCTGTGTCTCCACCCAAATCTCATCTTAAATTCTCATATGTTGTGGGACGGACCTGGTGGGAGGTAATTGAATCATGGGGGCAGGTCTTTCCTCTGCTGTTCTCATGATTGTCTCACAAGAGCTAATGGTTCTATAAGGGGGAGTTTCCCTGTACAAGCTCTCTCTTTTTGCCTGCTGCCATCCATGTAAGATGTGACTAACTCCTCCTTGCCTTCTGCCATGATTGTGAGGCTTCCCAGCCACATGGAACTGTAAGTCCATTAAAACCTTTATCCTGCATAAATTACCCAGTCTTGAGTATATCCTTATCAGCAGCATGAAAACAGACTAATACAGTAAATTGGTACCACTAGAGTGGGGTGTTGCTGAAAAAAAAAAACCTGAATATGTGGAAGTGACTTTGGAACTGGATAACAGGCAGGGGTTGGAAGAGTTTGTAGGGATTAGTCAAAGAAAGAAAAATGTGGGAAGTTTGGAACTTCCTAGACACTTGTCAAATGGCTTTGACCAAAATGTTGATAATAATATGGACAATAAAATCCAGGCTAGGTGGTCTGAGATGGAGAGAAAGAGCTTGTTGGGACCTGGAGAAAAGGTGACTCTTGTTATATTTTAGCAAAGATACTGGCAGCATTTTGCCCCTGCCCTAGAGATTTGTGGAACTTTGAACATGAGAGAGATGATTTAGGATATCTGGCAGAAGGAATTTCTAAGCAGCCAAGCATTTGAGAGGTGACTGGGGTGCTGTTAAAGGCATTCAGTTTTAAAAGGGAAACAAGGCATAAACGTTTGGAAAATTTGCAGCCTGACAATGTGATAGAAAAGATAATTCCAATTTCTGAGGAGAAATTCAAATCACTTATGCAAAAATTTGCATAAGTAACAAGGAACTGAATGTTAATCCCCAAAACAATGGGGAAAATGTCTCCCAGGGCAAGTCAGAGGTCTTCATGGCAACCCCTCCGATCAAAGCCCTGGAGACCTAGGAGGAAAAAAACTGTTTCATGGGCTGGGACCAGGGTTCCTGTGCAATGTGCAGCCTAAGGACTTGGTGCCTTGCATCCCAGCTGCTCCAGCCATAGCTGAAAGGGGCCAACATAGAGCTGTGCCTTCAGAGGGTGCAAGCCTCAAGCCCTGGCAACTTCCACATGGTTTTGAGCTTGCTAGTGCAAGAAGTCAAGAATAGGGGTTTGGGAACCTCCATCTAGATTTCAGAGGATGTATGGAAATGCCTGGTTGCCTAGGCAGTAATTTGCTGCAGGGGTGAAGCTCTTATGTAGAAATTCTGCTAGAATGCAGAAGAGAAATGTGGGGTCAGAGCCCCGACACAGAGTCCATACTGGGTCACTGCCTAGTGTAGCTGTGAGAAGAGGGCCTCTGTCTTCCAGACCCCAAAATGCTAGATCCACTGATAGCTTACACTGTGTGCTTGAAAAAGCCACAGACACTCACTTGCCCATGAAAGCAGCCAACAGAGGAGCTATATCCTGCAAAGCTACAGAGGCAGAGCTGCCCAGGCTGTGGGAACCTACCTCTTGCATCAGCATGACCTTAATGTGAGACATGGAGTCAAAGGAGATCATTTTGGAGGTTTAAGATTTGATTGCCCCTCTGGATTTTGGATTTGCAGGGGGCCTGTAGCCCCTTTGTTTTGGCCAATTTCTCCCATTTGGAATGCCTGTATTTACCCAATGCCTGTACTTCCATTGTATCTAGGAAGTAACTAACTTGCTTTTGATTTTACACGCTCATAGGCAGAAGGTACTTGCCTTGTCTTGGATGAGGCTCTGGACTATGGACTTTTGAGTTAATGCTGAAATGAGTTAGTACTTTGGGGGACTGCTGGGAAGGCATGATTGGTTTTGAAATGTGAGAACATGAGATTTGGGAGGGGCCAAGGGCAGAATGATATAGTTTTGCTCCGTGTTCCTACTCAAATCTCATCTCAAGTTGTAATCTCCACATATTGAGGGAGGGACCCTGTGGGAGGTGATTGGATCATGGGGATGGTTTCCCCCATGCTGTTTTATTGATAGTGAGGGAGTTCTCATGAGAGCTGATGATTTAAAAGTGGCAGTTTCTTCTGCACTCTCTCTTTCTCTCCTGCTGCCATGTTAAGACATACCTTGCTTCCCCTTCCCCTTCTGCCATGATTGTAAATTTCCTGAGGCCTCCCCACCCATGCAGAACAGTGAGTCAATTAAACCTCTTTTGTTCATAAATTACCCAGTCTCAGGTAGTATCTTTATAGCAGTGTGAAAACGGACTGATACAGAGACTAAGCAAAAGGCTTATACTATAGTATCTGCCATTACCTCTTAGTGATATCTGAACTCAGACCTCAAAAAACTTCAGCTCCAGAATCATCATGGTAGACTTTCTTGTCCAACTCAAAAGCTTAGAGTATCCATATAGATTAAATTTGAAAATAATTCCATAATTTTTCCAGGTGTATCTAATATACTTTGAGTGACTTAGGAATAATCCAATTCTTTGCTTAGAGCAGATCCCATCATTCAAACTACATGTTTGACAGCTGCTGGGTGGTAGCTGGATGTTAAGTGAGAGAGGTGAGTTAGCATGAGATAATTCTGTTTCTTAGAGTATTTGCCTGTGATTAAGTTGACTTTTTTCCCCTGTATTTAGAAACTAAAAGAGAGCTTCAGGAATGGCTTAATTAATTCTTCAATCATGTCAATTTTATCCTCCACTAGATAGGCATTAAAAATTTCAATTTAATAAAAGTCTTTTCTGTTATATCACTTGCTGATTTCTGCAGGAGGCCTACCTAACCCAGTAATTTGTATTCCTATTTTAAAATTATGTATTACCAACAACTAGGTGAATCCTATTAATAGACAACTCCAGGTGCAGAAATAAAGAATTATCTTTTCGTTTAGCCACAATGCACATTTTGCTCTCACCATGGGTAGTCTGAAGTTCACAGATTTGTTTATCTGTGTATTCCTTGAGGAGCTCCACTTTATACTAGGAGAGAAATATCATAGAGATGCACAACATTTTTCTAAATAGGCAATAAATTATCAGAAACTCTGAGATATTTCTCATTTAAATTAATAACCTATATCACAATTCTTTACTTTCTAAAACAAATGGTAGAAATGAATAGTATTAAATAAGAGACTTTAGAACATAGACTGGGAGAAAAAAGATTGGCTTAATTCATGGATTAATTGGGCAATCCTAGAGCAAATGGCTTTACCAAGACAAGTTCTCTCTCAGAGTTTCCAGGCAACTGATAAAATACAGAAAGCTGTCAACTCAATTGTGGGTAAGCAGTCCAACAAATCACTCACATGTACCATAAAGTGCTTTTTTTTTCCCCCTCACTTCCCAGTCAGATTTATACTCAGATCAATCCAGCAAATGAACCCATAGAGAGAAATTTTACAGAAGTGGAACTGTGGTGTGAGAGCCAAGAGAGGAGGCCTTGCCTACTCTTCATATGTAAATATGAACCTTGTGTTTGGATCTCACCAAGAGTCCAGCATCCCATCTTGTGTCAATGACTGTGCATCTGGGAAGACTGGAGGCTAATGCTGAGAGGTCCAATTTTGTGTGCCTCAACTCTATCCAACTAACCTCAATGCCACTTTTTATGCACTAAACATTTTATGCACTAAAAAAATTTAGTATTATTTCAGAACAAAATACAACAAACAGTACCACCACAATCACAATTGGATATCAACATATAAAATAAAGTGCATTCTGAGAAAAATTTATCTTAGTAGAAATAGAAATCTACTATAGATTTTCCTATAATTATATTACTGGGTTTTAGGATATTTTAAACAGCATTTCTTTATAAGTCTACTATAAATATCAGTATTTTCCCCCAGAGAGACACGATCCTAGCATCACTAAAAAAATGTCAGTCACGCTTGTGACTATGTAGATACACACACTGACTAGTTGACTTGTTTGACGGATTTTTCTACTGTAAGGATCCAAAAATGATCCAGCTGGTGCAATTGTCAACAGGGCCTATGTATCAAATGTTGTCAGGCTCAGCTGAAAATAAGCATACTTTCTTAGCATCACTAACAGCTCTCTTAATAAAGCTGCCAACATTGCCAAATATAGTGTGTTGGTGTTTGAAAGGTTAAAGTCATGTAAGTATTTATGTTACACATCTAGAAACAATTAGTGGAATACATGGTACATTAATTAAATTTGATGTTTTATCATCTGGTTCTTGATAAATAAGTTGTATTTTCAGAGCTTGTTCTACCCTCAATTAACAAAAATTGTGAGAAAGAAGTTTGTGATATCTCTGTAAGGAATGTGTATCTTTGTGTGTATATGTATGTATATGAAATCATATATATATATATGAAATTATGTATATATATAACATTTTAAAGATACCTAATTTTTTGAAATTAAAGTTTTGCTTTCTTAAGTTTTTCCTGTATGAATTGTATAATGCTCATGTTTTCTTTTTCATACAGTGTAGACACACACACCACTTAGTAAATATTATATAACCATTTGATAGGCAAAGTTCTTTCTTGATTTAAAGAAAACAGGTTATTTTCCCAGGTTAGTACATATGCATCAACTTCATTCTTTTTACTAGCTAAAGAGTATAATATTGTATATACATGTACTACAATAATTTTTTACCAGTTCCTTGTCAGTGGTCATTATTTTCAGGTATTTTTGCTATTACAAACAATGTTACAATAAAGATCCTTAAATAAATAAATATATATATATATATATATGGCATAAATTTGCAAGTGCATCTATAGGGATAATTCTTATTCATAGAATTGATGGCTCAGAGAGTGTGGCCATTTTTCAGTTTGTTGAATATTGACTACTTGCACTCCAAAGCAGGAGTGTTCATGGCATACCTGTATTCCTCACAGTGCTTATACTGTTACTAACTGTTGCCAAATTGGTAAATGAAGATGATTAGGGAATTTCTTTCAAGGAATTTCTGAGTTCCAAATCAGGATTTGATATAGAAACTCACAACCCAAGGTTTGTAATTCTAGGTCCAGGATTCTTTTAAATTGTATTTATGTGGGCATCTTCACTTTTCCCTAAGGAAAAAGTTCATATTTTTAATCAGATTTTCAAAGAAACCATTGATCCACACCTACCTATGACCACAATGCTCTATTTCTAGAGAAAGTTAAAAAATGCAATTATTTATTTGTGTTTACTAATATAATCTTATAAAAACAGCAAATAATTACATTTTCTAAATTATTGAGTTTTTAATTTTACTCATAGGGGAAAATAAAGCACAACCCAGATAAGAGAGCATGACATCACTTTGATCATTATACAAGGCTTTTGAAAAGCTTAGAAAATGTCTTACTGATTCCAACAATACCTAACTCCTGATGGCATCACCACATCGTTCCTTCTCTTACCTCCTCTCTTCTATCCCCACCACAGCCTGTCTTTACACCCATTTTATTCCTCAAGCCATTGCAAGAAATGCCACTCTTGCTGTCTCCACTTACTCACTTGTTTTCATCAAAGGCAAGGTAAATATATAAAGTGGACAGTTATGACTCTCGGGTAATACTGAATTGGTCAGGATAATGTAACAGGATAATGTAATGCTGATGTAACAATAAATTCCCAAATCTCAACTGTTAGAAAAAACAAAGTTTATCCAGACTGCCTGAGTTTCATGACTCTTCCATCTTGATATATTCCTGTACCATTTCTGTGGCAGGGCAACATAGAGCACAGAGACTCAAATTTCAGCTCATTAATTATAGCCTGATAGTTAGAATGTATCATATACCCCTGCCTAACTGTACTAGGCATTTCAGATAAGCGAATATAATATTTGAGGATAAATATTGCCTCTGCCACAAACATCTATCCAACAATTTTGTAAGTTATGCACACGTAACAGTTATGGTTAGTATGTGTCAGATGCCATTATAGGAGACTTTCATGTATTATCACATTTAATCCTCACCAAAGTCCTACCATAAATTTGGAAGTAGAATCACTGGAAGGTTATATAACTTGCTCAATATTGTTCAGATGGTGAATAGAAGATAACAGAATCCAAATTCAGCAGCATGCCTCCAGAGCACCTGATTTTACTCGCTGCTCCACACTTCCTTTTTCATCTTCTTATTCATTTCACAAATACCAAAAACTTACAGTGCCTATGATACTGTAGTATGTGTTAATGGTATACCTAATCCTGGTCCTGGATAAACTCATCATCTCATAAGCTCAATGGGGGTGTGAAGGTATTCAAGAGTAAGACACTGGCCTATGCACACATACAGAGCTGGGAGAGTGTGTGGTGTGTTAGGAGAAATGTCAGTGGTTGTACATAATTGGGGCTTAGAGTATGAGAGAAGTGGAAAGATATATGACAGTAAGAGCTGCTTATTCCTGAAACTAGCCATTCAATACAAACTATGAAATGGTAAGCAATGCTCTCTTTTGGCATTGCTATATTAAATTCCAATTATCCTAGAGGAGTAACCCCTCTAGAAAAACCATGTTGACTATTTCTTCTGTGATAGGTCCCTCATCCATGTCAGTCTCAAGGTATCTGCCCTTTGGGAAATCCCCTTCACAGTACTTCTCATAGTTTTTGGACACACATTGCTCTTTTCTATGAGACTTTCATGATTGAAGGACACGTGGTCATGTTTGTCTTTGGATCACCAGCAGAAAGGCCAAAGTGCCATGCAAGCACTTAGTTCTTTATTTTTACCCTCTCTAGCTTCTTGAATAACAGGGTATTTCCCCAGGTCTCAATTGCCTTGATTCAATCATCAAACATTGTTTTATCAAAAAGTATCTTTCATTCTTGATACTGGAATGCAATATCATTAATGAATAAAAGCATGGAATGCATTAGCTATTTCCCAGTCATGAAAAAATAAACAGTAAATATAAATAGAAGCCACACAAATATGTACTGCCTGAAATAATGGTTTCTCTGAATTTAATAAGACTTTACTTTTCACTCTTTATATATAAAAATAAAGCAGTCTTGTCAAGTTATAACTCAAATAAATATCTGTAAGAAAACTGAGGTTGTAGGTACTTCTCTAAAAGATTATCTCCTGGTACATCATTAACTAGTTTTCTCTCCTACTATTTATCGATTCCTAAACTGAGTACTCTACCCTAAATAATTGGTGTCATGAGAAAAACATGCTCCCCTGCATAACACTATTTGTTACATTGGAAAATACCAGTAAGATGTCAAATAAATCCAAGTTTGCAATTTGAATTTACTTAACTTGTCTATCGGCCAAAATGATTGATTACATTTTCAGGTACCAAGAACAAATACAAATTTAAATTATCTTCTACCTTTCAGGTTTAATTTAACTTTTGTCTCTATTGTATTTATTAGACCATTAAAAATAATAGGACTAAGACTTTAAGTTCATTGTGTCGACCATCTTCAAGAGATACGTATTAAGTTGTACAAGTCGTCCCTATGAAGCATCCCTCAGCAGATGTAAAGTGAGGAGCTAGTATCCTCCATCTGCAACACATCTTTCTTCTTTGTAGTCATATGGGAAGGTATTTATAAAACATTTCACAAGTTATCCTCTAAAATCCTCCCTCCCAACAATCTCTAAAGCTTGTATACCTAAGTTCCTGAGATGTGGGGAAGGTGCTCAAAAGCCAAGAGACCATTTTTAGCTAAAGCCTCAGAAAATGTGTGACTTTGGCACTTAAAAAAAACTTTATTGAGGTATAATTGATAAACAAAACCTTGTACATATTTAATGTATGTGAAACCTTGGTGAGTTTGAACATATGTATACACCTTGAACATGTGTATACATATGATGAGTTTGAACATATGTATGTACCTGTGGCACAATCCCTACAATCATATACTAAATGTATCCAGTTTGAGGTGGTGGGTTTTGGCACTTCGGCATTTCTTTTTTTGAGGAGGAGGATGCTCTCTGTTGTATCTCGGCACCTCAGCAAACTTGCTTTGAACATTCCCATGTTTTCTGTTTTAGAAAGCTACATTTCCCATTCCTTGGGAGTCTTGGGCCTCCTCTGAGTCTTCAGTGACGGGCAACAGAAACTGAGAGATGAGAAAAAGCTGAGAGATCAGAGCAAACCCAACTCAATTAGGAGACTCCCTCCTTTTTCAGCCCCCATACCTGATTAGTTAGCAAAGTTGAACATCCGTTTCTGGAACTTATTCCTCCAATCTGTTCCACCCGCCTCTATCTAATTGTTATTGCCTTTCTTCAGGTCTTCAGCTGGATTGCTGACCATTTTGTCTTCCTCCAGCCTCAACCCTCCAAGCCATTTTAATTAGTTTTCAAAATCATACACCTGGACTACCTCTTCGTTGCTTAAACATCCTTTAATAGCATCCCATTGTCTACTGTATGTACTTTAAACTTCTTCACAAATTAGTCTCTAATTATATTGCCAGAATTATCTCTTGCCAGCTTTTTTCTGGTGTATGCTAATCTTCAGTGACATTGAATTGTAGTTTGCACACAGGGGTGACAGCAGGGCACTTATTAAATAGTTGAAAATAAATAAAATCTCTTAAACTATAAAATTATACCACAATGGAAAAGTGCAGTAATATGCTAATTCATCTTAAAGAGACAGCAATCATTCCTAACACATGGGTCCATCATGCCTACAGACTAGCAGAGGAAGCAAATAATTACTGGCAGTGGTAATTGACTGATTCTCATCAGGTGATAGACTTGTTACTTAATGAAGGACATATGGAGTAGAGAAGTCAGGGATTGATCCACTGTGGAGCCTCTCGGTGCCATCATATCTAGTGGTAAACATAACTGGCCAATTGTAGCAACAACTCACCAAGAGCTCTGATTTCTCAAGAATAGAGACCTGAGGAGTAGTGGAGAATTAGTGAACCTTAACAATGATTGATAGAGAAGGAAGATGATAAACATATTTTTCCTGAGGAACTGATGTTGGTATAATCAAATAATCATATAAGCTGCAGGTATAATAGCTTACCCTACTAAAGTTCTTTTTGTAAGTTTCTTTCTTTTCTTTTCTTTTCTTTTCTTTCTTTCTTTCTTTCTCTCTGTCTTTCTCTTTCTTTCTTTTTTTCTATTTCTTTTGCTTGAGTGACTTCCAACTTAAAGAACCACTGACAGGCTAGATTAAATTTAACATGGATCAAAAGTGGATCTGAGTGATGCAAGGCATTTACCTCCTCTACATCTAGGGCCTCAGCCATCATCACTATCGAATGGCTCACGGACTGTCTGATTCATGACTATCTCAGTTGTGTCTCACCTTACATAATTGTTGCCTTGGACCAAGGAACCTACTTTACTGCTGGGAAGTTAGATATAACAATGATCACATGACCAGATAATCCACTGGTTCTACCATATTTCCCAACTCCCAGAAGCTTCCAGCCTAGTAGAACATTGTAATGTCTCCTTAAAGGCACTGTTGAGGTACTCGCTTGGGGACTGCATGCAATCAGTCAAGAACTACGGTGATTATGAGGTGTTATGTCCCTGATAAGTGGAAGACATGGGTCTGGAACCAAAGTGTGGAAGTAAGAGGAAATCTTCTCATTATTATTCCTTGTGATTCTCTTGGGACATTTGTGATTTCCTTTCTCACAACTTTAGTTTTTACCAGCTTAGATATTGAGAGATGGATATGCTTCTACCAGGGAACATAGTAAAGGATCTTCTGAACTAAACTTAAGACTACAGCCTGTTCTGAATCACATCCATCTAATGTCCCCATCCTAGGTCTTAAGGCCCTGAATTTAGCACAGAAGACTAACAAAGACTTTGCAAATCCACTAATTTCACAATCCTACCTGAAACCTAGATTTCAATGTATTCTGCCCTATGATTAAAAAGATAAAGGTCATGGTAAATGCTACCCAAAGACCTTCTGGTGTTCATACTGTTCCTTGAATTAGTAGTTGACTCACCTGAGTCTCTCACTTGTTTTTCTTCCCATGTTTCAATGACAGTTAACAACAACCAACTGCCTACACAAACCTTACCATTACCATTGATGTCTCAAATACTAGAGGTATTATATAAGCAATGTATTTTCTTCTACTTTTATCTTCTACCTATATCTCAATGCAGATATATATAAAAGAGGCATGAGTGAACCTCTTAATAATTGTGATACTACATCATACCCACTTGCCATCAACAGTGCTGGCATCTCATCTTGATGATCTGACTAAGGGAAATTGGAGCTTAAACTAGCTACAAGGGCTATAGGAACAAGTATAGAATATATTCATTGTTGTCCCACTAAATAAGCAAGGAAGCAGGAGTATTTAAATACCAGCTCCTGAGAGTAATGGCTAAGGGATGCTCACAGGGAGCAATAATTCCCCTTTTTAGATTGCTGTATTCACTAGCAAAATGGACTTCAGAAATCAAAGAAGGCTCTCCAACAAAGAATGCAGGTGCTGGTAACTGGCCACTTTTCAGTGAATAGGGCAGGGTATATGGGCAGGGCACCAACAGCATCCACTACTAGAGTCAAACCTAGAAATGTTGAGGTTTTCAAGATATTCTTTGTCAGCTTCCCTCCCAGCAAAATCTTAACTTTCATTAACTCTGTTTTAAATTCCAAAATGATTCTTAGCATTTTCTTGATCCCTCAATGAAACAAATTGCTCCATATCTTTATACATGGCATGCACCAGAATGTCCTCCTCTGGTTCTCAGCCTAGGAAACCATTCATCATTCAAGGGAATTTAGATTTTACCTCTTCCCAAAACATTATCTGTTTCCCTGGTTCTCTGTTACTAAGTTGCTCTCATCTTTTTACTTTCATAGACTGTTATGCTTATCCCTCTTATATTTCATATCATACTGTATTGTAACCAAGTGTGTCTTCCCAGTTATGCCAGTAGGTTTTTCATGGCCTTACTCCTTGTAGCTTAGCCTAAGGTCTGGTATATACTGAACAGTTATATTGTGAATTAAACACATCCCTTAACCTTAAGAAGTGTAGCTTTTCTCCACCGGTTTAAGTATCTTAATGAAAAGATGAGAAAGCAGGTCTGATCCACAAGCAAGCAAAAGTTAATTTTATTAGAAGTCATTTACCAACTCATCATCATATATTATGGCCATTTTTGAAAGAAATCAAATTATAAGAAAAATATAGAGAGAGAATTGGGTCTTTTTGAGAGAAAAATCTGCAAGCAAATTAAGTTCCAGACCAAATGTACTTGTGGGCTTGGTCTTTTAAATAAAAATATAATTAATTAAATTACTGCCTAGTACTGTTCCTATGTTTCGAATGGGAAGAGAATTACAAAGCATTGGCTTTCAAGTGCTCGTTAGCCTGGAATGTGAAATGTAGTTGTCATGTGTGGTAAAATAAGCAGAATTAAGCCTTGCTAAGGAAACGTTAGGTGAGAAATCGCTTCTCTAACTGCCCAATTCTAAATATCAAAACCTTTACTTAAATGATCATTTGGGGTTTACCTATGTTCAGATATGTATCATTAAAAGTAGCTGAAGCTGGTCTTTATAAGAAAGAAGTACAGAAACATCTGTAAGGGAAGTGAATCAGTGGGGAAAAAAGATACTCCCTGGCATATATTTTTAAATGGTGGATTGATGTATTAGTCAGAGTTTTACAGAGAAATCAGACCATCAGGAAGTGTCTATACGTGTATGTGTGTGGAGCAAGGTAGTGCAGAGAGAGAGAAACAGAGATTTTAAGCAATTGGCTGACATCACTGTGGGGGCTTGGTAAATCCAACATTTGCAGGGTAGGCCAGCAGGCTGGAGCCCCAGGGAAAAGTTGAGCGTGAGTTTGAA
Source organism: Homo sapiens (assembly GCF_000001405.40). Taxonomy (NCBI): domain Eukaryota; kingdom Metazoa; phylum Chordata; class Mammalia; order Primates; family Hominidae; genus Homo; species Homo sapiens. Next base: position 126,339,975 of record NC_000007.14, read on the forward strand.
GGCAGTCTGCTGGCAGAATTCCATCTTGCTCAGGGGAGGTGGTCTGTGTTCTATTAAGGATTTTAACTGATTGTATAAGACCCATGACATTATAGAGTAATCTGCTTTACTCAGGTCCACTGATTTAAATGTTAATCTCATCCAACAAACACCTTCACAGAAACATCCAGAATAATGTGTGAACGAATCACTCAGCATCACAGCCCAGTCAAATTGATACTAAACTTCGGCATCACAATTTTCCGTATCACTTTATCTCCTTTTTTTTCTGAACTCCGTTTAAATGGCAGCAATGTTTACACATAAAAGGAGAATGAGAAGAGAAGGACATGAAATCAGGAAGATGTAAATGGTTATAAGGGTACTGATGGACTCAACAAAGTGAAGGAAGTTAGAATCTAAAAATCCCTGCAGTGATATTGACAAGAAGTGAGCCAGTTTGCCCTGCAGAGCCCCGAGAAAATTGACCCACACCAATGCTGTACATGAGGGAGCTGACTCCTTGCATTCCCTCTCCAGACAAACAACATGATCACAGGTCTATGGTTTATTTTCCGGAGTAATTAAACGGGAGCACTCCATAGTCAGGGATGTCAGGCTCACAGGTTACAGCTCAGGGATAAAATAAGGGACGTTCAAGTCTGCATGCTGAATTGTGGGAGCTTTTCCTTTATCACAGCTGCTCCCACAACATTGATAGCCAGAAACCTGCTCTGCATGTAGAATATTGAAGAAATCTTTACTGAGGAAAATAAAAAAAATTATTTCAGAGAAAAGATCTCTGATCATGAATATTTGGGAATCCCTTCATGAAAGGTTGTGGTGTGAGAGATCTAAATCTTCCTCTCCCAAGACACGAAGTGACTGGATAATTCCTAACCTTTATAAATCAAGAAATGAAGTATCATTGAGACTCTTTAGAAGAAGGAACCAGAAGTATAAAGGGAAGTCCTTTCAGGGAAGAAGAATTAGGGGATGAGTAAGGAAATATTTGAGTTTTTTAGTACTATGGGTCATGTCATGGAAGGACACTGTCATCCAAATTATTACGATAGCCTCCTAACTAGTCTCTCCTCTTCACTGCTCACCCTATGAAGAAGTGAAGTGAAGAAACCAGAGCTCATTTAAAACATAGGTTGTAGCCCTCAGTTCCTCCTTTGATTCCCCAGCTCACTCATGTAACAGCCGATGTCCTGACAAGGCCCGAGGAGGCTGTGCAGGATTGCCCCTCCTCCCTCCCACAGCACACCCTCTCCTGGGCTTGTGTCCTACATTATCCCCAACTCTCCTACTATTTCCCCTTAACTCCAACCTACTGCACTACTTCCCATTTTTAAAACATGCCAGAAGCACTCCTTCCTGAGCGCCCTTTTAGAACATTTTCTCAGCACCTCCAAGAATGCACCTCCAAGAATGCTCACTCTAGATACTCTCCTAGCTCATCTCTTACCTCCTTCATATATTTGTTGAAATGTCACATTTCTCAGCATTCCTTGACCATCCTATTTAAAATTGCAACTATCATCCCCTGTTCCCATCCCCTAAAGTCCTTCTTTCTTCACTTTGCTTTTCTTTTAAGATCTGATAACCTGAGTATCTGAGCCCCAAATAAATATAAGCTCAATTAGAATATGAGTTTTTATGTTTTTGTTTTGTTTATCATTTAATTTCCCAGTATCTAGAAAAATGCCTGACTTATAATAGGAACTCAAATATTTATTTTAAAAATTAAATAAATTTAACACTTTAATCAGCGTTCATAAGATGCATTACTTTGATTTTAATAATAATGTTTTAAAAAGCAGAAAAATTAAATGGTTAAAAAATGACATTGCTGTAGACAACATATAATTTGGGTGTTCTAGGGAAGCATTTTTGTTATTTTAAAATTGAAATGGAAATTCTTTCAATTTTTAGAATACAACCAATACTTCAGGAAGTTATTGGTGGAACAGGGAGACATTTTTAAAGTAGCCACATTTGATTGGGAATATCTGAACTCGCACTATGAAACGTGATAAAGAATTATGCATGACTGTATATGTACCACCTACACACATTCACATAACAAAACTAGTGCAGCTCGTTTCTAGAAACTAGCATATGTTGTTACAGTGCATCTGTTGAATTCCTCATTCATTTAGAATTATTAAGATCTGAAACCAAAATGACTAAAGGACGATGTTTTCATTTTGTTTTCTCACTGAGGCATGCTCCATAGTGTTCATATAACATTTAATCTACAATAAGATAGCTCCAATAAGTTAAAACTTTCCAAAATTCACACAAGTATCAATTTATACCTACCATTGTGTGAAAAGCATAATTAAATTATTAACTTTATCAGTTGTAGATTTGTCACTCTATCTCTGTTTTAAATATATTACCAATTAACTGATGCTATATTATACTAAAAAACAATCATGACTCTTCAAAAAGGAAAAGGATATTTAATACAGCCACCTGTTAGGAGAAGAATGTCTTTGTAGGCTACAGTTCTCATCAGTGAATGCCATCTTTGGACAACTTGCTTCTACTGTGAGCTGCAACAATGGGATGGGGAATATAGGCTTTCCTGGCTTGTGACATTAAGTGATTTCTTAGTCTGAAATCCTCTAAAGTTATTGCTTCTATAATGTTTCCTATGTCATATTGTGAAATGTAGCCCTCTGTGTTGTAGTTCAAAAATTTGCAATTAATCACCAGGTATGGATTCCACAATTGTTGCTTCATCCCTTAGTTGGAAAAGAGTGAGGCAAGTTTTCCTTCCAGCTTCATATCCTTTTCATTAATGAAGGAACTTGAGTCTACTGCTCAGTAACATGATGGGTTTTGAGGTAAATTCCCTGACCTGAAGCTACCACAAGCATGAAATCTGCAAGGGGATTCTGAATTTATCTTTTAGAAGAACAGTAACTATTAGACTCTGGAGAAAATAAATAGCAGCTATAGAATGTATGGAGGACTCCAGGTTGGATTAGAGATGTCAGAAATAACTAAGGTGTTCATTTAAGGGCGACTAAGGGAAAATAAAAGGATTTGAGTTGTTTGTCTTGGCTGAAAGCACTTTAAATGGAGAAAAGCAACTACGGCACTTATTTATAAGCTTAGGTAAGGAATTAAATTGAATTTCACTGAGTACTGTGATAGCTCTTTCCATGGACTTAAAGCCTATATTTTATTGTATTTCATTCTAAGACTGTCTTTTGACCAAATGAGCTTTTCCAGAATAAAGTATTTCAAAGTCGCATCAGCTCTACCTTGCTCTAAAAGATATCTATTACTGTTTACTACCATAATGAATAGATACATTTTTCATCTACTCAGTGGGAACAGGATCACACTGCTCAGTTTTATAATAATAATTTCACTTATTGCATGTCCATGTGCTATGCACTGTAGATACATTATATCATTTGATATTCACAAACATTTTGAGACAGAGGCAATGTTTTCTATAGTTTATTAACGAGGTCATAAAGGTTATAGGACTTTCTTGTGGATAGAAAACTGGGAGGTGGCAAAGCTATTGCTTGAAGTCACAACTGTTTGATTGGGGGTGATTAGTACTTAGGAGTAAGACAACCAGGCATGTACATCAGAATCACATGAGAATTTTTCCAAAATACACAGCTCAGGCAACACCACAGATTTACTTAGGACCAGAATAGTTGTACTTTGCAGAGCTGCCTGTGTGGCTAAAAACCTCAGGTCTAAGGGAGGGATCCAAGTTTCATCTCTCCAATGCTGCCATTCACAAATGATGATGAAGGCAGCACTCCAGGCCATGCGTATTTACATAGGACACATGCGGGACCTTTGGTTAGGGTTCTACTTGTATTATCATTGTTCAGTGCCTAATGAGCGTTAATTAAGAAACTCATTTCCCTTACCACCGAGGAGTGGGCAGGACCAAAGGGTTGGGGCAAAGTTTTGTTTACTCTATCTAGGAAGGGAACAAACAGAGTGGAGCAAAAGAAAACACACAAAAGAATTTAGAAAAGTCATTTTTTTTCCAAAAAAAAAAGATATTAGTTTTTTTCTTGGATAAAGTTCTGCGAGATCAGAAAATGCTAGCATAGGGCAGGCAAAACTGTATGTCTATTACCTTAGGGTAGTTTTCTGGGCCTGAGAATTAAATTTATATAAGATAGATTAACAGGAGAACACCATACAAATTTATACAAGTTTTATGTGATGTGGGAGCCCTTGAAAGAAAATGAAGACCCAAAGATGTAGCAAAACCTAAATGTTTACATAGAAGGTAGAGGCAATTGTGGGAAAATAGGCTATGTGAAAAGGACAAAGACAGATGAGAATTCTTCTAACAGGGTCTGCAATTGTGAATGGGAGTTCACTCATGATTTGACTCTCTGTTTGTGTGTTATTGGTGTATAAGAATGCTTGTGATTTTTGTACATTGATTTTGTATCCTGAGACTTTGCTGAAGTTGCTTATCAGCTTAAGGAGATTTTGGGCTGAGACAATGGGGTTTTCTAGATATACAATCATGTCATCTGCAAACAGGGACAATTTGACTTCCTCTTTTCCTAATTGAATACTCTTTATTACCTTCTCCTGCCTAATTGCCCTGGCCAGAACTTCCAACACTATGTTGAATAGGAGTGGTGAGAGAGGGCATCCCTGTCTTGTGCCACTTTTCAAAGGGAATGCTTCCAGTTTTTGCCCATTCAGTATGATATTGGCTGTGGGTTTGTCATAGATAGCTCTTACTATTTTGAGATACGTCCCATCAATACCTAATTTATTGAGAGTTTTTAGCATGAAGAGTTGTTGAATTTTGTCAAAGGCCTTTTCTGCATCTATTGAGATAATCATGTGGTTTTTGTCTTTGGTTCTGTTTATATGCTGGATTACATTTATTGATTTGCATATATTGAACCAGTCTTGCCTAGGAATCCAACTTACAAGGGACGCAAAGGACCTCTTCAAGGAGAACTACAAACCACTGCTCAATGAAATAAAAGAGGATACAAAGAAATGGAAGAACATTCCATGCTCACGGGTAGGAAGAATCAATATCGTGAAAATGGCCATACAGCCCAAGGTAATTTATAGATTCAATGCCATCCCCATCAAGCTACCAATGACTTTCTTCACAGAATTGGAAAAAACTACTTTAAAGTTCATATGGCACCAAAAAAGAGCCCGCATCACCAAGTCAATCCTAAGCCAAAAGAACAAAGCTGCAGGCATCACGCTACCTGACTTCAAACTATACTACAAGGCTACAGTAACTAAAACAGCATGGTACTGGGACCAAAACAGAGATATAGATCAATGGAACAGAACAGAGCCCTCAGAAATAACGCCGCATATCTACAACTATCTGATCTTTGACAAACCTGAGAAAAACAAGCAATGGGGAAAGGATTCTCTATTTAATAAATGGTGCTGGGAAAACTGGCTAGCCATGTGTAGAAAGCTGAAACTGGATCCCTTCCTTACACCTTATACAAAAATTAATTCAAGATGGATTAAAGACTTAAACATTAGACCTAAAACCATAAAAACCCTAGAAGAAAACCTAGGCATTACCATTCAGGACATAGGCATGGGCAAGGACTTCATGTCTAAAACACCAAAAGCAATGGCAACAAAAGCCAAAATTGACAAATGGGATCTAATTAAACTAAAGAGCTTCTGCACAGCAAAAGAAACTACCATCAGAGTGAACAGGCAACCCACAAAATGGGAGAAAATTTTCACAACCTACTCATCTGACAAAGGGCTAATATCCAGAATCTACAATGAACTCAAACAAATTTACAAGAAAAAAACAAACAACTCCATCAAAAAGTGGGCAAAGGATATGAACAGACACTTCTCAAAAGAAGACATTTATGCAGCCAAAAAACACATGAAAAAATGCTCACCATCACTGGCCATCAGAGAAATGCAAATCAAAACCACAATGAGATACCATCTCACACCAGTTAGAATGGCAATCATTAAAAAGTCAGGAAACAACAGGTGCTGGAGAGGATGTGGAGAAATAGGAACACTTTTACACTGTTGATGGGACTGTAAACTAGTTCAACCATTGTGAAAGTCAGTGTGGCGATTCCTCAGGGATCTAGAACTAGAAATACCATTTGACCCAGCCATCCTATTACTGGGTATATACCCAAAGGATTATAAATCATGCTGCTATAAAGACACATGCACATGTATGTTTATCGTGGCACTATTCACAATAGCAAAGACTTGGAACCAACCCAAATGTCCAACAATGATAGACTGGATTAAGAAAATGTGGCACATATACACCACGGAATACTATGCAGCCATAAAAAATGATGAGTTCTTGTCCTTTGTAGGGCCATGGATGAAATTGGAAATCATCATTCTCAGTAAACTATCACAAGGACAAAAAACCAAACACCATATATTCTCACTCATAGGTGGGAATTGAACAATGAGAACACATGGACACAGGAAGGGGAACATCACACTCTGGGGACTGTTGTGGGGTGGGGGGAGGGGGGAGGGAGAGAATTAGGAGATATACCTAATGCTAAATGACGAGTTAATGAGTGCAGCACACCAGCATGGCACATGTATACATATGTAACTAACCTGCACATTGTGCACATGTACCCTAAAACTTAAAGTATAATAAAATAAAATAAAAAACAGGGTCTGTTTGTAAACAATTTCCTCTGTCTCAACTTCTTGTCCTTGACTATAAAAATGTTGCTTTCCTTTGGTATAGAAAGGACATCTTTCACATGAGAATTTCATATCCTGCTTTTAAGAAAAAAAAAAGGTCAGAATGTTTTTCTTACAACTGCTGTTTCTCTAGTGCTTTTAGCTCAAAATAATCTGTATGGAAAGTGACATATTTGGGGGTGGCATATTCTGCTAACCTTGACTCGTCTGGTACTTCCTTCCTGAAACTATGGCTGTTAATTAAAGTGGCCCTGGATGGCTTGAATAACGTGGTCCTGGATAGCTGCCGATGCCTGAGCCATGGAGAGGGGACTAGCTAGAAGAAGGTCTTGAATCGTCACAGGGAAAGCCATGGAATTGAAATCTCTTGGGCTGGACTGCTGATAATGAAGGAATGGTATTAAAAAATAGCATAAGCGAAAGACACTGGGTAGTCTCTAGTAGTTTCTCCTGGAGAAAACAATTCCAGCCAGGGGCTGTTTATGTATTTATTCATTAATTAAACAAACATTTACTAAGTATTTTCTCTGTACTGGTACTAGGTCCTATGATGCAAAGTTAATTAATCAGCCTGGTTTTTAGGGAGGGGTAATCTAGTGAGTGAAAAAGGCCTTCAAACAAGTAAGTGTAGCCATCTTTTGCATTGCTGATGATTCATCTTGCATTTTGTTTTTTGTGACTTAGAGAGAAACTCTTCTGTCCATTTCTGGAAGTGAGAAATGTATTATGAAGTAACAAAATAGTACTCACTCCCATCCAGGATGGAAGGCAAATCTTTCTCCTTCTCAAAACTGGACAATTGTGTTTGTGTTCTGAGAGCTAAGGCCTCTTTATGATAATTGATCAAGCTTTTGTGGATGAATGATCAACCCCAAGTAAGCGAGGGGTAAAAATCAAATTATAGAAGAAAGATACTGGGTCCCAGAGTTCAATGTTTGAGTTCAGTCCCTGTGAAAGCTCAGAGTCTGGCAGGAGTCCCAGGAAGAAATGAATTCAGTGGACTGGGATGGGGGGCACTATTAGGGTCCTATGTGAGTGAATGCCCAGGAGCTAGAGGATGGACTGGGGATGGGTCATTGAGTAACATCAGCTTCACTCACGGGTCATCCAATCACAAGAGCCAACATAATGTCCTGAACACAGCTCAGTCTCTCAACACCTGGTCAAAGCAGTTCTGGGCAAGGAGACTCACAAGACCTAGAGAACAGCGAGGAGTTTTTGAACCTATACTTTAGGGCTAAATTAGGTAGTAAAAGGACCAGTGAAGGGACATAAAGGAGTGGACACCTCTGGGATATATTATTATATATATAACTCCAATATCAGCATTTTCTTTAAGATCACTTCCCTCTACTATAGAGTTCAAGAATAGGTGATTTAAACAACGGAAATTTATTTTCTCACAGTTCTAGAAGCTAGATCAAGGTGCCAGCCAATCTGGTTTCTGGCAAGGATTTTCTTGGCTTGTAAACATCACCTTCTCACTGAGTCCTCACGTAACAGAGAGAACAAGCATTTCGGTATATTTTCTTATAAGGGCACTGATACCATCAAACCAGGGCCCCATTCTTATGACCTCATTTAACCTTTGCCAGCTCCTCACAGGCCCTCTCTCCAAATAGAGTCACATTAGAGGTTAGGGCTTTAACATATGAGTTTGGGGGGAACACCCATTCAGTCCATAACAGTGAGTCTATGGACATTTAATTTAAGGTGTTAATAGAGCCTCAAGTTTCTGGGATCTAGGTTTACAATTGTTTGGGGGTTTTTCTGATTTTAATTCTTTGATTAGCTAAAACAAATACAATTTATAGAGATAAAACTGATTCAGAGTTATAATTTCCAATCAAATACATTTCCAAGGATAGAAATTTTTAATTTCATAAATAAGTGATTCCCAAATATAAGACTCGTGCTAGTAGTTCATGTGTTTTATGAGTTCATGATAATGTTTTCTGTTTCCTATTGCAAGAATCAGGTATCAACCTGGGTATCAACTTGCTGCTCCAGTTGAAAATAGCATATTTACTAAAGATGCTGTTAGCCTTAAGCCTGTTTGTGAGACATTCTTGTGATTACTTTATGCTCATAATGCTTAACTCTTGGAGTTCACAGTTTGGAAAAATCAGCTGTTCAGTCAGGGAGCTGCTTCAGAGAGTTTAATTTATAAATCTTCTAACTCTTTGGTTTTATAATAACTCAATTATTCTTCATGTTTTTCTAAGAACTCCCGTTGTATTCAATTTACCTGAAATAGGAACTCTTAATTCTCATCATGTCTGTTTATTATAGTAACTTTAAAAAAATATCTAATATAGAAAATTCCAATACCTAATAATTCATTAGAAAGTCCTTAATGCCTTACAACACTATCCAATTTATAGCATGCACCAGTTGAAGATACAAGTAATAGGCAAAGTAAGGCATATAATGTAACAGAAAACATTTTGAGATTTTTTTATTTCATTGAAACTATACTAAATAGGTTGTATTTTATACTGTTAGAATTTTGAAATCATCAAAAAGTAGTAAATTGTTTATAGTTTTGCTTTAAATATTAGCCCAGAAGATTTGAAAGGACAAATACATGCAAGGAGATGAATTAGAAGAGTATTGAGCTGGACTGTTCTAGATGTGGCAAGAGCTTGAACCAGGGCAGTAATATCAGGGGTGTATCATGTGTTAGTAGTATCAGACGGCAGTATCCTAGTTGAATATCTGGGAAATACTCATTAAAAATCCAACAAAATGTTTTATTTCCCCATTATTGCCCAGTTCCATTCCAGGCAAACAATAGTTAGACTTGATGAGACAATGAAAGATGGTAGGCTATGACTGGGACTTTTTGAGATCAAGATAATAAACCTATTGTTATCATTTAAGATATAAAATAATTATTATTTTTGATGTCCCATCACATGTCAAGAAAAGCACTATGTGCTTCACGTGTTATTCTATGTAATTTATAAAATACTCATAATCACTTGGCAGTTGAATGTTAAATATTGGGATTTGGAAAGTAACTTGGTGCCAGTTTACTGTTTTATTCACCAGATCATGATTTTCCCAGATTTCTATCTAATCTAAAGTCTAAAGAATATATACCTTCAAAATAGAACCAGATCCCTGACACTAGGGATCTAGCAAAATATACATAGTTATTATGCATAATATTTTAAATTAAAGCACTGAACATGGACAAGGTACATTATTATTAATAATAAAACTATTAATATTTTAAATATAATTTCTAGGAGAAAAATGTGCTATTCAAAAAAGTGTTCTTGCTTTAGTCATAATTATACATATCAAGCATTCAAATCAATTAAAATTAAGTCAATAAAAAGGCAGATGTGTACTCAGATCTGGAAAGATACTAACATCGATCACACATAAAAAAAATGTTTGGGTAGAACAAGAATCTGGACCATAGTTATTTAAACCACAGATTCAAAATTATCCAGGACATTTACTTGCCTCATTTTTTCTCTATCAGTCAACTTTCTTCCCTCAGACTACATTTTTCAGCCAACTAAAAAACAAGCCTCTCTGGCAGCTTCCACTATCACATTTTCTCTATATCTTGACCAGTGTGGGAAAAAGTTCTTTTCGTCTAGCAAAGTTTAAATAAATAAACACACACATAAATAAACAGTAACAAACTTATATATGGTTTGCCAGGAGGATGAATTATTCTCCAAGACTAGACCAAGGTAAATCATATTTTAAGCTCTGTGTCTGGGGTGATAGAATACCATGATTATCAGTACAATCAGACCATGACTAGAACCAGGAAAAGACAAATGATTTCCCAAAAGAAAAGCTTGTAGGACAGGTGTGGGCACTGGAAAAAAGGTGGTATATGGGACAGTCAATCCAGTTGTGGTCTACTGAATCTCCTACTGAGTTATATTAAACTAGATTATCAATCCTTTCATAAAAATACAGAAAATATTTTATCTTTTATAAGAGCTTAATAAATATTAATATAATTGATGTAAACTGAAGTTAAATCATTTGGATATACGCAATAAGTTCATTGTTAAACAATTAGAAAACTTGGATTTTAAAGGAAATTATTTTAAAAGAGCATATTAAGTAGATGGAGAGTCAATAAATGATGTTAGAACAACTAGATGGGCTTCTGGCAAAAAGTAAAGGTAAAGTTTTTTCATAACTTTAGCAGAAGAAAATGGATTAAAGATATAAATGTTGAAATCATAAAAAAACTAAATAATCTATGGTGGTCTAAAACATTACATTGGGGAAGATTTTTTTAAAATGAAATAAAATTCTCAAGTCCAGAAAAAATATTTGAATATATATATTTGATGCAGATATAAATATATATACATATACATATACATATATACATATATATATTTATATGCATATATATATTTATATGCATATACACACACACACACACACACACACACACACACACACACACACAGATTCCAAAAAGCAAAGCCAAAGGAAAGGAGTTTGTTTCTCCAGGAGATACAAAGCATTGATATATCAATAAGAAAAATGTCTGTCAACCCAGCAGAAACAAACTTGGACAACTCATTGGAAGGAAGAAAGGAAGAAAGAAGAAGGAGGAAAATTCATAGAATAAGAAATACAAATAACTTTTTTTTTTTTGACAGAGTGTCACTCTGTTGCCAGGCTGGAATGCAGTGGCAGGATCTCCACTCACTGCAACCTCCACCTCCCTGCCATTCTCCTGCTTCAGACTCCCGAGTAGCTGAGACTACAGGCGCCCGCCACCACTCCCAGCTAATTTTTGTATTTTTAGTAGAGACGGGATTTCACCATGTTGGCCAGGATGGTCTCTATCTCCTGACCTCGTGATCTGCCGTCCTTGGCCTCCCAAAGTGCTGGGATTACAGGCGTGAGCCACCGCGCCCAGCCACAGATAACTTTTAAAACATGTAAATAGAGATCTATTAAAAGTAGAATTCCTTTTATTTGCCATCAAGTAGATACAGATAATATGCAATATAATACTTCGTAATCAAAGTCATGAAGAAACAGCACTTTCAGACACAGAATATAAACTGAAACAACCTCTATGAAGTCTAATTTGAAAATATCAATTAAAATGCAAAATGCACATTCCCATTGAATACTTAGTTCCATTTTTGAGATTTCACCTATGTTTAATATTATATGTTTTAAAGCTGCTATTTGCGCAAGGGTATTTATTGTACTCCTATTTAAAACAGCAGGAGAAAAGACTTCACTAGTCTTCAGTAAGCAGTTCCTTAGTCCATTCAGGCTGCTATAAGAGAATACCATAAACTGCGTGACTTATCAACAACAGGCATTTATTTTTTACTATTCTGGAGGCTAGGAAGTCCAGAATTAAAACCCTGGAAGATTCAATACCTGGTGAGGTCCTGCTTCCTGGTTCATAGATGATTGTCTTTTTGCTGCAATCTCACCCAGTGGAAGAGGTTGTGGCAAAAGATCTCTCCAGAATCAAGGATTCTCCTTTGATTTAAATATCAGTCCAGAAGATTTGAAAAGACAAATATATGCAAGGAAATGAATTAGGAGAGTATTGAGCTGGACTGTTCTAGATGTGGCAAGAAAATACACTTTTTTCCTCCAAGAAAACAAAAACAAAAACACAAGAATCTCTCCAGAATCTTTTATAGGACACTAATCCCATTCATAAATGACTTCCCAAAGGCCCTGCCTCCAAATTACCATCACATTGGGGATTAAGTTTCATCATAGTAATTTGCCAGGGGTGGGCCAGGGCAGCAAACATTCAGGCTATAGCAAATGTGACCATGGTTTAATAATAAAATGAAATTTTACTGTACAAATGTATATCAATTTTACTGATATGGAATGACATAATTATACTGATATGGAATGACTTTATTTTTAAAAAATGAAAAAGAGCAAGGAGCATGTATTAGTTAGTTTTCTAGTGTTCCTGCTCTAACAAATGAACACAAACTTAGAGGGTTAAAATAACACAAATTTATTATTTTACAGTTCTGTAGGTTAGATGTTTGAGACATGTCCCATTGGGGCAACTCTTAAGTATTTTCAGGGTTGCATTTATTTCTGGAGACCAAGGAGAGAATCTGCTTCCTTGCCTTTTCCAGCTTCTAGAGTACACCCACATTCTTTGGCTCATGGCTCTTTTTCTTTATCTTGAAAGCCAGTGACATCACACCAGTCTCTTAGCCTTCTTCAGTCACTCCTTTCTCTAATCATCTCTAATCACCACTGTGTTCTCTGCCTTTAAGCATTTATGTGATCAGAACTTTATTCACATCTGTAAAGTCCCTCTTTCCATGTAGATCTACATATTCACAGGTTTTAGACATCAGGGCATGGATGTTTTCAGGGGCCATTATTCTGTCTACCACAATACAGAACCATGTGACTAGAATGGTAATCATGCTTTTAAAATGATTATATGTATATATATATAATTACATGTGATATTGTTAATGTTGGTTGTCCGAGTGAAAGAAGGGATGACCTAAAAGCGAGAGAGAGACTTTTTCTTGTTTTTTTTTTTCATTTTTTGTACCTTTTGAATTTTGAATCATTTAAATATTATCATACAAAACCCACATGCTTAAAGGATACAACCAAGTCTCCTTACAAAATATAAAATGAAGATCAGTGTAGATTGATTTTTTTTACCGTCAGAGACTGTGAACCCTAATATTTGATGAAAAATACATGTGGCTCAGGAACCTCCCAGGGGCCTGTGGAGGAGCGTCCAGTGGTGAGTGAGCTAAGGCAGAGTGCTAGAATGTGGTCACCCACACAGGGCAGGAGTAGCAAGGGTTGCCTCATTGATCTGTTCCTGCAGCTAAGGTCTCCCTGTATTTTTATGTTAGCAATTCTACAAGAGCCTGTAGTGAATCTTGCATTACAACCAGCCACAAGAGAAAAATAAAGAGGAGTGCAAAAAATTCTCCTTGTTGTATTAATATTATCCCCTTCAGATTGTCAGCTGGTGGATGTTCCAATTATGAAAGACAGAACACGGAGGCAAAATAAGAAACGTCTGTCCGTCTCTCAAGGTTTTATACTTGAAACTATGACTTGGGGACACAGATTGATATATAACAATAAATACAACCAATAGAGAAGTAAAAGTTTTTCTTATGGAGATTCAGTTAGTTAAAATTAACTAAAGATATTTTTAAAGACTGCATTCCCATCCAAAAATTCATTAAGAAAATGACAAATAATTGAAAAGACAGTTGAGCAAAGATGCCAACAGGAAACTCACAGATGTGAATACCTAAATAGCTTAAAAACACATAAACCACTCAGCCATACTTGTACTAAAAATTAAACACAAATCAAAGTAAAAAGAAATATAATTTTATACTTAATAGATTGGCAAGTTTTAAAATTTAACAATGCAAAGTATTGATACACAGTTGTAGAATCTTTAACTTTGTAATGCAATTTGGCAAAAACTAGCAAAGGTGAACATACACTATGACACGAAAATTCTACCACCAGATATACACTAATGAAACTATCATCCGTCCACAAAAAGGCATATAAGATTGCTCATAGCAGCATTGATTTTTAATAGGAAAATAAGAGGAAAAACTCAAATGACCATCAAAGAGAAAATAGATACTTGAATTACAATACTGTCTCTAATGGAGTACGGTATTACAGTGAAAAATGTATCATCATGAATTAATCTCACAAACAATGGTAATTAGAGAGAAAGCAATCTGCAGAAGAATACATACAACAGGATACCTTATATATTAAATTTTAAAAACATAAAACAACATATGTCAACCTTTGTAGTGAAAGATGAACATGGGAATGGTGAACACCAAATGTAGAATAGTTATTTCCCTTGGAGACTGTGGTTATATTAGATGGAAGAGGAAAAGGAGATCAGCAAAGAGTATATCGAGAAATTCAAAAATATTTAAAATATTTTATTTTTAAAGTTTGGTGGTCTTGAGTATTTGTTATATTATTTAAAATATCTAAAATATTTTAAAATGTATTAAAATATCAATGCCTTCTATTATTGTGTAAAACTTCAGCTCACATTCTGATTACAGTAAAAATCTATATAAACAAATACAGCTCTTTTGCTAAAAAAAGAAAGTGAAACAACTCTATTGAGATATACTGTATCTTTCAGTGAGAGAAAACCTACAAATGGTGACTTAACAAAGACCAAGATAGAAATGTGTTATACATTATGTATTTTAAGTGTATTAACATTTGCATCATATTGAAGTGTTATAATCTTAAAAATTATATAGTTCTGGTGTTATAATCAATAAACAAATCAGTACTAACCCAAAATATTTTTGTAATAATAATTTTTAAAAATGTATAAAATTAACGTCTACAACAGCAGTCAAATATCTGAAAAAATATGCATGTCGCTACCTTGAATAGAAATTTGCCTAATTTTGTATTCAATTATTTGTCATTTTTCTTAACG
Organism: Homo sapiens; assembly: GCF_000001405.40. NCBI lineage: Eukaryota > Metazoa > Chordata > Mammalia > Primates > Hominidae > Homo > Homo sapiens. Next base: position 126,355,144 of record NC_000007.14, read on the forward strand.
ACCAAACTATTTCCCAATGTCCCTTGCAATTAGGCATCACAGTGTGGCAGTTCTGGCCAGTGGCTAACAAGCTGAAATAATATGCTCAAATTTATTTTGAGTGTATATAAAGGGAACCGCTATCTTGGTCTTTGTTAAGTCACCATTTGTAGGTTTTCCCTCACTGTAAGATACTATTTTTATATCAAATATTTATTATTCTTCTAGACAAAATTTACAATCAAACTGCAAGTCCTTCCTCCCTACACCTCCCATCCACTGATCCCTATATAAATTGAAAAATCACATATAATATCTTTGAATTCAGTTTTTCCATCTTACATTTTAGATGATATAGCTCTGTCCCTATTACTATAATTATAATTCAGCAACATTTTATATTTTTATTAAAATGTTTGATATCTCCTTTTCAACTTTAGGAACACATTACAATTTCTATATCTTTATTTATATTTGACATCTCTCAAAGGTGAAGAACATACTAATTATTCTCTTCCACAATTCTGTTTTGTAAATTTCCTATATTCATATTTGAGCTATACAATTTGATTTTTAGCACACAAAAATTCATTGAATGAATTATTTTTCTTTTCAATGTGAAATAAAATCCTTTGTTTTTTTTAATGCATTTTCCCTTGAATTCAATTTTTTCATAAATTATGGTCATTGCCTATGCATTTGATTTATAGGTTCCTAATTAGTTTTTGTGTATTCTTTAATTTCCAACCTCTAATTTTCCTAGATTGTGTTTCTTAAGAGCAGCCTATAGTTGAATTTTTAAAAATATGGGGCTATATTACTTTTATACAGATGTTTCCATAACCTATGTGTTTGGTTATTCTCTCACCTATTTTTTTCTCTCTTTTACTACATGAACTATGTTTTGATTCTACATTTATTTGTAATTCATGCACTTGAAATATTCAAATGATTTCCTTTAAGTTTCTCAAAAACATGATTCATTATATACTTCTCAAGTTAATCAAAAATAAGTCATCTTTTGCTTATTCTCTATATAAGACTATAAAATTAGAATGCTTTATTTTTATCCCCTACTTTCTACCACCCCACTTTTCTCCCTCCCCCAACACAAACTTAGTGTTCTTACAATAGACTGGTCACTTGTACACAAATAATTGCTATTAAATTACATCATATTATACACTTATTTTTAATGGTTCCATTATTATAACCATAATTAGACCAATTATTTTAACCTTATGTTTAATCAGTTTCAATATTCTCTACCTGCTTTCTATCTCACGGTATTCTTATGCTTGTGCTTTTAATCTTGGTGTTGTTTTGTTGCCTGAAGTGAGTTTTTCCAAGGTCACTGAAGCCATATATTTCTAAAATACTTTATGGCCAGGATTGTCTTCTATTTCTATCTTACATAAAAGCAATTCAAAAGAATATATAATTCTTTGCTCATAATCTTTTCATCATGAATTTAGACTGATCTCTCTTTCTGAACTTTTTTGGTTTTAAACATCTTTAAGAATTCAGTAAAAGGGCCTCTACATAGAAAACAAGTATTCTATTCAAAATAGTAACAAAATTTTATATGGGCTTTTATAATTCAAGAATTGCCTGAAGCTCACGCATTAATCTTCAAGTAAAGAACTTCTTAAAAAGACAGTTCTAAGGTACATATGAAACCAATCTTCCAATCCTTATAGGTAAAATATTTTATTTACCTAAATATGTTATTTGTAAGATTTTCTCTTCATCACAATAATTCAGATTTTTTTCCTTGCTTATGTTGGTTCAAAGTTGCCTTTTGATTTTTTTGATTTTTTTGTTGTTGTTTTTTCCTAGTGCCCTGGGCCCTGGTAAACTAACTTGGCTTATATGAACCATAAACGGCTTTCTTGTCCTCTGGTTTCAAGCTGGATTCTACCTAAGGGAGGCACCAGTAGGAGACAGGAGGGCAGAAGAAAAATGACTCCAGTTTATTTCCCAGGTTTTCTGCCTCCATGCTGTGTTGCTGGAGGTTGACTGCATCCCTCAATGATGGCACATGGCTCTGGACAAGGGTCACTCACCAGACAGCTACCCTCTCTGGGTTCTGAGTGCCATTTCTCCCTTCCCTTCAGGCCTGAGGTGACTAATGTAAGCAACCAGTTCCTCTGATTCTCCCTCCTTCTCATGACTTCCACTACTTAGTCTTCTGTTCGTACATGCTTTCTACTTACTATATTTTTCTTACCTGTCTTTTAGCTTCTGTCTGCTTCTTTCTTCTTTCTTCCTTCTGTCTGCTTCTTTCTCCATGTGTCTAATAAGGGAGGACAATAACCTTAATTCAATATTTAGCATGGAACAACCTTCTATCCCCCATCATCCTACAAATGGCTGATATGGGAAACAGGCAGCAATCGCTGATACAATGTCATGAAGGACAGGTGAGTAGAGTCCAGATAGGGTAAAACATTTAGTAAGAAATCCCTCACCGGTGCCCTAAAAACATGGTAGAGATCCTGCAGATGAAGGGACTAGAATACATAATTGTCACATAACTCTCCAACTTTTCTAATATATCTGCTTAAATTATTTTGTTTATCTCAACCAGTATTGATCTAGAAGCTCTCACACTGCAGTCTGCTGGTGGATGGTAATGTTACCTCTATTCTTCTAAGATTCCGAACACTCCTCCAATCACTATCCATACTTCATGGATCCACACATGCATACACACAAGCACACATGTTAACCCCAAGCAGAAAGGCCTCCACTCTTCACTTAATCCTGTTCCCTTAATTTTAAAACTTCTTATTTTCTTGTCTCAGGGAACATAACATTTGGGGGCATAACAGGGAGTGAAATGTATGGGATGTATGAGTTTTTCCATTGATTTTACATGGAAACCAGAGGAGAGTTTAAAAAAAATATTTGAGTGGTTTTGTTTGTTTGTTTTTTTCTTTTTGTGATTTGCATTAGGCTTTTACTAATTGTAACTTCATTGTTTTCATTCCGAACCTTTGGCTCTCTGCCTCAAGAAAATGTATTATTTTTAGTTGGGTTCCTATTCTCCTTCCTCCAAAACAAAACTTGTCCTCATTATTTTCTTTGTTCCATTTTTGATTTCTTTATAACATCAACTCTGTTGCTTGTAGCTGCCAATGAGGATTTCAATTTTTCATCATTTTTTTTTAGATATTTTTCACTTTTTTTCTCATCGTTCCCTTTTCTATCTCAGTTATGTCACCTTTGCATCTTATTTTGGTGATTTTTAAATTTCTTTTTAGTTTGGATTTCTGTGGGTGCACAAAATACAATACATGGTAAGTATATACATAGTAGGTATATAGGTGTATATATTTATGGGGTGCATGAGGTATTTTGATACAGCATGCAATATGTAATAAGCACATCATGGAGAATGGGTTATCCATTTATTTTTTGAATTACAAGCAATTCAATTCCTTTTTTTCTTTTTTTTTTTGAGACAGAGTCTCGCCCTGTCACCCAAGCTGGAGTGCAATGGTGCGACCTCGGCTCACTGCAACCTCTGCCTCCCAGGTTCAAGTGATTCTCCTGCCTCAGCCTCCCAATTACACTCTTTAAGTTATTTTAAAATATACAATTAAGTTATTATTGACAATAGACACTCTGTTATGCTATCAAATAGTAGGTCTTATTCATTCTTTCTACTTTTTTATACCATTAATCAACAGAGAAATGTAAATCCAAACTACAATGAGATATCATTTAGTTGATTTTTAAAAAGATTCTCCCATTGTATTTTATCTCAGTAATTCTTCTATGACTTTCTGCTCCAGTTTCATGGTTGCCTCATCTTCATTAACTTACAAGTCCAGCTTTTGAAGTTTATTCTAATTACTTCCTAATAACTTTTAGAATTGTTGTACTGGGTAATTCCAAAATTTCACCCATTTTGTTGTTGTTTCTTGTTTACTTTTCTTCAAAGATAGGTGATCTAACCTCAGAATTTGCCAGCTGAGAGGAAATACGGTTTGCATGTGGCCCCCACTCCTTGTCCACTTGGAACCTGATAAAATTGTGTTCTTAGATTTACAGCTGGAGCACAAGTATTATTCTCAATGGCTTGGCAAGTTCTAGTATCTAGCCAGCTGCATCTCCCACAGATCTACTGGACCTTAATGGAGACTTTCTGGGAGTTTCAATTTCCACAATGAGGCAGCAACTGGAGAAATCAGTTTGGCAATCTTGGGCATCAGAGTGTTGTGAGGGAAGGTAACGAAGGGTGACATGGAACTATTCCCTCCAGGATAGAAGGATGACTACTCAGCTTTCTCACTGGTATTAATATGTTTCTCTGAATTACTGGGCAGAAAGTACGAGAAGACTAAATTGTTTTTTCTATATTACTTGTAGATGGACGGAGAATAGGCAGTCCACAAATTGTTTTTTCTTCAAAGACTTTCTATCACCTGTAGTTAGTACATTCCTCTGAAACTGTAGGCATTTGGTTGGTTTCCAGAGTTAGTTAATATTTGATTTTTGTTTTCTTCATCTTTGGATTTCAAACAAAAAATTGAGGATTTTCAAACAAAGATTGAGATCTGTTAATTACATATCATTTGAACAGGAATTGAACTAAAAAATCAAAAACAGTGTTGGACAAGCAAGGAAAAAATAAATATAATCTATAATTCTTTCTCCTTGCTACCAACCACTTTTACTTAAATTGTATTTGGCTCCTAAAATTGTAATTCTAGAAGAATAGACTTTGAATATGGCCTAGGGCATGGTATCATGTCAGAATAGCTATTGGTTTTTAAAGTGCCACAGTGTAAGTATAGATATAGCCCACTAAAATTGTTGCTACGTGTGTGCCTTATATCTATAATGTATATGTCTGAATGTGTATACATACGTCTTATATGTCTGAATGTGTATATATACATGTCTTATATGTAAAGATAATTTTAGCAATTATAAAAATTGCATGAGATTTATATTGAATAATCTAAAGACACATATCTCCTTTTTTATCTTATCAGTAACTAGAAGAGTAAACTTGGATAGTTTAATCCGCAGATTTCTCAGTTCCTCTATCTGAAAAATAAAAATACTTTCAAAATTACTTTCCAAAATCATAATCACATAAAATATAGAGAAATCAAAAAGTAATTAACAATTGTAAACTTGAAGTATTGACTTAACACTCATTTATTTGAGATTTTTTTCAGTGATATTATGTACCAATTTCTTATTTATTTGTTTAATGCTTATCCTTCCTGACCAGAACCTAAACTCTTTCACTGTCTTGGTCTTTTTCATGTCCCAAGACCTAAGGACAGTTCTCAGCCCGTAATGAGTATTTGTTGAATGAATAAATAAATAAGCCAGCAGGGTGCTGGAAATATAAACATAGTTTATAGTCCTTGATCTGCTGGGTCTCACATTAGCCTTAACTCATGAACTTGAAGTTTAGAACATTTTGTGTACATGTGTTCAAGTGAAAGTTCATAAAGATAGAGTAAAATATGCTAGTTAAGAATGAATTCAAATTTTGAGAAATAATAGGTCCAAGGTACTGTAAACCAAAAAGTATCTGAGGCAGATCTTAATTAATTTAGAGATTCATTTTGTCAAGATTAAGGACCATGGCCTGGGATGCAGCCTCAGGAGGTACTGAGAACATGTGCCCAAGGTGGTTGGGTTTCAGCTTGATTTTATACATCTTAGGGACACATAAGTTACACACAAAGACATAAATCAATACATGTAAGGTATACATTGGTTCAGCCTGGAAAGGCAGGACACCTAGAAGTGGGTGGGGCATGCACAGGGCTTCCAGGTCATAGGTCGATTCAAAGATTTCTTGATTGGCAATTGGTTGAAAGAGTTAAACTCTTCCTGAAGAGTTGAAGTCAGCTTGAGTCAAGATAAGGTGGAGGGGATTGTGGAAACCAAGGATCTTGTCATATAGATGAAGCCTCCAGGTAGCAGGCTTCAGAGAGAATAGATATGAATGTCTCTTACTGGACCTTAAAAGGTGTCAAAATCTCCCAAAAAGACCTAGTAAGGGAAGAAGATTCTCTACAGAATGTAAATTTCCATCACAAGAGACAGCTTTGCAGGGGCCGTTTCAAAATACGTCAAAGAAATATAATTTGGGGTAAAATACATCAACTTCCTTCAGGGTCTGCTATCTGTCATGTGATATTATACCAGAGTCAGATTGAAATTTATCATCTTATTGCTACAAAGAGTCTGTTTCTTAATCTTCAGATCTCTGTTTTAATGTTAATGCTGACCAGTTGTGTCTAAACTCCAAAGGGAGGAGGGTGTAGTGAGATACGTCCAAGCCCCTCCCTTCCCTCCATGCCTGAACCAGTTTTTCAGGTTTTGAGGGGATCTGCTTGGCCAAGAGGGGGTCTATTCAGTTGGTTGGGGGGGCTTAGAATTTTATTTTTGGTTTACAGTACTTAGGCCAACTTCTTTTTTTTCTTGGAATAATTTTACTTCAATATCAGTTTCTTACCTAAAAGTGCTTGGCTACTTTTTATTTAAAAGAAACATGTTTAACTGGTTCTTGCAAAATTCATGTAACATATCTAAGCTACTAATTTCTTAATGCATATAATTCTGTTATGCTATAGATCTAAGAAAGGATTGAATTTGAATACCAGACTTACTCATTTCACTTTGAGCCCATAGAGTATGTTTTTTATCTGCGTCCAATTCTCCTTAAATGTAAATAGCTTAGCGTCATTATTATGGCAGAGAATTTACAATTGTCCTTCGCCTGTCTCCAAATCTCCAGTTCTTTAAGAGATATTGGCTTGTTATGTATATAAGGGCCTAGCAGTTTGAGTTGAAAAATTTATCTCAAATTTTAACAAAAATCTTTTCTAAATTGATTAAATAAAAATTATATTATCATCCAAATAAATATTGTAAACCAATGTCTTAGAGCCCAATTGCTGAGTTCCTCCAACTGACCCCCACAGTTATTCATCTTCTCTAAACCTCAATTTCCTCATCTGCAATTGGAAATACTGTTAATACTCACTTTATAAGTGCTTTTAAGGCTCAAATGAGAAAATGCAGGTAAAGAACTATAACTTATAGTAATTATATTTTCAAGTGCTTAGTTCCTGCCAGGCACTCTTCTAAGGGTATATATTCATTGAATCCTCACAACCCTGTTAAGCAGGTAGTAGTGTACTTTTAGAATCTTCAATTTACACATGACAAACTTAAAGCACAAGGGTTATAGAGTTTGTCCAAGATTAAATAGTAAAGATTAGAATGTGGACATCTGTAGAGAGCCATTATTCTCTTTACCACACTTACTGAGGATAAAATGCAAAGTAGTTGGTGACTGATTAGGGGAGAATGAAAGGAGAAAAAAGGAGTCAAGAATAAATCCTAGGTTTGTAGCTGGTAGAAATAGCTAAGAGGGCTATTACAAGTGTCTAGGTTGCTACACATAGAGCCATGAAGGAAAGGCTGTGGTATGTCAGAGTAAGACACCACTAACTGCCTGTGAAAACTGCAAAGGTTTTCAAAGGAAAAATGGAAATATCTCTTGGTCTTGTAGGGTCACTAGAAGTTTACCAGACAAAGATGTGGGGGAAGGTACATTAGAAACCACATGGGTAATGCTAAGAAATATAACCCAAAATTTCAATTCCCTATATAATTCTAATTTTCCATTTAATCTGGTTATGTGTGAGCTATGTTAAAATGGGGTTTAGCTGGATCCTGAATTCAAACCCGAAGCAAATAGTGAGCTATTCCAGGAACTATGAGACCAACATTACACATTCCATATGCTCAATTTCACTACAAATGAGCAGCTTTATGACCTGACTCCCTTGAGAGTCTTCAAATAGAGATTTAATTAGAAAGCACTAGAGAAACCCATCCTGAAATAACAAAGGCAGTGTTAGCCATAGGAAGGCATTATCCTGTTGAGAACTTGGAAGATTAACTGCAGGTACTATTAAGTAAATGGATAAATGAGAAAGTTATGTCTGAGGGCAATAATCTTGCAATATGACAAGAGGTATTGGTATATGTAAACTTACCTTAGGATGATAAATATTTTTATGATTAGTTTTATTAAAACAGTTTTTTTAGTTTTTCTATTATCACTGGAAATGCATCAGAAAGAAGATTGTAGAAGATATAGTAAAAACAGAAGAGAGCTCTCTGAAAATGATGATTAATTTTTCCCTAATTATGGGTACTTTGTTATAATTAAAAATTTGCATTATATAAATCACCAGTGTTTATGGTAAATATTTATAAATCTGATCTAAGTTTTTTGATTGATAAATGACTGATATAGCTATTGATGATTTAATCCCTATTTTAATACTGTTCATATAATTTTCTAAGATTATATGATGAATTCTGAGCCAAATATTCATTATGTCAACAATTCTAAAATACATATATGCATGAGGTTGTAATAACTATCTATTACAGAGTCATAGATAAGGTCTATTTTGGGAGTAACTGATTTTTGGCTAACAGAGAAAGTGGGAGATAATTCATTGTTTACATCACTTATCATTATATATATGGTGAAACTTATGTGTGTGCTATACCATTGTTTAATCCTAGTCCGAAATACTTCTTATCAAGAGTTTTTAATTCCTAAGTATATTTACTTGAATGCTTAAGGTTGACATACCCCATGTTTGAAGTGATAGTGTTTCTTACCCACTGATCTATCAGTAAAAATTTGAATTTGGAAGGAAAGTAATAGAATACATGATAAGAATTAGGGTAAGGGGAAGTGATCCTTAAGATGGATGATAATACCGAAAAGTAAAGAAAAAGAAGAAAGAGGATGAGGGGGAGCAGTAATGTGCACACACACACACACACACCACACACATATGGGACTTATTAATAATTAGAAGCTACAAATGACATTTCTTATTAAGCAAATACTAGAGCATCTGCTCTTTGCCAGGCACTGAAGATACAGCAGTAAGCATATGTCCCTGTCTTCACAGTGCTTATATTCTAGAGAAGGGAGACAGATGATAAAAGGAGTGTGATGGTTAATACACAGTGTCAACTTGATTGGATTGAGGGTTACAAAGTATTAATGCTGGGTGTGTTTGTGTGGGTGTTGCCAAAAGAAATTAACATTTGAGTCAGTGGGCTGGGGAAGGCAGATCCACCCTTAATCTGGTAGGCACAATCTAATCAGCTTCCAGAGAATATAAAGCAGGCAGAAAAACATTAAAAGGAGAGACAGGCCTAGCCTCCCAGGCTACATCTTTCTCCTGTGCTAGATGCTTCCTGCCCTCGAACATTGGACTTCAAGTTCATCAGTTTTGGTACTCGAACTGGCAATCCAGGCTCCTCAGCTTGCAGACAGCCTATTGTGGGACCTTGTGATCATGTAAGTTAATAGGATATATATACATATATAGTTCTGTCCCTCTACAAGAACCCTGACTAATACAAGGAGGAAATTAGTATTATGAGAAAAATAAAGCAGGCTAAGGGTCGTAGAGATGGAAGCTGTCTCTGATAAAGGGACATATAAGCAAAGACAGGAAGTTGTAATTGTAACCCATGAGGATATTTGAGGAAAGGGCATTGTAGGCAGAGAAAATAGCTAAAACAAACATACAAAATAGCTAATACAAACATCCTTTCTTCCAGAGACAGTACCAAATCGAGAGTGCTGGAGTGCAGTAAATGATCAGGAGAATGGAAAGAAATGAGGCCACAGTTTATAGGAGGCCAGATGATATAGGGTCTTGTTGATCATTATAATAAGGACTTTAGATCTGTGCTGTACAATACTGTGGCCCTCGGCCAAATAGAGCTTGAATGTGGCTAGTGTGATTGAAATGTTAATTGTATTTGAAATAAAGTAATCTCAATTTTAATTTAAAAATTGGCACTTGATTCAGTTATTGGCAAACTGTTAAGTATGTTTTAAACAACTTGGGTATATGATACATTTTTCTATTGTAAATTTAATAAAATCTGAATATGAACTCAGGGTTTTCAATTAAAATACAGTGCCTAAATTGAGATGGGGAAATATAAAGTACAAACATATCAAAGATTTAGTATAAGAGAGAGTTACATATCTCAATTTTTATATTGATTACATGTTAAAATGACAATATATGTATTTTGGTTTTAAGCCATCCTAATAGGGAAATAAGTATTATTAAATGTGTGAGGAATGAATACTGATACATATCTATTGAGAATATACATTAGAAGAGTTTTCTGGAAGATTTTTTGGGAATGCAAAGCAAAAATCTAAAACACGAGTACTTATTTATCAAGCAATTTTGCATGTAGCTTTATGTTATAGAGATATACATATCACAAAAAAGAACATGTTTATTACAATTTATTTAAAATAGCAGCAAACTAAATCTCTCCAAATAGAAGAGATATTAAATTAATCATAGTATAATCATACAATGAAATGTTAGGAAGTCATTAAAATTACAAATGTATGTGTGTTAATATGTGAAGGGAGTCATGAATTTTAAGTTAGAGAAGTTAATAATAAAATGGTATATACCTGTAACATCATATTATTAAAAAATTTATAAAATATAAATAATGTATGTTTAAATAAGTTCATAGAAACATTTCCCTAGGTTAATTTATATCTATCTTTCTGAAGCGAGTCATAGACCAAAATTTTAACAATGTTTCCTTTTGGATTGTAATAAAACAGGTAATTTTTATTTTCTACATTTCCTTATACTCTAAAATTATGTACATTTTTGCAATATAAGGTTTTTAAGACCACAATGATAATCAGTAATGTAAAAAAACTTTTATTATTTTATTACTGTTTTTGCAGAGTGACTTTGAAAAATATATATATATATATATGTTTCGACATCACAGACCATAGGTGAAGTTTAATGGCCTCCTTTTAGTCTTGGAGATGAAATGTTAATAATTGCTGTCACTGGTAATGATCCAATTTTTTATAGTCGAATCAGTTTTAAAACACATTCTGTTAAATAACTTTTGGATCTATGTCAATGAAGTACCAAGGAAACACTTCTAAAATAATAATACATAAGCAATTATGTAAAAATGTAATAGAGGTTACATTTTAAAAATCAACAAGTTACAGGAAAAAAACTCACAGGTTTTGGTCCAGTAGAATTCCATGGTGTTGAGTTTGACCTTCAGTGAATGAAAGTTCTTCTAGGCTTGAATAGATCCCATTTTATTTATAACCCATTTTGTTAGCTAGTGCTTGTCCTGCTGTCTCAAATTTTAAAATGAGTAAAATATCATTATGACTTGCTTAGTGAAAAATAGAAGGGAAAAAGTCATTCAAGATCTGGAGGGTTTTACTGAAGATAAGAAGTGGCAGAAATGAGCAGAGAGAGAGCTGGGAAAAGACGTTAATGAGCCCTGCCCAGCAATTTAGATTGATTGGAAAAGTGTGTGCAGGTAAAAATGGAAACAGCTGATGGAGATTCACAAAGGAACCTGAATGTGATAAAGCTGTTAAAACCATTATAAAAACCTGCAAAGGCACCAGGCCAGGGAAGAGTGTTGAGAGTCTCTTTGATAGTCTTTTGGAGCTTGAAGTGAACACTACTAAAGTCACTGAAATTAATAAGGTCTAAAGATCTCTTTTAGACCTAGGAGTCTATACTTCTTTATGTATCAACATATGTGCACATGCTCATCCTCTATCCAACTTAAAAACCTCAATGATTTTACAATACAAAATGCTATTTTTTATTTGCAATAAAGCTCTTCTATTGTGCTGGTGATATAGGTCAAGGATCATAAATGCAATGATAGGCTACCCATAAAAGAAATACATGTTTTATATACACAAAGCTTATGCAGTGACCTACAGCTTAACCCAAATAATGGGACAGTGAGAATGTTTATATTGGAATGTATCTTTTTATTTTCCTTAGGTAAACTCTAATGTCCATCTTCTAGGGAAAATCCTTTGAGATTTTACTTCAACCCTCTTGATCTCTTTTACTTTAGTGATCTTGTAAGACAAATCACTCCCTATGAAACACTTCCAGTGAGTTATACAAACCACATTTACAGTGTAGGACCGTATACAGAATATGTGAATCACACTAAAAACACATCTTAACCTATCATATTATTAAATTATTTTTAAGATAAATAAATGTGATCATGTAGATTTCAGTCAAACAAGCAAGAAAATTTGATCTAAAAGAGAACATAGTTCAACTGTTGGTCTTGTCTCATGATATATTTTTATTTTTTATTATTTATTTATTAATTTTTTGAGACGGAGCCTTGCTCTGTCCCCCAGGCAGGAGTGCAGTGGCGTGATCTCGGCTCACTGCAACTTCTGTCTCCTGGGTTTGAGCAATTATCTTGCCTCAGCCTCCCGAGTAGCTGGGATTACAGGTGCCCGCCACCACGCCTGACTAATTTCTGTATTTTTAGTAGAGACGGGGTTTCAACATGTTGGCCAGGCTGGTCTCAAACTGTGGACCTCATGATCCACCTGCCTCAGCCTCCCAAAGTGCTGGGATTATAGGTGTGAGCCACCGCACCTGGCCTTTTATATTTTTATATGAAGAAGAGAAGGGGGACAGAAGAAGAAAGAAAAAAAAACCCTCAATCTTGACTATGTGTATCATTTGTATGTAAAGTGCAAAATACACTTGGAGTTTAAAAGTAAAGGAAGTACTTGCTACAGTTTTTGTTATGATGAGATACTGAATGAGCCATAGCACAATCCTCACACACACACACACACACACACAAATACCGAAGAGCACTGCAAGACAAGTCAGAATTTTCAGAAAGCCTAAAGACATGCTTCTGTTTTAAGTTTCTGGTATTAAAAATTATCCCTGTCCTTGCAAGCTCTATAAAGCTGTGAATTCAATTCTATTGCAGAATAACCTTGTTAACTGCTTGAGAGAGTTGGGTCAGAATCCTCACCCATTCCACTATTAACTTTCGCCCTCACCATGACAACTTAGTGCTGGTTAAAAGGGCTCAAAAGACTTGTTACCAGAAAATTAAGCTAATGAATTCTTCATTTTCCAGGTTGAAGTAGTTCCTAATCAGTCCTCTCAACTATGTCCACTCAATCATAATATTGTTTTAAATAGATTGTCTGTCTCAGGAGCAAACGGGAGTTCAAATGAACTATATTCCTGTTCAGATCATTAATAACAATAAATCCACTGCAATATCAGCAACTTGATATAGATTCTTTTAGTGGAGAAGCACCTCACTTTTGACGAAACACATATCAGCAAAAGATTTGTTCAGAGGTAGCCAAAAAACCAATATCATCAACATTGCATTGCTCAATGTGTTTATTTTATATATACACCCTCTCTATCTTACCTATCTCATTTAGTGCCTTAATTTTAAGCATGGCAAATATATTCTTAGCATCAAATTTACTCAACTTTTCCTCACATTACATTTTACATTTTATTAAATATTATTAACCCATGTAGATTATTTTATTTTTCAACCTCCTCTTCCAAGAATTTCTGAAATAGTCTATTAGAGAGCTGTGCCCCCCCTTTTTTTTTTTGAGACTGAGTCTCACACTGTCGCCCAGGCTAGAGTGCAATGCGGCAATCTGGGCTCACTGCAGCCTCCGCCTCTCAGGCCCAAGTGATTCTTCTGCCTCAGCCTCCCAAGTAGCTGGGATTACAGGCACGCACCACCATGACCAGCTAAATTTTTTATTTTTAGTAGAGATGGGGTTTCATCATGTTGCCCAGGCTGGTCTTGAACTCCAGACCTCAAGTGACCCACCTGCCTCAGCCTCCCAAAGTGCTGGAATTACAGGCGTGAGCCACTGCACCTGACTGCCTCTTTTTAAATTCCAAATTTTATTTTAGATACAGGGAGTACATGTGTAGATTTGTTATATGGGGAAATTGCATGATGCTGAGTTTTAGAGTACAGATCCCATCATCCAGTTAGTAAGTACAGTACATAATAGGTAGTTTTTTACCACCTGCCCCCCAAGCAGTCCAAGTGTCTATTGTTCCCACATTTATGTCCACGTGTGTTCAATGTTTAGCTCCCACTTATAAGTGAAGACATGTGATATTTGGTTTTCTGTTCTTATATTAATTTGCTTAGGATTAAGGCCTCCAGCTCCATCCATGTTGCTGCAAAGGACATGACTTCATTCTTTGTTATGGCTGTGTAGTATTTCATGATGCTACAGGTATCACATTTTTTAAATCCAATCTACTATTGATGGGCACCTGGGTTTATTCCATGTCTTTGCTATTGTGAATAGCGCAGTGATGAGTATATGAGTGTGTGTGTCTTAACAAAGAAAAAGAGAAGATTCAAATAAGCGCACTCAGAAATGACAAAGGTAATATTACAACTGACCCCACAAAAATATAAAAGATCCTCAGAGACTACTATAAACAACTCTATGCACACAAATGAGAAAATCTAGAGGAACTGAGTAAATTCCTGAAAGGACACATCCCTGGATTGAATTAAGAAGAGATTGAAACCCTGAATAGACCAATATTAGCTTTTGAAATTGAATCAGTAATAAGTAACCTACCAACCAAAAAAAGTCCTGGACCAGATGGATTCACAGGTGAATTCTCCAGATATACAAAGAAGAAATGATACCACTCCTACTGAAACTATTCCAAAAAATTGAGGAGGAGAGGCTCCTTCCTAACTCATTCTATGAAGCCAGCATCAGCCTGATACCAAAATCTGGCAGAGACACAACAAAATAATAAAACTTCGGATGCATGTCTTTAATGAACATAGATGCAAAACCCTCGACAAAATACTAGCAAATTGAATCTAGCAGCACATCAAAACTTAATGCATCACAATCAAGTAGGCTTTATTTCCAGAATGCAAGGCTGGTTCAACATACACAAATCAATAAATGCGATTCACCATATAAACAGAATTAGAAGCAAAAACCATTCGATCATCTCAATAGATTTAGGAAAACATTCAATAAAATTTCACATCCCTTCATGATTAAAAACCCCCAACAGAGTAGGCATCACAGGAGCATACTTCAAAATAATAAAAGCCATATGACAAGCCCACAGCCAACACTATACTAAATGAGCTCAAACCATTCTGCTTAAAAACTGCAACAAGACAACTTGCCCACTCATACTATGCCTATTCAACATAGTACTGGAAGTCCCAGTCAGGGTAATCAGAAAGAAAAGGTATTTAAATAGGAAAAAAAAGAAGTTAAACTATCTTTGCTAACAATATGATTCTACATCTAGAAAATCCTAAAGACTCTGCCAAAAGGCTGCTACAATTGTTCAACAACTTTAGTAAAGTTTCAGGATACAAAATCAAGTACAAAAATCAGTAGCATGTCTGTACACCACCAAAGTCCAGGCTGAAAGTGAAACCAAGAACACAATCTTGCTTAAAATAGCCACAAAGAAAATGAGATACCTAGGAATACAGCTAACCAAAGTGAAAGATCTTTACAAGAAGAACTACAAAACATGGCTGAAAGAAGTCTGAGGTTACACAAATAAATAGAAAAACATTTCATGCTCATGGATTAGATGAATCAATAACATAAAAATGGCCATACTGCCCAAAACAATTTACAGATTCAATGCTATTTTTACCAAACTACCAATGTCATTTTTCACAGAATTTGAAGAACTATTAGAAAATTCATATAGAACCAAAAAAGAGCCAAATAGCCACAGCAATCCTAAGCAAAAAGAACAAAGTCAGAGGTATCACATTACTTGACGTCAAACTATACCATAAAGCCACAGTAATCAAAACAGCTTGATATTGAGACACAGACACATAGGCCAAGGGAATAGAATAGAAAACTCATAAATAGGCCAGTTGCAATGGCTCATGTCTGTAATCTCACCACTTTGGGAGGCCAAGGCAGGCAGATCACTTGAAGCCAGGAGTTCGAGATCAGCTTGGTCAACGTGGTGAAACCAAGTCTTTACCAAAAACACAAAAATTAGCCTGGCACTGCCTGTAGTCCTAGTTAGTTGGGAGCCTGAGGAATGAGAAAATCGCTTGAACCAGGGAGGCAGAGGTTGCAGTAAGCTGTGATTGAGGTATTGCACTCCAGCCTGGGCAACAGAGTGAGAAAAAGAAAGAAAGAAAGAGAGAAAGAGAGAGAGAGAGAGATAGGAAGAGAGGAAGGAAGGGAGGAAGGGAAAGAGAGAAAGAGAGAGAGAAAGAAAGAAAGAAAGAAAGAAAGAAAGAAAGAAAGAAAGAAAGAAAGAAAGAAAGAAAGAAAGAAAGAAGGAAGGAAGGAAGGAAGGAAGGAAGGAAGGAAGGAAGGAAAGAAAGAAGGAAAGAAAGAAAGAAAGAGAAAGAAAGAAAGAAAGAAAGAAAGAAAGAAAGAAAGAAAAGAAAAGAAAAGAAAAGAAAAAGAAAGGAGGGAAGGAGGGAAGGAGAGAAGGAAGGAAGAAAGAAAGAAGAAAGAGAAAGAAAGAAAATGAAAGAAAGAAAGAGAAAGAAAGAAAGAAAGAAGGAGAAAAGAAAAAAAGAAGAAAGGGCTCACAATTAAAGCTGCACACTTACAACTATCTGATATTCAAAAAGGCCAACAAAAACAAGCAATTGGGAAATGACTCCCTATTCAATAAATAATGCTGGGATAACTGGCTAGTCATATGCAGAAGATTGAAGGTGGATCGCTACCTTTCATCATATACAAAAATTGACTAAAATAGATTAAAGATTTAAATGCAAGACCTCAAACTATTAAAATCCTGGAAGACAACCTAGAGGAATTGGATAAGTTCCTGGAATCACACAATCTCTGAAAATTGAATCAATAAGTGAT
Organism: Homo sapiens; assembly: GCF_000001405.40. Taxonomy (NCBI): domain Eukaryota; kingdom Metazoa; phylum Chordata; class Mammalia; order Primates; family Hominidae; genus Homo; species Homo sapiens. Next base: position 126,371,924 of record NC_000007.14, read on the forward strand.
TGAAACCCTGAAATTTCAGCTTCTGAAATTGAATCAGTAATAAAGAACCTACCAACCAAAATGTCCTGGACCAGATGGATTCACAGCTGAATTCTACCAGATGTACAAAGAAGAAATGATACTAATCCCACTGAAACTATTCTAAAAAATTGAGGAGGAATTGCTCCTTCCTACCTCGTTCTATGAAGCTGGCATCAGCCTGATACCAAAATCTGGCAGAGACACAAAAAAATAGAAAACTTCAGACTAATCTCTGTGATAAACAGATACAAAAACCCTCAAGGCTAATATCTTCTCAATATTGGCCTTGGAAAATAATTTTTGGCTAGGTCTCAAAAGTAATTGCAATAAAAACAACGATTGACAAGTGGGACCTAATTAGACTGAAGAGCTTCTGCACAACAAAAGAAATTACCAACAGAGCAGATAAGCTACAGTATGGGAAAAAAATGTGAACAAACTATACATCTGACAAAGGTCTAACATCCAGAATCAATAGAGAATTCACCAAGCAAATAACAAGCAAAAAAACTCCAAAAACCCCATTAAAAATGGGCAAAGGACATTAACAGACACTTCTCAAAAGAATACATGCAAGTAGCCAACAAATATACAAAAAATGCTGACCATCACTGATGATTAGAGAAACGTAAAATCAAAACCACAATAAGATGATACCCTCCTCACACCAGTCAGAATAGCTATTATTAAAAAGTCAAAAAACAACAGATGCTGGTGAGGCTGCAGAGAAAGGAGAACGCTTATACATTATTGGTGGAAATGTAAATTAGCACAGCCACTGTGGAAAAGAGTCTGAAGATTTCTCAAATAGTTTAGAACAGACTACCATTAGACCCAGCAATATCACTACTGACTATATACCCAGAAGGAAATAAATTATTCTACCAGGACTGTGCCTCTTAAATAAGAATCACTCTTCTGTCTCTTCTGCCTTTATTCTTCCAAATCAATTGCTTTAAGATGACCACAGTCCTCAAATCCCCTTAAACTAATTTTTACTCTAATCTCTAACACTCCCACAGTAGATTCCCCTCCCACTAGATTTAGTAATGTTCCCCATTTACTGCACAAAAGTTTTAATTCTGAGCATAATTTTTTTCCTATATTTAGTAGCCACTAATGGGTTGTATTCTTCAATTACTTGACATCTGCTTACACCCTCCTTGAAAGCTGATTTGTGCCCTCTGCAGTTCAATTGTGGGGTTGGACCAGCAAATAAACCCATATATATATATATATTTTTTATTTATTTATTTATATATACATAACACTTTAATATATATAACCAATTTATATATATATAACCAATTTATATATATAACCAATGTTTATATATATATAACCAATTTATATATATATATATAACAAATTTATATATATATATAACAAATTTATATATATATATATATAACAAATTTATATATATATATATATATAACACTTTAAGTTCTAGGGTACATGTACACAACGTGCAAGTTTGTTACATATGTATACATGTGCCATGTTGGTGTGCTGCACCCATTAACTCGTCATTAAATTTCTAGTCTTTTCCTAGTCTTTTCAGCAGTTTGATGTTTGATGTCTTCTGACTTTCAGTCAGGTAATAGTTTTTCTGAACAGAGTTTTAGGAACTTATTTTCAAGAAATAGTAATATAAAAGATCCAAACTGTTTCACTAATTTACAGGTAATTGACAGTTTAATGTATCCTCCAAATTTTAGGGAAACTCCCTGTTCATTTCGAAATATCAACTTCCAAATACTTTCTTCTATCTTTATGTCTAAATATTATTCTAGAAATGTATACATAAGTATAAAATTCCTTTCATATCTATGTATTCTTTGACATATACTGGGAGTATATAGGACTAAAAACATCAAATATATTTAAAAGCAAGTAGTCCACTAAACCAACAACATTTCATTTAAGGCAGACAATATGTTTGCTTTATTAAGAACTACATACAGGGTAGGGCACGGTGGCTCACGCCTGTAATCCCAGCACTTTGGGAGGCTGAGGCGGGTGGATCACCTGAGGTCGGGAGCTCAAGACCAGCCTGACCAATGTGGAGATATCCCGTCTCTACTAAAAACACAAAATCAGCCAGGCAGGGTGGCTCATGCCTGTAATCCCAGCTACTCGGGAGGCTGAGGCAGGAGAATCACTTGAACACGGAAGGAGGAGGTTGCAGTGAGCTGAGATCACTCCATTGCACTCCAGCCTGGGCAACAAGAGTGAAACTCTGTACCCCCTCCCACCCCCCCACCCCAAAAAACACATACAGTACCTACATATACTTGAATAAATATGATTGGTTATTCAGGCATCTTTTTGAGTATCTAATTAGATATTAAAACCACTTTCTCGAGCATTTCTCTAGAAATCTTACTCATTTCATAATTTCTAAGTACATAGAATTTATTAAAAGCCTAAACTTCCTACAGATATGTGTGCTGCAAGAATATGTGTTGAAGAAGCAGGGCAAGTCTCCAAAATACATATTTCTTTCTTACAGAAAAGAATAGTTTGAGCTGAAGGCAATTGAGAAAAAAAAAGAATAGAAACTATTGTCAACTTAAATAACGAGAGGAAGACTCTCTAAGAGAAAATATTTATTCAGTAATAGTCCTTGCAGTGGGAATACATGTGCCATAATAAATTATGTGTCTATTCAGAGAAGTAAAGGGAGACAAAGATTTAAAGGAATAATTAGGAGGATTACACAATTGTTTTGAGATAATTATCCTTGGCTGCAAGGATCAATAACAAGGGTGGTACCAGTTTGAGGTTGGGCAGGGAGTTCTGGGCAGATGTGATTACACAGAAGTATTTTTTATGTAAGGTTGTGATGACCTTTATACAAGGTAATGATTTTTGCAGAGTCTTCTGTGACGTTTTGGTTTTCAAGCATTTGTGCATGAAGACCCTCTCTTCATGGCCTTCCCTGGCTCTGTTTGTCAGGGTTTGTAACACAAGTAACTCCATTTTGATGCTGATAACTTTCACAATATAAAGCTAACTTTTTATTTTGTTTGGTACATAGTTCGAGATTCATGTTACATAGTTTGTCTACTGAATGAAATTCAGTTATAGCTGATATGCTACTTAAAGATGTTTATCGGCTCAGGACAGGATTGTCCATAGTTATAATTCATCCCCTAGATAAAATTTTAGAAGAGTTGAAGATTCCAACCAACCATTATCTTCACATTTCCTCCCTTACTCTGTCCTTCCACAAATGGTTTCAATGCATATAAGACCTATTAATTTATACATTTTTTACATTCAGAAACAATATTTTGGAAAGTTTAAATGCTCTTTGATGTACTGATAACAGTCAACATATTACTTTATAAAATAGGTATGGAATTTTAAAAATGACTAAAGACTTTAGGTAGAACAAGGAAGCTCTATGAGAGAAGTCTTAGGTTTAGTAAAGGGATCTGGGGCTAGGGTAGGAAATAAAGGAGTTTCCCTACATTCTTGAAACTCCGCTTGCATAAGAAACTCCACTACATTTGTGCCAAGCCAATCTCAATCCTACAACCTTGGACATAAAGACTTCTTTATAATAATACTTGAGGGAAAGTTGATATGATTTGGCTACGTTCCCACCCGAATTTCATTTTAAATTGTAGTTCCCATAATCCCCATGTGTTGTGGGTGGGACCCGGTGGGAGATAATTGAGTCATGGGGGAGGTTACTCCCATGCTGTTGTCATGATAGTGAGTTCTCACAAGATCTGATGGTTTTATAGGGGACCTTTCCCCCTTTGCTCAGCACTTCTCCTTGCTGCCTACATGTGAAGAAGGACATGTTGGCTTCTCTTTCCACCATGATTGTAAGTTTCCTGAGGTCTTCCCAGCCATGCAGAACTGTGAGTCAATTAAACCTCTTTCCTTTATAAGTTACCCAGTCGTAGGTATTTCTTCATAGCAGCTTGATAATGGACAAATACAAAACTGTTTCACTCCAAGTACATCTTTCATATGTCATGGAAAGATACAGATCACTAAACCATGTCATGAATTTTAAACTTGTCAATTTCACCTAATATCAATGTTTTCTTTTGTGAAATAAGGGTAAATATACAGGCATAGAGTATACATTCTGGTATTATGAACATTTCATTAATGACTCTAAAGTGCCATGTTACATAAATGTTAGCAAAGCTTTGTTCACATGAATTGAGCATCCTATTAGCCTAGTGTGTATTTGCTTAATTAAGACAGTATTTGTCTTTTTAGAAGTTTTCTTCCTTTTTCTTACTATAAACTTGATCTCATAAACTAGCAGCATGTTCTCAGTAAAATGAAAGCAAAATTCTCACAATGAAAAATGGGAAATAATGGAATAAAAGATAATTACTTTATGCTTCTTTAATGATACAATACATTACTTGTTTTACATGTGTCTGTGCTAACTCATTTCACATTGCTTTCATGAGAGTGTGGAGGAAAAAGTCCAGAGTGAATTCTAGAGTAACTGAAAAGGACCAAGTATGAAAACTTAGAATAAATAACATTAAAGATCAGGTGTTGGAGGAAACCTTCCTGAGAAATAAATTTGCTACAGACAGAAAAATTTGAAAGCATTGTCTGTGTAATCACTGTGGTAAAGACAGAGTTTTAAGATGGAAGAAAGGATAAATCTTCTCAAATTCAGCAAAGTAAAGGTAAACATTTAAAAATCAAATGCTCTTTAAGATTTGTTATTAGGCAGTCATTAGCTTGTTTGTTAAAGATAATTTCAATGGATGGATAGAAAACATGGTTCCAGAATGATTGGGCTTTGAGGTAATGACTTCACAAACTATCTACTTTTTCCTATTTTTCAAATGAAATAAGATGGAAAGAGGATTTTTCAGTTGAAGAAGAGACTTTTTTTCTACCCCAGCCAAAGGCAGGGAGGAGTTGTGAAATGAGGATTATGCCATATTCCCAGAAGGGACTGTGTTGGCTTCATGTGACTGCTACAACAAATTATCACAAACCTAGTGGTGTAACACAACAGAAATTTACTCTCTCATAGTTCTGAAGGGCAGAAGTCTGAAATGAGTATTACTCGGCTGATATACAGGTATCAACAGGCCCGTATATCCTTTGGAGGTCCTAGGGGAGATTTTGTTTCTTACCTCTTCTAACTTCTGGTGGCTTTGGGTATTCATTGGCTTGTGGCCTGAGTATTCACATTCTGCCCAGATACACTGTCTCTGTCTCTCTCAATCTGTCTCGTGTTTGTGTGTGTGTGTGTGTGTGTGTGTGTGTGTGTGTAATCTTCCTCTGCCTTTTACAAGGATACAGGTGATTGTATTTAGGGCTGATCTGCATAAAACAGAATAATCTCCCCATCTCAAAATTCTTCATCATGTGTGTGAAGATCCTTTTTTGACAGGTAAAGTTTTAGGGATTACGATGTGAATTTTTTTGCCTTTTTGGGAGGAGAGGGTACATTTTTCAGCTCACCACAGAGATACATATTGAGATTATTCCAATTCCACAAGGAACCATAAATCCTAGGTTTCTGTAATAGAATCTTAGTTGTTTATTTCTCCCATTTTACCCATCTCTCCTCAGCAGCCATTCCTATTTCCCCTAGTATGAAGAAGAAAGAGAGAAAGATCCTATCTCTGTCTTTTTTTTCTCATTGGGAGAAAATAAATGTGGTAGACACAGAGTCACATCCCTATTATACAGCTGCCCCCACTCTTTGCTGAAAGAATACCAGTTTGGTTCTGGAGCTCATGCACCTGGGCCCAGACATTGAACCATGATTGGTCTGAGCCAACCACAGTGCTGCTCTCTTCCCCCTTTCCCAGATTTCATGCAGCCACGTTTGACCAGCGACATGAGCAAGCCTGTGATGGTCCCTCCGGAAAAGGATTGTGCTTTCCTAGTGACAACTTCAGGCTCTGAATGGGCATGTGCAGGAAGGGGACAAAAGAGGTAGGCAAAGAAGAAAGGGCCTGACATTGAATCATTTTCACTTGATTTGCTGCTTTTCACTGATTAACGGTTTTGAAGTTTATGGCTTAAGGGCATATGATCCCATTACTAGCAATGAATTTATTTTGCTTCTTTTTCTAATTGGTATTAGTTTTATTAGGTGTTTCAATTAAGAGACTATAATCTTAGCTTAACACATCTGCATTTAGCCATGATATTCTGCTTTGACTTTAAATAAATGTGTCTGCCATTCTTTATACAGAAGGCAAAAAAAAAAAAATACGTATACGTGTGGCTTTGTATCTCACCCAGCTTTGGAAATCTGCCTATATGAACACATATAATTATGATCTATGATAAAAAAAGATAAAACAATTTGAATTTTGTACCCAAAGGGCTTTTAAAATGTTAGCTCTTGTAAATCTCATTAAAAATCTTAAAAATGGTGCTAAAATTGAATACTGTGCAAACAGAAAGCTGAATTTCTAAATAATAATATGTTTGAATATTCACAAAGAAATGTGGTCTTAATTATCATTTTCAGAAATAAAAGCAAACAATAGTAAACTAAAAGCTTAAATCAAAATTAAATGCTATCATGGAGCAGCATTGGAGAAACCTAAAGGGTATGCAAACATAACTGTCTTCTGGTGTTGCCCTCCCCAAATAGGATCAAAAATTCCAATTATTGTATATTATCTGTCACAGGACAGCAAAGTCCTATTAGTTATGTAGACTGTAGTTGTTGAAATATAAGTGCTCTAGTTTGTATATCTCTGAAGAACCATGTCTAATTGAACATGCCTGTTTTAGTCTCTGTTGCCTTTAAAACAATAAAAATCGCTGTCCCTAATGGCAAAAAATCAAGTAGTGCTGAAAAAGCAAAACTGAAAGGACTGGCAAAGTCCAGAAATTGCAAGTGAAATTCAAAAGGATTTGCATTTGCTGTGTGAGTTGGCTGATGTAGCAAATCACATTTAATGCTGACAGCTGTTAAAAATAATGATAAATGGACACCAAAATAAGCAGGTAAATGAAGCAAGCAAACCAGAGTCACTGAGTTCCTAATAGATGACAAAAAGCTCTGACATGGGTTAAAATCCTTTGAATGGTAAGAAATGGGGCAGAGAAGGGGGAAATGCAGGAAACGAATTTACAAATCTTCTGAGTTTGAATCCTGAGTGTAAATACTGTTTTAACATTAATATTTTATCTCCCTACTTCTGCCCAAAATTGTGGCTAAAATGAAATTAAAATACAAATCATATGCATTTTTAGATGAAGATGTGTGGATTTATAAACTTCTAGAAAAAAACAAGTCTGAAAGAGAAATTATTCAGCCACATTTTTTAAAACAAGTACTATAGCAAAGCTTTCAAAATAATAAGCAATAGTTGATGTTGTTTTTCACTCTACCCTGAAAATGCTTAATGTTGACCAAAGGTTGTAGAAAGCTCATCTTATAGGTCTTAATATTAAAAGACTATTTCAAGCCTGATTCATATTGAACCACCTGGTCTCAACATTGTTTCTCGTATATATGGCAAAAAGAAAGATATTTGGGGCAGATGGGCATGGGTATGAATGGTTTTATGAGCCAAGTCAGTATTATAATAGGAATAAGCTATAAGCTTTTCCATCAGTATTACAACAGGAATAAGCTATAAGATTTTACATCAGTTCTAAGTAGGTTGTGTTGCCAGGAGAGTGTATCAAATGATGGTTATACATATGCAGAATCATTATTTTAACCAGGTCTATTTAAAAATAGATTCATTGCGGATGATTGCATATTTCTATTTGCTAGGATAGACATCTACAAATAGTCTATGAAAGCACTTTGTAAGCTTCAAGGTAGTTTATCAATATGAAAGAGCATATGCCGCAAATGGTTTATTTGTGGCTGCTTCCCACTGGCCAAAAGCAGCCTTTTAGTTTCTAAACAAATATGATTGTCTTTCTATATAGGTCATGATGTGCAAGTCAGGGAACAATGGCTAGCCTAGCATAGAATAGCAAGATAGGTCAGTTTTTGTCAACAGATAATGGGTAGCCAGTCCAAGATTTGTCTGAGAGTGCAAGGATGGTCACTGTTACTAATAGGCATAAATATAATTTATTTTGTATGTTGATCTTGTATCCAACCACCTTGTCGAACATGTTCATTATAATAATGTTCTATATCTGATATTGTCTTCTATAAAAATAATTTAATCACATGTGATAACAGTTTTGACAGCCCTGTGATTTCCTTAACTAATCATGACATCTTTTTTCTTTGTTTATGTTATTATTGTTTGCTGACACGTCCAGTAAAATATGAAGTAGATGCGGCAACAGTGGGTATCTTTGATTGTCCCTGACTGAATGAGAAAGATTTCAGTAGTGAACAGTTTTTTTGCTGGAGAATATTAGTAAATAATTTAACAAATTAAGGAAATTTTTTTTCTTCCTAAAAGAAAGCGTTCACCTGAAAATAACATACATCATATCCACTCACATTTTATTGACCAAAGGAAGTCACACAGAATCATGTCTAACTTCAGACAGGGTAAGAAAATACAATTTCGCCATGGCCCAGGAAGCAGCTAGGTCAAAAGATTCAGTGAACAAAAATACTGATTCACGTATTTATTAAGAAATAGTGATTATATGGACTGAGAATGTGGAAGTGATGGATATAAGTGAATTTTAACATATTTGCATATACAAGCAACAATCTGTCAAGTGATTAAAAAATGAAATACGTGACTCTTCCAATATGACCAGCAGGTGATGCAGTCAATTACAGTTATGTGGATGAGTGGGAAAAAACAGGTTTTATTTTTATTGGGGTGGGAGGAAAATCAACTTCATCTGTAAATACAGAAAAGAAAATTAAAATAATGTGGTATATAACCTTATATCTATTTTGTAATTCTTTATTCTCATTGAGGCAAAGAGAGAATCAGATTCATCAAAATTACAGAACGTAAAGCTGAAATAATGGATTATATAGTTCTATATATGTTTTCAGTTCACTGCATCTGCTTTTAGTAGTTTAGATACCCAAAGCTCTCTTATGAACTACAAATAAGAGAGAAAACTCTATTTCCTTAAGTAGACACACGAGAACAAAAGATGTATAGAAAAGGAAAACTCCCCCTATTTTGCCAAGGCCAAACAGGTGTCTGTTGGTTGTACCCTTACTTCAAAGTCCACTTTTTCAATGATTCTTTTACAAGGCTCTTGTCAGTTTAAACTTCCTAGCTGTTAGGTACAATGGTGATGTGCTTCATTTAGCTGTGTCAAGCACATCACTTTATTTCAGTTCCCAATAAAATGATTTCAGATGGAAAGGCATGCTGTGGGGAAGACTTCAAACCAATTAAAAAGTGACTTACCTTTTAAAAAGATTCAAATTAAGTTTGACAGAAAGTATGGCATCCTGGACCATTCAGATTGCAATTAACTTTGACAATGTTCAATTAATTACACCTTTCACTGTGATTATACAGAGACGATATTGCATATTAAAATTTTCTGGACGTTAGCAATTCAAAATTTAGGTCTCCTTTATCTCCAGCTGCAGAGGTGTATAATTTGACATTTGTCATAAAAAATATTTGTTCCTCCTATAAAAATCATAGATGGCTCCACATGCTTAAAGGATAAAGACCAAAACTTTGAGTACATTCAAAACTATTTCATTGTTTAGCTCAAATATTGCTTCCTAGTGTCCTAACCCTATTTTCTACCATATCACCACATAGACAGACACATACCCATATACAGTACCTCTTAATTTTAACTATACTAAACGTAAACAAATACTTTCAGAGTATTCTTAGGGCTTCAGTTCTGTTTCTTTGTCATTTTTTTTTACCTTCCTATAGGGTATTCAAATCAAGCTATACCCACTCATATTAGCACTGTAACCTACCATCCACAAGGGTAATATCTCCAATAGCATCTACAAAAAATAAAGGTTTTATAAACCAATATCCAGAAAATATCTTGTTTATTTACCCCAACTAAACCACATGCTTATATCTGAACTATTTGCTGTGTTGGAATGTGGATTTTGAGTCTATTCAAATAAATTCACTGTCAGGAACAGAAAATGGCTGTAGTTAAAGTCAGGTCCCCACCCTAATATCATGGCTGAGCATGAGGACGAGAGTTTCACCAAAAGTGATAAAATTACAGAAACTGAATATTATCATTTTTATGTCTCATTATCTAGTATTTATATATGTTCAACATACATTTGAAGGGTGAAGGAACTGTGGTCCTTTATCTTTTATACTGTACTAATAGTTGAAGTTATGCAAATAAAGAAAAATGGATAAAAGTCATAACACTGAGATTATAAAGAAAACCGAAAATTTGTTTTCCATCATACTTTTCTCTGTATCTGAATGCACCTTTTCCCCATTCTCTTGTCCAGTGCTTTCTTCTTAGTTTCCCTATTCCCATTAACTCTTTCTTCCAGGTAGAAGGTAACTGCTTATAAAATAAATCCAATGAATGCAAAACATTCCCATTTTAACCAGGGTAATCCAGCCCCACTCTAAACACTTTCTAGCATACATAACCCAGTAACCATGTGCCACATTTCAGCTCCACTGAGCCCTCTTCCAGGACCCTTGTGCAATGAACATTTTATACTCCTATCATGTTTAGGAAAAGTAACTGCCTTTCAACTTCTTAGGATCTTATTCCCGCCACAATATTTGCATTTCAAAAGAGAAGAAAATGTCAGCTCAATACCCATTTTATATACACTTTATATACTTTTCCATCTGTATGAGGTATACATATATATCTTCAGTTTGTTTAACCAAACTTTTCCATCTCACACAGATGGAAATGAAAGAAATAAAATGTCTTTGTTCACCGACAATAACATCGCATAGATAAAAAATCCTAATGATTCTACTAATAAACTACTATAAATTATAAGTGATTTAACAAGTTTGCAGAACATAAAGCCAATATGCAAAAGTCAATTGTGTATTTCTAAACAACTGTATTGGGGTAAATGTCCTCCACATATTTAATGCATACAATTGGATGAGTTTGGACCTGTGATATACCCATGAAACCATCACCACAATCAAGGTGATAGACATATCAATTACATCCGAAGTTTTCTTTTATCCATCAGGTTTTGTTGTGTTTGATTTTGTGGTAAGAACACCTAACATAAGATCTACCGTGCACTTAAAAATTTTAAGTGCACAATAGGCACTATGCTGTATATCATATATGTAGAACTAGTTCATCTTCTGTAGGTGAAACTTTATACTAATTGCACAACATTCCCATGTCCCTCTTCCTCCAGCCTTTGGTAACCACCCAACCGTTCTATTCTCTGCTTTTATGAACAATTGTTTCTTTATAAACTAGCTATAAATAATTGGAGAATGAAAGTATAAATATGCCATTTGTAATACCATCAAAAATAAAACTATTATGAAGAAACTTAATGACAGATATGCAAAGTACCCTATGAAGAAACTTAAAGACTCACATGCAAAGTCTCTACCCTGAAAATCACAAAATATTGGTGAAAGAAATATTAAAAACAAAAGCAAAAACCTACATAAATGGTAAGCCAACTGGTTCATAGATGGGTAGACTCAATATTGTTAAGACGTTCATTCGTCTAAAATGATTTTTTTGCAATCCCAACAGCCCATTTTTGGCCAGGTACAATTGAAAACTTCACTCTAAAAGTTTTATGAAAATTCAAAGGGCCTAGAATAGCCAAAAAAATCTTGAAGTTGAAGAACTTGTACCAGCTCATTTCAGAACCTACTCTATTGGGTCAAGATAGTGTGGTACTGGTGTAAATAAAAATAAATAATAAGTTAGAAAGTTCAGAAACAGACCCACACTTCCACTATCAACTGATTTTAATCAAAGAAGCACAGTTAATTAAATGGAAAAGTGAATGGTGCCATAACAGATTAACCATATTTTAAAAAGTGACCATTGGTCTCTATTTCTAACTGTCCTCAAAATTAAATTCTATATGGATAGATTTAATCATCAATGATATATTATAAGTCTCTAGAATAATTTAAAGAATATATCAGAGAATGTTTTCACAACATTGGAGTAGCACTAGTTTTCTTAGAAAGTAAAAAAAGCAATAACAATAAAAAGAAAAAATTTAAACATTGAACTTTTAAAGTTTAAAATACTTGATCATCAAAAGACAGACTGGTTATCCTGCCTTTTTAAGGATGGTATTATTTTATTGCTGAACTGGGCAGCTCTACGCTTACATGTGTGTTGCCTAAAAGTCTGGTACTGACTTTTGGTCACTATAAGGATGCGATATACTAGCAAATGATTATGATATGTTATTAAAAGTTTGAAGCACATCTGGAGACACCTACTACTCCCTTGTCTATGTAGTTTATAAATGTATACACTGGAGGTGTTGTGTTGGTTTAATTAGTTACATCACCTGGCTTTAGCTACTTGACAATGGAGTATAAAAGACTCTGCAGCAATTATGCTTTGCCTCTCGTGAAGCTGAGCTATCTCATGCATATCTTGGTAGTTCAAAATCCAAAGAAGAAAAGAACCTGGAGGACTACAGCTCTAAATTTTCAGGTCTATGGTTGTCTGTGCTTTCCCCTGTTGCGCTTTATTGGATGGTAGGAAATGGTAACCACAGTTATCTTTTTCCCCATATGATTAACCAGTTGTTATATCATCTTTTGTTGAAAATACTTTGCTTTCTCAACAAAAGGTGATGTAACAACTGGTTAATCATATGGGGAAAAAATACTTTTGTTGAAAATACTTTGCTTTCTCAACAAATGGTGATGTAACAACTGGTTACATCACTGGCTCAGCTTCACGAGAGGCAAAGCATAATTGCTGCAGAGTCTTTTATACTCCACCTCATACCAGTTAGAATGGCGATCATTAAAAAGTCAGGAAACAACAGGTGCTGGAGAGGATGTGGAGAAACAGGAACATTTTTACACTGTTGGTGGGACTGTAAACTAGTTCAACCATTGTGGAAGTCAGTGTGGCAATTCCTCAGGGATCTAGAACTAGAAATATCATTTGACCCAGCAATCCCATTACTGCATATATACCCAAAGGATTATAAATCATGCTGCTATAAAGACACATGCACATGTATGTTTATTGCGGCACTATTCACAATAGCAAAGACTTGGAACCAAAGCAAATGTCCAACAATGATAGGCTGCATTAAGAAAATGTGGCACATATACACCATGGAATACTATGCAGTCATAAAAACTGATGAGTTCATGTCCTTTGTAGGGACATGGATGAAGCTGGAAACCATCATTCTCAGTAAACTATCGCAAGGACAAAAAACCAAACACCACATGTTCTCACTCATAGGTGGGAATTGAACAATGAGAACACATGGACACAGGAAGGGGAACATCACACTCTGGGGCCTGTTGTGGGGTGGGGCGAGGGGGGAGGGATAGCATTTGGAAATATAACTAATGTTAAATGACGAGTTACTGGGTTCAGCACACCAACATGGCACATGTATACATATGTAACAAACCTGCACGTTGTGCACATGTACCCTAAAACTTAAAGTATAATAATAAAAAAAGAAAATATTTTGCTTTCCTATCCTTTAGTTTTACTAAAACCTTGCATGTGGTTACCCTATAGAATCTCACGAGTCTTCTTATTTACCCGATCCTGAGTTATACATGCTCTTTCCCTCCTAAACTACTGAATTTCTTGTTTTAAATCTATAATATTCCACGTACTAGATATGAATGTAGTGGCTAGTTGTTTAAATTTCTTAAGCTTTGGTTTTCTCATCAATATAATGAGAGTAATTATAGTACCAACCTCATGGGGCTGTTGTGAGGATTAAATGAGTGATTATAAGTGAGGTGTTTAGAACTGTGCTAAATGGCTACTATTATTATTTATTACAACCATCATCACTGACACTACTGCTCCTGCTACTATTACTTCTATTACTAGTATAACTACTATTACTACTACCACCATGATCATTATCTTAACATAGATTTGGAAAATGTTCATAGCAGTGTTTGTTGAAGTTGATGCATATGCTTACTGACGTCTTCACTCTGACACCAATTTGTATTTATGCATTAATTTGCCATAAATTTTTAAAATTCAAATAAAATTACATTTTGAACAGAAATTATTATTCAAACTTAATTACTCTAGCAAAGAAAAAATATGTCTCAGCCTTGTCTCATTGGCTGTGGACATAAAATACATAAAAGTCCCTGTCTAATATACAAGCAAGTCATTCTAGACTTTCATACCTCTATTTCCAGCATGGTTTATAACCCAACACTATTTTCAGAAGGACAAACTCTGCACGGTTTAAAATGGGAAAAATTGGACCAGAACACTGGACCAATTTGAAGGGATAAAAGAAAAATTTCAATATCATATCCCAAAAAAAGGTTAAGAATGTGTCAAAAACAAATGTGGTCTAATTCAAAATAACGTTCTAACATTTTTTCAGAAATAGATAATTTAAAATTTAATTAAAAAATCAAAGGATAGAAAAATATATTCTGTGTAAACAGTAACCAAAAGAGAGAGAGAGTTTTTATACTGATATTAGACAATATAGACTTTATTAATAGAACACGAAATGTTACAAAGGACATTATATAATGAAAAAGGGTCAATTTATCAAGAATATACAAGCATAAATATACATTTCCCAAAAAGCACAGTCTCAATATATATGAAGCCCACAAAGACAAAAGACAGAGTTGAAGGGAGAAATAGATAGTCAACAATAATATTTGGGGACTTCAATACTCAACTTTCAATAACAGATAGAACAACTAGACAGAATATCAGAAAAGAAACAGATGATTCAAACAACACTATAAAGCAACTAAACCCAACAAACATTTATAAAACAGTTTCCATGACAGCAGCAGAATCCACAATCTTCTCAAGTGTACATAAAATCTTGTCCAAAACAGATCATATATTAGGCCACATATTTCAATAAATTAGAAAAGATTCCTTATTTATTTTATTTTATTTATTATTTATTTACCTGACAGCCATGAAATAAAATTAGAAGCCAATACACAATCTAAAGGACATTTGGGAAATTTACAACTATGTGCAAATTAACAACACACTCCTAAACCAGTAAGTTAAAGAAGACATCACAATGGAAATTAAAACATACTTTGAGAGGAATAAAAGAAAAAATAGAACATAACAAAACTTAAGAGGTGCAGCAAAAGCAGTACCTAGAAAGAAATTCCTAATAATCAACTATATTAAAAAGGACATTTTAAATTAATAACTTAACTTTACACCTTTAGAAACCAAGCAAAGAAGGGCAGGCATAGCAAGAAGAAAGATGAAAATAATAAAGACTACAGCAGAGACAAATAGGATGAAGAATAGAAAAACGATACAGAAAATCAACAAAACCAAAAGTTGGTCTTTGAAAAGATTTTTAAAAGGCAATCCTTTAGCTAAACCTCTCAAGAGAAAAGAAATGAGTAAAATTACTAGTCAGGAATGAAAGTGGAGACATTACCATCAACTATAATGAAATTAAAGAATAGTTAAAGAGTACTATAAATATTAAATGCTGGCAAATTTGATAACTTAGATAAAATAGATGAATATCTGAAACACACAGACTATTGACACTGACTCAAACAGAAGTAGAAAACCTGAAAAGACCTATAATAAATAGTCATTGATTTTGTGATCGAAAAGCTTTCCAGAAAGAAACATATAGGTCTAGATGACTTTGCTGAATAATTTACCAAAAATTTAAAGATGAATTAACACCAATTTTTCTCTTCCAAAAATAGAAGGGTGAGCAAACACTTCTAAGAAAATACTGACAAACTGTATTCAGCAGAAAAGTAAAAGCCTTATGCACACTGATCAAGTAGGATTTATCCCAGGAATGCGACAGTGGTTCAACATACAACAATCAACCGATGTAATAAACTTTATTAATGATTTACAGGAAAAAACAAACACAATCATCTCAATGGACACCGAAAAAAATAGCAAAATGATAAAAACACTAAACAAGCTAGGAATACAAAGGAACTTTCTCAAAGTGATGAGGGCATATGTGAAAATTCCACAGCTAACATCAGACTTAATGGTGAAACACTAAGTGTTTCCCCTGAGATGAGAAATAACAATGATGTCCAGGATCACCACTTCTATTCAATATTGTACTGGAATTCTAGCCAGGATAATTAGATAAAAAATAAATAAAGGTATTCAGACTGAAAATTGATAGATTACATGATCTTATAGGAAAAAAATTTTATTCACAAAAATAAATTTATAGTTAATGAACAAATTATCAAAATGCAGAATACAAGGTCAATATAGAAAATCAGTTGTATTTTCATATACAAGGAGTGCACAACCCAAAAGTGAAATTAAGAAAATAATTATTTTCATAATAAAATACCAAATGATAAAATATTTAGGAGTAATTTAGTCAAAGAAGTGCAAGACTTATAGACTGAAAACTATATAACATTTTTGGAAAGTAGTGAAAAGCCCAAATAAATGGAAAGACATTTCATGTTCATGGGTTAGAAAGCTTAATATTAGTAAGATGACAGATTGATCTACAGGTTTAATGCAATTTCTATCAAAATATCATCTTGTCTTTTTTTGTTTTGAAGAAAGGGACAAAGGACAAACCTCTAAAATTCATACAGAAATACAAAGGATCCAAATTAGCTAAAATGATCTTGAAATAGTGGAGCAAAATTGAGGGACCCATATTTCTTGATTTCAAAATTAATACAAGGCCACGGTAGTCATAAAGTGAAATATTGACATAAGCACAGATATATAGATCAATGTAATTAAATTGAGATATCAGAAATAAACCCATGTATCTGTGTTCAAGTTGATTTAGACAAAGGAACATACCTATTCAATGAGGAAAGAATAATTTCTATAACAAATAGTACTGGGAAAACTGGATATCCACATACAGAATAATGAATCTGGATCCCTATCTTACACCATACGTAAAAAATAACTCACAATGAATTAAAGACTGAAACAGAAGAGTTAAATCTATAAAACACTTAGAAAAAAAGTAGATCTTCATGAATTTAGATTAGTCAATCATTTTTTAAATATGGCAGCAGAATGTTAAATGGATTAACAATATGTGGGTGATCTGTACAGCTGGATATTGTTCATCAATAAAAAGAAATAAAGGAAATACTGATACATGCTATATGATATGGATAAACTTTCAAAAGATTATGTGCAGTAAACAAACTAGACACAAAAGACCACATATTATATGATTCCATTTATGTGAAATATCCAGAATAGACATATCCATGGACATGGAAAGTAAATTAGTCATTACCAAGAAATAGGGTGAGGGATTGATTGGGAGGTTTAGGATTTTCTTTGAGCAAAGTTGAAAAGGTTCTGGAATTAGTGGTGGTGATTGAACAACATTGTGAATATACTAAAATCCACTGACTTGTACACTTTCAAATTGTTTTTAAAAAGTCCTATTTCCCCTATTAGAATCACAAATCCCCTGAATTGAAATATTCACGGTCTCTTTAGAAGATATACCTCTCTAGAAGTACACTGTTACAATGAAAGATGCTCCTGTGTATGCTGGTCCATTAAGTCCCATTATTGCAAACACAATCAACTGCCTGGAGTAAGACAACGCTATGACAGCTGCTGTGAGGATAGAGAAATGAAGATGTGGTTAGCCCCAGACACATAATCAGTTAACTTCTGCACAAGGAAAAACTAAAGTAAGTGCAGGAATTAAGACAAAATCAAAGTGCTGCAGAAAGCAGCCTCTATAATGGAAGGAGTATTTTAAAGGACCTTGAAATTTGAGTGAAATAAGGAGAGAAGGACATTGAACGTGGAGGCAACAACATAAACAAACATGGGCAAATGACACAGACTGAAGGGTAGGGTACAGAGGATAGATACTGAGATCAAGCAGCGCAGGTGCAACCTCTCAGAATGGACTATGGATTAAATGGGACAAGAATGAGCCAAACAATTAATTTAGATTAAGTGTATTATTATTATAACTCTCATTACCTTAATTAAAGAATACAGAATACCTTAACAATAGTTCTATTTCTCTTTTATAACATCAGTCTTATCTCTGGGGCGTGGTGGGGAATGACACTCAGCTGCTAGTGACTGTTAAAGAAAACTAGGATTTTTTTGGATTAAAGAAGCTTACTTTTATGCTGTATTCAAGTACTTTGATAATTAGGATTCTCATCAGTTTTCAGGAGAAATGCATTCAATTATACTTTCAATAGAAAAAATTACAAGCAGCTGGGCTTTCTTACCTCATACTCATCTTAATATTGACAAGACCATATTATAATCTAGGGAAAAAAACAAATTCCGTGCCTAGTATCATTTGTTTCCTTTCTCCACTCCCCAGCTGTCCAATGTTTCAGAAAATTATTTACCTTCAAAATCAGAAGGAAACCAAATGCCTAAACATCTTGAAAGTTACCCTAAGGAGTTATTTTCCTTACATAATGATATTCAACAAGATTGAAGAAAGTTAAAAATGATATGATGCTACATGTAGATGACAAGAATAACTTAACAATGTGAAATGCTAAATTATAAGACAATACAGGACAAAGAAATCCATTGCATGGTCAGTTTGAGCACTGATAATAAATGGAGGGGATGAGTTAAGGCACTGGCAGTATACATGGAAATCAGAAAGTGAAAGTAGGAGATGCCACACAGGTAGTTTAGTAAATGATGGATGTGGGAACAGCAAAGTCAATGCAGTCAAGTTTACAAACCACTGTGTTGGGAAAACGGTAAAACTGTTATGTGAAAGAAGATCACAGGAGCAAAGCAGATTTCAGGAAGACAATTTTGATTCTAAACATGCTCAATTTGAGGTATCAATGGGAAATCCATTTATGGATATGCAGCAAGCAGTTGTTAACTGAGGTCTATTGTTCAGGAAATGAATTTGAAGTATTGTTTTAAATTTGAGACACATTAGTACACAGCAACATTTCAGTCTACGATAGTGGAATTGTAGGAATTTTAGGGAAATAATTCAATAAAAACAATGTCCTTCCTGATTATTTTAAACCACCTTTATATGTGTATGTATCATAAACTTCTTTTTTTTTTTTTTCTTTTTTTTTGAGACGGAGTCTCGCTCTGTCGCCCAGGCTGGAGTGCAGTAGCGCTATCTCGGCTCACTCCAAGCTCTGCCTCCAGGGTTCACGCCATTCTCCTGCCTCAGCCTCCCGAGTAGCTGGGACTACGGGCGCCCGTCACCACGCCCGGCTAATTTTTTGTATTTTTAGTAGAGACGGGGTTTCACCATGTTAGCCAGGATGGTCTCGATCTCCTGACCTCGTGATCCGCCCGCCTCGGCCTCCCAAAGTGCTGGGATTACAGGCGTGAGCCACTGCGCCAGGCCATAAACTTCTTAAACAATAACATCAAGTCCTAGAACTGCTGAAACTATTTCAAGCAAAAATCCTAAACACTATTCTAACTGATCTTTCTTACTTTCATTCCCATTCTGTTTTCCCATGGATCCAAGCTAGTGGATCCACATGTCATTTACAAAGTTTTAGTGTAGGCTTGCTTTTCTATATTTGCCAGATGGAAGATATGACATAGAATGCCTCTCTGATTTTCTTCAAAAATTTAACTCTTCCTTCTTCAATGTAATATTTACTACCACATATCTCTCTCTCTCTTTCTCCCTCCCTCTTTGAAAAAAGCATTTAAAATGTCATTCATTTTATATGACTGATCATTCTCTCTTTTTTTTTTTTTTTTTTTTTTGAGACGGAGTCTCGCTCTGTCGCCCAGGCCGGACTGCGGACTGCGGACTGCAGTGGCGCAATCTCGGCTCACTGCAAGCTCCGCTTCCCGGGTTCACGCCATTCTCCTGCCTCAGCCTCCCGAGTAGCTGGGACTACAGGCGCCCGCCACCGCGCCTGGCTAATTTTTTGTATTTTTAGTAGAGACGGGGTTTCACCTTGTTAGCCAGGATGGTCTCGATCTCCTGACCTCATGATCCGCCCGCCTCGGCCTCCCAAAGTGCTGGGATTACAGGCGTGAGCCACCGCGCCCGGCCTGATCATTCTCTCTTAACCCACACCAAGCAAGCTTCTGTTTCTAACAATTAATCAAAACTATTGTTGTCAATGTCATGAACAGCACATTGCCAAACCCAAAGGTAAATTCTAAATGTTCATCTTTCTTGACCTTCTTGAAGCACTGGACATGATTCCCTCTTGAAACTTTCTTTGCTTTGTCTCTAGGAGGAACATTTTGATGTTTTCTTTCTAACTCACTGACCTCCCTTTTTCCGTAGCCTTCACTGGATTCTCCATCTCTTCCCAACCAATATTCAGGTTTGAGACCTCTTGTCACCTCTTCACTTCTCTATCTACACTCAATCTCTGCTTATTCCCTTCAGATCTATAACTTCAAATACTATTTATAAACTGATAACTTTCATTTTTACAATTACAAACCTGAATTCCTCCATAGCTCCAAACTTTATTTATTTATTTATTTATTTATTTATTTATTTTGAGATGGAGTTTTGCTCTTGTCGCCCAGGCTGTAGCACAATGGCACAATCTTGGCTCACTGCAACCTCTGCCTCCTGGGTTCAAGCAATTCTCCTGTCTCAGCCTCCCGAGTAGCTGGGATTACAGGCACCTGCCACCATGCCTAGCTAACTTTTTTTTATATTTTTAGTAGAGATAGGGTTTCACCATGTTGGCCAGGCTGGTCTCGAACTCCTGACCTCAGGTGATCCACCTGCCTTGGACTCCCAAAATGCTGGAATTACAGGCGTGAGCCACCATGCCTGGCCAAGACTTTTATCTAATATCCTATTTAATATTTTCACTTGTCTGTATAATAAACTGAAATACATTTGAAACCAAACTCCTTGTTCTTCTCCACTACACAAATATATGCTATACTGTTTCTGACTCACTGTCTCTATGTGAACAGATATCATCAACATTTACCCATTTGCTCAGGCCAAAAACTTTGGAATCATCACTCTTGCCTCTTTTATTACATTCACCATCTGCTCCATTAAAGGTTTTTAGCTGTATATTCGAAATTATATTCCCTGATTTGATCTTCTTACCAAATTTGTTGCTTCTATCCTAGCCTAGGTAATCATTATAACAAACTTGGATAACTTGGGTATCATATTCCACCTTGTCTCCCAGCCTCTATTCTTGCCACATTCACTACACTTCTCTCTCTGTGTGTGTCTATCTCTCCTTCTCTCCCCTCTTCTCTCTCAAGAGTTGACTCTATACATAATGTCCAAAAAGGCCCTTCTAGAATTTTCCTCCTGATGGCCACACCATTCCCTGCAAAACATCCTCCCATGGAATTTAGCATAAAAGAAAAAAAAATCTTACCATGGCCTCAGGCCCTATATACTCCAAATCTAATTTTCAACCACTCTCTCTCAC
This sequence comes from Homo sapiens, assembly GCF_000001405.40. NCBI lineage: Eukaryota > Metazoa > Chordata > Mammalia > Primates > Hominidae > Homo > Homo sapiens. The sequence goes on from NC_000007.14 coordinate 126,393,412, forward strand.
CACCATAACTAGCTTCTCAAAAATGTGAATATACATTCTTATTGTAAGCCTTTGTTTGTCCTATTGCCTAAAAATATCTTCCTCCAGATATTTACGCTAGTTACTCTCTCACTTAATTCAGGTCCAAAATCAGAATATAGTACCAGAAAAAGCCCTACAAGAATACAATCTTTATCCTCTCCCCTTATTCTGTTTTATTTTTCTCCAGAGTATTTATCAATACCTGACATTTTATTGAATTTTTTTTGTCTTTAAAACTTTACGCATCATGAGGGCAGAGAATTCTTTGTTTTGGCTAACACTTCATCACTAATACCCAAAATCATGTCTACCACAGAGAGGACACTCAAGTACTTTTTGAAAAAAAAAAAAAGCATGAACAAAGGGGAGTTATCAATAGTGTGAACTAATAGAAAAGATGAAATGAGGGTACTCCATTTGACTGACAAGAGGCCTTTGATGACTTCAGAGAGGGCAGTGGTGAAATAGAGGAAGAAATTAAGAAAGTTTGAAGGTATTCTTGTGAACATGTTCCCAGAGTACTTGGAAGAGGAGTTTATAATTTTGAACATGCTAACTAGGCTATTTTAGATAAGATAAAATATAACTTGAGAAAAATGAATTCAGTGATTATTTAAATTTATGATTAGTATTTTTATTGTCATGATAGAATATTACATCTGTAACAACACATTAAAACTTGAAATAAACTTTATCTTGAGGATTTCACATGCTAGAAAATCCATTTTTAAAATTATTACAAGCCTCTCTTCAGTGTAAGTTTGGACACTAATCCAAGATATAAAGCTAAAAATGTTAGGTCCTTAGCAACATTTTACATAGGCATCCTTGTCCTTAGATACTACACAGATATTTAACCTACTGTTTTTCTTTAATGAAAGTTAGAGAGTAGTCACCAGCGAGAATTGAGTGGCTCTATGAAAATATCTGCCACCTCAGAAGAGCAGAGCCAACAGTAGAAATTAGTAAATTAGTTGCAAAGGAAGTTAAGTATACATAAGAAGGGTACAGATTAGTAGGAACACATAAACTGTACTCATGTGGATAAGTAAGTGTATTCTGACTTATACTGAAGCCTTTTGCATTGTTTTCTGGCCAGTGCATTTCGACATTACAATGAGTCATGAACCTTTCTTTCTATCATGCAAAATGAGCTTTTTCTATAATCTGCAGTTCCATCCACTGTGAATAAATCCCAGGCCCTTGTTGCCGCTACAGGGAGTGGTAATTGTGTTCATAAATACCTTTCTGGGGTGCGGTGGCTCATGTCGGTATTCCCAGCGTTTTGGGAGGCTGAGGCGGGCGGATAACTTGAGGTCAGGAGTTCAAGACCAGCCTGGCCAAAATGGTGAAACCCCATCTCTACTAAAAATACAAAAATAAGCGGGGCGTGGTGGCACACGCCTGTAATCCCAGCTATTTGGGAGGCTGAGGCAGGAGAATTGCTTGAACCCAGGAAGTAGAGGTTGCAGTGAACCAAGATCATTCCACTGAACTCCAGCCTGGGTAACAGAATGAGACTCCATCTCAAAATAAATATATATAGATATAGATATAAATATATTTATATAGATATAGATATAAATATATTTATATAGATATAGATATATTTATATAGATATAGATATAAATATATTTATATAGATATAAATATATATAGGTATAATATATTTATATAGATGTAAATATATATCGATATAAATATAGATGTCTATATTTATATATCTATACATATATATATATCTGGGGAGGCAAAACTGACAGTATGAGGGAAAGAGTATGAGGAAAAGGGATATTTATTTGTTACGACACTGTGACTCCTCATCTATTTCATCGATATATTGTTACACACACACACACACAACTACTAATGTTAGCAAGAACAATCCTAAGTGTTATAATTGCATTAAGCTAAACAAATACTGACTTTTAAAATAAGTGTATTGATGCATGTTTCAAATGAAGTCCAAAGTATGTGACAACTTACCTTTGTTTTGCTCCTTAAAAACAATCATCATGATTTAGTACTGTTTCTTTGGGCCTTTGATTCTCACCACCATCAATTGCTTGGATCTGGAACACTTGAAATAGAGGTATATCTCAAGCAACTTGGTCAGATGAAAGGCATTTTAAGACTATTTCCAATACAAGAGTATTGCTGCACTATTTTTATATCTGCTCGTCAAATAATATTTTGTTTGATCAGGTACTTCAGATCACATTATAAAGAGTATAAAAACTTGTCATTTTGGAATAAAGGAGGCAAATAATATTGTAATTCAATGCAGGCTGACAGGTTTTAGATCAAAGACTGGTTCCCAGCAATTTTTGTAATTAGAAAATATCTGTAAACATGAGGCATGCAATTCTTAATTTGAATTCAGCATGGACCACTTTCTCCTGGTGAGTATAGAAATGTGTCACTTACTTGTAAATGAATAAACATGACTTTGGTAATTTAGTTCTTGCATTAAAGAAAACATGCTGATTATTCTCTTAGAAATTGCTTATATTTCAGTAAGTTCATTTGGTAAGTTCATGGCAATCATGAGAGTCAGGCACCTAGTATGAATTCACTTCTTTTTCCTTTATTGTTACAGACAATGTGCCTAATCCTGGCTTCTTATTATGCATAATTACCACTGATCCCAAGAAGGATCAGAAAAAAACTTTACATCCTTTTTGTGAAGTGGCAAACTCACCACTATAAAAGGGAAAAAGAGCGAAGATCACTACAAAAAACCAATTCGTGTCCCTAAACCTGATAAAGTTATTCTATTCCCCTGTCATGTTTTACACATTTGGTTTTCCTGTTGTATTAGAATGAGACTTTAAGACAACATTGTGAAATGTTTCATTGGGAGAGGATTTTTTTTTCTTCCTTATGTGTTCTTTAATCATAATGCATACTTTAGAATTAGGTTAGAGAAAGCAATGCCCTACTTTCTATTTTCTCCATCTGGTAAATATAGTGTCAACAATTTCCTGAGATGCTGCTATCCAGACCAAGTTTTATCTCCTTTTGTAACATGTATGCAAGGTTGCCAAAAGGACATGAACAGTGACAATAATCATCCAAAGTAACTCTTATCGGACATTTAGTATTTAATGTTTTAGGCTAGTGGGAGGAAATAATCTGTAATTAATTCACCTGTAAACAATATACTCATCCTTATTTAAAAAAAAAAAACTTAGACAATAGAATATGACCTCAAAAGGATAGTTCGTGATGCCGGGCTAAAGAATTAACTTTTGAGAAGGAAAATATCAGTTGTAGATGACTTTGAGCTTAGGATAGGGGAGGGAATGAAGAAGTTGGGAAAATCAAAAGATTAGGAACGTAAGGGTATCTGGAGAGCACGGCAGCCATGCTGCATATTTTATGAATCTCCCCAAAACTCTTTGTAAAACAGTCAAGTAATCACATAGCAAAACCCCAAAACCAATGTACAAAATTTACAATGAACTAAATGACAAGATATATTCCATGAACTCCAAAATACAAGTGGGAAAGGGAAAAATAAAAAAAAAAAAGCACTAACAACCACATGTGCGTTGTGTTAGCACCTGTGTGGGACAGAGCAGAAGAAAGCAAAAGTGTGTGAAGAATCTAAGAACCGAAGAATCTCCTAACAGCCAACAACCTGCATTGGAAAGCACATCAGACCAAAAAGAACAGCAGGTTAAACAAGGAGGGGTTTAGACAAGCCTAATAGCTGGTATGCAAAGGGCTCCGTATAGAAGATGAAACCTGAACTAGTCCAGATGCTATGAACTCTCAAAACTGACCAGCCTGGGCTCCCTTCCTACTCAGGCCTGCACACTGGAGTAGGCCTCTGAAAATACTGTTAAAGTGAAGCAAAGTAGGGATAATAGAGACGAAGGAAGAGAAGGTTCAGATAAAAATAGAGAAGATAAAAATCTGAGAGGCAGGAAATCTTAGAAAGTTATTCTGAACGACATCTTTCTGTAAAAGTTCAGGAAAACTACTTTTTCACAAAACAAATGAGCAACAAAAATGAGCAACTTAAAGTCGAATTTATACAAAGTTATTATAAGAACAAAGAAAATAAGGTACATGCAATACAAATGTGAAAAATAATCTAATTTTCAAAATGAGCTAAAAGACATTAAAAAGATACAAATATGAAAGCAATATAACTCAAAATTAGAAAACAAAAGTAAAGTAACATAAATTCAAAGAATTACAAATAAAGAAAAAAATACAGAAATTAAGAAGAAATTACAAAGAATGTAAGAGCAAATGAGCCCAACAGATCACTCCAGAGAAATAAAACTGTGAAAAGCAACAAAATCTTAAAAATTATAATGAAATAAAAATATTAAAATGATTCAAGAAAAAGCAACATGTATTGAAGGTAGACTTAAAAAAAGACTTAACCTATGGATAATACGAGTACCAGAAGAAATATCAAAACAAGAGAGAAGAAAATACTAAAAATTATAATTCAAGAAAACTTTCATGAAATTTAAAAAAAGATTAAGAGAAGATTTCAAAATACATATTCTGTACATACCAGACAATGTTGGCCCAGATACATAATCTAGTAAAATGACTAGATTTTAGGGAAAAGACAAAAAATGCTTTAGACATGGCAATAATAGATATTGTGGACTATTAGATGGGGGAGTAAAGAAGGAGGTTGTGAGTTGAAAAACTATCTATTGGGTACTATGCTTATTACCTGGGTTCAATATACTTCTGAAACAATCCTACATATGTACCCCCATATCTAAAATAAAAGCTGAAATTTTTAAAAAATGCTTTAGGAATCTAGGCAAAAAGAGTAAGGTATTAGTGATAGAAAATTAGATCATATGGTAGATCACAAAAATGGCCCAGTAAGTCTTGTCTCCATATCCCAATGTGAAGTATTTTCTCCCACACTGAGCCTGTGCTTGGCTATGCAACTTCCTTTGGCTAACATTGATATAAGCAAATGTGATTCAGGCAGAAACTTAACAAATACCTGCACAATGAGGTTTGCCATTGCTTACTGCTTTTTGGAACCCTGCAACCACTGTGATGAAGTCTGGATTAGCCTAATGGATGATGAAAGACACATGACTCAGTCACTTTTATCACCCCAGCTGCCAGCTAGCACCAACAGCTAGACACAGGAGTGAGTCTTCCACTGGCCAAATATGGGACAGTTTTAATTCCAATAAGGATAATAATAGTAATGGATTGAAAAAATGGATTGAAAAATGAAAAAATGGGTTGAAACTCATCAAACGTGTTTAAATCTATGAGTTCATAATGCTGCAAGAAAGAAAAAAGAACCGATTAGCTACTTTCAGAAGGTGATGGGTGACAAATTTACTATTGTAAGAAGTAGGAAATACAAGGAAATAATAGAACATTTATCCTCCCTTACCAATATTATTGAATACCAAGTAATAGTTGGGGAAGGGCCTCTACTTATAGATTTATTTCAATGAATAAATGAAAAATAAGTGACAGTAGAATGTGACCATTTTACAACTCCTATCAAATTAATGGATTTGGTCAAAGCATCCACAGCTGCTTATATCACACGAAAGACAACCAAACAGCATGTACCTTCTAATAAAAGAACATGACACAGCTTGTAGTGTTGCCAGAGGGACGAAGCCTGAGTCTAATCAAACCTCTACTCCAGCTGCCAAGTTGTGGGCAATACAGGGGATAGAAGAATATTAAAATACAGGCTAAATGGACCTAATTTTTCAATGAATAAATTGCAGTGAAAAGTAAGGGATGGAGGGAGAAACTACAGAGTAATAGTGACTTAAGAGACACACCCAAAATTCATCAAAACATAAAACAATTATAAAACTAGACAGGAGCAAGACTAAACAGTGTCTAACAATGCAGACTTGAGAATGCAACATCAATGACTTAACTTGTTAAACTTAGTGTGTGCTATTTGCAGGGCTCTGTTCTAGTTACTAGAATAGTAAGGTAATAAAACTCTAAGGAAATGCAAAAAAAGCGACTAAAAGGAAAGAAAGTGGTTACTTTTTTGGTGAGGGATGTTATTCTGATGGTATGAAGCAATAGAGAGCCTTTGAGGGTTCTGGGCATAAATCTATTCCTTTATGCAAATGGTATAATGAGAATTCATTAAGTTGTATGTTTGTTTTGTATATTTTTCTGTATCTCTGTTTATTTACATTTTTAAAAAATCTTAAAAAAGAAACCCAATAGATTAGAAAAAGTTACTCTATGGCCAGATCTAGAAATAAATCTGGGAACTTCCTCTTTTGTTTCCTTGACCTTTCTGTCCTGGGTGACATGCATGGTCTTCATGTAGGAATCCAGAACTGAGCTCTCATTTCCATGGCATGGTCTTCATGTAGGAATCTAGAACTGAGCTCTCATTTCCAGATGTATTCCTGCTTTTGTTTTCTTGCTATATCTCTAATGACCAAAACAGAAACTAATCCATAGTAGGTACTCAATAAATATTTGTTGAATGAATTTTAAAAATCCTGGTTCAAAGTTTTTACACCTCTTATAATTTTAAATCTATAAAGGCATGCTCTTTTAATACCAGTTGAGGAAAAAACTTCTTAGCAAGATTTAAGAAGACCTGGTCCTATACTTTGAAGTCTTCATAAAATACACATTAAGATGCTTTCATGAATGTGTAGTTCTATTTCTCTGAGGTTTCCAGATCATCTGTATTATATTATCTTTTGTTTACTTAGGTTAAAATGACTAAATCATTGCTTTTGTTAAATTTAGGTACATAAATGGAATTACAGCATGAAATGTTCCTGATTCAAAGCTAACTAAATTACAGCTGAAATCCTGGTGAATAGACACAACATAAGGTCACTAAACATCATTAAACCAATGACTGATGTTATGTAATTACCTAATTTTAAAAAGTGAAAATGTCTAATTTATTTTAATTTCTATCATGGGAAGATTCAGAGTCAAAGCAATATTTTTGTTATCAGTTTACAGTATCACTTCATATTGAAAACTTATACATGGATATGAGTTTTCTTACCCAGGTGGCATTAGAATTATAGCCACTATTTCTAGGCTATTAAAAGTTAATTTTAAAAACAGCAAAAATTAAGACCTTGATTAAACATTAACTTTCCTTTATATTCTCACACTAAAAAATAGACACAAGACAAAATGTAAGAGGTTTCAACTGAAGTGCATACACTCTTTAAAGCCTTGATTATATCCAAAGTTTCCATTTCTCATCTCCTACAAATAATGGAACAAGGGCATAAATGAAAATTAAATGAGAAAAATCAAAGCAAATGTCAGAAAGCGTCTCTTCATGAAAGATCAGAAACACTTAAAAAAAAAAAGAAAAACAAAACTAACAGGCAAGGTTGTTAAAATCACTAGAGCTATTCGAAAAACAATTATAGGAAATGGCATCCTGAGGGGTTAAGGAGATCTAAACACTAACAGAGGATAAACCCCTACAGGTTGAGCCATCCTCACGTATCAAGCTTTTCCTTATTCTTCCAAAAGTTCATTTGGATTGTGTCAGTCCACAGATCAGGTAAATAAATTTTGCTCTCTACAGTGAAAAGCACACAGCATAAGAAAATACTTGAAGCATACCTAAAAAACCTTAAAATGGCTTTAATTACTTAAAGGTGCTAAAAGGCAAAGACGGGCTAAATATAAGACTGACCTCTTTCAGTTGTTGCTAGCTTTTGAATTTTTTTTTGTTTGTTTGTTTTTAGATTTTAAGTGAACTTTCTCTTGCAATTGATCTCCACCATAAGTGTCCTAAAAAAGACTAGGATCACAGAATGACAGAACTGGGAAGAATCATTCAAGTCCCCACTGGGTGACTGATCCCTTTAGTAAGTTTCAGCTGTCTGCACAAGGGTATGCGACTTACGAGGTAGAATTTTGCATTCGATCTAGGCATCTCCCTAGTGATTTCTTTCTGGGTTATTTGTTTTTGTAGAAAAAAATGTGATCAGAATTCTATTTTGAAAATTATTAATATGCTTTCTTTACCACAGTTTTCTTTAACCTTCACCTAACGCATCCATCTTTCTGGGGCTTCATTAGGTTTCCCTAAGAATATTTAGTGTTAGAAGTAAAGTAATATTTTGCTGTGGGCATTCAAAATAGGATTTTGCAGTATGAGACAATGGCCCTTTTTTTCTTAATGGCCTTGTTTTCTTCCTATCCCTTTTATTGTATTAACACAGAATTTTCCAGTAATGAAATGGTCGGCTGGGACCAAAAGTCACAAGGCCAGTTGATCAAAGAGAAGAGGAAGCTAAGGTGTATGTGAAAGGCAGGGGGAAAATGATAAAACAGCCTATCATTTTCCTAGCCCTCAAGCAGAGTACACTGTGATTAAAAGTCAGATATGAGAGTTTAGGTTTATTTATCACACACACTGGGCTTTGGCTTAAACACGGGGATGTAACAATTAAATAACTGAGGGAAAAGGAAGACCCTTGATTCTACTCTCCATGTAGAACCTGGAGATGATGCCATCTCCCTCAACCTAGCACCAGAGGTTTAGGTGTAGGTTTAAGATACAATAAATTATATCTCCCTCTTCTTCATCCTTCTCTAGCTAAGCCTCAGGTCAGGGAAAGACCCTGCAGCTAATAATACTCTTATCTAACAGCTTGAGGCAAGTATTTTTAAGATCTCTGAGCATCAGTTTCTAGACTGGCCAAATAAAGAGATTGTGCAATATCCTTTTTAATATGTCCTGCAACTTTAAAATCTGATGATGAGTTTAATTCTGTAGCCTTAGTCTACCATTCAAAAAAATTGTTTCTGCTAAACCTATATATTAATTTTCTTTTGTTTTCTTCTATTACTTGTACTTTCCTGTTAACAAACAATAGGAGTTAGCTGGATATATTGAACTATAGTTTCATTTTGTCAGAAAGAAAAGATTTATAAAGTAATAAAATTACGATTTATAGTAGTAAAGCAAACAACGTTTCTTCAAGGATCTTATAAAGTAGAGATGGGTCAACAAATCATATAGGTTGCAGAGAAAAATAAAATAGGATCTCAGCAAAAATTATATAGATTAAGAGAAATGTTATAAATGTTGATGTCTGAACATATTTATGCCTTACCATCAGAAATGTTTTTTCCTCTGTAAGTTACATATTCTTTCCATTTTGGGGAAATATATCTCACAGGAGCTTTTTGGCCATAGTAAAAAAAAAAACAAAAACAAAAAATGCAGATTGGATTTCTACATTTTCTTAATATTACTTTCCATTCCCATGGAAAAGCAGAGAAATAGGAAAATCAAATACTACTAGATATTGTGTTATTTTTCCCCAGTCTAATACATTGTCTCAAACAGAGCAGCAGCTTTTTTGTTTCTTAAATTCCTACCCGATTGAATTGTCAGGTCTACCTTCTAATCTACTCAAAATAAGTGATATATTTCACCAAAATTCAGAGAGTTTTTTCTGTAAATATCTGATTTGCATTTAATGAGCTACAAGTGCTTGACATTATCATCACAGCAATAAATGACTTTCTTGATGACTACTCAAATGAACTCACAGGACAGCTGTAAACCTTGGCTCTAATACAAAGGTATAACTCTCATTCTAATAACCTCACTTGTCCTTCTCTTGGTCCTTGGGCTTTCAAGGAGGAGAAAAAGACATAGCTTTCCTGGGGCTGTAGTTATTTGACTCATACTTACTTAACATAGCACTGTTATCCTCCGCTTGTCCTGGTCATAGCAAACATTGATAGAGATATACTTAATTGAAAGAACTAAAGGCTAATTAAGATAAATGTACAGACAAAGTAAATGAAAATTTTATGGAGAAAATAAAGTAAGATTTAAACAGGAAAATCAAGGTCACAATATGAGTGGCTATCACTGAATTTATACTAATAAAATGAAGAAAGGGGAAAAATCAGATAATTGAAATGATACATGTTTTATGGGGAAAATCACATCACAAGGACAACTTTTGGATGATCACCAACAAAGGTAGGGCATATGATAGAAAACCTTCAAAAATGAAATATTTAACTCACAGAAAACAAACTATGTCAAGAAAAGTCACTCATGCAAGCAGACTAAAAAAGCTAATTCAATTGTTTGAATGATTAAGAACAATTACAGACAAAAATACTTGCTGTTGAAGAAAACAAGAATATTTCCCTCATGTTATCCAGGTTGACTGCCTGCATTAATCTAATTTATTAGATTGATTAATCACTTAGCTTTGTTTTTATCAGCACAGCCTTAGTGTCTTAAAGCCTTAAGCCCTGTGGGGTATTCTTTAGTCTCATCATCTTCAAACTGAATCTTTGAATCAATTAATCTTAGAATGCATACTGATTGTGCTCCATGTACCTGTGTCTCAAAAATAATACCATTTGTGATTAAACATATTTTTTTATGTAAATCAGTATACCAAAACTCAACATGATTATTTTTCAAAAAATGTAGCTGAATAAATAATGATGTTTATTAAGCATCAACTAACTACACGCTCACTCTTTCCTTATTTAATGGCCTTTACCAGAAACTGTTCAGCTCAATTTGTTATTTGTCTGTTTAACCAGATATTTCTCTATAACTCATCCGCAACTTCTCCAGGCTTAAAGGATTATTCTTATAATACCTAAATTGCCTAGCATGTTTGGTCAGAGGAAGCCAAGCCTTTGCCACTTCCGATTTTAGAAAAACTCCACCAAATGCATTTGTGTTTTATGCAGCCTAATGGTCACTTAGTCCCTTCTTCCTTCTTCTCTGGCTGTCCTCTGTTCTACGGTCAAGTTAGTTTAAATACTCCTGGTCTCCTACACTATTTCATCCTAAAGGAGAACACAAACTCTTCTCTCAGTTGTCCAAAGAAATTCTCAGACCTGGCTATCAATTTTAACAAAAATTCATCAAAATCTTGGGGACAATAGAAAGGTTAAAAAAAAAAGTTAACTAAACTGAGAAAAAAAATGTATACTCCCAGTCATACCTCCAGATTCTTCTACTGAATGAAGGTGCTCCCAACCCCCAGGCTACTGTCATTTCAAGAGGCCAGTTCACCCACCACATAGGAGTGACCGACCGCCTCAGACTCCCCTGACAGAAGTCAAGACTCTCACCCTCATGAGGTTCCTAGAGAAGAAACAAAAGCTTTCTTCTGTTGCTTTATGCAACTTTGTTGTCTTTATTTCTCTAAAAGTAAACCATCTCAAAATTCAAATTCATCTGAAAGAAAATAAACTTTTCATTATTATTCACCAGTATTTTTCTTCTCATGCCTCTAATTATTCCCTTTCAGACTGGGGATATTGGCCTTTACATTAGAAAAATTTTAAAAAATCTATGAATGCCATTCTCCTCTTCCTCAAAGATAAGGTACAACTTCCTCTCAAAATTAAGCTAAAAATGTTGTATTCTAGAGAACACGAAACAACAATTGGCAACTCTAAAGCTGCTGTTTTTCCTCTACACCAACAAAACTACTTGAATCCTCTCCCGCTAAAGTACTGTTAACACGTTGGTATGATTTACTAGCTAGTTATTATTTAGTTATTACTAAAATTAATGGTTATGTGAATAAAATCAGCAGAGAATTTCTAAACCAATTGACATGTGAAGTTTATTACTATGTCTGAGTTTATGGGCGTTTTGACAGTGTTCTTTCTTAGACTTACATGTCTGAAACTTGGAAAACACAGGATAAACTGGTTTTAGTTTAATATTGCTGGAATATATGGAGCGATTAGTCAGATCACTGACTATCTAACTGACTCTCACCTTTAAAGCACCACATAGGAATTGTGCTAAACATCTTAATTATTTTTAAGAAAGAATCAAAACAGCTCTATATACATAAGACATTGAATATGTATTTAATCTTCTTTCCCCTCAAAAAGAAAAAGAGAAATCATCTACAACTTTTTGTATAAGACAGACAAATGCAATTCTTGTAAAACCTTAGATACTTTTGGAAAAGAGCCAAATATGTTGTCTTATTCCCTGGAAATAGCATCATAATCACACAATATTAAAATTTACCATTTACGTGAAGATGAATGAAGTGTGGATGATTCAGTGGCAAAAGGCAGGATTTAATTGGGTCCTAATCTTAAATTTGAAAATAATGTTTGGTTGGAAGTTCTTTTTACAATTAGTAGAGAGTATGATGGCCAAGCTCTCAATACTCCTGAATAAAATATTCATGAATTGTGAGAACCCTGAACAGGTCAGGGGCGAAGATCACGGGACAGTATGTATAGAGCACTTGCTTTCCATATCATGATGATTAGAAATTTCTTACGAATCAGAATGGGAAAATGGAGAGACTAAGATATTAACAACAACAAGAAAATGGTACAAAGAACAATTTATTTTCACAATGAAGAGTTTTCTATGTTTAATTATTTACTCAATACAAATATATACTTTCCAAATATCGATATATTTGTTTTGATTCTCTCCTTTAGTTTATGTTTAAACACAGCCCAACTCAAGCTTTTCTCTTCTAGCAATCTGTAGTTTTATAATTTTTCTCTCTATGGCTAGTCTTTTCATCTCCTGAAACCCAATTTTCACTTGAAAATATTTATCCAATCCTGCCCAAACCCAGTGCCACAATAATAGTTTATTATTTTGTACCATACATGCTGGGATTATAGCTAGTTTGGTGACAGAGAGCAAGCATCAGCCTCCAGTATTCATTTTCTTCATGCACACATTTATTTATTCACTCAGAAAAAGTTCAATGAGTGTGAGTGATGGCACTGTTGGGCTTATTTTCTGTACTCAGAAAATAAACATGAAAAGAACAAGAACGTATCTGCTGGAAGGGGGTCATAATTTCCCAAGTAACTCTCACTGTCTAGTTATAACACTTAATACTTACTGGCCTAAGTATTAAAATTTTTCTGCATTAATTAGAGAATACTGACATGGTATCATAAAAGATGCTAACTAGTAAATGGAACAAATTAAATTATTTCTCTTTGATCTTTCTAGAAATTACTATGATCTTCTGCTATGTGGTCATAAATAAAATAGGTTAAAATAGAGAGAGACATGACTGCAAGGAAGCTGTATTCTCTTACAGCAGGTAAAGAAACCAATATTTAATTGAGATGATCAAACTGTCCTGTCGGATTATCACTGATGTCTGTGAAGATATCATCTTTTTTTTAATTATTATTACACTTTAAGTTTTAGGGTACATGTGCACAATGTGCAGGTTAGTTACATATGTATACATGTGCCATGCTGGTGCGCTGCACCCAACAACTCGTCATCTAGCATTGGGTATATCTCCCAATGCTATCCCTCCCCACTCCCCCCACCCCACAACAGTCCCCAGAGTGTGATGTTCCCCCTCCTGTGTCCATATGTTCTCATTGTTCAATTCCTTGAGTGAGAATATGTGGTGTTTGGTTTTCTGTTCTTGCGATAGTCTACTGAGAATGACGATTTCCAATTTCATCCATGGCCCTACAAAGGACAAGAACTCATCATTTTTTATGGCTGCATAGTATTCCATGGTGTATATGTGCCACATTTTCTTAATCCAGTCTATCATTGTTGGACATTTGGGTTGGTTCCAAGTCTTTGCTATTGTGAATAGTGCCCCAATAAACATACGTGTGCATGTGTCTTTATAGCAGCATGATTTATGGTCCTTTGGGTATATACCCAGTAATGGGATGGCTGGGTCAAATGGTATTTCTAGTTCTAGATCCCTGAGGAATCGCCACACTGACTTCGACAATGGTTGAACTAGTTTACAGTCCCACCAACAGTGTAGAAGTGTTCCTATTTCTCCACATCCTCTCCAGTACCTGTTGTTTCCTGCCTTTTTAATGATTGCCATTCTAACTGGTGTGAGATGATATCTCATTGTGGTTTTGATTTGCATTTCCCTGATGGCCAGTGATGGTGAGCATTTTTTCATGTGTTTTTTGGCTGCATAAATGTCTTCTTTTGAGAAGTGTCTGTTCATGTCCTCCGCCCACTTTTTGATGTGGTTGTTTGTTTTTTTCTTGTAAATTTGTTTGAGTTCATTGTAGATTCTGGATATTAGCCCTTTGTCAGATGAGTAGGTTGCGAAAATTTTCTCCCATTTTGTGGGTTGCCTGTTCACTCTGATGGTAGTTTCTTTTGCTGTACAGAAGCTCTTTAGTTTAATTAGATCCCATTTGTCAATTTTGTCTTTTATTGACATTGCTTTTGGTGTTTTAGACATGAAGTCCTTGCCCATGCCTATGTCCTGAATGGTAATGCCTAGGTTTTCTTCTAGGGTTTTTATGGTTTTAGGTCTAACGTTAAAGTCTTTAATCCATCTTGAATTAATTTGTGTATGAAGTGTAAGGAAATGATGCAGTTTGAGCTTTCTACATATGGCTAGCCAGTTTTCCCAGCACCATTTATTAAATAGGGAATCCTTTCCCCATTGCTTGTTTTTCTCAGGTTTGTCAAAGATCAGATAGTTGTAGATATGTGGTGTTATTTCTGAGGGCTCTGTTCTGTTCCATTGGTCTATATCTCTGTTTTGGTACCAGTACCATGCTGTTTTGGTTACCGTAGCCTTGTAGTATAGTTTAAAGTCAGGTAGTGTGATGCCTCCAGCTTTGTTCTTTTGGCTTAGGATTGACTTGGCAATGTGGGCTCTTTTTTGGTGCCATATGAACTTTAAAGTAGTTTTTTCCAATTCTGTGAAGAAAGTCATTGGTAGCTTGATGGGGATGGCATTGAATCGATAAATTACCTTGGGCTGTATGGCCATTTTCACAATATTGATTCTTCCTACCCATGAGCATGGAATGTTCTTCCATTTGTTTGTATCCTCTTTTATTTCATTGAGCAGTGGTTTGTAGTTCTCCTTGAAGAGGTCCTTCACGTCCCTTGTAAGGTGGATTCCTAGGTATTTTATTCTCCTTGAAGCAATTGTGAATGGGAGTTCACTCATGATTTGGCTCTCTGTTTGTCTGTTATTGGTGTATAAGAATGCTTGTGATTTTTGTACATTGATTTTGTATCCTGAGACTTTGCTGAAGTTGCTTATGAATTGGAATGGCTTACATCTTCTGTGATTTTTAGGATTTCCAGTGAAAATTCTCTATTAGGTCAAAAAATACATTGAGAATTAAGCTAAAAATAGGAGTGAAGTATAATGTCCTGTGCTCTGAGCTATGTGACACACGCTTAAAGGTTATTTAAGAAAATAATGTATAAACCTTAATTTAGGAGTCTGATATTGTTTGGCTCTGTGTCCCCACCCAAATCTCATCTTGAAGCTCCCATAATTCCCACAGGTTGTGGGAGGGACCCAGTGGGTGATGACTGAATTATGGGGGCAAGTCTTTCCCATGCTGTTCTTGTGACAGTGACTAGGTCTCATGAGATCTGATGGTGTTAAAAACTGGAGTTTCTCTGCACAAGCTCTCTCTTTTTGCCTGCCACCATCCATGTAAGGTATTACTTGCTCCTCTTTGCCTTCTGTCTTGATTGTGAGGCCTCTCCAGCAACATGGAACTCTAAGTCCAAGTAAACCTCTTTCTTTTGTAAATTTCCCAGTCTCAGGTATGTCTTTATTGGCAGCATGAAAATGGACTAATACAGGGTCATATATAATTCTAATTTGAAGGATACTCAGTGTAAAATGATCAGAATAGAAGAACAGGGACATTGACCATGAATGGAGACAATCCTGAGAATACCAATGAGGGAGGATGCTACTGGGCAACTTTCCAGGGGCCAGCAGCACCCAGAGAGGTCAGCCAGTTTGTACTGAAAGGTGAGCACCAAGAAATTCGTCCCATATAACATCCTATTGTTATTATATTCTTTTGAATGACATCAGTTGTCTAAATTTTACTCCAATAAAATAAAAGTGGGGTGCCAATCATCAAGTTATAAAATATTAAATATGTAAACTTAAATCTATGAAAGAGGATGCCCTGGGATCTGGGTACAATATCAAATATAAGTCACTTAGCTATCAAAAACATTGTCTTAGACTATAGCCAGATACTTACTCAGCCTCAAGAGGAGCTGGGTTTTCATGTTACGGGTCAGAATTCATGAGCTCTTGAAATTACATAGTGTCATCTCATATTGCACTCTCATGTTAAAGAAAATGGGAAGAAAACATAGTGATTACATTCAGTGTGCTCTTCAAAGCCATAAAAGTTTCAACAGTGTTATTTTCACATGTTCATATGAGATAAAGGCTGCTGACATCATGAGTAGCTGCAAAGCACATCAGGTGGAATCCCAGTAAACAAATAAGCAAAGTGGTAAATTTGGATTCTACTTTTGGTTATTTGAGTCAACGTAGCCTGGACAATAAATGCTAATTATATTTGATTATGTGTTAATATTATATTATATATACATATTTGTATACTATTATATCAAATGCAATAATATTTGATTAGGTTGTTCTTATATATTAACAAATATAGTTGTATACTTGTTATAATATGAGTAGATATATTAGGTTTGTTTGTGAGACATAAAAATATAAAAGTGGCATAAATAAGATGTATATAAATAAAATCATTTGTAAACATAAGCTCTCCAGGGCTTGAAGGGTAGCCCCACAATGATTTCTCTCTTGTCAATCTGCTATTATTTAAAGATAACTTTCACCTTCTAGTCCAGGCAAGCAGCTCTAACCATTATATCTGGATTGTGCTTTTTTGTTTATTTTTATCTTTGTTTTTGTTTTACCTTTGAAATAAATTTCTATTTTATTAACAATATTTTCTGCATACAATTGAAGACATAATATTATAAATATTTGTTTACTCAAGAAATTTATTTAATTGTTCATTTAACTCTTTCTAGCCCCTTTTCATAACTGCATTAACCAACAATGTTTTGTTTAAACGTTTTTGTTTTAAAATAATTATAGACTCAGACTCACAGAAAGTAGCAAAAATAGTATAGACAGGTCTTATGTACCTATCATCTACACACACACACACACACACACACACACACACGTTTCATTTCTCTAGGATAAATAACCAAAAGTGCAAGTGCTGGCTCCTATGGTAAGTATATGTTTAATTTTGCAATGAACTTCCAGACTAATTTATTGATTGGCTGTATCATTTATGTTTCCACAAGCAGTGTAAGAGAGATCCAGTTTCTTCACAACCTTGTCAGTAGTTGACATATATTTAAAATTGTTTAATCATATTAATAGATATGTATGGTGTCTCATAGTCGCTTTCATTTGCATTTCTTAAGGGCTAATTGAACATCTTTTACTATGTTTATTTGTCCCTCGAATATTGTCTTTGATAATATATCTGTGAAACACTTTGCTCATTTTTTAATTGTATTACTTGTTTTCTTGCTGTTGGGTGTAGAGAGTTCTTTAAACATTGTGGATATGAGTATTATGCCTGATACACGATTTGCAAATGTTTTCTCTAATCGGTGGCTTGTGTTTTCATTTTTTAGTATAGTCTTTCCCAGAGCAAAAGTATTTAATTTTGATGAAATTTAATATTTTTTTTCTCTTGTGGATCATGACTTGATGCCATGTCTAAGAATTTTTTGCTAACCCTAGGTCATGAAGATTTTCTCCCATATGTTGTTTAAAAAGCTTTATAGTTTTACATTTTGTATCTATTTTGAGTTAATTTTGTGTAAAGCACGGGCTTTAGGTCAAAGTTCACTTTTTTTGGAAGTTGATGCCAATTGTTTCAGCACTATTTGTTAAAAAGAATCTCTTTCTTCCATTGAATTGGTTTTGCTTATTTGCCAGCAGTCAGCTGGCTGTTTGTGCACATCTGTGTTTTAAACAGCAGGAAGGTAAAAGAGAGAAGAGAAGGTTCACGGCCACCACACCATTTGCATGGGAAAAATGAAATAGGGTCTTTGTTACAGGTAGGAATATATCCAGCTAAAAACTGAAGTGCCTGTTACCATATAAGAGGAGGATAATGAATATTCAACAACAATTAGAAGTCTTTACCAGAGCAGCTATCATTTCAAATACAACAAAAACACAAAAGTAAAAAATGAAAATGAAAGCATGATTCAGCAGTGTGGCTGATTTTCCTTCTCATCAAGTTCTGGCAGAGAAGTGGAATGGTTAACATCTCTGGGTGCTCAAGGTCTCCAAGTCTTTTCTGCCTGCCTCACTATGCAAACTTTAATATTTAATGCCAAACCTTTCTCTTCCTTCCTTCTTAAATGCTGACTGTAGTTATTCTAAACTTGGACTGGTAAACCACCCTTGATTTCTTTCAGGTGCCTCTGCTTCACTCATGGTTCACGATTTATTTCTCAAAATAAATAACTCTGGTTAATTTCAGGGGATTTCTTTTAAGCTAACAACTCTACCCTAATCTGAATATTTTTGGAACTTGAACATTATCTTGATTCAAGTAAAACATAATAAAACTACTGAAATGGAAGAGCACAATCCCTTTCCCTGCACATTGAAAGTTATGAGGGAGAAGCGAGTGATGGAAATGAAAAGTAAGGCTGGAGTGAATCTCGAGCCAAGTACACATTCACACCAAGAAACTGCAAACCAAAGCTACTAGGGCAGTTGAGAGAACAGAAACTCACCCTGTCTCACCTGTATTGGTAGTGGCTGTGTATGGCTTAATGTTTAAATGGTGCCCAAGGCATCTTTGACATTTTTTACTCAGATGAGAAACAGCTAAACATCATTAGAAAATTTGGCCTGTTTAATCATATGCTGAACCCTTTCTAGTTCCAGAGGAGGATTAGTCTGGTCGGCATCCAGTTGACTTGGCATCAAGGTGCAGCTGGAATGGGAGCTTGGCTAGAACAGGGAATGAATGTCATCAAAACATGAATCAGGTTTCCTGAGACCCACTGTGTGAAATATTGGCATTCCTGTTACTTTATTATGTTCTCTCCTTCTAAAACTGTTAAATTTTGTAATGTAACCTAGGCTTTTACAGAAGTGACAAATAAAAAGCTAAATCGACACTTAGAATGTTCAAGGGTGCTCTGGAATGATGATTGTAGCTCTTTTTGTGGTACTGTAAAATATGAATAGTTTAGGTCCCAAATTCTTTTCACATTACAGAAAACTGAGAAACTAGATCAACCAATAATAATTATATAAGCTTCAATGCTGGTTTGTAAAAATATGTCAAAAAATTAACATGCCTGCCAGCATTGGATATTAGATCTTATCAATTCTGATTGCTACAGATGTATGCAAAAAAACATATCATTAATGGCAGATGCATTTAAACACATTTATCATTGAGCTTTGACGTATGTTTAACAGTTAACTTTGACTTACATTTCCCGATACTAAAAAGGTAAGGGTTAGGTACAGGGAAACAGCATAAGTCCTGCATTTGTGGAATGGGAAGTGATTAAGAGAGTGGGTTTTGAAGTCAGGCAACTGAGTACCTGGCAACACTATTTAAAAGATAATGAACTCACGTGAATTTCTTAATCGTTCTGTGCCTCAGTTTACTCACGTGTAAATGAAGATAATATAAATACCATATACAGTAGTACAGCAAAGAAGATAATCCATATAAATTGTTTGAAGGATTGTTGAATATTTTATTCATATCACATGCATTGCTTGTTACTTATTCATTCATTTCCTTATTCAACAAATATTTAATTGCTAAAGTGCCTACCGTATACTTATGGTTCTAGTAGCTTAGAATTCATTAGTAAATAAAACAGAAGAAAATCTTTGCCTTTGGGAAGCTTTTTTTTAATGTGTGGAGGTAAGCTTTATATCCAACATTTTTGCTTGACTGATTTATGTTAAAATAACTCATGTTTTACTGCAGCTGAAACATTTAAACTTCAACTCACATATTATCAGTAATTATAATCACAATTTTGTCTCTTCAGAGATGGCCCAGAGAAGTTAGTCTCAATTCCATTACTGACCTGATTCATTAGGAAAATACCCCTCTTACAAAAGAAAGCTTTTATATATTGTATACTTGAAAATTGCTAAAAGAAGAGGTTTTAAATGTCCTAACCACAAAAAAGTACATAAGGTAATCCATATTTTGAATAGCGTGATTTAACCATTCCACAATGTTTACATATATCAAAATAGCATGTTTTACACCATAAATATGTGCAATTTTTGTCAATAAAAAATAAACAAATAGCTGAAATAATATATTGTTTTTAGAAAGAAGGCCTTTAGAAGGGTGGTTGTCTCTGCAGATTTTAACAGACACAGATAGTAACACCAAATTTTATTCCTTAGCCCTTGGCTCTTCAATAACTTGTTTCTTCTTTTAACATGTTTTTAAGGACATTAGGACAATATGTCACAAGCCACATTCCATGCTGTCATTTATCTTATGCTGGATGATAGTAAATAAACTTACAGCTTTTCTTAAATAATTTAAGAATAAATGTCATTTACAGAAGACTTATTTTGATACACTTTAAAATAACTAAAAAAGTATGACTGGATTGTTTTTAAGACAAAGGATAAATGCTTTAGCCCGTTTACCATGATGTGATTATTATACATTGCATGCCTGTATCAAAGTGTCTCAGGTACCCCATAAATATATACACCTACTACGTACCCACAAAAATTAAAAACTAAAAAAAGAAATTAATTTTAAAAGCCCTCAATGTGCAATGTTAGCTACATGTAACTGTTCAAGTGGCCTATTTTTAGAGAAAACTACCTATTGTTTTATTTTTGATAGAAACAAGTTGTTTCTAGAGCTACTTAATGGTACTGGCAAAATTTGGCAACCATGTGATTTTTGGTTTCCATAGTATCATCTTGGTTTTCTTTTAACATATATAAATAATAGAAATATCAAGTTTTTAATTATTTAATTAAAATTACTGTAGCTTTAATGTGTAATATAACGTTCAGAACAACTTTAAAAATTGTTACTTTTTATGAATCGTTTCAATGACCCATTGAAGTGATCAAAACGATTGCCAAGAGACCCCTCTATCTTTGTTTTTGAGCTGCACACATATTTTGAGATAGGGTAAAAAATACAGAGAAGATCTTTCCATAATGTTTCAATTGCTTCAGGTAGAATAAAATCATTCAAAGATGCTCCTCGCTTTGAGTTATTCTCTTGCCATATCTATTTTACTCACGGATTTTATTCTTCTTTCCTTGCCTCTCCATTGCTTACCCTCCAAATATAATAAGAAATAAGTAATCAAGCATGCTTAGTTAAAAATAGCAATTCATGTCTGGGCACAGTGGCTCACGCCTGTAATCCCAGGACTTTGGGAGGCCGAGGCGGGTGGATCACGAGGTCAGGAAATCGAGACCATCCTGGCTAACACAGTGAAACCCCGTCTCTACTAAAAACACAAAAAATTAGCCGGGCTTGGTGGCGGGCGCCTGTAGTCCCAGTTACACGGGAGGCTGAGGCAGGAGAATGGCGTAAACCCGGGAGGAGGAGCTTGCAGTGAGCGGAGATCGTGCCACTGCACTCTAGCCTGGGAGACAGCAAGACTCCGTCTCAAAAAAAAAAAAAAAAAATAGCAATTCATGGGAAAAGTTTCTTGGTCCTCTTATCTCAGACCGCAAAAAGCAGACATATCTATGACGTCAATCACATTTAGAATTGATTTGTAAAATGCTCATCTATTTAATTTTTTTCTATCTTAGCGATATGTTAAAGACCACCTACTAAACATCATTCATTCATAATTAATTTGAACATCCATCTCTCCACTGATGGCTTGATGAATCACACTACTGTTCCCAAAAGAAATACAAGGTTTTGCCTTTTACTAGCGAAGCAAAGCAGAATCTACTGAAATCACAATAATCCAATTCATTAATTTAGATACTCTTGATCCAAGACTTGTTTTAACCTGGACCATCTGGATTGGCTGTATCCATAGCTCAGAGGTGATTAGGAACCTGGGAAGCCCTCCGCTTTTAGAGTAAATATTGGTAAGTATTAACATTGCTTGTAGTCCTAAGATGTATTGTTTTGGCATTAAGCAAAAGGGATGGGGGATCAGTGGAGTCTCCAATTTGATGCTCATTAAGATTGCCAGAATATTTTCACTGAAATCAGATAATTTCGTATTAAATCAGCCACACCAATCTCCCTGGGTATTTTCTGCTATCATAGACCAACAAGGAATGAGGTGACATGTGGTTGACTTCATTAGGTCAGATTTTGTGGGTTATGGAAACAGAGCTGCCCTCAGCATTCTAGGCTTTTCTTAGTCTAAAAACCCATTTAGAAGGCAAACAGTCAGACAACCCACTGTTACATTTTAACATGAAATGGTTCAGCACAGCAATATTCTCATTTAGGTTTGAAAATATTGTTATTGTTCTGCTGTAAATGACAGCCAAAGAAGAATGTTGATCAAAGTATTTGAGACATCGTTTCCATCTTTTCCTAAATATTCCCCTATTGTCACTGCTCAGTTCAACCCCCAAGCCTGAGAAACAAGTATCTTGTTTGGGGAGTTCATCATATTTAAGTAGGTTAACCTCAGCTTTGTTTGCATCTACCATATAGCTCTTCTTTGTTATCAAGTATTTAATTTGCGATAAGCCTGCAGTTAGGGGTTGAAAATAAATACATTTTAAGCTTATTAGATGTATGTAATTGTGCTTGAATTTGTATCATTTGAAAAACTGAAGTTAAAATGGGCTTCATAAAACCTTTTTCTCTTTGGAAAACGACAAAGCATACCTTTGAAAAGTACTATTGGCAAGTGCAACCAATGTGAAGAAAAACATACAGTCAATTTTACTTGAATTTGCTTTCACCTTGTTATTTGGTGCTATGTTTTTTTTCTTTTTTCCTTTTTCCTTATTTTTTTTTTTTGGCCTTCTGCCATTTTTAGGAAACAGTTCATTTTCTTAAATGAAGAAAGAGATTCTGAGAAGCAGAGATTCCGATTCCAAGCAATCTCCAGAATACAATTTCCAGCTACTGGTCTAAAGTATTTGGCACTTTCAGCCAAGAATTTATAATCCTCCATCAGACCCTGCCATTTGAAATAATCATAGTTTTGTTATTTTACTTTGAAAATTGTGCTCTCTGGGACTGCCATTCAAAGAAAAATAAACCAAAAATATAGATAAAACCAATCATTCTGTCATTCCCTGTTCTGCATCTTAGTAGAGATGATGGTGACAGATGAAAATCATTTGAAAGAAGGATTGCTTCTGTATATCAACCCAAACGTAACTTGTTTTGTATTGTCAGATAACAATGCTGACTGGAGTAATGAGAAAATAAACATGGACAGGGGCATCAGTGGAAAAGTCCATCACTCAATTTCTACCAATAATAAATAAATGGAGGAAAAAATATATTCATTACATGGTTGAAAGACCCAAAGCCCATAACATCTAGAAATGCAATTTCCAAACATCCTGGAGCATTTTTAGAAGCTGTAGCTGAATATCAATACAGTATTTGCTCATCTCCAAAGTCATATTTTTGTTATTTTTTTCTTCCCTGTGTTTCAGTATGGCATACTTCTTTTACTGATCCAGTAAACATAAACCTTGGCAAGGTCGCAGGTCACAGTTACTATAAAATTGACAAGCATATTGAAGAAGAGAGATATTAGTGAAACAAACTATCTATCATGGGGAGAACCACTTATATTGTGGTCAAACTATTTTCAAACTTTCCAAATAAAACAAGTTGTACTATTGGTCGGTTGATACTGTTATCAAACCAAGATCCCCCGTGTTCTTGCAGTCATGGTAACAAGATGCACTGAAGTGTTTTGGAATGATCTATGTCAGAAAAAAAGATGATTAAATCACTGAAAATACTGTTTTGCATTTTGAGGATTGTACTCTGGATGTAAATATATAAATTTAGTGAATCTTTTGACTGATTTCACTAGACTGACCAGTTGGTAGTTAGACCAACAATCAAAAATGGGGAAGTCAGCCTTTATGAACTGAACCCAGTCTTCTCGCAAATCTGGCAACTGAGTGATACATGAATGCAGAATACTTAGTAGGCAGAGGCTATCCTTTCTTTTTTTTTAAGTAAGGCCTTTCTCCAATGTGAGGTTATATTTTCAGTTCGTACCTAAAATGAAAATATTTTCTCTACTTAGTGTTTCATTTTCCTCAAAATGAAAACACACAACTTTCAGGAAATACATTGGGTATATAACTTTTCCAATCTTAATTCGTTTATTATTGGGAGAGTATCATTCTCAGGATTTCTTTCGAATTCTTGCTGGCTTTATAACATGGAGCAAAGTTTAAAACAATCTTAAGGTGTATAAGCTCTGGAGAAGTCAGCTGAATCGAGTAATTAATCAAGATGCCGCTTTTCTGCTCTCTGGCCTCTGTTTGTGAATACTCCCTGCTATCGTGCTCCCCAAGAATTCTACTCTACTTTGAAGTGAGCTGTGTTCCCCCAAAATTTATATGTTGAAGCCTTAAGCCCCTATACCTCCCAAGGGTTCCAGCTTCAATACCATCATATAAGATATTGAAAGGATAATCATTACTATACTTTTATACTATATCTTCATTATACTTTCAATATCCTACATGATGTTATTGAAGATGTGACCTTTGGGAGGTTATTAGGTTTTCATGTGGTCATGAGAGCCGGGCCGTCATGTTGGGATTACTTCCCTTATAAAAAGAAACCAGAGAGCTTTTCCTCTGTCCCCTAACTAACTCTGTGAGGACACAAAGAGAAGATAGCCAATTGCAAGCCAGGTAGAAAGCTCTCACTAGAAACCAAATCAGACAGCATTTAAATAGACTTTCTAGCCTCAAGATCTGTGAGAAATAAATGTCTGTTGTTTTAGCCCCCAGGTTATGAAATTTTTCTGTTGTTATAGCAACCAGAGCAGACGAGGAAAACCTACCACTAATGTTGAAGAAACCCAACATTATGACAGGTAGGACAAGTTCCACCATATCACCTGTATTAAGGTTTTCCCAGGGCACACATGCTTATGGGTATTGCACCTCACCAACAAGCCTGCTAAAAAGTCATTGGCTTCTTGTCTTGTTCTTGCCACAGAGTAGTTCTAGGCCATCAGCGGGACAATTGGAATTGAGAGTATCATAAAATCTCTTTGCGTGTTATTTTCTTAAGGTCTAACATTAAAAGACCACTATGAAAGCACTTTTCAGATTAGATATAAAAGTAATTACTATCAGAAAGATTTCCACCAATGATAGAAAGAAAAACACAATAATTTTTCAGATGAGTTTGCTTTTTTGGGTTTAAAGAAATAAGTCAATTTAATAAGAAATGAACTGTAACCCCTAAATTCCTTTGGATTAATGTCATGTGTTGTGTATAGATTGCAAGGGAATTAAAACTGCATATACACAAGCAGAATTAGACAAGAAAGAACACTCAGAAATGATGCGCTTTAAACTCCCTGCTAGAGGTTAAAGGGATTGTAAAACAATCACTTGAGACAGAACTGGGACTCAACCACATCATTGGTCTCAAGTATGCATATTGAAGATATTTATCAGATAAGAATTTTATTAATTCATTTTCCATTAATCTGAAATATATTATAATTTGACCTGCCTTTTATGTAGTTTGGCTTTATGCTCTCTCTTGAAAAGCAAAGCATAAGGAATATTATAGAAAATATGTTTACCCTATTTGAAAGAAGTGTGTTTAACTGCTTTATCACATTAATTCGTTTTACGTAACTAGATGTTGTTACTTAAAGATCATGGAATCATGGGTCATGGTCTGGAAAGATCCTGAAAGTTCATCTGGTTTCGCCATCTGCCTCCTAACCAATGAAACATTCTTCTACTCATTTTGCAGTAAAATATGCTGATTAAAAGAGGTCAGGCTGTACCTGGAAATATCTTGTCAGCAATTACTTTTGTTGTTGTCATCATTTCTTTGAGTATAGCAAGACTGCATTCTTAATCGAACATATTCTGTAATTTGGATTTTCTCCCAGATTTGATTATCCTGTCTCCCAATTAGTATAATTTGGAGGAGTCTTACTATGCATGTGCCTGCTTGTACTCAATTTTTATGTACAGAATTTGACTCTAACTTCTGTCATTGCTGTATTTTGTCCATTACATTTATAAACTGTAGTCAATTTTTGTTTTATAAATGATCAAGGCATTTTACTTTTTATCTGATATATTCCTGGGCCATGCTGTTAAATTATATTGTATTCTATATAAATGACAAGTAACATAAATCTGACGTGGAAAACACTTGTCTATTTACAAGATATACGTTAATGAGATTGATTGGGTGTGTGAATTGAGAATTCAGTTTTATGATTTTATAGCCACCCTTTATATGATTATAGATTTAATTTTTCTCAAAAGTGTTAAACTTTACAGGGAAAACTTCCCTTCAATCTTTTCAGAAACAGAGTTGCTGATAAGTAAATGCAGAAATATGGTGCTGCATAATGCTTTACAATCATTCTATTCCAGGTGAGAATCACATAAATTGGTCTGGACTGGTAGAGCTCAGAAATGGCCTTCAGACCACATCAGCAAAGAAAACCCACACACATAGACACACACAGCTGCCAGGAGTATCTATGGTATTTGTTAAATGATTTTTGCTTATTATTCTACATATGCAATTAGCTCCATTACTCAGTTAACTCTCCTTCCATGCTCATCAGTCAGCTGGAGAAAACAACCATCGCTAGTCCGTTGACTTCAAGAAAAAAAAACTGCTAACGGGAATCCAGAAATTTCCCTCTTTTTCCTCACCCTCTTTTCACAATTATCTTGCAATATGAGGCAAAAAGAAGGTTGCTGAAAAAATGCAATTGTTTTATATGATACATATTTATCTTGTAAACGTAGGGTGTGGGGGAAAGGGACTGCTAGCACCTCAGTCCTCATTGCTCACTATGTTCTAATTGCTCTGACCCGAAGGAAATCTGAGAAAAGGGTTTAGAAAAAATTGAAAGATATGCTGACCTTCCATGCCTATCAGGTGAATGGTTCCTGGTGCATCACTGGGAAAACAAAAAGACAGTACTGTAAATACAATAAGACTGGGGTAAATAGGAATTGCAGGCAGTTAGTTATGCTTGCTTATTTGACTTTGCCCATGATAAGGGTCTTGACTGTAAAATAAAGGAAGGATGCAGAGAGTAGCATAGGGAGTAAGGTTGGTGGGGAAACAGAGTCAGTGGCTCTCTTCGGTGATGATAGGACAGAACTCTGTTCACAGAGAGATTCTGTGATTATAAAGCTGTGTTCCTGAAACTCCTAATGGCCTAGGGTGCAGGATAGTCTCCTTCTGATTGACCTCCAACACAGAAGCACGTGCCCTGTGTTCAGAGATGCTAAGTGGAATCTATACGTCACATTGTCACTTCTGTGATATGTGACTTATTAATATTAAATGATCACCACACCCTCACCTTTAACTCCCTCTCACACCTCCAGCTGTGTGATGTTCTATATCTGCATTGTCCAGTACGGCAGTCACCAGCCACATGTGGCTACTGAGCACTTTAAATGTGGCTAGTACAACTGATGAACTGAATTTTAAATTTTATTTAATTTTAATATCTTAAAATTAAGTAGTCACCTATGGCTTTGCCTTAGAAGTAGCATTGGTTTGGCCAATGTCACAGGCTATACAACTTCAAACAGTTTAGCAGATTTAAAGTTGACCTTACTTTCTTTCTCTCTTGTGCAGGAGTGACAATAAGAAGTGTGCACTGTGAAAATTGACATCCTGAGTACATAAGAGCTGTCAACATCTAGGGGAAGACTGTGACCTTACTTCGTAGCCCTCACTCCTCCCCAAGGGTAAGACCCTCTCTACCCAATGAGATCAGTTGTTACATTAGGTTGAGAATACTGACTTAAAGCAGCAACCGGTAAATGTGGAGCAAAAAGATGATGGTTACAGTTCATATCTTCATTAATGTCTATAGAACCTGAATAGTAAGGGGACAGTCGATCAATGTCTGCTAACTGCAAATGAGTAGGCTTGCTAGCTAGCTCTCTAACACTCTTCAGTGCATACTGTCTTTTATTTCCTCTCACCTCCATTCTAGGACAAGATTAAGATATTTAGAAGCCCTACACACTTAAGGACTGTGGTGCTTCATTCACATGTCATCCTTAATGAAAACAACATCAGAGAGTAAAATAAATGTAAAGATGTTCAGCGAAGTTTGTCCAAAAATACTATTGCCTTAAGCACAATGGTGAGTCTGCCTTGTGGGTAATCAGTGACTTTTCCATCCCCAGTGCTTTTTTTTTTTTTTTTTGTCAGTCCAACAGCTATTACCCTGGTTTGAAGAGATCAAGAGCAGGCATCCCAAATCAGCAACTCCCTCGGGGCATTGAAGTAAATGGTTTCTTTTATTCTACCTCTCAGTCCTTTTCCTCTAACTTTACATCTACCTTCCTCAGTTCTGAACTTTTTTTTTTTGAGATGGAGTCTCACTCTTTCACCCAGGCCCCAGGCTGGAGTGCAGTGGCTTGATCTCTGCTCACTGCAAGCTCTGCCTCCTGGGTTCAAGTGATTCTCCTGCCTCAGCCTCCTGAGTAGCTGGAACTACAGGCACGCACCACCATGCCCAGCTAATTTTTGTGTTTTAAGTAGAGATGGGGTTTCACCATGTTGGCCAGGATGGTCTCGATCTCTTGACCTCGTGATCCACCCGCCTCTGCCTCCCAAAGTGCTGGGATTACAGGCGTGAGCCACCACGCCCAACCCTCAGTTCTGAATTTAAAACCAAAGACCTGGGATAGACTTTGGAGAAAGTAGGAAGACCTCGTGACCGTAGTTTATGTTGTTCTTTTAAGTATTTGGTCCTTAAATATGAGTAACGAGTCCAAATCACCAGCAGAGCTCCTTAAAAAATACAGACTGCTAAGCCCCATTTCAGAATGGCAGACTGAGTAGTTCTGAGATGAGGCCTGAGAATTTGCACTTCTAATAAGTTTTCAGGTAATACTTAGATACTGATCTGGGAACCTCACTTTGAGAACAAATATTCTAGGTCTTGCTTTGGAATTTAGGTTTCAACTCCAGCCGGTAAGGGTAATGGTTAGTTATTTTGTTTCCTTGCCTCAGTTGTGTGTGAGTGCATGTGTATGTGTGTGCACACATGTGTGTATTCCCAGGGAACTCTTAGAGGAGCAGTTGTGCCTGAGGGCAAGATTCTGCATCTTTGCATCCCTTGAACAAATGCCACCTTTAAAATAATCTTTTCAAGGTACCCAAGAACAAGACCCAAATATTACTTCTACTTTCTCTTCTCCCTATTTTTAGGTTGTTATTTTTTATTAACCCTACTCTTGGTGATCAAATGGCTTTTCATTTTTTGGGTTATATTCCAAGGTTACGAATATTGGCTGAAATAGAAGCTAGCTAACCAATGGTTTCTGTTTTAACTTAACCTATACAGGATAAGAAAACAGAACTATCTCTCATGCCATCACCATTTTTTCCATGCCCATGGGAGAGGCAGAGCCTGACTGAGATTGTGGTTGCTATGCCCATGATAAGTCTATACAGCCAAATTTCTCCCTTTTTTTTTTTTTTTTTTTTTTTTTGACATGGAAAAGGAAGAGTTGAACTGGAGATCTGAAGAGTTGTGGAGAAACGGTATGAGGCTGCAAAATACCATTTCTTAAACAGAAAAATTATGTTACGAACTTCACCTACTCCAATGAATGGGCTGCTCATCAGAGTCCCCTATGAAACTTTCTCCAAAGACATGAGCCTGAAAGTCACTTCTAGAGGGTCTGGTTCAATGGGTCTGGTTTCATAAATGAAGGACCTGAGAAGATTGATTTAATACCACACGTACTGTCAAAGTCAGATTTGAAATTCAGTTGCCTGAAACAACCTGTGCTGTTTCCACATCTGCTGCCTCTCTTTAAAGGTTACACTAATGATTCTTCCAAAAGAGAGAAAAATCTACCTTCATCCCCTCACTTAAAAATGGCAGCATTGCTATGGCTGAGACTGCAGGGGAAAAGGAATTTTATCATTTTTCTGATCCTACCAAGATACTAAAATGTTCAAAAACAGGAAGAGTGTATTATTCTCACCTCTTCTATAAGAGCAGTCCGCTTCTGCAAATAGCCCACAGATCTTAGGGCTCCAAAGACACACTTTATAAAGTCCAGATGTTCACAGACACTCTGCAATCAATTTCAACCTTGGATAATTGCACTCTTTCTATCCAAGGGCAGTTTCAACAGGACATGATATATTTTGTTTTTGTTTGCTGTAAGTACCAATAGCTCAAGAAGTGCTGTTATAATAACCCACTTTATCCCAGCAAGTAGCTGACCTCCAGGGAGCTCAAAACATTTTTTATGAGGTTCATATTAGTTATCAAAATTGAGGTCTTCTGAAGGAAATAGAAAGTCTATTACTTCCATTTTACAGATAAAGTAGTCAAGGCCCAAAGGATGAATGATTTTTTTTTGTATCCTCACAAAATCAAAGCCCTTGCGTTTCTGGGGTCAGGGGTCTGAGATCTAGAAATAAAAACAAGAACAAAACCCTGCTGTATAAAATATCTATCTGGTCATCTCTTAACCTAAAAGGGAGTGGACTTTTCTTTCTGGCAAATAAATCATAACTTATACTTGATTCATGGAGCAACAAAACATATTTCTTTCTCCTCTCATTTTTTGTTGTTAAGGTTGTTTTAAGTGGGTTTAGCCATGACAATGTTAAATATTAAATTTTAAGAAGTTTAACCTGTATCTTTCTTTTCTACAGGTATAGTTTGGAGATATTCCAGGTTCTGTTCCGGACCATTATAATAAAGCAAATATCACAATTAATCAATTCACACAGGTTTTTTGGTTTCCTAGTACATATAAAAGTTTTGTTTATACTATATTGTAGTATATTGTGTGCAATAGTATTATGTCCAAAACAATGTACGTAACTTAATTTTAAAAAGTCTTTATTATTTAATAATAATAACAATCATCTGAGCTCTCAGCAAGTCACCTTTTTGCTGGTGAAGGTTTTTGCTCCAATATTGATGACTGCTGACTAATCAGGGTAGTGGTTGCTGAAGGTTGCTGGGGTGGCTGTGGCAATTTCTAAAAATAAGACAGCAATGAAGTTTGCTGCATTGATTGACTCTTCCTTTCATGAAAGATTTCTCTGTAAAAGGTGATGCTGTTTGATAGCATTTGACCCACGACAGAATTTATTTCAAAATTAGAGTCAATACTCTCAAACTCTCCTGCTGCTTTATCAACTAAGTTCACTCAGTATTCTAAATTCTTTGTTGTCATTTCAACAATGTTCACAACATCTTCACCAGGAGTAGATCCCATTTCAAGAAATCACTTTTTTTTGCTCATCCAAGGAAACAACTCCTTTTTCATTAAAGTTTAAAATGACATTGCAGCAATTCTCTCACATCTTCAAGCTTTGATTCTAATTCTAGTTCTCTTGCTATTTCTGCCACATCTGCAGTTACTTTCTCCGCTGAAGTCTTGAATCTTCAAAGTCTTTCATGGCAGTTGAAATAAACTTCTTCCAAACACCTGTTAATGTCGATATTTTGAGCTCCTCCCATGAATCATGAATGTTCTTAGTGGCATCTAAAATGATTAATACTTTCCAGAGGGTTTTCAATTTACTTTGCCTAGATCCTTGAGAATAATCACTATAGCAGCTATAGCCTTACAAAAATGTGTTTCTTAAATAATAAGACTTGAAAATCAAAATTACTCCTTGATCCATGGGGTACAGAATGGATGTTGTGTTAGCAGGCATGAAAACAAGTCTTCTGGCACATCTCCATCAGAGCTCTTGGGTGACCAGATGCATTGTCGATGAGTAGCCCACATTTTGAAAGGGATATTTTTCCCTAAGAAGCACATCTCAACAGTGGGCTTAAAATATTCAGTAAACCATGTTGTAAACAGATGTGCTGTCATTCAGGCTTTGTTGTTCCATGTATAGACCACAGACTGAGTAGATTTAGCATAATTCTTAAGGGACCTAGGATTTTCAGAATGGCCAATGGCTTTAAATTGGCTTCAATTTAAAGTCACCAGCTTCATTAGCTCCAAATAAGAGAATCAGGCTGTGCTTTGAAATTTTGAAGCCAGGCATTGGCTTTTTTCTGGCTATGAAAGTTCTAGATGGCATCCTCTTCTAATAAGAGGGCTGTTTCATCTACACTAAAAATCTTTTGTTTAGTATGGCCACCTCCATTCATTGTCTTAGCCAGGTTGCCTGGATAACTTGCTGCAACTTCCACATCAGTAGTTACTGCATCACCTCACACTTTTATGTTACACAGGTTGTTTTTTCCTTAAATCTCACGAACCAACCTCTGTTAGTCTCACAGTTTTCTTTTGCAGCTTCCTCAGCTCTCTTAGCCTTCCTAGAATTGAAAAGAGTTAGAGCCTTGTTCTGGATCGGGTTTCAGCTTAAGGAAATGTTGTGGCTGGTTTGATCTTCTATCCAGACCACTAAAACTTTGTCTATATTAGCAATAATGTTGCGTTTTCTTACCATTAATGAGTTCACTGAAGCAGCACTTTTAATTCCCTTCAATAACTTACCCTTTGCATTCACAACTTGGCTAACTGTTGGGTGTAAGAGGTCTAGTCTTCAGCCTGTCTCAGCTTTGAACGTGCCTTCCTCACTAAGTTTAATTATTTTTAGTTTTTGATTTAAAGTGTGAGACATGCAATTCTTCCTTTCACTTGAACACTTAGAGGTAATTGTAGGGTTATTAATTGGCCTGATTTCACTATTGTTGTGCCTCAGGGAACAGGGAGGCCTGAGGAAAGGGAGAGAAATGGGGGAACCGGAGGTTGATGGAGCAGTTGGAATGCACATTAATCAGTTAAGTTGGTCATCCTATGGGTATGGTTTCATGGCTGCCCAAAACAATTACAGTAGTAACATCAAAGATCATTGATCACAGATCACCATAACAGATGTAATTACAGTAATAATATAAAGCTTGAAGTGTTTTGAGAATTACTAAAATGTGACACAGAGACATGAAGTGAGCACATGCTGTTGGAAAAATCATGCTGCTAGACTTGCTTGAGGGAGGGTAGCCACAAAACTTCAATTTGTATAAAGCAAAATATCTGTGAAGTGCAATAGAATGAGGTATGCAGCCTGCATAAATAAATAATCAGCTGGATTCAGAAAAATATCCCTGGATTTGGAGCTTTGTGATGGCAAAATGGGACTTGAAAACTACACTACTCCATTAATTTCATCTTTATTCTGTTTTATTTTTGTGGCAATTGTGGTTTTATATAAATACTGATGGTGCATAGGAGAAGGAAGCTACTATAGGTTAAGTCCTTTCTATTTGTTCTGAGCCTCCCAGGTCTATTTCTAACAAAATACTCACAAAACCACTAGGAATTTCCCTGTTTACTCATCTGAGTTCCTGAAGGGCAGAGACTGTTCACAGTATCATTGTATCCCAAATACATAGAAAGGAGGCTTGCAAACAATAAGCAATGGTCTACTTTATTGAACTCTCTAGAGCACCCTCTAGCTTCATACACTGTATTGTGTGCCTTGCAGGCTGACACACATGGAAGCCATCAAAAAGCTCTCTTGGGTTCCGCCAATAGAAGACATCCATAGGAGATCTGAGGGCAGAAGAAGAGTGAGGTTGAGGTAGGTCTTCCTCTAACTTTCTCCTTGTCAGGTTACTATGGGTTAGCACTATCCATCTAGTAAAATCCACAACAATGTTCAAAAACATTTCATGAAGCTTTGTTCAGAAATAACAGGCATAAGCTTAAAAAACAAAAAGAGAAGAAAAGCATACAAAACAAAACAAAAATAGATCACGTCATGTCCAGAAAGCTGAAATTTATATTAGGCTGACAGTCAGAAAACTATTTAATGTGATCTATGTGGTTTGCTGTTAAAGTACAGATCAATGAGATTGCATTTTAAAATAAATTTTAATGTGCTTATATTTGCATTTTCATGTTTGCTTTTTATTTGTCAGTGAATATAGATTTTATACATGTATACCTGCAAGACGTGCATCACGCTGGCATATTAGTCATCCTGAGCAGATATTTAAAAAACAGTTTTCTAGAAACATCCTGTAATCTCCCACATTTACCCATGCCAGTCTCTGCTCATGGTATACTTGTTAGAGGACTTGACTTAAGTCCTCTACTATCTAAGATGATTTTTCTTTTCCAGGCTAATGATAGTTGATAGATTTTGAATCCTATTCAATACCACTCTAATAACTGCATGATGAATCTCAAAAGGGACTCACAAATCAAGAGAATCTTAGCGATTAAACATATCCCTATTGTGAAACCCCATAGGATTTTTTGCTTTTCTTCTAACGTCTATCACAGTTGAGAAAACAGACGGTGTCTTTTCTCCTTTGTGTTCCTTGCAGCCCCTAGCAGGGTGGTTGGCGCACCGTAGGTGAGCAGCACAGGATTGCTGGAATAAACTGAAGGGTCATCTAGTCACACCTGATGGTTTAAAACAAGAAATTTCTGCACATTTCTAAGAGACACTCATAGAGCTTCTGTCTGAAACCTTGTAACACTGAGAGACAGTTTTAATATGCCTTATAACTTAACCAAATTCAATCCCTCTTCTAAGCAAGCCCAAGCATCTGGTATTAGTTTTCTCTCGACTTAAGTCTTGTCTTCTAATTTAACATGCTTAGTTCTTTCTATTTTTCCTTCAAAACTTTCTATAGTATAATGATTTCAGTTCACGTTCATCTGATTATTCTTGTTTGTTACTATCTCTGTTCAACTATGACTGCCCTCAGATCAAATTATTGGAGTAACACTCCAGTAATTTAAGAGAGTTCCTTCAATTCATCCATATAACCTAATGGTTCTCAAATTTTATTGAGTACTGGACTCTCACAGGTACTAGTTTAAAATCTAGAGCCTTATACCCTGAAATTCTAATTTAGTAGGTCTAATTCATCAGGTTTTCATAATCTACCTTAAAAACAGGATGTGACAAACTATTTCTATGTCTGATCACTATGCTTATTTTAACACTGAATGAGTTCCATTGCCTTTAAAGAGTATTACATCATACTGACCTAAATGCAAAGACAATTGTTAGCATACATAGAAAACAAAGACAGTGGCATGACAAACCACACACCATTATCCAACTATTCAACTAGGGAAGAGGTCCTTCTCAGAGAGGGTTTATTAGGTTCTGACTTTTCAATAGAGAGAGCTTCTGTTGTCTCAATAGGCTTTACTCCATGTCACAGAGAGGCAAAGTGCTGAGAAAAACACATCATGAGTACATAAGTACTTTTTATTTATGCAAAAATGCATTCCACCATTTTTTAAAAAGAGAGAAAGAGAAAAAAAACATATTTGGTAACATGAGGAGGAAAATGGAACAAGAAGAGAGATGACATTAAACTTAGGTATGCACACAGGTCAACATTTTAAGGATTCTTAAAGAATAATTTGTAATATCCATAAAGTAGACTCATTATATATTACTATATTGCTAATAGTTAGAATCTAATCGATTTTCCATGCCATATTTACTCCCTAGTGACCCATGACATGACAAACTATGTCTTTGTTTGAGATATAAGAGCAAAATATTGGTGGGACGATGATCCCTATTATTCATATGCATGTTTAAATGCAATTCTACCCATTAGGGTATGGTGCTGGAATGGGGAGAGTTAGATCATAGGAAAGTCTTTTCAAGTTTACCAGACTGAACAGTAAATGTTATTGGTTCTAGACTTTATTAAATAGAGAACGATAAATCACTACTGTATGGAAAAGACTTTTCATTGAGATTAAGAAGAACACTGAGATAAAGTCTTCATATCATATAGGAACTATAAAGAGTCTTGGTCATTTAAACACTACTGTAATTTCATATTCTGTTAAAATCTTCATATATTTACATGTAATCATGATGCAGTACAAAGAACTGATCAAAGTTAGGCTAAAAATAATAAGGTTTAACAGAAAAAAAATATATACTTAGGTTGCACTGTGTATATGAGAGAGTTCCTTCAACTTATCCCTCCAATCGAATGGTTCTCAAATATATTGAGTACTGGACTCTCACAGGTACTAATTTAAAATCTAGAGTCCTACACTCTGAAATTCTAATTCAGTAGAATTCAGCAGGTCTTCAGAATCTACCTTATAAACCACATTCCAATTAATCCTGATGCAAGTGGTTTTCAGACAACTCTTGGAGAAGTACTGGATTAAAACTATATTTAAAGCATTTTCATTTTGTAAGTTTTTTGAAATATTTGTGTCCTATGCACCCTCAAAGTGAACTGCTGGGGCCAGCGGTTACTAATCAGAAAAGAGAAGAAAGGCATATTTATGGATTGCCTTTTAAAACTTTTTATTTTGAACTAATTTTAGGCTTATAGATTGATGCACTATCTTAAAAGGCCTAGTTTTAGGTCGTTCTATGATACCGAGCATGATGAAATGATAACATATGTGTCCACCAGAAACATGAGAACTGAGCTCCCTGCTTGCTCATTACCTATCTTGTAAAATGACTTGCCCAAATATATTTATATAGGCTTCTAATATTTTAGTTTAATCAGCACCATCTGTTGGTATATGATATACATGCTTCTTTTTGTATTTTATGCTTCAAAATATAATGCCAGTCAACTTAGTAGGTGGACCAACCATATCATACTTACAGCATTTATATTAATCCTTTAAAATTATACAATTTTAGAACATACCTTAAATATTTGCTGCTAAATTTTCCATTGAAAAGAAGTATCTGTGCTCTATGCAATCATAAATTGATTTTATCCAGCTACGAAAAATTAAAAAGAAAAATTTTAGCATGCGGGTATGCAAGTGACCTGTGCACAACCTTTAAACAAAATATGTCCATTAAAGATTTCAATTCCATAGTATAGCTGAACTTTGTCATTACTACATGTTTAAAGCAATTTTAAATATTTATTTAGCTTAATTCTGCATAAGCCATTTCATCCTGGATTTTAATACTGACCTCAGAACATATACTGATTGAAAGAAGGAATCATTATTATGTATTAATGGTGAAAATTAAGTTAAAATATATTTTAACACACTTGTGAATTTCTAAAGCTGACAGCAATAAGGAATGTACTAAGAAATTATCTCTTTATTTTTCATATTAAATATACCACTTTTTATATTCTGTAGGCAGAATGAGACCCACAAATATGGTAATTGTATCTGAATATTATATAGTCAATATATTTAGAAATTAAGTATGTTGAATCAGCTGAATTCTTCTCTTATTTGTCACTAGTAAAAAGTAATCTCATCAATAAGAGACAGTTGTCACTGTTAATTAAAAATCCCTACTGTGTAAATTGGTATTTAGGTACTTGCTGATAAGAGGTTTCTGCTACAATAGGCTATTACAACTTCATAATAGTTAAGGCCTAACACTGAAACCCTTCTGTGTTCTGTTTCAGTGACCCACTCCATAAAGCCATTGTGGACTATTGTGCTTGTCCAACAGCCTCAGGGCCCCATTACACATCTATTTCAGATCTCAGATCCTTGCTGGTAAAAGATGCATGATCTGAAATCTTGGCTACAACATAAGATGGGTCTAACAATGTTCACATTTGAAATTTTTCTTTCATGTGACTCAAACGGGGCCTAGCTTTTGCTTCTTAAAAATCATTACCCACGTTAGTATGTGTGTGTATGTGTGTGTGTGCACGTGTGCACGTGCTGGGGATTGAAGATGACTGGATAGGACCTAGACTGTTAAAACTTTAAAACATCTAGAAAACCTTTTTGGCTAAGTTGGTTGATGTATCCAGTAAAGGCGTCAGCTAAGTATCCAAACACCTTACCTCTCTCCTGTGACCTAGAAGGTTTAGAACTGCCAGAAAAATTTAGCAAGATTATTGCCAAGTCTGTCTTTTTTGCTCTGCCAAGAGTTTCCATTGCAAAAGACTTCGGGAATGTAGACAGTTTCTATTAACACCAATACTAAGGTTGCGGGTCTAGTAAATATTAGGTAATAACAATGTTCAAGACGCAGTGGTGATGGTGGGGTCATGTTGTCCAGGAGAGGAGGTGTTAGCCCAGTATTGTGGATTGTTAGGTCCTATTCTTGGCTCAATTACTGGGAAATGATTTGACATTGAGTTTTAATAATCTTTGGCCCTGATCTTTCTGTTTGGAAGACATTATAATAATAATGTGCATTATGAAGTAGTTGATGCACTAGTTACCCAAGAAACTACTTGTGCATGAAAGAAACAATCACAGCTTGCCATCCTAGGGGTATAACAAGAGCATACTTACAAACAATTTGGATAAATTTCTGAATTATATAACTAGGTTAACTTTTGTGAACCTAAGTTGTAAATAAGTCCCTCAATTAGTATTGTCATTTTTTCTCATTTCTTTCATATTACTTGAAAAATTTTCAATATAATATAACAAATCATGAACTATGAAAAGAAAAGGGCCTACATTCTGTATCTGGTCTTGTGATGTGCATGGGTAACTACAAACTTCATATTATGGACAAATCAATAAAAATGAAAACTGTCAAATAAAAAGTTGACACTAACTTGAATTTACCCAAAGAGTATTCCCCAACCTAAATCTATTTCCCAAAGCCAAGAAGATTTGATAACTGTTCTAGAAACAGGTTGTAATTCATGAAATGCTGACATCAACAACCAAATCGAAGAATTCCAGGAATTTCTTTCACAGGCTTGTACCTAATTTTCCAGTTGAATGGGAGTGTCTCTATTCTGGCCCCCACAACATTTTGTTCTGACTCTCATTTGGCACATTTTGTCTGAAACTGCAGCTCAGTCCCAGCTGTGCACCTATGTATGCTATGACCTACAGCAAGTTAGCTAATCAATTTTTGCTTCCAGTTCATCATCTACAAATAGGAATAATAATAGCACCTAACCCATAAGGTGAATGTCAGACCTACTCCATAGCACTTAGCAAGGTGTCTGATATATAAGTGCCTGATGATCTTAACTATTATTATTATCCTTATTATAATTGTTTTTATTAGATATTATCATCACTCCCAGTTAGTAAGCTCCTTGTACCTCCACATAATAATTAATATATGATTCTTCACATTGCTTTTATTGTAAGAATAAAAAAGTGAATGATTGAATGGATGAAATAATGAATGGAAAAAAAAGGCAAGCACTTGAAAGACAGGGAGCTTATATACCAGAAGACAACATAAAAACTACAGCAGATCCTGATGGCAGATCTGTGTTCAAAATTTCCACAGTCTGACCATTTCTCATTACCTCCACTGCTTTGCCCAGTCCCAGTCATGATCATTTCTAACCTGGATTATACAAAAATCTTCTAAGGTAAGACTGTGTTCCTGATATTGGCTTCTTTAAGGCTAATCTCACCTCAGATAATTCAGAAAAACTCAATTAAAATTAATACTTACGATGTTACTTTTCTGCTCAAAATCCTGTAATGATTTCCTATCACTAAGGGTGAAATGTGAAGGTCTTTCAATGGCTGACCAGGCCATACAAGATCTTATACTCCACCCCTAACTTCCTTCACCTTTGCTTTGTCTAGACAAGCTGGTGCTTCAGGGGCTGTCTCCTTGACGCTCTTAGCTTGAAATTCTCTTTCCCAAGACACTGCCTAGATTAACCCCTCATCTTTTTAGACCTGTACTCAAATGTCATCTTTCTTAGCCATCCTACCTAACATTTCAACCCTGCCCTTCACTTCACAATTTTACTTCTTATTTTCCTATCCATCATTTTCCCTGATTTATTTTTCTTCTCAGCATTTCTCGCTTTCTAACATACCGTACATTTGTGTATTTATCTTGTTTACTATTCATCTTTTCTACAGAAATATAAATGCCATGATGGCAGCCAATGCTTTTTTTCTACTGTTATATTCTCAGCACCTACACAATGTCTGCTACATAGCAGGTACTCAGTACTTTCTGAACAAAATAAATGATTAAACAATTTTAATTATATTGTTTATTACTTAAAATCCAACTGTGACAGCTTCTCCTGGGGCCTTTGATATGCCTCTATGATATCTGTGTGTGTTGGGAATGGAGGGAAGTTTGACATAGAAAAGTAATTGGGGTTGAATTATTGGAAGAGAGGAAAGTAATAGTGAGTCAGAGGATGGAAACTAGGAAAGGGATCTCTGAGTACCTAGAATGTATACTGAAGATATTGGCCACCTGGGTGACATTGGCAAGAGGTAAAAAGAAATTGGAGAACATCATGAGGGGAAAAAAATCCAAAAAACAGAAAAGTCAATAAGCCACATTTCATCTACTTTATAATTTTGCCTTGTGCTGCCTCATTTCTTCTTCCAGGAGGTTAGTAAAGATCTTCAAAGGGAACATTGAGCTACAGAGCTGCTAAGATTCTATTCAGAAAACAGGCTCCCTATGGAAAGAGAGTCCCATGGCCCCACATTCACCATTATCCTGCTCTGCAGAGCTTCGGATGCCAGACAGAAGTAAGGGATAGACAGAGGTTATTAAATTCTAGGATGTTTATGGAAAAGCAGAGCCCCACTAATCATACCTGTTTCCTCTCCCCATCTTCGATTAAGATGGCTTCTTTCATTCTTGCTTCTCCTGCCTAGAAGTTGTCAGTATTTGAAGACTTTGTTAGGAAGGGCCAGGGTTGATAGCCAATGACAAGTAGAAGGAACTCATGGAAAAAAGTAAACTATCCATAGTTTGTCATCTTCAGGGACACTCTTGAAAAGCTGATTTCCCATTTTAGGGGAATATACTACAAAAGAGGAGAGAAATTATTCACTAGAGATGGCGGTATGTAGGGGACAAAAGGAATAAGTCATACTTTCAAAAATTATTTGTGGAACTGTCAGTGGTGTTACCTGAAGGCAAGTACACTTTTATTCCCAGTTATTCACCTTATCAATTTACACAATTCAGTTCTGAATTGGAGATACAGTTAAGATTTGAGATAGGAAAGAGTAATTCCAACAGCCACATACCAGAGCTTCTCCATTACTGACTTATCTTCATGTAATTTTAGGTGTGTTTGTGATCTTTATTATTCCTATGTTGCCAATGTAATGTTTACAGTTAGGGAAAGTAAAGCAATAAATTATCACTCATCACAGAAATTATCCAAAATTTAGCAATAGGCAAAAAATATGAATGGCTGTTCTTTCCGTAGAGGGCTTCATTTGAGTCTATCAACAAAGCTACTTTACAACTCTAGGTATAGGGGTTACTTAGTACAGTTTCATTCAGTAGAAATGCAAATAATGTCTGTCCAATGGAACATATAACCTGAAATGTTATGGTTTATTATTATACTGTAGGATACTAAACCAGTTTTGTATCTAATCCTCTCATTTATCTCAATATTTATTTATATTATATAACATATAGATATAGATATAGATATAGATATATATACAACTAGCTTCTCAAATGCTCTTTGGACTAGTTTCAAGATCTTATTTGCTCCCTCATTAGGTAATGAGTTGAATAAAATCCTTGACGTGTTCATTTTACTTTTGTTATAAGAGTTGCTTTTAACTTTTACAAAATTATACTTTAACACTGATATTTTTTATTAGCTCTCAAAATTAACCTATATTCTATTGACTTTACCTAATGGGACATAGTCGATTGGCAAGTAACCTGATAATGCTTACTTTACAACCTGAAACATTACATTCATCATTTGTCTTTCCCGTTTTCTGTAAACGCATCACCCATTCTTCCCATCCAAGTTATTACATGGTTAATTCTTGGTTTTTCATAGGCCTCGATCCATGCTTGTTACTTTATGACTTTGTAACAAGTTATTTGTAAAAATTAATTTTACCATAACCACCTAAGCAGTAGGCAACTAGAAAAAACACTTCATAGTTCAAATTTGTTTATGTCCATCCTTGTCACTCTTAAAACAGATAGATAAATCAAAATAAAATATTAGACTTTACGGTGATAAGAGACTGAGTTCAACGAACAAAAATATTCTGAATGTCCTTTTTTTAAAAAGGTGCCCGAAAGTAACACTACCACTAAAGATTATAATACAAAAAAATTTGAAAAACTATAATAAAATAGTCAGAGAAAATAGGTTTTTTACAAAATAAAATTATGTGCTGTTTTCTCCCACTATCCCTGTAATATGACACTTAACAAGTGGCAGTCTGCAACTTTCTGAGTATTCATAGACAGTAATTTCTTCTTAAGGAAATATTTTATTTTTCTAGCTGTGGGCAAATTTTTCTACACTATTTTCATCTTCATTAAAGGAGAACAATAAAAAATCAAAAAGAATCATTTCTAAAGATCACTGTATACAGGAAAAGTATTCGATAATTCGGTATTCTCACTCATTCTTGCATGCATTCTCATTGTTACTTCTGGCCATTTCATTCTAGAAGGTGGGTGAAAATACAAACAACCAATTTTTTTTTTTAGGAATGTATTAGGAGAAACTCAAAAATGAAATGATAAAAATTGGTAAGGCTGCATAATAGGATTTAAGAATGTGATTTCTTCCAATTGCTGACTGAATAAAACATCGGTATTGACTAATATAGTTTAGAAAATTGTTAATATTCTTTCTACACTGTCAAGAAATATTGGTAAATAATATATTGTGTTAAAAGGGGAAGAAAACATAAATGACAAAAACTTCTGTTCCTAGTAAGATTTCATATAATATGGTATTTAATTTTCTAAAAAAGCAAAATCTTGTTCTTCTGAAATGCCACATTTTGTGTAAAAATTTATGATAAACACTAAAAATCGAGTTATTAGGTTCCTGTTCATGTTCAAAGAGTCATCCCTCAAGTTTAAATTTATGAGTAGTTTTGTTTAAAAATAAGATTAGTTTGCGGCATATCAATTTATCATTGATTTAGACATTTT
This sequence comes from Homo sapiens, assembly GCF_000001405.40. Classification (NCBI taxonomy): domain Eukaryota; kingdom Metazoa; phylum Chordata; class Mammalia; order Primates; family Hominidae; genus Homo; species Homo sapiens. The sequence goes on from NC_000007.14 coordinate 126,436,286, forward strand.
TAAATATTAACCATTATAAGCTAGAACTATCTTAAAAACTGAGGTCAGATTTGGTCCAAGGTCACACTAATATATCTCTCCTTGTCTACTAGTGACTTTTGCTGCATGTTACCTCAGGCTACATTTTTAGCATTCCCTCTGGCATGTTGAGATTAGATAATGACATTTCTTGGCCAGAATAAAACACAAGGTCAATTCTAAAGAATATAATAGTGCATTTTTCCATGCAACTTTGCATTTGCTTATCTATAGTACACAGACAGTTCATTTTAAAGCATGGGACTTATGATCCACTACTGGCACATACTAAATCCCTCCTACAGGATACCTCACCGCCATTGTCCCACCCTATATGACTACCTCTCAAGCCCTCAGCAAAATCCCTGAGAAAATAAACACAGTGGAAGGAAGAATTCTCCAGCTCCTACTGTAAGAGGCTGAGGGAGTTTATCCTCCCACTGCCTGAAAAAGGTGGTAGTTTCATCAGCAGAATGTTTCCCACTGAGATAATGTTACAAGGGATGACTGGTATATGTAAATCCACAAGAGCTATTATTTAACTTTATTGTGAATTAAATAAGATTTTGTTTAACCCCAAACAAGTATCAATTATTTGTTAAAGTACTTAGGAAAAACAACCCGTTGGTAGGTTGATAGTAGGAAGAAGAATTTTGAAATATCATGAATTATGCTTGGTATTTTATTTTTCTTCCTAAAACTTCGACATTTTTTTTAAGTAACAATAATAATGAAAACCCACATTTGGCCTGAGAGAGCCAGCTTAGCTCTCATAATCACCCTGTCACATGCACTGAACCTGATTAGAGTCAATTAGTAAATGAAATTAGTAAATAAAAACATACTTGAGTTTTGCTCTCTGAATGAAATGCAAGGCTTATATAATTCAAGCAATTTTCTCAACAAAACATATAGATGCTTAGTTAAAATGAAGTAAAAAACATCTTATAAACCACAAACGATCTCCAAAATGAAAAAAAAATTGTCAACTTAAAAATTAAAATACAATTATAATTACTTCTTGTATGGCTATTGGTACTGACCTACATGGCGCAATATACTTAATATGCAGTAATGGGTTTACTTTGCTTAGTCTAGGTCTTATCTAGAAAGGCACACCTAGAAGTGGGTTTAGGATCCTGATTACAGGATTGCATTATCAGTAATTCAGATGATCTGAAAACTTGAAAATAATGCCCTTACTCCTTGATTTAAATATTATCTACAAACAACCATTATTATTAGGAGAAACTCAACAAAAAGCCAATAGATACACATTTCCGTCTACATGCAGCAATATGTCTTTGTGCTATCTAGGAAATGTCACTGTATGTTGAAGGAACCTGCGCTATGCTACTTCAACCTTCTCTATTAGATAAAGTAACTGTCAGTAACTGGGTTGAAGCTAGAGCGCACAGACAGCTCTTTATATCTATAAGGAGTGCAATGAGCCATCCAAGCTAACTCAGCAGAGAGAACATTCACTAACAAAATGATTGTGGAGATCCATTGACTTGATGGATGTCTGGGATTGTATGGCATAGAGGAGCCCGTGACAAAAATGGTACAGATTTGAAAGCCATTATCAGCTTCCTTTTATCCATTCTGGCATGGTTTATTAATATGAGACAGGCTCCCTGTTTCCTCTCTCTTTAATGATACTGCTCCATGAACCAATGAATGTTTTCATTTGGAAAATAAGAAAGCACTGATATGTTATCTGAACTGTGGCTTCTTTAGTGGTGCCAAGGGAATAAATATGCTAATTCTCTGCTTTGAAGAATGTACTAGGTAAGGCCCATTACTTCACTGATTTCAGTGATTTTTATGCCCAGGTGAGAAAAGGTTAATACTACATACCACAGGATATTTCATTATGCAAAAGTTTTGATTTAGGAATGTAATGGGGAATTTCAGTGACATGTTTTGACGTACTTTCAAATGGTAATTTTCATACTCTGTTCTCCAAAGTAAAGTTTAATTCATCATTTGTTAATTAACTCAAAGCAATTTACCTCAAACTATTGCTTGATTCTTCATAAAAGAAGCAGTTACTATGAAAAGCTACCACAGAAATCTTGAAATATTCACAAAGTCTTACACAAATAATGCTTTTTAATATAGGAATAAAAGACAGTCTTCCTCTTATGCACACAAATGTACAAAAACACATTCCTCAAAGAAATATTTTCTCAGAACATCAGGGCTTTCATAGAAGGAGCTAAAAAACAGCAGAAGTGCCAACTAGAAAGAAGAGTTTTCCCTAGCTTTAAAACTGGAACGAAACAACTCTCAACATTTGCAAAACATTCCTTTATTATTAGAAATAAATTATTTGTATAAAAAATTGCATGCATCAATCATTGCATTTATTTTTAGCACAACCCAGGGCTTCAATCTGGTCAGCCATTACAAGAAACAGACTCATTGTCTTATACAAGTTAAACAATGTGGGACAGGAACGGGAGTTCTCACAATCACAGAAAAATACAAGAATAACATCAGACATTATTTATTTCAACAGCATTTTTTTTCACGAGCTAACATTAGTTTTCCTTTTGTGATTTGTTTTAACTGCTCATGAATAAGCAATACTTTAGCTTGACACTCATTGGTTTTATTGTATAAAACGGGTTTCTTCACTCCCCGTTTATTGATACTTTTGGCTCATGGCTAATTTTTGTTCCTTACAAGACTGACTATTGATTTGATTGATTGTAGTCTACGGAGATCTCCAGGAGTGAATTTTTGCGGTCTCATGTTCATCATTTAAGATCATATACCACATCTCTTCAGATTGTGCCATTTCCCTGTTTCAGATTGAATGATTGCTGTAACTGATATATGTTGTCTTGGTAGAGGAAGCTGTTAAGATAAATGAGGACAAATTAAAATAGTATATAATAATACATCCTTTTGTTAATATGATTTTAAAATTCAAGTCCTGTAATGACTTTTTAATAATATCCAGCTTTTACAGCATGTTACTCATTATTTTTAAACCATTCACAGTCATGCACAGCACAACGACATTTGAGCTCGACAGCAGACTGCATTATATAAAGGTGGTCCCATGAGATTATAATGGAGCTGAAAAATTCCTATCACCCAGTGAACACATAACACAACACAACACATAACACAACACATAATTCACATGTTTGTGGTTTGTTGTGTAAACAAATTTCCTGTACTACCAGTCATGAAAAAGCATAGCACATACAATTATATACAGTACATAGTACTTGATAATGATAACAAATGACTATGTTGCTGGTTTAAATATTTACTACACTATACTTTTTATCATTATTTTAAAGTAGACTTCTTCTACTTATACATTATAAAGTTAACTGTAAAATGGCCTCAGGCAGGTCCTCCAGGGGTATTCCCGAATAAGGCATTGCTATTACAAGAGATGACAGCTCCATGTGTGTTATTGCCCCTTAAGACCTTCCAGTGGAATAAGATATGGAGATGGAAGTGATATTGATAATCCTGACCCTGTGGAGGCCTAGGCTAGTGTGTGTGTGTGTGTGTGTGTGTGTGTGTGTCTTAGTTTTTAATACAAGAAGTTTAAAAAGTAAAATGAATAAATAAAAATAGAAAAAAGTCTATCCTTGAGTAAGGGTATAAAGAAAATATTTTTTATAGCTGGACAATGTGTTTGTGTTTTAAGTTTTTATTACAAACAAGTCAAAATTTAAAAAGAATAAAAAGTTCATAAAGTAAAATTTATAGTAAGCTAAAATAGTATATATTGAAAAAGGAAATGTTTAAAATAAATTTAGTGTAGTCTAAGTGTAGAGTTTTTATAATATCTACAGTGGCTGGGTGCAGAGACTCACGTCTGTAATCCCAGCACTTTGGGAGGCCTAGGCAGGTGGATCACGAGGTCAGGAGTTTGAGACAAGCTTGACCAGCATGGTGAAATCCTGTGTCTACTAAAAATACAAAAATTAGCCGAGCATAGTGGCACATGCCTGTAATCCCAATTACTCAGGAGGCTGAGGCAGGAGAATTGCTTGAACCGAGAGGCAGAGGTTCCAGTGAGCCGAGATCGCGCCACTGCACACCAGCCTAGGCAACAGAGCAAGACTCCATCTCAAAAAAAAAAAAAAAAAAAAAAAATTTACAGTACTGCCATGTCCTAGGACTTCACATTCAATCACCACTCATTCACTTAAAGATCCAGGGCAACTTCTAGTCCTACAAGCTCCATTCATAGTAAGTTCCCTATTTACATGTATACCATTTTTTATCTTGTATACTCTATTTTTACTGTATCTTTACTATGTTTAGATATGTTTAGATATACAAATATCATTGCATTACAACTGTGTACACAATTCAGGACAGTAACATGCTGTACAGGTTTGTAGCTTAGATAGACTAGGCTACACCATATTGCCTGGGTGTGTCGTAGGCTATACCATTTGGTTTGTGTAAGTACACTGTATGATGTTTGCGCAAAGACAAAATTGCCTAACAACACATTTCTTAGAACATGTCATCAAGCAATCCATGACTGTAGTAAAAATTAAATGACAGTAGAAACAAAAATGCTGCAGCAATTTTAATCTGTCAAAATCAGTAGCCTCATTTATAGTATATAAATATTTACTAGAAAACTAAAAATATAAAAGTGCTAATCTTTAATATTTTGGTAAAATTTTACATTTGCACATATGTAAAATGAAAGAACAGATCAATTATCTGTCCTACAAAATATAAAAAATATTTTTTACTACCTAAGTCAAAGACCTCAATTCTTAGAGGCTGATGTAATGACCAAGAAAGGTAAGTAATTATAATTAGCTGTCCTATGAGAATGAATACCTCTTCCACTTAAAAATACACAATAATCTTAGACTCTAGAGGTAAACATGCTAAAATATCAAATATATAGAAAACATGTGAATTGCCAATGCATATTTATGGTTTCTTTTGGTTTCATCAAAAGGAGACAAATGAAGATAAAATTTAAGAAAATAAAGACTCAAATAAAGAAATGTTTAATTGTTCTGTTGCCAACATACTGTAAAGTAAAACTCATTATTGTAAGGCCATTACAGAGATATTATGCCAAATTTATACTCATGCCTAAGCTTCTGGAGAATATAAATCTAAATCCAAATAATTCCTTTGTATTGTTGAAAGATGTGATGCAATGAATCTCTGTCCTAAAATTCAAATGTGATGTCCTATTTTTTCATGTAATTCTGGAATGAATAATCGTAAGATAAAAGATACTTTAAAAAGCAAAGAATGTATGTGTTTCAATATATGAATCCAATTCAGGATGAAACAGATTTTTAGAAAATAATTTATTTATTGAACATTGAATAAGACTAGAAATTGTAAAGTTCCTCCTCGGAAATAACTGACAATCAGACTCATTCCATCTTAGTGACACTATTGATGGATTAGACAAGTTCTTACCAGAGACCAAGTTCATACAAAGTTCACAACCACTAAAATTAACTCAGATAGCCCTAAGAAGTGCTACTATAGATGTTTTTTTCATTGTTGTTATTTTTTATTTCATTGAATATTATGAGCTTCAGGCTAAAAATAGTTGACATATCTGCTTATCTTATCTACATTGCTTATCCTTCTAGGTTATTATTGTGGCACCCTGCAAAGGAAGTAGACTTTAGACCTGGTTTTAAATTACATTCTATTCCCTGCAAAATGCGTGAAAAAAAAAAAATCATTGGGCCAGGTTACTGGGCCTCAGTTTTATCACTGGTTCAAAACCTACAATACTGTGTTCCTGTAAGGTCAAAAGCAGAATAGATCGGGATGGAACAGCTGTAGTCTGGAAGAACCAATATAGAACCAGCCTCCCTCCCTCCTTTCCTCCCTATCTCCCTTCCTTTCTTCCTTCCTTATTTTCTTTTCTTTCCATGAACCATACATGAGACCTAATGGAGTCTTACTTTCTACTTAACCTTTCCAAAAGGTAAAATATTTGTTACATTTGGTTTGGTGTGAAGTGAAACACAATGATTTTCTATGATCACTCACTTTTACTTTCTATTTTTAATTTATATAATACTCTCGTATGCCTCTAAATTTCCTCTAAGAAAATAAAATCTGTCCTTCAGTTCTGCTTTTGAAGGACTTTCATATAATCTTCACAGACAAGGTGGAGAAAAATTGTCATAAGAGTGATAAAAATGACTGTTAAAAGGGTCATCCAACTTCCTACACTGTTCAATATTTTCAACAATAACTAAAATGTATGAAATAGTTATAAAATTTGTATATAGCTAGAAAAAGAATTATGGTTGAAATAGAGTAGCAAGAGCTGATAGATCTTGAACAATAAAGTTTTCAGAAGATGTCCATTCAACAGATGGCAGTTTGGATTAGATCAGTTTTAAGGATCTTTCTAACTTTGGGGCTCTGTAGCTAATTAAAAATTAACATATTATTTTTTGAACTCTTAAACATGGTTTCTAGAAAGAAAATGGTAGAATTCTATTGAGAATTGAGAAAACAATTCACAAAAGGACAGCAATGCTAATTTTCCTACTGGTTAGAAAAGGAAGTGTAAGGTTCTGGAATCAGATGATTTAGTCAACATGAAAGCAATGATAAGGGACAAACTTTGTGGATGGCAGATACCTCGCAAGAATCTTTATCCCAGAAGTATTATAGAGCAAAATGAATCAGAGATGTACCAATGAGTTCATAGGGAGATGTTTTTCACGGTGCTGATGAATATGCTCATATGAAAATCAGTTTTTGAGCACAGCAACAGTAAATTAATTTCCTTGTGTGCATCACACTGTGTTCATAAGCTAGAAAAAACAAATCTACCTCCAGCAGCAGCTGTTTTCATGAATTATTCATGAACATAGCTTAAAGAATACTATGTACAGCATTTGTTAATTGGGTACAGTTGGCAAAATTCATATATATCAACTTTGTTTCTAACTCCCCTCGCACTCTGTTGTGAAATAACACTTGACCTTTTTTAAAAATGTAAACTATAGTCTGCAAATTCAGCAACTAACACAACACTCATTGGTTTCCCATCCAGCTTCGTATTACTTATATTTACTCTGTGTAGCTTTTGAAACTTTAAAATCTTGAACACAGATCTACCCTTTCATTGTAGGATGGCCATGGAAGTGAACAAAGGTTAAAAATGGTGATCTGGAGTAGGATTGTGGAAGGATGTGTGAAGATGTCACACATCTTTCTCTCCTGAATGAGTACACTGTAATCACTTTACTTCGGCCCAACTTATTCAAACCTAAATTATACTCCTGTAAAAGATCAATGCACTAAAATCTCCAAAGTACAATTAAACTTTTTTTTCAGGCAGTAACTGATATTATCTTGATTTACTTTTTGACTTTACTTCACCTTCTAAACGTGAGCATCTGACTCCTCCAGAATATTATAGGCTTACCCTCCAAATAGGCCTTGTTTTTGCAATCTTTCATTCTTATTTTAGAGAAAATAGAGAAATACATGCAGGCTATATAATTTCCATTTCAACATTAATAGAAAATAACCAAAGGAAAACAGTATCTGTATGAGATTTACTTCAATAATATGAGATTGGTTCTTATCAATACTGAGAATTTTGTTTTTCAGGGCATGTATTTATTCTTTTAAAGTGGTGAAAAAGTTTATTAAATTTTTTCTCCACCACTTTCCAAAGGTGAGTCTGAATGACTGGTATTTATATCACTATAAGTTTGGTTCTTTAATTTGGCAACCATATTTTATAAAGTTTTCTGGATTGCTGCTAAAAAAGAAAAAAAAAAGAGAAAAACAGGTAAAACAATAGACTCTGGTGAGTCATAGTGAGAAGTGCCAGTGTTCAAATTACATCACTGGCCAACAGCAGTTTATTGGCATCCTATAATAGCTTTCAACTTCCTACACTAATGCTGTCAAGGTAGGAAAAAAGGTAAAATTCTGTCCTCAAATCACAAGCATTCTACTTTGATGCCTTTAATGGCAGTTACAGTATACCTTTTGCTAAGAGCCGAAATAGGTTTATCATTAGTAAATTGCTTACCTATACTCAGAGATGATTGTAATGATTTGTTACTAAAGCCCATCCTTACCTTGCTTCGCATATTTCTTACTTCACAAGGTTTCATGTTTGCAGAAAGGTGAATATGTGGAGGGTGTTTGTGAAATTCTTGTAAGGTTCATTTCTCTACACGTGACTAAATTTGGTATTGGTGACCCGAAGATAATCTTTTTAGAACCAATCTGGCTAATGATTCCAGGTAAGCTGATAGTAACTGAAACCAATATGTCTAATTAAGCAATGCTAATTAACTATCACAGGATAGTTCTGTGTATGGTAAATTAGAGTAGACAATGCTTATCTAGAAATCTTGATAGAAAAGAAGGTTTGTAGATGGAATGTAGACCATAAGTTGCTATAATAATTAAACCAAATAAAATTAATTTTTAGTTTTTTCTTATATTTAGTGTCAAAAGTATGGAGAGTAGGGGATACAGACTGCTGGATGAATATGAGAGGAAGAGAATATTTTTGCATAGGATTTTGTCCTTAATGCCTGACCGGGTGTGGTAACTCACACCTGCAATCCTAGCACTTTTGGAGGCTTAGGTGGGAGGATCACTTGAGCCTAGGAGTTAGAGACCAGCCTGGGCAACAGAGTGAGACCCTGTCTCTACAAAACAAACAAACAAACAAACAAACAAACAAAATTAGCTGGGCATGACAGCACATGCCTGCAGTCCTAGCTATTTGGAAGGCTGAGGTGGGAGGATCACTTGAACCCAGGAGGTAGAGGCTGCAGTGAGCCTAGATCATACCACTGCACTCCAGTCTGGGCAACAGAGCAAGCTCCTGTTTCAAACAGAAAAAACAAATATTGAATCCCTATGCTATATTCCAAAAGACTGGAAGCCACTCTAATACAAGTACCTTTGCTTTTCTTTCTTTTTTGATTCATCTGTAGAACCTAGTAAGGTAAAGGTTGTAATGTTTACCATATTCAGCTTCCTGGTATTTTACCATACAAATCTTCAAATTATTTGCCACTCTTTCATAGATACCAAGATGGGCTTCAATAGATCAGTTAAATTCTACTGGTTGAGCACAGATTTCTGTGTATTGTTATCATGTGCTTTTTCCTGGGTGGACTGTAGAGACGAAAATAGGTAAAGAAAAGAAAAATGGAAAGGTGGTTGTAGAAAAGATTCTATTTCCAGGATCATGAGGCTTTTAAAGAAGAACTTTAATTATCTTAATATATCCAAGAAGGGAAGTCAAGGGAAGCCCTCAGGAAGCCCAAGGAAAGGGGACCACGTGGGAGAAACAAGTATTAACTGTGACTTAACTAAACATATTGGCTAACTAGAGTTCTCATTTCCCTAAAGGCACAAATAACATCATTTATATGTGTAAGATCTGTAGTGATATTCTGTAAGTATCAGCAAACTACTGATACTATAAAAAGCACCCAGTATGGAACAAGAAAAATTGTGGAATTGTTTCCAAGTACTAAAAGATAATTTTTATAAGAAGATGACGCTTTCAAATACCAAGCTTTGTAATGCTTCAAAAGAAAGATCTGAATGTCATGCTTTGTAAAAGAGATTTTGTGAGCAAGTTTGTACTCTGTAGAACAGCCGCTCATCTTGAGACCATTTGCTTCGAATGGTTTTAAATGTGATGGTGTCACGGTATGTGAGTACCATCATGCCCCTGGAAACATGTAGCACAATCCCCAAGACTAGGAGAAGAATGTTCAACGTACATCTATTAGGAAGTGCTCCCGCTCTTGACCATCGGAAACTCTACAGATGACTTACTGTTGGTTTCAAGACTCTCACAGAGTTCACTTTTCACCTCGCCATTTGGTCTGTCATTTCCTTTTTGGATCAGTTTGCTTTGCATGGTGGCAGCTGTCACCACAGCCTTGAAGCTCCTCTTGCGTTTTTGAACATTCTGTTCTGGATGAAAAATTATAATATAAACCTTGGGCATATAGAGCATGCCCAGAGATACTGAAGCACTTAAACTCATGGAGACAGTAAGTGTTGTTGTCTGGATGTACATCTGAGGGAAGAAAAAAAAAAGAATCACTGTTGGTAAGCCTAACAGTAGGAGATAAAGCAAATAACATACTATTTTCTAAAATTGTTCCAGCTTCTCTGCTAAAGGCACATTAAAAGGCACTTATTGAAATTGTCCTTAATTATAGTCAACCATTCCTGTGTCCTAACCTGCAAATGTAAATGAGTAAGGTTATTTTTTTATTGAACCCAATTTATTAAAATAAAAATACAAACAACCAAGCTGGTGGAGTTTATTTTCCTTTTTAGATTATAAATAAACATACATAAGGAAGGGGACCAAACCAGTCTGGCAAAACACTAACACTTAATGCCACACAGAACTTCTTTAGAAGGTACTAGTGGGCCAAGTGTTATTGTAGCAATAAGTTTAACCCAGAAGGTAAGTATACATAGTGAAAATAGAGTGGGAGTGCAACATTCCAGAACATCACTATTACACACCTGTGCTTGAATAATGCTAGTGGTTGCATCTTCACATCATTACATAATTCCAACTACCAAAAATCACAAGCATGTCATAAGGGCTTGATTTTTTTTAACAGTCCCTCTAAAGAACACTTCCAGAAGGTTCTCAGTGATAGCATCATATCGAAATAAGTCAGGTGCTTTTATAAAATATGTAAGATCTCCTCCCTCCAAGATATATGCACTGGGATATGGTCCCGGTCACTGCATTCTGAAATTCTCCCCCTGTGCTCATTGCTTGCCCTTATCCCACTGAAATCGACTGCTCTGATACTTACAGAGAGAGCTCTTTCTGGAAGGTTTTTCTTTCTACAAGCTAGAGGTTAAGAATCTGAAAAAAAAACCAAAGCTAAAATCACTGCTTTGGCTTTTTCTTTTTTGGTTATGGTATAGAAACAGAAACAGCAGTATTTCATTCTTTAAAAACAGAAACAAAAACCTTTGATCTGGTTCCACTTTTCATGTCCTGAGCTCAAAATAGAATTTTCCCCAAATAACTTGGGATACTGAGGCCACGGAGAAACCACATCTTAAGACTGTAAAGAGATTCTCCCTTTGTCATATCTACGACCCTCATTAATAGATCTGTTCACTCTATTTACATCTCTGAATATGATCCTGATTAGTTGGATTTTTTAAATATGTTTTAATCTGTTAGTCTTGCTAACATCTATCATACTAGTTAGATCTCATCTGGCAATCCTCAAGACCAAACTAATTGTGTCCTTTTAAATAAAGAATCAAAAACAAAACAAAACAAAACAAAACAAAAAAAACCATTCGCCCTCAAGGGTAAATAACTGAATCAGCATTAGTGTTGCCTTTTCCTAGAGGAGAAGGTTTCTCTTAACAGATGGCAAAACCTTGCGGTAAAGAACTGTCCAAACCATGAGCAGGATGTGAGGCACAAGTTAAGAAACTGTCTTTGGATATAAAATCATACCATGCACACTGCTGAATTTACTGCCCAGTTCATCTGCCACTAAGGCTGTCCTTGCATCCTTGCATAAGAGCTCATTGTTTAAGTGTGGAAAATGCTTTAACGAGATTTACTACAAAGTTTACAAGATTTACTACAATTAAGACCATCCCAATGAAATAGGGATGTGTACGTTTACGGCTTATAAATCTCCTAAGTTTTGCCATCTACTTTTAAGCAACCTATTATTTTAAACATTCCTAAGCTTCCTAAGTATTGGTTAATCTTTTTTGAATTCCTGCTTATTTTCAAGCTAGCATTGCTGCAAAAACCTACATAGAAAATTGACTGCAGAGAGAGGACATAAAGGTAAGAAAAGAATGTGGCAAAGTACAAACCACACCCATACATGTTCCAATGCCAGTCAAATAGAAAACCACCAGTCAGACTCTTTCAAGTCAATTTAGCCTAAAAACAAACAAACAAATCCAACGACGAAACAGCCATAAAATGATGGGAACATCTATACTGATTAGTTGGATTTTTTAAATGTGCCTTAATCTGTTAGTCTTGCTAACATGTATAGTACTAGTCCAAATAGTATAAAAATATTTTTGTAATAAACATCCTATACATTTTCTCTGTTACCAAAAATATAAATAATAGTCTTCTCTTATTTGGAATAATTTCTGCGATATATAGTAAATTTAATCCTGCCAAATATTAGACATGAAGAGGACTTTGGAATGCTAGCTTCCTCGTTAAATAAATTACCGCAGTCTATCCTTTTGGCAAGCCAACTCAATGAAAGATGTAATAAACACAGATATTAGAATTAAATAGTACCATGGTTAGTGTAGCAAGCTCTTCATTGGACGCTATACTTTCAAATTATACCAAAATGCTGATCTTAATTATGTACTTTCTTAAGACAGCTTCTGAAAAATTTTAATGTGAGTTTAATACAGGAAAGGCATCTAACAAAATCCTTAGCAAACTAACAGAAGAATAGAAAACCAAATACTGCTTGTTCTCACTTATAAGTGGGAGCTAAATGATAAGAACACATGGAGACATAGAGGGGAACAACACACACTGGGGCCTTTTGGAGGGTGGAGGGTGGGAGGAAGGAGAGGATCAGGAAAAATAATAACAGGTACTAGGCTTAATACATGGGTGATAAAAATAATCTGTACAACAAACCCCCATGGCACAAGTTTACCTATATAACAAACCTGCACTTGTATCCCTGAACTTAAAATAAAAGTTAAAGAAATCCACAAAATCATACCCTAAGTCCACAACCTTACAGTGGCCTAGCATTTGTTACAGGGCCATGGAAGGAATATGTTCCAGTAGACCTGGGTATGAATTCTGAACCACCACTTAAATACATTTTTTTAAAAGATAAAGTTTACAGAGAAACTCTAGAGTTATTTTCTGGGTGATTAAAGTCCCCAAACCAACCTCCCAGGCTACAATCTAAACCAATCAATCTTCCCTGGTTATTGGACAAATATGGTATCTTATTTTCTTCTCTGAACAGTAAGTTCTTATCTATGTCACAGGGTGGGGTTGGGGGTAATACTTTTCTCATAGAGGAGTTACAGGGTAGCATGATATATTTATAAAATCTCTTACAGATACAAGATAGCTCAAGAAACATTCTTTACCCTACAACTTTGCATCTAAAAATATGCTAACAAAGTATCCTCCCAGGAGTATAGGACAAAAGAAGGACCTATTACACACTTATTCAAACCAGTTTTGTTTAGAGAAGAGCTGATAGCCAGGCTCTGACTATACGATGTTGAGGAAAAGGCCTTTGTAATCTCACTTCAATGTAGACAGAATAAAATTTTGTCCAAATGTGAACTCAAGACCATATTTACTGCCTGGGCCACATGCTTAGAATAATATAACAGCTCTTTATCTCAAAGTTACAGCTCATCAGAATGCAGGAGGGGACTGTATTAACTCCCACTAACCCACAAAAATTCAAGAGATGCTAGCAATGATATTGGATATGTCAATAATAATCTTCTCTTTCCCAGCCTTCTCTTACGTGCTCCCTCCTGGCCCTGTCACTCCAAAATACTAACACCCAGAGGATGGGGACTATCTTTTCTATCACACGCACTGATGGCTTGTTACTTACTCTGCCTCCATGCCCCATGGACATTTTGAACCTGAAGCAGTCAGATGCCCTGAAGCAGATTTAAGCAATCTCTAGATAAGCCAGGGGTGAGCTGTGACAATGGAGCATACTAATATGAAATCTTTTCTGGGACCTATTACAGTTCCCTCTTCAAACTCTGGATAGGTCATTTGTACATATCAAGGTCTACTCAACGTAGGCCATGATGTGGTATCATTAAAGACTCCAGGAAGAGTGAGGAGGGAGGAGATTTTATTTTTCCAGGATAAAGGTCAGTCTTTTGCTTTCAACCAGCTGCCAGTGCACAGACCACCACAGACTCTGACATCCAACCTGGTATTTTTGCAACCCCTTAGTAACTAAGGTAAACTATTATGAAACCTAACACTCAAAGCAACTTTATGCCACGTGATAAGAAACAGACTCAGTATTTATTCCTGACTATTTCTGTTTTGCCCTCGATGGTTTAATCTTACCACTTTGTTTTAGTCACCAGGTTCTGTTTGGCTGCTTTGCATACCGTTTGACCAGCTAGAAAGCTACACTAACACTGACAGCCTGTATTTCTCTGCTTCTGTTTCTACTTCCTCATCTGCGTGTCTGCCAAAGTGAAACTTGCATCAAAAAATGGGTTTTCTTTTGCTTTTTAGCAGCCAATGGACTTCAAAATACCATTTACTACTAGAAGTGATTTTTTTTTTTTAAAGATGAAGAAGTTTATAGAGAAACTGGAGTTGTCCTGTGGGTGGTAACACCCCAAATCAATCTATCATGCAAAAGTCCAAACTCATAAAATTCCCCTAGCAATTGAAAATTGCAAAAACCAGAGGCAACCATTCAGCTTTGCTGGCTGAGCCTGAAACCACTACCAAGCTCATATCAAACGTTTTTATTTTGTTCCTGTCTTGTTTACATTAAATATCTTCCTAGTTTCATTGCTTAGTCTTTTTCTCTCTGTCTCTTACTCGCTTGCTGATCATATTAGAATTACACCCTTAAACCAAGACAAGCTTCATGGGTGTGCACTTGTACACAAGACCCTGTAATAGAAGGGCCCCATGCTTGGTTTAATGCTCTGCCACGAATGTTTTGAAGTCTGTAATAATTGTTAAAGAAAGACTCCTGCATTTTCATTTCTTACTGGGTTCCACAAATTATATAGCTAGTCCTCTTTTAAAAATCACTTATATACTGACAAATTCCGGGCTTTTCTTAGGAAAGGCATTTGTCTTTTGGGTCACTCCCTTCGGTGCCTGACAGCATCTGAAACTTAACAAGCCTCTGATTCCCAATCTTCATCCCTAAACTTGATCTCCCAGTGGTCTACCCTATCTCATTAATACCGTGCTTCTAGTTCTTGGGAGAGCAGGTGGACAGGGAACTTGAAATTGTCTTTTACTCCTTTTTTATACTCCCACCCTATCTATGACCATATCCTATTGATTCTACCTTCAAAATTTGCTCAGAACTTTCAGAATGTCTCCACTGGTGTTACATTGCTCAGAGCCATCATCATCTCTCATTTGGATCAGTACTGTAACTGTCCTAGTGTTCTCTTTCCTGCTGCCCTTGCTCTCTTCTGTTTGAGCATTTGATTGATCCTAACACAGAAGCTAGAATAATCCCATTATTCATAAACTGAATTAGGTCACTCCTACTCTCCAAAGCCTACTCTCCAATGACTTCCCATTGATTGTATCTTGACAATGGTCCACAAGATCCTCTGAGAACTCCTCTGGTTTACTCTTTTTTTACTCATTCCCTTCCACCCATACTGGCTCCCTGGCTGATCTTGGAACATACCAGGCATGCTTCTACTTCCAGACTTTTATATCTGGTGGCTTGCCTCTTCACTGCCTTCAAGTCTTTACTGAAATGCCCCAGCTCAGTGAGACCTTTCCTGAACACACCATTGAAAATTGTAACCCCCAACCTTCTACCAGTATTCCTAGCTTTATCACACTCCTTAGTATCTAACACATTATATCCTAAAAGTCTATATATTTTACTCATTTAATGTATGTGGTACCTATTTCCCCTAGCTAGAATAAAAATTCCATGAATATTGGGAATTTTACCTGTGTTGTTCACGGCTGTAAACTCAGCACTTAGAAAACTGTCTGGATTAAGAAAATGTGGCACATATACACTATGGAATACTATGCAGCCATAAAAAATGATGAGTTCATGTCCTTTGTAGGGACATGGATGAAGCTGGAAACCATCATTCTCAGCAAACTATCACAAGGACAAAAAACCAAACATGGTATGTTCTCACTCATAGGTGGGAATTGAACAATGAGAACACTTGGACCCAGGAAGGGGAACATCACACCCCAGGGCCTGTTGTGGGGTGGGGGGAGGGGGGAGGGATAGCATTAGGAGATATACCTAATGTAAATGATGAGTTAATGGGTGCAGCACACCAATATGGCACATGTATACATATGTAACTAACCTGCATGTTGTGCACACGTACCGTAAAACTTAAAGTATAATAAAAAAAAAAAAGGAAAGAAAACTGTTTGGATAACAGACATTCTCTATAATCTTTTGAGTTGGTGTGAGTTCATACTCCCAAATTTGGGTTTTAAGGAATATAACTCATGTATTTCCAAGAAGGAAAAAAAAAAACAGATACTGAAACTACAAAATATCAGAAAACTGGAGGACTGGAGGACTCCATTCTTTTTCATAGCAATCTCTAGGCTGGGAGAGAAATGTAATCTTGGGCAGATAAACATAATGCCCTTTTAAACAGTAAACTTGGTAATAATGGGCCATTTTGCTCTCCATCAGCAATGAACAGTATAATTCAAAGTCAGTCGTTTTCACTTTGGGAATAGGAGAGCTCTGGGATCTGCCCTCAAAACAAGTTAACTGTATAACTGAGGGTCAGGCACTCACATTACTTCTAAGTTTTCATAGACTTAAATCAAAGGATTTAGTGAGACAACATATATACACAGTGGCACAGAGCCTGGGATATATTAATTAATAAGGGATAGCTTTATTGTCATTATTTAACCTTGACAACCTGTTCTCTATTCATCTTCCTTCATTCTCCACGTCAGAAACGCTTAACACTACTTCTCTCTCAAAATCAGCTTCAAGACTTTTAGCCTTTATAGCAGAAACACACACACACACACACACACACACACACACACACACACACATACAAGCAAAATGGTTTATTCATAAGGAAATATACTTTATGTTTGTGGGAAACTTTAGAGTCACCACAGCAAAGAATTATAGTCCAATTTAACTCTGGGAAAAATCACCGTCCTGAGTGTTGTGTTTCTCCTGTCAGGTAGAAATCACAGTGCTGCTGACCCAGCAGCAGGTCAGATACATTGCACTGTGTTTTCATTAGTGGAGGTGGAGACCAGTTGTCTGTAATCCATTTGCAGTCACTTATCACATCCCCTTTCGGCTCAGGACACATATTTGCAACATGAAGAGTCAAATCAAAAGCTACGAATAAAGAATTGTGAAGGAAGACTACAGATGCAGAGCAGGGCTTGTTCTCCCTCCTGTGAGGTCTTTCTGAACCCTTAACCTTGGAATGATTGGGAGAGGTGGAAACTAGCTAAAGAGAATGATACAGCATCAACCAACAAGCAGAATATCAGCTTCTCTAATGATAGGAAAGAACCACGTAAGGAAGCTCAAGATCTGTTAAAGAAGGAGAAAATCTATCTGATTTACAATGACTATAATTAAACATAAGTGATCTTTAATATTTGGATTAGTAAATAATTTGTTTTTATTAAAGCCTGATGGAAAATTTAAAAACAGAGTAAATTTTTAAAACTATGGCATTATTAAATAAAATGTGGTCTTTAATTTTCAATTATTATATATGAGAATTATTTACAGAAATATAGTAAATAAGTAAACTGATGTTGCATTTTCTACTGGGATATGTATATGAAAATTAATACAAGGTGTCTACTCTCTCAGTGCTTATTAATTCCTCCTTTACAGGTATTTTTGCTCATGTTTTCCTTCGTGGATTTCTGCTTCCATGGTAACTTTTGGCCCTTTATCACTGCAGCAGCATGGACAGAACTGGGAATAACAGCAATGGGGATGTCTTTAATTATTATCATTTGAACGGATATCAAAATATAATAATATTTTCAGGTAGAGAACAAATAAATAAAAGTATAAATTAGTTTAGAAAGAAGCAAGGAAGAGGAAACAATTGTTTCAGGAACAAAATTTATCTCTGAACTATATTTTAAAGTATCTCTATCTCTATCTATCTGTCTATAGTTCTAGAAGCCAGGAAAAGAGAAAATATGTTGAATCCTATATTTATCACTGCCTAGAGACGGAAGCCTTGCTAGAATTTAAATTTTAGGCTAAATAATAAATTCAGGTTGTGTTATCTAAGGAAAGTTGGTAAAATTATGAAAATGGTTTCAACTGTAGTTTTGCGAAAGGCACTAAATCTTGGTCAGATAGATATTTTCTCTATAACCCTTTTTAAAGACAAAATAATTGATTCAGTAACTCAGTGCAGGTGCTTTTGCGGAGGCACATGATGTTTTAAAAGTGCTATTTTTTTTTTTCTGGTGATATCCCTTAATATAGTAAGAATCAAGAAAAATGGTGTTATGGGCTGAATTGTGTCTCCTCCAACATTTGTATTTCGAAGGCCTAACCCCCAGTACCTCAGAATGTGACTGCATTTGAAGACGGGGTCTTTAAAGAGGTAATTAAGTTACAATCAGGTCATTTTGGTGGTCCCTAATCCCATATGCCTGATGGGCTTATAAGGAGAAGAAATTAGGACACAAGACACACAGAAGGAAAATCACGTGATAACACAGGGAAAAGATGGCCATCTACAAGCCATAAGCCATGGAGAGAGGCCTCAGAGGAAAATAACCTTGTTGACACCTTGATCTCAGACTTCTAGTATCCAGCAGTATGAGGAAATTGATTTCTATTGTTTAAACCACCCTGTGTGTGATACAGCCCTGGAAAACTAACAGGAATGGGGAGTTGATATCACTGAAAAAGTTCTGAAAGTTCTGTGATAGTAGTTGGTTGTGGTTAAATATACCAATAGAATCTCAAAGATGTCTGATATTGATTAAAACGATGAGTTTAGATACTGTACAATAACTACAACCATAACATCTATCAATTATTGAGGATCAAGTACAGCATTATGCCAAAACTTTTATGCACTTATTTAACCCCTCACACTAATCCTGTAAGGTAGGAATGAATAAGTCTATTTTTGAGAATTACACAGTCACGAAGAAGTCATTTTTGAGACACAGTCACTTTTGAAAAGTCATACAATACATGAAAATAAAGTGTAGATTCAAACTGAGGTTTCTCTAATTTGAAAGCCCATATCCTTACCACACACCATCTGGCCCCCATAAATACACCGAGAAGTGAAAGAGCAGGATTAATGTGACTTGAGTCCTCTCCAAATCAGAGAAGCATCCCTTTTCTAATAGATTTGGGCCAAATTTCTTCTAAATAATAGAGGCACAGTTAAAGCACTTCAATTAATATTTAGTTGTGCATTAGAGGGTTTCTGCTGTTATTAATCAGCTACTTTCTTCATAAATAAAAGCCTCATGTGGATCCTAGAACAGCTCTGGCTTTCTTATAATTACATCTTCTTAAACTTGACAAAATAATCTAGCTGAGAATATGGGCCTGAAGAGCTGGATAAGTTAATCTTTTAAATGATGTTTAGCATTGAGTTTGCACTGGGTTGGAGCAGAAAAGTCTCTGATGAACCACTGGCCACCAGAAAGAACAGGGATTCCCTACATGCAGAAGACATTGCTGCATAGGCACCATTCCACCTCTATAGCACCAGAGACAGGCTATTGACAATACAGCAGGCAGGCGAAGGTGGATTCAAATACAGATGAACTGACAACCAAGAATTAGCAAATACTTAAGGAGAATCAAGACACCTTACAAAGAGAATAATATAAACATACAAAAATAGATCCAATAGAGCTAAAGAAGGAAGACTGTGGAATTAAAATTATTGTTATCTTAGAGAAGTTTTGAAAAAAAAATAACAAATCCATAAAAATATCAAATAAATTCATATAAGCTAACATTTTAATCATTAAAATAAAATCTCAGTAGATGAAGGACTTCTGATTCTGGCTATGGAGGAGTAGCTATAATCAAACCAAACCAACTTCTGAGAATAACTATAAAACAATCATAAAGTTAAGGGAAAAAAGACTATTTGGAGGTGTCAGAGGAGAACCAAGGTAGCCAGGACTCAGGGGACCAAGATCCTAGTAAGGAAAAAGAAAGCACATTGACATATGTCCAGCACTCTCCACTGCCTCTTATTCCCAGGTAACGTACTGATTCTACATAGGAAAGACAGAAATCTTTAGACAGACCTGTCAGCAGTCTCATGGGACTAGGGAGATAAAATCTGGAATTTGGGGTTATCATTGCAATCAGGACTTAAGGACCCACAATTCTAGGGTACTACAGAGAAGTAAACCGGGTATTTTATACCTTTTTTTTCCCTTGAGACTTTGCTGAATCCTAAGTGTAAGAAAGCAGCAAGCTAAAAAAAAAAAAAAAAAAAAAAAAAAATCAAACATAATCTAGATTCAGAGAGAATTCAGTTAGAATTCAGGTCCATGGAGGAGAATGATTACTCATAAAATATCAGACATTTAGCCAATATATCTAAAGGGATATTGCTGAGGAGGAAAGGTAAATCAGAAATAGACAAATCCATAAAAACCTGAAACTTATCCTCGAATTATCCCAATCCCAGATTATATCAAGGTGAAATGTCTTGATATATATATTTCAATTGCCGACTAGTAGAAAATTGAAGCTTCTCTAGAAGGAAATAACAATATATATAACATCTACATTTTTTTAAAATGTACAATGTCAGTTATTCAATAAAAGATTACCAGCCAGGCATGCTAGGACACAAAAACAAATGACCAAAAACCGTGGGCAAACAACAACAAAAACTAAACAGGTGACAGAAATGGTGCCACAGATGATCAGAACCAGGCTTCTCAGACAAAACTTTAACATAAATGTATTGAAGAAAATACATAATACGATATTTTCATCAGAGGACTGGAATGTGTCTGTGTGTGTGCCTGTGTGTGTGTGTATTGAAGTCAAAAATTATAGGAGTGAAAAATATAATAATTGAATTGAATAGATGAGTTTAATAACTAATTAGCTACATGGCAGGAAATGACTGATGCATTAAAGATAAATCAGTAAAAAAAATATCCACGGTGAAGGATGGAGACTATAAATATTTTTAAAATTCAGAAAGAAATTATTGGAGATATATAAAACATGATACAAAATTTGAATAAACATGAATCTTAAGTCCTAGAAAGAAAGGAGAGATATAATAGATAAAAAGAAACACTTAAAAGAGACACTGGACAATAATTTTCCAAAACTTATGAAAAATAATCTATTAAATTGTACAGAAAAAAATTACCAGATGGCCACATTCTGGGAAATCCTAAAAAATTTCAAGGATTTAAATACAGGGTATGCTATCTGACTAATGTGAAATCAGATTAGAAAATAGAACTAGGTTGGAAATAAATAACAAAAGAAAATTGCCAACTGTTTGAAAATTAAACAATACATTTCTAAATCACTCATAAGTCAAAAGAAAAACAATGGAAATTAGCAAATATTTTGAACTGAATAATAAGATACAACATATCAAAAGTCATGGGCTAAAGCAGACACAAAAGAAGAAATCTTGATATGATTATTCATCTCAAAAAACTAAAGAAAAGGGAGAGAAAATTAAATCCAATCAATATAGAAGGAAGGAAATAATAAAGATAAAAGTCAATAAAATAGAACACAAATGTAACATAAAGAAAATCAACAAAGCTAAAAAAAAAAATCTTTGGAAAGACTGTAAAATTAAACCACTCACAAGGTTGACCAAGAAAACAAGAAACAAGACATAAATTACCAATAATTTGGTAATTATTCCTAAAAAGGGAAGAAGATGTGATATAAGATTTTAAAAATATGCCAGCAAATTACTTCTAAATGTTGTTAGCCAAAAAAAAAAATAAAGTGTATGTTTAAAGTTTAAGAGCAACTTAGAAAAAAATGAAAATAGTATCTAAAACTCCTGAACTATCAAATGAAAAAAAATGAGAGAAAACTTGATCAGTTAAAATAATTTCAGAGAAGACAAAAAAAGAAACATGAGAACATAGTAAAAAGAAAACAGAAAACATTAGCAAACATAAATCATTAATTTTCATTATAAACACTAAATTCCCTATTTAAATACAGATATTATCAGGTTTGATTTTAAATTGTATTCTCAAAAGAGAAAAGCATATATAAAGATTATAATAAGCCAAGTTGAAAATACATTTTCTATGCCAGGAAAATGTAAACAAAGAAATCTGGAAAGTAATATTAATATAGGACAAAATAGAATGCAAGATATAATCATTAAATTATGCAAAGAATATATATACACACATACAATTAATCCATTATCACAATGTATGTAAGCAACGCATTATAGAAATGCAAGGATAGACAAATCCATAACCATCATGAGAGATTTTAATTCATCTTTTCAAAGATAGAAATTTGATTATACAATATATAATTAAGAATAGTTTGAATAAGTCAGTAATAAAATTATCATTTTCACTGCATTATTTTAAAACATAAATGAGCTTCACAGAGATCAATTATGAATTAGGTTATCCAGCAACAAAAATAAAATTTTCATAACAGGAAACATGAGACTATATCCTTTCACCTAAAAAGGTAATCAAATTAAAATTATAATTTATAAATAAATATGAGTTTTTATTTGGAAACCAAATATCATCCCTGTAAGTAACTCCTATAAAAAGGAAAGTACAAACTATTTAGAAATTGAATAATCATGAAAACAGTATGTATGAAAACTTGTGGATACAACCTAAGTGGTGCTTGAAGGAAAATTTAAAGTCCAAAATGGCAATCTTAGGATGCAGGAAATCTCAAAAATTAATCATGGAACTAGGTAAACTTTAATAGAAAAAAAAAAAGTAAACTCAACAGAGAAAGAAGAAAGTATTTGATATAAAAGAAGAAAGCGATAAGACAGAAAACTATAGTACTCATAAACCATATCATATTTGGTAATATGATAAGTCCACATAGAAATGAAAAATAAGATGTAAGTACCAGTACAAATTAGTTTTTTTAATTCTAAAAGCAAATTTTGCATAACTTTACACCAATAAATATATACATCTAGAAAAAATGCAAGATTGCCCAGGAAATAGATATTAGAAGTGAGAAAACAAAACAAAACTATATGGAACTAAAACTATGGTGAGTAAATCAGAAAGGTAGTACGTGACTGACAGAATGATGATGACCCTGCCTGAGAGAGAGCCAGCCATGGAGTGAGAACAAGGAAAACAAGGAAAGTATTCACCCCCAGCTCCTATGCTGTTCCCCTACCTCTCATCCTCTGACACTTACATCAGCATTTTTATTTTGCTTTTCATTGTGTATTAGGTAGGGTACAGTCCTTTTCAGAATTAGTGATGCAAGTGCATGGCAAATATAGTGGCAGAGACAATTTTTCTGATGTTTAATCTCCTCTTCTAATATTTTATAGTGTCTTGCTGCTATTTGAAAGGAAGAAAATAATGGTGGGTATCTTTTCCCAACGTGCTGAAAAAACTAATTACGGTGGCAATGCAGAGGCTCCACTCACCCCTTATCCCTGGGCTATCTCTGGGGAGCCTGGATATTTGCTAAGATTGGCCCCTTTACTAAGGACAGCCCTATGATAAGGAGAGTTGAGGAAGATGTAAAGGGAACTCTATCTGAAAGGGTGGAAAGCATAAGACAACTAACCACTTCCAACTCAGCCTCAAAGACTCAGAACCCTTTCTGTGTTCCACACCTTGATAAATGGTATCTTTCACAACTCAAGGATCATGACCTGCCATGATTCAGCAATATTTTTACCTGCTCTTTTTATGTCTGCCTAGATCCTGACAGCCCTAGACTTACTACATCTCTGAGACAATATATAGGGAGATGTTCCTGGGTATAAGAAAATCTTAGTGCTAGGACTGGAGCCTCCAGAAGATTCCCATGAAGGTCAAAGTAGCCAGGTTTCAAGAGAGGAAAATTCTCAGACATGACATTTAGAACTTTCTATAATTGGTCACTATCATGTCTGATGTAGATATATGGGTCTGCTTGGATACTAGCTATGGCTGAAGCACTCCAGAAAATTAAAACTTTATCCATACATATGGTGACCTCTCCAAGTCACTATACCTAGCCAAGATGAAGCATGCACTAATATGAGACCAGTAATCTGCTACAGTGTGTACTGATTACACAAATTGGCACTAAGAGCCCCATGTTGAAGATTCAATTATTTGTGGTAATGACAGCTTTCAGGAAAAGACAAAATCATTTCAAATAGGTCAAAACCTTAAAACACCCAGTAATCACAACCTCAGAAACTGTAGGTCTCAAATAACTACCAGTGAAAGGTGGAGAAGGCTTTGACCAGTACTCATAACTCTAGACCACAGACAAAAAGTCCTCTTCTTGCACATTATTCCATAAGCTCTGTGATGTAAAAGAGAGCTTAGTTGTTGCACAATCTTATCTACGGCTGAAAATCCTCACCAGCTTTAGCAGAGGCATTACTCTGAATAAAGCACCTACAGGGCTTTAAGATTATTACCGTGACCAGGTACCTGAAAGAGCTAAATACAAGAGAGTGAAGGAGAAAAGCCTTATGTACAATTTTCAATGAGAAACTAGCCCGAAGTCCCTCCCACAACAGTTTGAGACAGCTTCTAGGACCATTTCATGACAGTCATTACCTTGCTGGTAGCCCTGCAACTGACATAAGTTCTCAGAACAAGAGAGTTGTGAAGTATGAGCCAGAACCAAGAAACTTGTAAGTATATTTTAGAGCCATTAGTCACTCAGAAGCCCTAGGCATCTAAATCTCCTAGGACAGTGAACTCAGACATCATCTGAAATATCCCTCTTTTTGATGAGCATAGTGCCTTATGCTACTAGTTTCATTAACTTCATTGATGTCCTGGGTTCAGATGACCTATTTTGCCCCCACCCAGATCAACTGGACAACCTTCTTAGGTCCTGAATAGTCCTTAGGTCATTAGCAGTCTGACTGAGTCTTCTCTTACTGAAGCCCTGTGTTCTGTTGAGAATAAGGACAGCAGATTACTCCTCTAATCACCAGTCTGCTCCCAAAGTGATGCAGCTCAGACACAATATTCCACTGAACCAACTAGAATACTCTGAATTTTATTGAAAATCACTCAATTCTTTATACATCTCTCACCTGTAAATCCATTTTAGTGTGCTTTGTACTCCTAACCCACAACCACAACTCCTCTCTATCCCCAGCCTCTTCTCCCTGCCTCTGCCCTTGTGGTCTTAACTGAAACTGCTCTTTCCAAGAGAGTTGTTTCCACCCCAGACTTTCAAGTCATGGTTGTCTTTATTTCTTCAATTCATATTCCTCAGGGAAGATGATAAGGTTGGACCATCCTTTATTCACCTTTGCTGCTTCCAGGTCATTACAGACTTGTCTTTTTCTCCAATATCCTGCCTTTGAAACTGTCTTAACATTCAACTCTACATCCTCTTTCTTTCATCCTTGTTCCCGTATCTGCCATCAGTTGCCTTCATTCATTGGAGGTTCTGGCTCTGGTACCTAGGCTTGCTCTCAATCCCAAATGATGCTGTTATTTCGGATGAATTCTACATCTCATTCTCATGATCACAGCTAGAATCTTCAATACTGTGTTTAGTTTCTTGTAATACATTCTGTAAAATACTTTTGGCTTAATGTATTGTTTTTAGTAAGAGATTGTTTACATTGCATTGCATTTTCCTTTAAGTTATTTCATTTTTCCCTTAGAATAAATATAAAGAGTTATGTCACATGCTTCAGTGATGTGAGCATTGTTGTCGAGGAGTGACAAGTAACTAAAAATATGTAGAAGGGATGGATATTTCTCACTTCTCATAATGCATGTTTCCTTATGGAAGTGGCTTGCCAGGCAGCCTTTCAAGGTACCAAAATTAATATAAATGTGTACAGGAATCTTTTGCAATAAAACTAGTTATGACTTGTTCCAAGTATATTTTAAAACTGAGGCTGTTAAGTTTTACCACACTTTACTGTGACAGAATGTGAACTTTTCCAAGTGTGAAAATATAGGTATTAAATAGGGTAACTTGTATTTTCCTCAGTAATAAAAAAGCACATCTAGCTATTATCAGACAAGGTATGTGCAGTTATAATAGCTGTTTTATATATTATGGTGTTAAAAATTTTAATTAAATATTTTATATTCAAAATGAATCTTTATTTCTAGGATTTTTATGGTAATTACCCACATCACAATAACAATATTTACTACAGTTTTCATTGCAAAGGTCCTGTATTTCAGTTAGACAATTAGTTAGATAGACGTTTGTGGATGGCATAAAGACAATTATCACATGTAATATTATATGTATAAAATTATATCTCAAATGCCACCAGTCAATTTACCAGCATAATTTTGGAACATAAAACATTTTTAAGTTGGAAGGCCATCTGGATGCTATTATTAAAACTATGTTCCTAAGAGTAGGAGTAAAGAATTATGTGGATAAATTATTCCATTAGTAAATCTGATAGGCTGAGTTCCAAATATGTACAAACTACTGATGCTTCAGTTTTCAGAATAATTGCACTCAAGTGAAAACTTTTATTGTCGTGGAGGAAATATTGAGTATTCTTTCTTTTGATGTGATACAAAAAATGGTCCTATACTTTCTTTTTCCTTTTATTATTTTTACCAAGCAACTTTATAAATGTAGCATTTTACCAAGATGACACTCAGGAGAAAAAGACAGACATTTGTAATAGGGAAAAGGGATGTGGCATAGGTAGCTAACAGGACACCAAAATGTGTACTCCTTCTTCCATTGTATTGGATTGTTTCTGGGGAGTGCCTGGCCAGTCATCGACTGTTCTGACTAGATGTAGTGTGGTTATTTGACTGGTTTTCAACCTATATAATGTGAACAAGATGATAAATGTCATAAAAGTGTTTTACAGAATTAATGTGTGTGCACTTTTCCCTAGAAACTCTTACCTCCTGTTGCTGATTCTATTATTTATGATGAAGAGACATCAGGGGATGCAAAGCTATAGGATGGAAGACATAGGGGTTCCTGAATCACTCCATGGAAGAAAATTGCCATTCAACCAGGAACTACCTCAGACTACTATGTGAGTGGGAAATAAAATTGTATACTCAGTGCATATACTTTGAATTATTTTCCTACAAGTGGTGGATACGTATCGTATAACTGGTTAGTCAGCCCCTCTGACTAAGGAACAAGTGAAAACTGAGAAGGATGACAGATGATTTCCATGGCTATGGCAGAAAAATGAAATTACAGTATCCTCAGATGGATTGTAACGATTGACCTTGTGCACATTAATACGATGTTCTAACAAAGTGTCTAGTCTATCAAATATAATCCCAAGCCATTAAATTTATTCCTAGGTTCAGTGACCTCGGTCTTTGGTTAGGGAAAGAAAGCACCAAGCTAGGCTTTTTATTAAATTTTCAAGGAAGAATCATTTCAGGTACTTCATATAGCCTTCAGTACCAGAGGGAGTTTATAGGAAAGGAAGTCTATATAACAGCATTTCCAAAAGGAAGTTGGGCTGTCAAGTTAATAGCCTAAAATTCCTATGTCAGCAGCTTTGCACTTGTGCCTGATGTACAACTTTCTCTTTTGACCTCTTTCCCTCAGCTAGTTCAAATCTGACACTGCCTGTAACCAACTTCTTTGTCTCTGGAAACAACTATTGCCAATCTCTGAATATCTAAGAAAAAAAATAACTACAAATTTGTCTTCATTTAAATATAGTGTTTATATATATACATTTTTATTTTTGCCATTATGCTGTGTTTCTACTACATAAAATATAGTTACAGTTTTAAATTGCAGTTTTCTATGATTAAAGAAGCTGAATTGCTTTTCCTATAATTATTGAGCATTTGAGTATCTTCTTCTGAAAGTGATCAAATTTTTTGCCCATTTTCTATTGAGTCATTTATCTTTTTTCTTATCAACTTTAGCTCCTCCATTACATATTATGGATACAAGTTTCTTGTATGTATAATGCAAATATCTTCCACTTCTTTTACTGTGTGGCTTGCCATCTTTTTATAGTTTTTGTCTTGAAATCTATTTTGTCTGATAAACGTATAGCTACCCTTGTTCCTTTTTGGTTCCAATTTGCATGGAATGTATTTTACCATTCCTTTATTTTCAGTCTATGCATCTTTATGGTGAAGTGTGTTTCTTGTGGGCAACAGATCATTGGGTCTTGTAGTTTTTTATTATTTTTTATGATTTTTGAATCGATTCTGTCACTCTGTCTTTTGATTGAAGATTTTAGCCTATTTACATTCAATGTTACTTTATTGATAAGTAAGGACTTACTCTTGCCATTTTGTTATTTGTTTTCTGATTGTTTTGTGGTCTTCTCTTCCTTCCTTCCTGACTTCCTTTCAGTGGAGGTGATTTTTCTCTGTTGGTATGTTTTAATTTTTTGCTAATTTTTCATTGTTTATCTGTTGTATGCTTTTTGATTTGAGGTTGCCACGAGGCTTGCAAATATCATCTTATTTTTTTAGACTGATGACAGCTATTATTTTAAACTCATGACAATGTAATGCTTATTACATAAACAAACTAATAAGCAAAGAGAAAACTATTAAAAACTCTAAACTTTAACTTCATCCCCCCACTTTTGAGGTTTTTGTTGTTTCCATGTATATCTTAGTGTATTGTCTATGTCTTGAAAAGTTGTTGTAGTTGTTATTTTTAATCTTCATTTCTTAGTCTTTTTACTCAAGATGGGTAGTTTACACATGACAATTACAGTATTATAATAGTCTGTGTTTTTCTGTGTACTTAATAATACCGGTAAGTTTTGCACTTTCAGATTATTTTTTCCTTACTCTCCTAGCATATTTTTTTTGATAATCAAATTCTCTCAGCTACATATGTTGAAAAAGAATTTCCACAACCCTCCATTGTGACCATTATCATGAATCAGATGAACATATATGACGGGGTCTGTTTCTCAATTCTATTCCATTCCATTGGGCTATTTTTCCATCCTTGTATCAATACCTGCTGCTTTGTTACTGCATAATTTGATAGCAAACCTCAATACTTGGTAGTATATGTCTTCCAACTTAATTTTTTTCTCCAGACTGTCTTCGCTCTTCTTGGTCCTGTATAATTCCATAAAAATTTTAGAGTCAGCTTGCCAGTTTTCGATACACACACACACACACACACACACACATCCCTACTGGGATTTTGATTAGGATTGCATTAATGTATAGCTCAATCTCGGTATTTGATATCTTTATAAAATTGAATCTTCTGATCCATGAATTTTTATATACTTCCATTTACTTAAGTCCTCTTTAATTCGTTTCTCTACTATTTTGTAGTTTTCGATGTAGAGGTCATTTATTTTGTTAGATATATTTTTAGTTATTTGATATTTATGCTGTTGTAAATTTTATATTTTTATTTTTATGTATTCATTCCTTCTATATAGAAATGTAATTTTGTATATTGATCTTATATTCAGTGAACTTCTTAAACTTATTGATTCTAATAGTTTATCTGTAATTTCTTTTGGAATATCTTTACACAGAATTTATGTCATCTGCAAATATTGAATCTTACCTTTTCTTTCTAAACTTTATGTCTTTTTTCTTTTTATTGTCTTGCACTAGATAGGAATATCAGTACAATATTGAATAACAGAAATTATTTTCAGTATGAAAAACAACTAGGCATCTTTGCTTTTTTCCCAAATCCAGGAAGAAAACTTTTAGCAATTCACTGTTAAGTGTATCTGCTGCATTTTATAAAGCACTTATTACCAGATTAGATAAATTCTCTTATATGCTTAGTTTGCTAATAATGCATTTTAAGTTATAAATGGATATTAATTTAAGTGAAGTTTAGTTAATTTAAGAAAAATTTGCCTTTTTATACTTTTTCAGTCTTCCTGTCAATAAGTGTGTCTTTTATTAAAATCTTGTTCTCAGTCTTTCAGTGGAATCCTGTAATTTTCTTAAAAAAGGTACTTTTTTTTTAGTTAGAATTGTTCTAAAGAATGTAATGGTTCCATTATAAAGAGGGTATTTTTTAACCCATCACACTTTCTAACAGGTTATTAATAGGATATAAGAGAGATGTTGATTTTTTTCATTTAAAATGCATCTGGTCATTGTATTCCTTATTAATGTAAGAAGCATTTACTTGATGTCTGTTGATATTCTAGGAATATGATAGTTGAAAAAAGAAAGATTATTTTTCCTCTTCCTTTTGAAGAAGTAGAATTCTTGATTCTGTATAATGTCCATATTAGTCAGGGTTCTCCAAATACCAATTTCCTATTGATATATGTATATATTATGGAAATTGGCTCACACAATTATAGAGGCTGAGAATTTCCATGATCTGCCACCTGCAGGCTGGGGAATCAGAAAAGCCAGGGGCATAATTCAAAGTCCAAAGACCTGAGTACCAGGGGAGCCAATGATATAAGTTCTGGTCCGATTCCAAAGGCCTGATGTCCCAGAGCAGAAAAAAATCAGACGCCCCAGCTCAAGAAGAGAGACGGAATTTTCCCTTCCTGTACCTTTTTGTTCTATTCAGGCCATCAATGGATTGGATGATGCCCACCCACACTGGTGGAGGGGTGGTCTTCTTTACTCAGTCTACCTATTCAAATGCTAATCTCTTCTGGAAACAAACTCATAAAGATACCCAGAAATAATGCTTCATTGGCTATAAGGCATCCCTTTGCCCAGTTAAGTTGACACAAAAAACTTAATCCTCAGGACATACTGCATTGGTTTTGAATTTCTGGGTAAATTCTAAATAAAATTAAGGAATAAACATTCTTTTATTATTATTATTATACTTTAAGTTTGGGTATACATGTGCAGAACATGCAGGTTTGTTACACAGGTATACACCTGCCATGGTGGTTTGCTGCACCCATCAACCCATCATCTACATTAAGTATTTCCCCTAATGCTATCCCTCTCCTAGCCCCCCACCCCCCGACAGGCTTCAGTGTGTGATGTTCCCCTCCCTGTGCCCATATGTTCTCTTTGTTCAACTCCCACTTATGAGTGAGAACATGCGGTGTTTGGTTTTCTGTTCCTGTGTTAGTTTATTTCGTTGCTGAGTCTTCAAGAATGCCTCTAGAATCTTATCATTATGAATGGCTTTAATTCTTTAAGACAAATTTTCTTCATTAGCAAATGAGAGCATTTTTCTATTACTAGTTTTCACAGCAATTTCTTTTCTTTTAAAAAAGAACAGATATCGAAGGCTTCATGCTTTTTTCATATTCCATTTATAGTATCTTAAGGCTTTTATGATTAGACAAAATAACTAGATTTCCTTGTATATTTAATATATTCTCATTGTGACAGTATTTTAATTCTATTGAATTGTTGCTTCCACTATTTTATTTACTCTTTTACATCTGTATTTATAAGTATAGTTAGTCTAGTTCCTTTTAAACAAAGTGTATACTCTTAATAATGCATTACTACAATAACTAACATGTTATGAATTACTATGTGTGCTTAAAACAAAATACTTAGTGTTTATCTCAGCAAAGGGCAGAAAAAATTAAAATGTATTCTGAAAACAAAATCAAATATGTTTAAGAATTTTTTAAAATTCCATTGCATACAAATATTCAGGCAAAGGCAGGGGCTTTATAAACATGTCAAAGAATGAGGTCAATATATTTGGTTGTGATACTCAATAAACTTCCATTTACCATTCTCAGAACATATCCATGTGGAAATTGGTCTCATGGAAAAATTTTTTAAATCATTTTCCAGCCATAGATATAGTGGCAAATGATTTAATATAATCAAACTTCAATTTCCTCATCTATAAACCTTTTATAACGATATCATCTCTAATTGTCTCACTAGATAACTATAAAAATAAATAAGATAATGCATATGAAATTGCCTCATAAACCATGAAGCCCATAAAGCACTGTAGGACACTTTGAATATCTGGTGTTGACCATAAAATTTCAATATCTGCCCTTATTGCTTGCCTACAATCCCAGAGAGACAACTGGTGCAAAAAGAATTGAAATGCTGAATAACAAGAAAAAGACAGTGTACCATTGACATAATATTTGAAGGTTTTGTATCCAGCTAAATCTCTGTCTCTCTCCCCTACTATTCTTTTTGATATCAACATGTACATTGATAGTCCACCCAATTCCTTGGCCTTTCAATCCTTTTCATTTCTCACTTGCAATAATCATTTTCTCTCATTTGTCTTAAGAATAATTGCACACTTGCCAATGTCTTAACTTCAAACATCCTGAGCTCTGACCACTACCCTACTTTTTCAAGCCTATTTCTTCTCTTACCCACATCAACAATTCTTCAATCCTACAATTTCCTGTGATACTCCAGGATATAAGCCCTCTCATATTCATCTATTCCTTCATTATCTGTCTTGCATTTCATTGCCATTAAAAGCATTGCTTTGAAAAATTCTTCACTTCTTTGTTCCTTTCTCCTGCCATTGTCTGTGTCCAAAAAAGAAAGTTCCAACCTGCTAAAATCTAACTCACTGATACTTCTATTGCAAAAGTGCTAAAAGCTACCAGAATGCTGAAAGTTAGCTTATTGTCAATTAGACTCATTTTAAATGGTTAACGATAAGCCTCAAGTGAATCTCAGGCAGCATGCTATACTATTAGATTGTCCTCTTCAATCCTACCTTTCAAGAACATGACTAATTCATGTATCTTTCCTAAAAACTGCAATACCCCCTCTTCTCTTAACTTTTATTTGATAAAATAGTTCTTATCTCACAAAGAAAATAGAAAAGACAATTGGAGAACTTCACAAACTTCTATACAACTTCCAACAATCTACTGACTCCTTTAATCTTTGTTTCAGCATTTATTGTTGTTAGTATATAAGACCAACACCCACTTGTGCATAAGTTCCCATCTCCTTCACCTAATAAAGGACACACTTGGAACTTGTTTTCCTCACATACCTACATTTTCAATTTTACCAGAGAATAATCCAGTAGATGGCTATCACATTCTATCTTATGAAAAGTCTTCTGAGATTCTCTAACAAATATTTTAAAAATCAACTTTCACCATTCTACAGTAAAATTCAGTGAAACTATTATCTGTATTTGCTGAATCCACTTGCCTTCCTTTCATTCTTTTCTGAACCTACTCCAATTAGGCTTTCCCCTCACTCTTTTATGAAAACTGCTTTTGTCAAGTTAACCCCCATGTTGTCAAATCAAAATGACCATTTCTCCATCTGATATGGTTTGGCTATGTCCCCACCCAAATATCATTTTGAACTGTAGCTCCCACAATCCCCACATCTCATGGGAGGGACTCAGTGGGAGGGAATTGAATCATGAGGGTGGTTACCTCCAGGCCATTCTTGTGATAGTGAGTTCTCATGAGACCTGATGGTTTAATAAGGGGCTTCCCCTCACTCCTTTGCTCTGCACTTCTTCGTCCTACTGCCATGTGAAGAAGGATGTGTTTATTTCTCCTTCTGCCATGATTCTAAGTTTCCCGAGGCCCTCCCAGCCATACTGAACTGTGTGTCAATTAAACCTCTTCCATTTATAAATTACCTAGTCTCGAGTATGTCTTCATTAGCAGTGTAAGAAAGGACTAATACAGTAAATTGGTACTGGTAGAGTGTGGTACTGCTAATAAGATACCAGAAAATGTGGAAACAACTGTGGAACTGTGGAACTGGGAACAGGCAGAGGTTGGAAGAGTTTGGAAGTCTCGGAAGAAGACAGGACGATGTGGGAAACTTTGGAGCTTCCTAGAGACTTTTTGAATGGTTTTGACCAAAATGCTGACAGTAATATCAACAATGAATCCAGGCTGAGGTAGTCTCAGATGGAAATAAGAAACTTATTATGAACTGGAGCAAAGGTGATTCTTGCCACACTCTAGTAAATAGACTGGTGGCATTTTGCCCCTGCCTTAGAGATCTGTGGAACTTTTGACCTTGAGAGAGATGATTTATCTGGCAGAAGAATTTCTTTTTTTTATTTTATTTTATTATTATTATACTTTAAGTTTTAGGGTACATGTGCACAATGTGCAGGTTAGTTACATACGTATACATGTGCCATGCTGGGGTGCTGCACCCATTAACTCATCATTTAGCATTAGGTATATCTCCCAATGCTATCCCTCCCCCCTCCCCCCACCCCACAACAGTCCCCAGAGTGTGAGGTTCCCCTTCCTGTGTCCATGTGTTCTCATTGTTCAATTCCTACCTATGAGTGAAAACATGCAGTGTTTGGTTTTTTGTCCTTGCGACAGTTTACTGAGAATGATGATTTCCAATTTCATCCATTTCCCTACAAAGGACATGAACTCATCATTTTTTATGGCTGCATGGTATTCCATGGTGTATATATGCCACATTTTCTTAATCCAGTCTATCATTGTTGGACATCTGAGTTGCTTCCAAGTCTTTGCTATTGTGAACAGTGCTGCAATAAACACACGTGTGCATGTGTCTTTATAGCAACATGATTTATAGTCCTTTGGGTATATACCCAGTAATGGGATTACTAGGTCAAATGGCATTTCTAGTTCTAGATCCCTGAGGAATGGCCACACTGATTTCCACAATGGTTGAACTAGTTTACAGTCCCACCAACAGTGTAAAAGTGTTCCTATTTCTCCACATCCTCTCCAGCACCTGCTGTTTCCTGACTTTTTAATGATTGCCATTCTAACTGGTGTGAGATGGTATCTCATTGTGGTTTTGATTTGCATTTCTCTGATGGCCAGTGATGATGAGCATTTTTTCATGTGTTTTTTGGCTGCATAAATGTCTTCTTTTGAGAAGTGTCTGCTCATGTCCTTCGCCCACTTTTTGATGGGGTTGTTTGTTTTTTCTTGTAAATTTGTTTGAGTTCATTGTAGATTCTGGATATTAGCCCTTTGTCAGATGAGTAGGTTGCGAAAATTTTCTCCCATTTTGTGGGTTGCCTGTTCACTCTGATGGTAGTTTCTTTTGCTGTGCAGAAGCTCTTTAGTTTAATTAGATCCCATTTGTCAATTTTGGCTTTGGTTGCCATTGCTTTTAGTGTTTTAGACATGAAGTCCTTGCCCATGCCTATGTCCTGAATGGTAATGCCTAGGTTTTCTTCTAGGGTTTTTATGGTTTTAGGTCTAACGTTTAAGTCTTTAATCCATCTTGAATTAATTTGTGTATAAGGTGTAAGGAAGGGATCCAGTTTCAGCTTTCTATGTATGGCTAGCCAGTTTTCCCAGCACCATTTATTAAATAGGGAATCCTTTCCCCATTGCTTGTTTTTCTCAGGTTTGTCAAAGATCAGATAGTTGTAGATATGCGGCGTTATTTCTGAGGGCTCTGTTCTCTTCCATTGATCTATATCTCTGTTTTGGTACCAGTACCATGCTTCTTTGGTTACTGTAGCCTTGTAGTATAGTTTGAAGTCAGGTAGTGTGATGCCTCCAGCTTTGTTCTTTTGGCTTAGGATTGACTTGGCGATGCGGGCTCTTTTTTGGTTCCATATGAACTTTAAAGTAGTTTCTTCCAATTCTGTGAAGAAAGTCATTGGTAGCTTGATGGGGATGGCATTGAATCTATAAATTACCTTGGGCAGTATGGCCATTTTCATGATATTGATTCTTCCTACCCATGAGCATGGAATGTTCTTCCATTTGTTTGTATCCTCTTTTATTTCATTGAACAGTGGTTTGTAGTTCTCCTTGAAGAGGTCCTTCACGTCCCTTGTGAGTTGGATTCCTAGGTATTTTATTCTCTTTGAAGCAATTGTGAATGGGAGTTCACTCATGATTTGGCTCTCTGTCTGTTATTGGTGTATAAGAATGCTTGTGATTTTTGCACATTGATTTTGTATCCTGAGACTTTGCTGAAGTTGCTTATCAGCTTAAGGAGATTTTGGGCTGAGACAATGGGGTTTTCTAGATATACAATCATGTCATCTGCAAGCAGGGACAATTTGACTTCCTCTTTTCCTAATTGAATACACTGTATTTCCTTCTCCTGCCTAATTGCTCTGGCCAGAACTTCCAACACTATGTTGAATAGGAGTGGTGAGAGAGGGCATCCCTGTCTTGTCCAGTTTTCAAAGGGAATGCTTCCAGTTTTTGCCCATTCAGTATGATATTGGCTGTGGGTTTGTCATAGATAGCTCTTATTATTTTGAAATACCTCCCATCAATACCTAATTTATTGAGAGTTATTAGCATGAAGGGTTGTTGAATTTTGTCAAAGGCCTTTTCTGCATCTAAGAAATTTCTAAGCAGCAAGGCATTCAAGATGTGACTTGGGTGCCCTTAAAAGCATTCAGTTTCATTCATTCACAAAGATATGGTTTGGAATTGAAACTTATACTTAAAATGGAAGCAGAGCATAAAAGTTTGAAAAATTTGCAGCTGACAATGCAATAGAAAGTGAAAACCCATTTTCTGAGGAGAAATTCAAGCCAGCTGCAGAAGTTTGCGTGAGTAATGAGAAGCCAAATGTTCACTGCCACGACAATGGGGAAAATGTCTCCCGAGCATGTCAGAGGTCTTTATGGCACCTCCTCCCATCACAGGCCTGGAGGCCTGGGTGGAAAAATGGTTTCCTGGGCAGAGCCCAGGGCCCTACTGCTTCGTGCAGTCTCGGGACTTGGTGCCCTGAGTCCCAGCCATGGCTAATAGGGTCCAATGTACAGCTCAGGCCATTGCTTCAGAGGGTACAAGCCACAAGCTTTGGCAGTTTATAAATGGTGTTCAGCCTGTGGGTGCATAAAAGTCAAGAATTGTGATTTGGTAACCTCTGCCTAGATTTCAGAGGATGTTTGGAAATGTCTGATGTCCAGGCAGAGGTGTGCTGCAGGGATGGAGCCCTCCTAGAGAACCTCTGCTAAGGCAGTATGGAAGGAAAATGTGGGATGAGAGCCTCCACACAGAGTCCCCACTGGGGCACTGCCTAGTGGAGCTGTGAGAAGAGGGCCACTGTCCTCCAGACCCCAGAATGGTAGATCCACCTAGAGCTTGCACCTTGTATTTGGAAAAGCTGCAGACACTCAATGCCAGCCCATGAAAGCAGCCGGAACTGGGGTGGTATTCTGCAAAGCCATAGGGACAAAACTACCCAAGACCATGGGAACCCACCTCTTGCATCAGCATGACCTGGATGTGAAACATGTAGTCAAAGGAGATCATTTTGGAGCTTTAAGATTTGACAGTCCTACTGGATTTCAAACTTGCATGGGGCCTCTAGCCCCTTCATTTTGGCGAATTTCTCCCATTTGGAACAGGTGTATTTACCCAATGCCGGTACCCAATGTATCTAGGAAGTAACTAACTTGCTTTTGATTATGTAGGCTTATAGGCACAAGGGATTTGCCTTGTCTCACATGAGACTTTGGACCGTGGACTTTTGAATTAATGCTGAAATGAGTTAAGACATTAGTGGACTGTTGGGAAGGCATAGTTAGTTTTGAAATATGAGGATATGAGATTTGTGAGGGGCCAGCTTGGAATAATATGCTTAGGCTTTGTGTCCCCACCCAAATCTTATCTTGAATTATAGCTCCCACAGTCCCCATGTGTCTTGGGAGGGACCCATTTGGAGGTAATTTAATCATGGGGGCAGGTTTTTCCCATCTGTTCTCATGGTAGTGAATATGTCTCATGAGATCTGATGGTTTTATAAAGGACAGTTACCCTGAACACACTCTCTTGCCTGTCACAAGGTAAGATGTGCCTTTGCTCCTCCTTCACCTTCCACCATGATTGT
The DNA here is from genome assembly GCF_000001405.40 of Homo sapiens. Lineage (NCBI taxonomy): Eukaryota > Metazoa > Chordata > Mammalia > Primates > Hominidae > Homo > Homo sapiens. The sequence continues at coordinate 126,473,934 of NC_000007.14, forward strand.
GATGCCTCCCAAGCCATGTGGAACTATGAATCCATTAAACCTGTTTTTCTTTATAAATTACCCAGTCTCAGATATTTCTTCATAGCACTATGAAAATGGACTAATGTATCATTTTTATATTCGTTTTATATTCATTGTTCTCTCAGCAATATCTCATACATTTAATTATCTCAGTTTCAGTTGATGTCCTAAAACAATTTGGAATGATTTATTTTCCACATTCCAAAATGAAGTGCTAGATTTCCAACTAAAAAGTATTTGCAAAGGAGGTATTTGAAATACACACACACGTACACACATTCATATATGTTTGTGCATGTGTGTGTGTGTGTGTGTATATATATATATATTTGGAGACAGGGTCTCACTCTGTCACCCAGCCTAGAGTGCAGTGGCAGGATCTTGGCTCACTGCAACCTCTACCTCCCACGCTTAAGCAATCCTCTCACCTCAGCCTCCTGAGTAGCTGGGACTACAAGCATAGGCCACCATGCCTGCCTAATTGTTTAATTTTTTGTAGAGATGAGGTTTCACCATGTTGCCCAGGCTGGTCTTGAATTCTTGGGCTCAAATAATCTGCCTGGGATCCCAAAGAGCTGGGATTATGGGCAAGAGCCACCATGCCCAACCTACATGCATTTTTAATCCTTAGCTGAAAACCTATGTTCATCCTGAAAAGACTTTAAAGAGTCCTAGAGATAGGCCGTGAGTTGAATAGGGAATTTTCTTGAAGGAAGCTACTGTGCTGCTATAGCTTTTTCCTTCCTAGGCTTGCAGGGGAGGGTTTTCCTGCCTCATATAAGACTGGTATGTAAGAAATAACAGCACATGAAATGTATCATTCATTCAGCAAAATCAAGTGGGTTTTATCCCTGGGATGTAAAGATGGTTTCATGTACACAAATCAATTAATGTGATACACCACACTTATAGAACAAAGGATAAAAATTATATGATCACCTCAATAGATGCAGAAAAGACATTTGACAAAATTCAACATCCTTTCATGATAAAAATAATTCTCAACAAATTAGGTGGAAAGATCCTCAACATAACAAATGCCATATATAACAAAATCACAGCTAATGTCATACTTCACAGTGAAAAGCTGATAGCTTTTCCTCTAAGATGAGGAACAAGACAAGGGTGCCTACTTTTGCCATTTCTATTCAACATAGTATTGGGAGTTGTAACCAAAGCAATTATGCAAGAATAAAAAGATAAACGTCATCCTAATCAGAATGAAAGAAGTGAAATGACTAATGTTTACAAATGACATGATTTTACATACAGGAAAATCTAAAAACTATGAAAAAAACTGTTAGCATAAACAAATTCAGTATAGTTGTAGGATACAAAATCAATATATAAAAATCGGTTGAATTTCTATACACTAAATAACAAACTATCCAATTAAGAAAAAAATTCTATGTGCCATCACATTAAAAAAATAAAATACATAGACAAAAGTTTAAGGAGGTGGAAGATCTGTGTACTGACAACCATAAGACATTGATGAAAAAATTGAAGAAAGACACAAAAAAGTTGAAAGAGAGTCCATGTTCATGAATTGGAATAATTAATATTGTTAAAATTCTCATACTATCCAACATGATCTACAAATTCAATGTAATGCCTATGAAAATTAAAATGACTTTTAAAAAATAGAAATAGGAAAAAATAATCCTAAAATTGTACGGAACCACAGTTAACTCCAAATAGACAAAGTAATCTTGAGAAAGAAGAACAAAGTTGAAGACATCAGACTGCCTGATTAGAAACTACATTACAAAGCTATAGTAATCAAAACAGCATGGTGCAAATAAAAACAGACTTATAGACCAATGGAACACAATAAAGAGCTTAGAAATAAAGCTACACATATGCAGTCACCTAATCTTTTACAAGGGTTCCAAAAATATGCAATGGGGAAAACATCATCCAACAAATGGTGGTGGGAAAACTGGATATTCACATGAAAAATAATGAAATTGAAGTTTTATCTTATATCATACATAAAAAATAACTCAAAGTGAATGCATTAAATGTATGACCTGAAACCTTAAAACTCTTTGCATAAAACACAGGGAAAAGCTCCTTTATGTTGGTCTTGGCAAAGTTTTTTTATACAACACCAAAAACACCAGCAACAAAAATAAAAATAAACAAACGGGACTACATCAAATTAAAAAGCTTCTGCATCCTGTAATCCCAGCAACTCAGGAGGCTGAGGTGGGAGGACAGCTTAAGGACAGGAGTCTGAGACAAACCAAGTTATGTTGTTTTGAGGCTGGGCAACATAGCAATACTCATCTCTAAAAATATGAAAATAAAAAGATTAGCCAGGCATAGTGGCATATGCCTGTAGTTCCAGCTAAGAGGCTGAGGTAGGCGGGTTACTTGAGCCCAGGGGTTCGAGGCTATGCAGTGAGCTATGATTGTGCCACTGCACTCTAGCCTGGGTAACAGAAAGAGCCATCTCTAAAAAGTGCTTCTGTGCAGGAAAGGAAACAGCAAATAAAAATACAAGTTGTGAAAATAGAGAAAGTATTTGCAAACCATACATCTAATAATGGATTATGTCCAAAATATGTAAGAAAGTCATATAACTCAATAGCAAAAGAAACCCCTGATTTTAAAATGGGCAAAGGACCTGAATAGACATTTTTTCAAAGAGGATATACAAATGACCAATAGGTGTATGAAAAGACACTCAACAATAATAATCACCAAGGAAATGCAAATCAAAACAACAATGACACATTACCTCACAACTGTTAGATTGGCTATTATCCAAAAGAAAAAAATAACAAATGTTGACAAGGATGGGGAGAAAAGGAAAACATTGCACACTGTTCATAGGGATGTAAATTGTTATAGCCATTATGAAAAACATTATGAAGATTCCTCAAAAAAATAAAAAAAAAACTGCCATACAATCTAGCACTTTGGGTATATATCTAAAATGAATGAAATCAGTATCTCAAGGAGATATCTGCACTTCCATATTCATTGCAGCATTATTCACAATAGCAGAGATATGGAAATAACCTAAGTATCTGTCAGCAGGAAATGAATTTTAAAAGTGAGATATATTCAATTCTTTAATAGATTATTATTCAGCCTTAAAAAGAAAAGAAATTCTAACATATGGTACAACATGGATGAACTTGGAGAACATTACGCTAAGTGAAGTAAGGCAGACATAGAAAAACAAATATTGCATTATCCCACTTATATGTGGAATCTAAAAAAGTTGAACTTATAGAAGCAGAGACTGAAATCTTGCTTGCCAGGAGCTGGTGGGTGGGGGAAATGGGGTAATGTTGGTCAAAGCATACAAAGTTTCAGTTATATAATAAATAAGTTCTGGAGATTTAATGTGGCAGCATGGTGACTGTTTTGTATACTAAAAATTTGTTAAGAGAGTAGATCTTAAGTGTTCTCACCTGACACACAGACACAAAGATAACTATGTGAGGTGATGAATATGTTAATTATCTTTATTGTGGTAATTATTTCCACAGTGTATACATGTATGAAATCATCATGTCAGATATCTTCAATATATATACTTTTTATTTGTCAATTATGTCTCAATAAAGAGACTGAGAAAAGGAGAAGTAAGAGAAAGAAAGAAAGAAAGAGAGAAAGAAAGAAAGAAAGAAAGAAAGAAAGAAAGAAAGAAAGAAAGAAAGAAAGAAAAAACGAAAGAGAAAGAAAGAAAAGAGGAAGGAAAGAAGGGAGGAAGGGAGGGAGTGATGAAGGGAGGGAGAAAGGAAGGAAAGAAGGAAAGGAGGGAAAAAAGGAAAGAAATTTTAAAAACTTTTCTACCAAGACAATTTATTTAGAGTATTGTGTTACTTTCCTGTGGCTGTTCTAACAAATTCACACAAACTGGGTGGATAGAAGAAACAACAGAAGCTTCTTTTGTTTGTTTTCAAGTCTGGAGACCAAAAGTTCAAAATCAAGGTGTTGGCCATGCAGTTCTCTTTCCCTCTTCTAGCTTCTGATGGCTCCAAGCATTCCTTGGTTGGTGGCTGCATAACTTCAATCTCTGCTTCCATGTCCACATGGCCTTCTCTTCTACTCTAAGGACACCTGTCATTGGATTCAAGTCCCATTTGGCTAATTCAGGATGATCACAGAGCAAAATCATTAACTTTAGATCTGCTAAGGCCCCTTTTCCATATAAGATCACATTTACAAGTTCCAGAGGTTAGGAAGTAGGACTATCTTTTTAGGAGACACCATTTAACACACAACAATTATTAATCTCATCCCTTGCTTTATCCTTTCTTGCCTAAATTAATTTTCTTTTCTTTGTTCTGAATGCCACATTTACTTTTTACTTTAATATTCTGATTTTAAGTATGTATGCATATTGTCTTAAATCCATCTTGAGCAAGGTAAAACATAAATATGAGATTATTCTTTAAATATCCAAAGCTGGATCAGAGACATTACTGGCGTGAGATAAGGAAATCAACGATCACTTCTCTGGTCAGTTTCCATTTTTTTCCTGTTTATCTATGATTATTTTTCTCATAATTAGAATAATTAATACCTAACAGTAAATAATCTATTTAATTTTCATGGTTTTTGTATATTACTTAGACTCAAAATTCAGAATAAAAGCAATATTTTGCATACTGTTTATTACATTAAAAAATGATTTCTCTTAGAAGCTATAAAATTGTCTTCAAAGTAGCCAAATGATATGAGCATGCTAATTGAGAAATCTAGTTATCATTCTCAAAATTCATGCTGGTAATCACTAGAAAGTATCAGGGCTTTGGGATAAGTTAGACCTAGATTTGAAAACTAGGTCGAACACTAAATGGCTGTGCTAATTTTTAGTAAGCTTCTTGCCCTCTCTACTATTGGGGTTCCTAGTTTTCACCTTATGAACTAACACCAAAATATATTTATGATAAAGAATATGAAGAATCAATACTGCCCTAGATCAAAGCAGAAATGTATGATATAATAGCCATTTTTATAATTAAATATGGGTAAATCTGTTTTCAAAAGAGGGGTAGGTGGTAATGGGCTAGATATTTTCACATATTTCTCAGAAGATGATCTTTAGTCTCTACATCAATCATGATATTAACTTTCTTTTGCTTGAAATTTTGACAAGCCTCAACTACCTTAGCCTTTTATGCTAAAAATCTACACTAGTAAATATATGATAATATTCTGTTCTTCACAAGCAAATGAAATGATCCTAATCTTGTGTTGGTAAACTGAATTACTTTTAATGTAATGGAAGAGAGTTGTGCATTAAGACATTTTTAAATAAAATTATTGATACAGAATTCATGTATCCACTTAAAGTACACAATTCAGAAGTTTTTAGTATATTCACAGAGCTTTGCAACCATAAATGTAATCTAATTTTAGAATATTTTATTCTCCCTGTACCCATTAGCAATACTCTCCATGAGCCTTCCCCTAGCCCTAGGTAATCACTAACCTACTATATGTCTCTGTGTATCTGCCTAAATCTGGACATTTTATAAAAATAGCCTCATACTATATGCAATCTTGTGATTGCCTTCTTTCATGTAGCATAATGTTTTCAAGGTTTATCCATTTCATAGCATGTATCAGTACTTAATTTCTTTTGGTTGCCAAATAATATTTCATCATATAGATAAACCACCTTGTGTTTATCCACCAGTCAGCTGATGTTTATTTGGGTTGTTTCCAGTTTTTGACTATTTTAAATAATGGTACTATGAACATTAATGTACGGATTTTTATGTGGACTTTCAAACTTTATCGTGGAGATGACAGAGAGATAGACAGACAGACAGACAGACAGACAGACAGATAGATAGATAGAACCACTGTGTTATATAGAAACTATACTTAACATTTTGAGGAACTGCCAAATTGTCTTCCAAAGTAGCTCTATCATATTATAATCTCAGCAATATACAAGGTTCCAATTTCTCCACACTTTTAAACACTTGTTGTCTATCTATTTTCATTTATGACATGACCCAGAGGGAAAAAAATCAACCAGAATGTGATGGCAACCCAAGGTGGAATGCAGACTGTGACGAATCAATCTAACCGTATTACAAATAAATTATATAACTAGACTGAAGTGGGTGAAGAAGAAAGGAAATGACCTGAGTAACTGAACAATGGTGTTTTGGGCCAGGCTCAGTGGTGCACACCTGTAATTCCAGCACTTTGGGAGGCAGAGGCAGACAGATCACATGAGGCCATGAGTTTGAGACCTGCCTGGCCAACATGGTGAAACTCTCTCTCTACTAAAAATACAGAAATTAGCCGGGTGTGGGGGCGCACGCCTGTAGTCCCAGCTACCTGGGAGGTGAAGCACAAGAATTGTGCTAACCTGAGAGGCAGAGGTTGAGGTGAACTGAAATTGTGCCACTGCACTCCAGTCTGGTTGACAGAGTGAGATTCTGTCTCAATAAATAAATAAATAAATAAGTAAGTAAATAAAATGGTGTTTTGACTAGCTACTGTAAGGTTAAAGACAAAATCAGTTGTACACAAAAACTATAATTGGTAAATTTGTTTCTCACAGAGCTATGGGTTAGATTTGTAAGCTACTGTATACATATACCAGGGCTTAACAAATAAAGATATATATTGTATATAAAGGGAGCCAAATTTCTCACTGTGTGAGAAAGAAGGTACAATCAAGAAAACAGGAAAAGTTAGAATGACCCTTGTAATGTTGGTTCAAAGTCAGAGGTATCAGTAAAACGCAAGGGCTTTCAACATATATTTATGTGTACGTGTGTATATATATAAAAATAGATGCAAAAATAAATAAATAGGTGACTGTGCCCATGGTTTAGTGCATATACATGTTTTCTAGCTTTGAGAGAGCCTAGAGACAGTGACACCCCAGTAGTAATGGGCACACTTAGCATCCAGATTTTGATTTCTAAATACCATTCTCCAGCATCCTTGTAGAAGACATCGATCCCAGGGTTGTAGCCGGGAAAATACAAGATGAACCTGGAACATCTTGGGGTACAAAATTAAAGGAAATAATTTTTACGAAAATGATGGGGCATGCCAAAGGTAAACAGGAGCCATCTCAAAGAGCTCTCAAAGGTCAAAGCTAAAAAATTTGAGTGCAAAATATATGATGATTAGATTGGATTATAAACCAATAAATAAAATAAATACTTATGTGTCCAAACTGACATAAATATTTGAATAAATAAATTGAAGAGAAAGGAAAGCTTTTCCCTTAAAGGATAATTCCAATTAGTGAACGAAAAAGGAATAAGGGAAGTAGAAAATCATCACTAGAACATCACAGTAATAATTGCTATAGACAAGATCCAGTTATGGATGACAAATTTAGTGGATATGTTTTAAGAAGAAACACCTATTTGTACAGTTACAAAAATCTCCTCCAAATAAATATTTATCAATTACCAATGAAAAAATCATAACTTCATAATGGAGAAATCTGGAAAAAGCTACCTTAAGCAAATAAGCAAGGTTCATTCACATGTAATAAAACATATTACTGCATATTAGTACATAAGACATAAGACATCATATCCTTGATATGATACAAAGATAAGAGTGTATTATTTGTGTGACAATCTTCCCAACAGTATATACATTCAATCTAATCAAGAGAAAAGTGAGGGGTACTTCATGAAGTTAACTGACCAGTACTATTCAAATTCTCAAGTTTATTAAATTTGAAGAAAGCCTGAGGAACTGTCACAGATTGAAAAAAACCAAGGAAGCATGACAACTTAAGATAACGTGGGATCCAGGGTTAGATCTTACGACTCAAAGAGGATATTAATGGAAAAATTGTTGAAATCTGAATAAAGTTGGTAGTTTTCTTAGTATGTTAGTTTATTTGTTTTGATCATTTTACTTACCATAGTTATATGCAATGTTCATATTAGGGAAAGCTGGGAGAAGGACGAAGGAGAGCTTTCTGTGTCACTTTTATAATGCTTTTGTAAGTCTAAAAGTATCTCAAATTTAAAAATTAGGGGAAAAACAAATAATCAAACAACTATATTAAGAAATGGGCAAAGGACTTGAATAGACAATTCTTCAAAGAAGATTATGAATGGCTAATAAGCATATAAAATGATGCACAGCATCACTGATAAGTAGGAAAATGCAAATCATAAGTATGAGACACCACCTGATACCCATTAGGATGGCTACTACTATAAAAACGGAAAGCACATGTTGGTGAGAATATGGAGATATTGGAATCTCTGTGCCCTGTTTGTAGTAATGTAAAATGGTAACGTTGCTTTGGAAAACAATATGGCAGTTCCTCATAAAATTAAAAATAGAATTACTATATAACCCAGCAATTCCACTTCTGGATATATGCCACAAAGTATTGAAAGCAGGGTCTTGAGGATATATTTGTATGCCCATGTTGACAGTAGCATTATTCATAAGAGATAAAACCTGGAAACAACTTAAGTGTCCACTGACAGATGAATGGAAAAACAAAATGTGGTATAAACATACTATGGAATATTATTCAGCCTCAAAAAGGAAACTCTGACATACACTTCAACATGAATGAATCTGGAAGACATTATGCTAAGTGAAACAAGCAAGTCACAAAAAAGACAAACATGATTCTGCTTATATAAGGTACCTAGAGTACTCAAAATCACAGACACAAAGCAGAATGGTAGATCCAGGGTCTGGGGGGAAGAGGAATTGAGAAGATATTGTTTAATGGGTATAGAATTTCAGTTTTGTAAGATGCAAAGAGTTATAGAGACAAATGGTGGTGCTGATTGCACAACAATATGAATATACTTAGTATCACTGCACTGTATACTTAAAAATGGTTGAGAGTAAATTTTATCTTCTGTGTAACTTTACTACAGTTTAAAAAATAGAAAAAAATTTTAAAGGGGAAAAACATGACCATGGGCAAATATCTGTGAGATTACAAGTGTGTTCAGGAGTTTAATCTGGTAAATTCTATAAAGGTTTATGTGACAGTCTCATGATTTTGGTTTTTAAACTTTTTTGACAGGGTACCCACACTAAGAAAAACATTTATATCTTATCCAAGATGTTTATGTGTATACTTATTTTAGTTACATATATATATGTATATGTATAATTTATTTTAGTTACATATATAACTATATTTATTTGTTATATAAATATATAACTAAATATATATAATATATATAATTATAAAATAAAATCCTTCCTTCCTTTCCTTCAACTTCCTTCCTTCCTTCCTTCATCATGATGCATTAAAGAGATTTTATGGTCTATTGAAGGGCTGACAAAAACCACTTATGCGTCCCTAACCAAAATTGAAAAACAACATTTATCTGGTCTAGAGTATATATAAACGTGTTATCTGTTACTCAAGTTTTCATATTTCCTCAACACTTATAACTAGACTTGAGCATCAGTCACTACAATGTTTATCACAGGTACTTTATGTATAACTAAAATAAAATTTAATAAAACATACCCTTAGTATTCACTATTCTCTCCCTCCCTCCCTCCCTCCCTCCCTTCCTTCCTTCCTTCCTTCATCATGATGCATTGAAGAGATTTTATGATCTATTGAAGGGCTGACAAAAACCACTAATGCGTCCCTAACCAAAATTTGAAAAACAACATTTATCTGGTCTAGAGTATATATAAACTTGTTATCTGTTACTCAAATTTTCATATTTCCAAAACACTTATAACTAGACTTGAGCAGCAGTCACTACAATGTTTATCACAGGTATTTTATATATAACTAAAATTAAATTTCATAAAACTTACCCTTAGTATTTCCCTCCCTCCCTCCCTCCCTCCCTCCCTCCCTTCCTCCCCTCCTCCCTTCCTTCCTTTGCTGGTCATGATACATTAAAGAGATTTTATGATCTACTGAAGGGCTGACAAAAACCACTAATGCATCCCTATCCAAAATTTGAAAAACAAAATTTATCTGGTCTAGAGTGTAAATAAACATGTTATCTGTTAATCAAATTTCTGTATTTCCAAAACCCTTATAACCAGACTTGAGCATCAGTCACTACAATGTTTATCACAGGTACTTTTGGAAAAGTGCTTTGCTTCATAATAATTACCCTATCAGAAGGCCTCAATTTATAAAGCATTTAGTTACTTAGTGCTTATGACGTAAATGTCACAGTTCAAGTACTTGATGGAGAAAAATATTAAATGAAGTGCACTTGTTTTGAAGATAATTTCATTTAGCATCTCCAAAGCAGGGGATAATTAAGTTACTCTGTCATACAAAATGATGGAGGCTTTAAATAAGTAACAGCTGGTTACCCCAATGATGGAGCAACTGCAGGGCAGCCTTTGGCAAGGACAGCTGTGCAAACTCAGCCCACGTGGTACGCAAATAGACCTACATTATGACTAAGGAAATAGCTGAAATGGAATGACATCTAGAAAAGCAAAAAAACAACAAGACTGGGATCCCTTAGCATGCATTTCAATAGCATTAAGATATAGAAATATTAATAAGAAGTGCTCATCTATCATTTCTGTAGTCAAATGTGTTTCTCACGTCTAGACGAATTTAAAGTTAGTCATTGCAGGGCAATGAGCACATTCATAAGAAAGTACCCTCATTTTTAAATGTAACTACTACTTAAATTACTTTACTTACTACTACTTTTACTTACTACTACTTTACTCCAAGCAAGAAATTAAATTCAATTTATTCATATTTTAACATTAGTACAGTGATTTTTTTTAAAGTTATGCTAAATCTTTATTCCAAAAGTTTTTGTTTCTTTAAAACCTCTTCCACGGAAATCAAATTTGTAACAGTGACCTTAAAATGTGAGAGCTGGCCTTCGTAAAACAAACGTGCTATTAAAAATATTAAATAACTGACCCCATTTTTGGAAAGCTGGGTAAGGCTGTGCTAGCATGGATCTATCGTTAAACGTTTTTTGTTTTTTTTTTTGAAAACTTTTTATTGTCACTCGATCTGCATGTAAACAAGGAGGAAAAAGTGAGTCTGACTTATGTACTTGATTTTGTTTACCAGAATTTTGCTTAAGTCATACTATGGACCTTTCTGACTTGAAATCATTTTCGAGTTGGTTATCAGACTAACTCTCCTAACTAGTATTTGTATTAATTATTTTTAAGCAAGCATTTATTATCATTGATTATGCAAGCATTATTGAGCAAGCAAATGCAAATGCAATAAGCATTTTTAAGCATTAACTATGTGTTAAGCACAAGGTCTCTGTCCTGAAGAAGCTTACTAGCCACTAGACAAAATGGACACAGAATCAAGAAATGTCATAATAATATGGGGTAACACATGACCCAGATTTGGAGTTCAGCTAACAGTTTCCCAAGGGAAATGAGTGCAATCAAGGTCTTAATAGACAAATCATACATAGGCAGCAACAACAACAACAAAAAAAAAGGGGGTGGGGGGCATGAAAGGCTTTCCAGGGGAGGAAAATAGCACAAGCTAAGGCATGAGGGCACTAAATAGCACAGTGGGGTGTGTCCTCGATCCCCATAAGTAATTGCAATATGTGAAATGATGAGTGGTGTCTGGGGATGAAAGCTAGAGGATCTTCATAGGGGCCTTTATGGAAGTGTTAAGGAATGCTAAAGAGCTTGGCCTTTGAAGGGATTTAAAGAAGAATTAAAATCAGACCTCTCTATTATAGTATAGACACTGGGTACAAGGGAGACAAAACTGAAGACTAAAAAATCTTCAGTGGTTGCCCCTCTGCCAAATTAGCAGTTGTTAACCTTTTCGGCCTGAGAACTAAAACTACAGTCCTAAGCTCCTGGACCCTCCCTTGGCCAAAGGGACCCCAGAGAAACCTTAAAGAACTGAGTTCCTGGCCAAGACAGAATGGGGACATGCCTCATTATACTCCCTCCTTTTTGCAGTTTAAACACAATTGACCAGCATTAATGATAAACTAGAGATGATAACCAACAGAGCGAACTCTTTTCATGGCAATAAGATAACAAATTATAAACATGACCTAAGGCCATGCAAGGCAAGCATTAAGTCACGTACCTCTACACTTGAAGAATAAACTCTATTATAACTGCCACAAGGTTTTCCTTTTTCTAGTAGGTAAACAAGCCCTGGCCTCTAGATAAGCAATATAATTGCAGCTCATTCATCAGACACTGACCAGTTGAACCCCCCGTCCAACAAACCATAGCTACATAGCTCTGATTGACTAAGAGACTAATTTCAGTAACTTTCTCGTGGTAAGAGACCACCAACCACTGGGCTCAGTCTGGCCTGCTCTCAGAGGCTGCACATTTGAATGCCTTCATGCTCCTGCCTCACCTTTTGACATATAAGACCTAATTGTAATGCATTTAAATGTCGTTTCCACTCCAAAATGAACATGGGACACATGTAACATACATGTTTGTTCAGTATGCATGTGTCAGGACTCCCTTTGTGAATATCCATAAGACCTCCTCAAACCTGTTGAATATGTTTACTTGGCCAACCTTGTCAGCATATATCCCTGTTCCACTCTCCCCTCCCTCAAAGTGCCTTCTGGTTTCGCCTGAAGGTTACACTTCCCAGCCTGTCAGAATCACCATCTTGAAGGCTGGAACCATTCGTAAGCTACATATATAGATCTCACAATTTTTAAAAATCTTGATAGGGCTCATGACCCCTTTAAAATCTTACAAAATATCGAGGATACCTCAGTGCTTTGTTTTTTGTGGATTACGTCTGTTGATATTTACCATATTTGAAATTAAAACTGAGAAATATTTAAACAATTATGTATTTATTTATAATAACAAAGGTAAGCCCATTATATGTTTAACAAGGAATACATTTTATGAAAATTACAACTCAATGCTGGTTATGACTCAATAAAGAGATCTTGTGATTTACTGAAGGGCTTACAAAGATTACTAATGTGTCCCTATGCAAAACTGGAAAAACAAAATTTGACTAGTCCAGAGTACAGATAACCACAATGTGTTAGCTGTTAATCAAATGTTCATATTTCCAAAACACTTATAACCAGACTTGAGCATCAGTCACCACAAATTTTATCAGAGGTACTACAGACTAGTGCTCTGTTTCAACAGTAATTACCATATCAATTTATCAACCTCAAATTATAAAGCATTTTAAGTTACTTAGTGTGCATACTTAGTGTTCTTTTCAAAGCAAAGTGTTATTGAGGAGTGGCTTCTTTTTTTACATTTTTGCAAATATCTTTAGTTAGTGGCTTAATAGAAGACAACTAAATTCTCATATTTTCTTCTAGATTTAATCTATAAGTTGTTTTGGTAAAGGTTTATAATGAAAACCCCGCTTCAGACACGCAATATGGTTGAAAAATTGAGACGTATTTTAATTTTTCTAAGAGATGGGGTCTGCAATGTTGTCTAGGCTAGATTCAAACTCCTGGGCTCAAGCGGTCCCTGTTCTCAACCTCCCAAGTAGCAGGGACTACAGGCATGTGCCACCACACGAGACGGAAGTAATATTTTAATAACTTTTTCTGATAATTATAGATTTATTTATTTTGATACTACCCTATTACTTGACTGGGGTAGTTTCTGGAAGGTTAATGGCAGTGTAGAAGCCAAAACAATGTCAATGACCTTTCCCTATACTATTATATTAAAATCCATTGGTCAATTTTGCACTTTAAATGGATCTTTCATCTATGCATCTACTTTTTTCATGATGATTTCCTAATATCATACATTTCTCATTTGGTAAACATTCGTACACTGAGCTGACAGATTTTACTATAGAATATAAAAAATACACTTGTTAATATCGTCACCAATCTCACCAAAAAAAGTATTTAAGAACGGAAATGCTATCAAGCTCATGGTGATGGAATACATTTTCCAAAATTCTACTTTTTGCTTGAAAGCTCACATTTTATCATTGGCAACAAATACTGTCAGTTTGTTTCTTTGAAGTGACAAGCTTACTCCACTCATTTTCAAGGAAATATCCACCATATGTCCAAGTTTGAATAAACATAATTATCTGTCAGTCATTCCTTCAACTAAAAATGGCATTCCATGAAAAAAGCAACTAGATCAGCTTTCAACCTAACCTCATAAGAGCTTTTCCTTGAAGCAACCATCATACTTTAAGGATTAGAAGTTCTTCTTTCTCATCATGTAGAAACCTGGTAAACTGAGATTTAATAAACTTCATAATTTTCCTTGCTTTATCAATAGCATTCAGCTGTAACTGGACAGAAAAAAAAACAAAAAACAGGAAGTTCATGGTAGCGAAGAACAGAATGACTAATAACTGTTTTGGTGGTAGTGCCAACATTCATATTAACACACTAGCAATTCTGCCCACCAGTACTTTTGTGCCAGCAGTGTAGATGTCAACTCAGTGAAAAAGACAAATGATGGTTTAGTATTATGATGAAAATAGGGTTCATCGTTCTTCACAGTCCCTGAAAATGTCTTTGGGTATCCTGGATGTGTTCAGGTCACACTCAGGAAAATGTTATGCTAAAAGCCTCAAGTCTAAATTCTTATACCTAACATCCATCCACAATCTTGTTCCACTCTATTGATAACCTTGAGTAAAACAGATTTTTTCACTTTTGTAAAACACACCTTTTTCCCCTCTCATCTTCTAATTTCACATTCTTCCCAATATTTACAATATATAAATCATTCAATCTTCCAGGAGCCAGTCCAATTCATCGCCATTCCAGATCTCTGAACTATTTTCTATACTATTGGATATGTACTCACTTATATACTATTTATGATTTTTCTTTGGGAATTAGAATTATCTTCCAAACTAGATTGTCAGACTTCCAGAGGTGAAGATTTTTAGTTCTTCTGACTTTGCTATAGTATTCTGCACAGTTATGCATATGATAATGATGATAATATCTTGAATTTTATAAATCTTAATTTTTTAGTGTAGGTCACAAATACACATGTGCCCCTATTGTATTTGTAGGGAAAACATTTAATATTATAAATTATGTTATCATGTCTTCTACTTTGGGTAACTAATATATATCAAATATATACTTAATATATTATAGAATATCAATTTATAAAGCAGTGTATAATTTCAAGCATACAAATATGACAATGCAGCCATATATAGTGGAAAAAACCTAGGCTAGGAAATAGAAGATCTAAATTTAACTGTCCACATAGTATAGACTTAAAGAAGCACATGGATTTAGAGAAGCCACAAAACATATTTGAGTCCCAATGTCTGCAACAGTGAAATGCTTATCCCCGTTCTGATATTTAAATGACGTATTTTATGAGAAAGTTTTTTTTTGAAACAATGTAGTAATCAAATGCAATCTTTTGGCATAGCTATTACCCTGAGTCCTGCACATTAACTGCAAATCAATATCAGCTATTAACATAACTACATGCACAGCATGACAATTAAAAGAACTAAAGACACACAATGGAGACATCTTTGAGAATTAAATCCAAGTACCTTGAGGTATGCAGTACTTGTCATAGAGGATGATTTGAATATTGGCAAAGTACTATGTGTGCACAGATTTCATATATAATCCACATAAAGCAAAGACGCCTTATTACCCGGTATTAGTAGTCTAAATCTGAAAGGTGTAAAGAAAAACAAGACTTTGAAGACGTATTACAGATTTATACAGGATACCACAAAGAAAGATCTTGTAAAAAATCTTTAGACTTTTCTTTTTCCCTTTAAGGTTTTACCCTCATCCACAGCAACCTTAATTTCTCTGAAAGTTATGTGTCATAATTACTTTTATGTGTTAACTTAACTAGACTTAAGGGATGCCCAGATAGCTGGTAAAACATTATTTCTTGGTGTGTGAGTGAGTGTGTTTCCTGAAGAGATGAGCATGCAAAGCAGTAGACAGAATAAAGAAGATCTGTCTTCACCAACTTAGGTGGACAGCATCCAATCCAGTGAGGGCCCAAATAGAACCAAGACGCAAAGGAAGAACAAATTCCTCCCCCTCCCCCACCAGAGCCAAGACATCAGAGTTTCTGGTTCTTGGGCCTTTGAACTCTGAGACCAGTTACTCCCAACCCCCCTGTAGTTTTCAGGCCTTCAGCCTCCAACTGGGAGTGACACCATTGCCCACTGGCTTTCCTGGTTCTCAAGCTTGCAGAGAGCAGATGGTGAGACTTCTCAGTTTCCATAACTGCATATGCAAATTCCCATACTAAATCTCCTCTTACATATCTATATCT
Organism: Homo sapiens; assembly: GCF_000001405.40. Classification (NCBI taxonomy): domain Eukaryota; kingdom Metazoa; phylum Chordata; class Mammalia; order Primates; family Hominidae; genus Homo; species Homo sapiens. Next base: position 126,490,158 of record NC_000007.14, read on the forward strand.
GCGGCCTACTGGTTCTGTTTCTGTGGAGAATTCTGGCTAATACATTACCCTTACCAACATTTGGGTCTTGTTTATTTCATCTTTCTCCTCTTATCCAAGTTCTCTAATATGACCACCTCTTCATTTCAGACAAGCCCTTGGTAAGGGCACATTCCCTGCATGCTGACAACTGCTGTTCTCTTAAAAATGGTAGCATATTCTGCTGAATAAAGCCTTCCATCTTGTTTATAAAATCTTGAAGCCTTAACAGTGGAAAGACTAGCCTTAGAGAGCTTTGGCAATCAATAATCACAGCATCTTGACAAAAAAGGGTATTAATAAGCATGTGTCATTTCTTTTAAAATTAGGTTAGAAGAAATAGATCCTTAGAGAACAAGAACTATGCCAATGGACAAACGTTCTAGCCTCCTATTATTCAGATGGATATATAGAGGAGGTGGTCTCCATGTTTCAGAGGTCTTAGGAGAGTGGAGGCCCCATGGACTCTAGACACACCCTTACACACCTCTGCTGCCTCCCCTGTTTCAGTCACAATGTTTCCTCACAGATTCTTCCTCCCAAATAAACTGCCTGCATGCATGTCTATGTCTCAGACTTCTGCTTTCAGGAAAACTCAGACAATCACCGTCTTTTATGCAGCTTACACTACATTGTAGACTTTTCATATAGGTGATCTCTAATTCTAGAATAATCCTAGTAGCCTCCCATTTTAAAAATTGGAAAAGGTAATTTAAAGAGGTTAAGTAATATGTCCAAGGCATAGTAAATTCTTTACAGAATCCTGAATGTGAGTATTATTTTCGAACCATTCAACTCCAAACTTATACTCTTTCTCCTTTTATGGTAATTTTGTCAATAATAGCCAAAATGAATTGAAAACCTTCTATATGATGTACCATTGGAAAGAATGTTTCAAGTGATCAGTGAAGTTTGTTGAATCTATAATTACCCTATCCACCATGATGTCTGAGGTTGAATGTTTCCAACCAAACTGGCTTATCTTGAAATTTCAAAAATAAGCACTGTTCTACAACCGTTACTAGCATCTTATGGCTTTCATGAAGTTATATACTATTTCACAGAAACATGATTTTCCTCTCCATAGACCCTAGACAATTTTCTCAATGTAGCCCATCTTCTTTTATTTTAATGAAACTTAATCCAGGACTATTACAAATGTTCAAAAACAAAAGCGTTTTAAAATAGTGTGTCTATTATCTTCATTTTACAGGGAACTACAATGAAATGGATATTGTTTTTGTCATTTACATTTTCATAAAAACTTTATGTGCTTTTTCAAAGAACTTCAGTTTAAGAAAAAGATTATTCACAAATTTACAGTGCTTGCATTTTATAAGTATGCAAATGTAAATGTACAGAACTTAACAAATTTTACAAATTTTCATACCGTTAGAAGTAATGGGGCCTCATACAAACAACAATGAATGGGAAACAAAGACCATGTGAATTCTCCTGATTCTTTTCTTATAGCTTCTGTGAACCTTTAGCCAATTTATTTTATCTTTCTTAGCCACAGGTGTCATGTTTGTAAAACCATGTTAACAATAGGAAAGGCTGTTGAAAGAATAAATGAGATAATATTTGGAAATAACTTTAGCAATATAAGAAAATAATGAATCTGTGGATGTGGAAAGGATCTCACTGTTTCCTGTCTAGCCTTCAATAAATTTCAGAATATTTTAATCATTCATACAGATCATATATATTTCCACAAGACCTGTTTCCTCATTTATTTGTTTGAATCAGTATCTAAATAGGAAAGTGGACTTCAGAGAAGAATAATAAAAAAGCCATCCCTTCTTTCATTGCATAGTATCAATTATGCTCAATTCCCACAAGCCTTAAAAATTCAATGATTACATAATTAACATTTCTGAATAACTTTTATTTTTCTTTGAGGCAGGGTCTCAGTCTGTCACCTAGGCTGGAGTACGGTGGTGCGATCTCAGCTTACTGCAACCTCCTGGGCTCAAATGATCCTCCTGCTTTAGCCTCCCAAGTAGCTGGGACTATAGGCATGCACCACCATGCCTGGATAATTTTTGTATCTTTTTTAGAGACGGGGTTTCGCCACGTTGCCCAGGCTGGTCTCAAACTCCTGGACTCAAGTGATTCACCTGCCTCAGCCTCACAAATTGCTGGGATTACAGGTGTGAGCCACTGCACCTGGCCTATAAGGAACTGTTTATGTGCTAGGAACTGTACTAAGATTTTTACATTATCTTAATTTAATCCCAACACAATCAATGAGTACAGTGTTATTATTCACACTATATACATGAAGAACTTTAAGATAGAAAGGAAATTACTGACTTACACAAGGGCATGGTCACAGGGTGATTGTTAAAGCTGGCCTCCATCTCAGGTTTTCTGTCTCTGAAACTTTGTTCCTACTAATTCACCTCAAGCCAGTTCTTTATTAATATAGTTGGGTCACAGTAACTATCTGGTAACATTTAACTAAATAGAATTGTTTTCATAAGAATTAAGATTCAACCCATATTTTGAACTTAGGTATTTTTATTATTTTGGAATCACTGAGTTAACAGATAAAGATGTAAATAGCTTTATAGATAGGTATTCCTTATATATAGATTTCAAAATTAAGTAATTCTGTCAGATGGACCTCTTTTCCTTGGCAGAGGTGATAGACAATCAAAATGGTAACATAAGCAGAAATCACAAGTCGACACATGATATATGCATTTGAATATTGCCTGGAAAGCCTCTCCAAGTCCATTAAATTATTTTTCCTAGGGTGAATGTAAAACATATCAGTATGGGCACCAGCACATGTGCGAAGGGAAGAAAGCATTGGGAAAGTTTGTTTGTGTATTGATTTTGTTGGATAAAGTTGAGAATTTTTGTTTGTTGAGCTTTGTTTTGTTGAGCTTTGTTTGTTTTTATTAGAGAACAGAGTGGATAAAACATTTTCATCTAGTAAAACTGCTCCACTATGGAATCCCCTTTCCCTTTTTATGGTTAATAATCTTAATTGATCTTAATCTATTCAAAGTGGAAAATAGAGGGTAGAAAGCATCCAGCTTTAAGAAAGCAGGGCTATGTTACAAAATGCAACAGCAGGACTAACAGCAGGAGAGACTGGGGTCACTGTCCAGATACAGAGCACAGAGTATCTCACATGTGGTGAGAGAGGGCAGAGTTAGAGCGAAGAAGCAGAGCAGAGGACAGTGACCATGAGGCTTAGGCGGTTCTGGCTCGAAGAAATTGAGTGAAGTTTCTCTCAGACAGAGAAGAGAGTAGCATGTACCAAAAGATTAATAGGGATGTGCTAATGGAGCAATGATCATCTTTCCCGGAAGAACAGATTTTAACACAAGATGGGACTGAGCTGTTGAAAATTCTATGGCAACCACTATGTGAGAAGAAAATGAGTAGCTGTATGCAATAGCACAGGTCTACAGCTGCGCTACCTTTGACTAACGCAGCCTCCCTAAGTAGAACATGTGAAGCTTTGCTCCATCAGTGACTAGCTCTGTGACCTTGACAGAGTCCCTGACCTCTATCAGGGTGCTTTTTCATTTTCTAAGTTGGAATAATAATGGCTACCCTAGAGTTTTCAACTACCAACTCTATATGCAGTTCTCCCTAATCTGTCTTTTACCCAGACATCTATATGGTTCCCTCTGGAAGGGGGAGTAATTTATCTGATCAGTAAGATTAGACAAAGGCACTAGGAATGCGTAACTCAGCCCTGCCAAGTTTATGTTTTTGGGATCAGCTGGCTGTAGAAGGCTGTCATGAGGAGCAGCTTCCCTGGCATGACTGGCAGGGGAAGTCACAGCTCTGCGGAGCTGCTTCCTCTCTCTGATAATGAGTCTCAAGAATCACACTCATGGCCACTGGGGAAGCATGGGGTATTAGGAAGCCAGAGTTCAGCTCTCTAATCCAAGCTCTACTTTCCATCACATATTTACCAGTAATGAAGATGACCATTTTCTCATTCATTTATACCTCCATATTAATTGTGCAATTGGTTTAGAGTCTGTAGGGAGACAGCAGCATGACTGTAATTCTCACACACTAACAACTCTTCTGATGCAAGTAGTGTAAATTGTCACCATTTTTTAAAGTTGCAATATCACCATTAGCTCAAATAGATGCACACACTACTTACTATTATGTAAACAAAACATCATTTCAAACAATCTTAGAGAATGTCTGCAAACCACACGCAGGTTGTCAGTCATACACTTAATTCTAATGATTTTCAGGTAGCTTTAGGAGCCCTATCATCTATGACATGATAAAGACATCCAAAAATTCAAGTCTTGATGTTAATCATTTATATTTTTATCTCTTTAAATAAACAAAAACAGTAAAATATGAGCCCAGAGAAGAAGCATAGTAACTGATTGCAAGCACTTAGAAAATGCTTGAGGAAGACAGGTAAATCTTTGACACTCTACTTATTTTCTTTTTATTTCAAAGAGCTCCTAGTACATTTCTGCATACATTACACACACACACAAAGACAGAAAGTAACAAAACACTTCAAGTCTTCAAAAATAGAATTGTACATTTGAATGCCATAGCCACTGCCACTGTTAAAAATGCAGAATTTCAAATTGCACTTTTCTTGAAAATACATTGATACTCTGCTGGCTTAGTTTACTAAAATCACAAAATACAACGCCTAAGAGTGTACAAAATACATTCCCTTTGAAGAAAACTGAACATTGGAAAATACTATATACTTGGTTAAAATAGATGACTGCTCGTGAATATGTTCAATTAAGTTCAAAGCAAAATAATTTCCTAAGATCTCTTATTAATGGACTTTATAATACCAAAAACATTAAATTAAAAATCAATTAAACAAATAAAATGCAACCCTTACATATTAAATAACTGTTTAATCTTTCAAGTGGATATGACCTATTAATAATAGAAGCATTTGCAAACTGTGCAACAGTTCTGGTACAGAGCCAGGTCCAAGGCTAAGAGGTCAGGAAAAAAATAAGAATATGACAGTCCCATGGCATGAAGTTAGGCATCTGAAAACGTGTGTGCTCCAAAACAGAGGTCAGTTAATGGAAAATTTTAGAAGAGAAAGTTGGGTTAGAGCCAGCACAGCAAGCTGAAATCTGCTCTTACCTAACTGGCAAAGTCAGACCAGAAATACAAGCAAGAATAAGAAAGACACAAATATTTTAGAACTAAATGAGGTAAGTAGACTAAAATCCATTAATTGGGGGATGCTACTGAGAAGACTGCAATGATGACAGTACAGCAATCAGAAAAGATGTGACACATCCAGAAGGATCTCAAGGCCTTTTATCATTTTTATTCTAATTTTGATATTGAGCTGAACTTGGAGTAGAAACCAACTACCCAGGAACTTAAATGTAGAATTCTAATTGGGATTTCCAGTTTGGGTAAGGGAGTATATGAATACACAGTGCCTGCTGAGTAACAAGTTTTAAATTATTATTTTTCATCTGGTCCTCATCATTAGGGGTATCAAAAGTTTTGTTTGTAAAGACAGCAACTATCTGGTTAAATTCTTATACTGAGAACGAATGTGTAAAGATCAGCTCAGCCTACTCATGTGACAATTGTTAATGAATCCATTAACTCATATCTTTCTGCTTCTTAAGCACATATTTAAATATGCATAAATGTGTGTGTGTTTGGGTAATGAGAAAAATTTGTTGGCAAGGTGGCTAACGAAAATATCCAATCTCACTAGGCATACGTGCATGCTGATAAAATTGTTTGCACAGTAACTGTTGGTAGATTCAAACAACTACTTCAGAGTAGAAGCTCAAAGCCAAATACTTCAAAACTGAAGGGACTGAATTCAGTGGTCTTCTAACTGGATTCCACAGGGCTCCAGAGTCCTGAGCTACTTGATGAATGTTAGGGTGGGGGTAGTAAATAGGACTCTGACTCTCTGAGCTCTGTTTCTTCTATTTTACACTTAGAGTTTCAGAGAGATTTTATTTTGGAAATAATTTTTGCTACTAAAAACAAAAGGAATGCAGAAAGGAAAGGACAGAGAGAAAGGGAGGAAGGAAGGAAGAAAGGGAGACAGTGTGGAAGGAAGGATGGATATACGGAAGAAAGGAAGGAGGTAGGAGGGAAGGAAAGAAGGAAAGGGAAGAAACGAAAGAGAATCTGCAGATTTTATAGATTAGATAAATGAGGTCTACATACCTTAAGTGACATTTCACACATTCCTGACACAGGTAGAACTAAAACTCAGTCTTCCTTATTCTTCTATGACAAGAAGTATTGATGGCTCCATTTGTGCTTTTAGAAGAGAAGTTCTCAGATTTTTTTGAGCCAAAGGTTTCAATAGTTCCACTACTGTGAAACCAAGACACATCTGTCACTTGCACTTAGATGCTAACAGACTTTTCTGAACGAGGAAATGTTCACTGGAACCATGTTTTTTGCCATCGTTTTTTACTAGAATATCTAATTTGTCAACCTCTCCCTTTGAAGGTAAAATCATCCAGAGGTCAGTTGCACTTAAACTATGATTATCACTCAATAACTCGGTGGCTTTGGACAAGTTCTTCCCTGTCTAATCAGTTGCAGAACTAGTAGGATGGTTGTAGGAGAAATTGGGGTGATGTAGTTAAATCACTTGAGTGTTTCTCAATTGATTTCTCACATTGTTCCTCACAAAAAAGCCTTTTTAGACATTATTTTCCTAATCTCCCCCCCACAGGTGAAATTTAAACAGCATACATGCACTGTATACCTCTTTATGTACTGAATGCATATCTGTGCTTTATTCATAATAAGAGAATGAGTTTTGGATTTTTTTTTTTTTTTTGCTGCTGCTGTGCAAATAACCAATTTTAATCCCTTTGGGGGCAATAATGTTATCATTGAGAAGGTATGAAATAGGCTAATATTTAATACCATACACAAATAGCAAGGGTTGGGCATAGTGATTATGAGCCAATTTCAGCGTGTGGATAGAATGCAGAGTACCAGAGAGCCAACATCCCTCCAAAATAAAAGATGCAGCAGATTACAGAAAGATGATGGGGGCACACATGAGAAATACTACTAATTATTACAGTAATGTGTACTGTACTATGCTTTCAACTTTACATTTGCCAATTCATTAATTTTCTTAAAAGCCTTAAAAACTATTTAAATATGAGGAAACTTGGGAGCAACAACAGTGGATGGAGGGCCATCCTTCAAACCTGGGTATGTCTGTCTCCAAAATTCAGGGTATTTTCATTAGCACTCTGACATCTAACTTGGCATTTTAAGCTGCAACTGCCTGAAGTTACTAATTTCTAAAGAGGGATTCACTGGCTATTCTTGTCAAATGACTGGCTGTGTATGTAGATATATTCGAAATAATATTAGATGGTCCCAGTTGGAACTGCCCTGCCTGGACATTCTCCTTGGCCTGTTGATGTCCTTGCCCCATTTCTGTCATTATAACAACCCAATAATTGGTTTAACCTCTTAAAATTATTCTAGATGGAATGGTTTTTATCCCCTATGAATACATTACAATCTTTCTGTAAATGGTAAATGTAAAACTTAAGGGCTGCATTGCAACGTTGGGTTAAACCCGTATGTACTGATGTATAAATGTGAGTCTTAAATGATAGGCAGTAGTAACCTATGATGCTGAGAGTGCCCTATTATAAAACGGAGGGAGAAATGGGCATCAGTAGATCAGCCATGAAAGACAAGCATTAAAGGGCATTTGTCAGTAGAGTGTAGGTGGGGACCTCTTGCTTCTTGAATGGAACATAAAGTGCAAGGGAATAATTGGAGTGCAACAGAAATACATTTTTAGATGAGGGCTAGAAAATCAAGCCTAAGACAAAGAAATCCCTTGACCCTGAAATATCTCCTAGAGAAGAAAAGGATGGATTCTGGAAACTTAAGGAACTCAGACACAAGTCTCCAAGGGTTAGATAATTTCATGATGAGAGGTGGGGTCTGAAGCCATAAAAATTCTTGGAAATTACCAAAAGACATAGGAGAGCTGTGTATACGGAGGGACAGCTTTGCATATTGAAGCTGCAAGTACTTTAAGAAACTCAATTGTTCTGATGTATATTTGTACCTAGAAAACTGTTTCTTATAAAGAAAGGAAAAAAGAAACATCTTGACTGCTCATGCATGATAAACTGTGTGGGATCAAGTAAAGGAAGATAGTATTAAGGGCCAAAGAGAGGCATAAGCTCTTTCTCAGGACCATAAAAGCAAGGGTATTAGCCTTTGACCCATGACCATTAGTGGGGGCCTCAGAAGATTCTGCTTTCTGCAAGAGTACCTGGTTTCCAGGGTACCATTTTAATAGACCATAGCATGGGAAGCCCCTTGCTGGCATACCATCATAGACAACTGAAAACGGCTCTACAGAAAACACTCACTCACACAGGAGGCAGTAAGTCTCCAGAAAAGTGGGGGGACATGTACTGTTGGCTGTCTCTATTGCTTTTGTCTGATTAATGAGCTGGCAGTTGATGGTAAATATTTTATAGCATAATTTACTTCTTCACTTTTTCCACCTTACTTCTGCCCTGTGCTTTACCAATATATTCAAGCTTCATTGGCAGTACCTGTAAAAGACAAGCTCTAATGGACATAATGTAGCTAATGTGTCAAATTAGGACTTTCATTATGTGAAATTTGATTATGGGTCATAAATTACGTATTTATCTTGCATTAACTGATGAAGGTAACTTGTTAATTAGATGAAATCAAAGTTATTGACCTATAGTGAATCTCTTCTACATTTATTGTTGGCATAAAATAAAATATCATGACAAGAATACAAATGCATATTTATTTTGTTACTAGATATGTAACATTTTTTAAAAATTCCTGGGAGAACAGATGTGAAATTTGGGAGAATCTATGAGAGATTTACTCAGAATTCATATTTATTATCTTTTCCGTTTATGAAGTTGTTGTCTCTCAACAAACCTCTCCAAATTTGAATCTCTCCAAATCCACTCTTCTATATACTCTGTTTGTGGTGCTGGGGGAAGAGTGTCTGCAAACTACATTTTTTTTTTTATTTTCTTAAGGTTCTATTTTATTTTTAATTAACAAACCACAATGAGATGTCACCTTCTACCTGTTAGATTAGCTATTATCAAAAGATGAAAGAGCTTAAATGTTGGCAAGGATGTGTAGAAAAGGAAACCCTTCTATACTCACTGTTGGTGATATTGTAAATTAGTAAAACCATTTTGGAAAATAGTATAGAGGTTCCTCCAAAAAAAAAAAAACTAGAATTATCGTATGATCCAACAATCTTACTACTAGGTATAGACCCAAAGAAAATGACATCGGTATGATGAAGGGATGTCTGCACTCCCGTGTTCATTAAAGCATTATTCACAATAGTCAACCTAAGTGTTGTTTCCATTTGAGTATTTCTACACAGTGAAATACTATTCGGCCTTTAAAAAAAAGGGAATGTCTGTTATTTGTGACAACATGGATGAGCTGGGAGATATGTTAAGTTAAATGAGCCAGGCACAGAGAGAAAAATATCATCTGATCTCACTTATGCGTGGAATTTAAAAACGTCATAGAAGACAATCTAAAGAACTCATAGAAGTAGAGAGTAGAATGGTGGTTACCAGAGGCTGGGGGGAGGTGGGTGGATGGGGAAAAAGGAAATGTTGGTCAATTAGATTGGAGACATAAGTTCTAGTGATTTACTGCACAGCAAGGTAATTATAGTTAATAACACTGTATTCTATATATACAATTACTTTGTTAATTAAAAATAAAACTAAAAACAACAATTGTATATATTTATGGGGCGTGATGTTTTGATATGTGCGTATATACATATATACGTAGAAAGATCAAATCAGGCTAATTAACATATTTATCACCTCAAGTACTTATGATTTCTTTATGATGAAGACATTTAAAGTCCACTCTTTCAGCCATTTTGAAATGTACAATACATTCTTATTAACTATAGTCACCTTGCTGTACAATAGAACACCAGAACCTAGTCCTCCTGTCTTACTGAAATTTTGTGCCCTTTCATCAACATTTCCCCTTTTCCTGTCCTCTCTCCCCTGCCCCCTCAACCTCTGGTAACCACCATTCTACTCTCTATATAAATTCCACTTTTGTAAGTTCCATCTGCAGGTTTCTTCTTGTTAGTTGGATTTCTGCTTTGTTCTTCGAATAGAAGGTGCTAGAGGGAGATGGAAGACAGGAGGAGAGAAGGGATTTTTCCCTTCCAGAGTCCCAGCAACAACCCTTAACCCAACAGCAACTTTTGCTTCTGGTCTTCAATTCCTGTCATCCTCCTAAAGGGTTTCATGTACCTCCCCATAAGAACTGGCACAGTTGGCAGCATTCTTCCTCAGAGGACTAAGCTCTACCTCTGGTACTTAGAGGAAAGATCAGAGATCAGAACAATATGTTTGGAAAAGAACAGTAGGAAGGAAAACAATGCATGAAAAATATTCAGTTAAAATATTCAGTAAGTTTAATATGTAAAAAATACTCAGCACGGTGTTTGGCATGTAGTAATAAATGTGAATAAGTGTGACCAATTATTATACAGCAGAGGCTCAGCTTCTGTTAGTCATCTATAGAGGTTTTCCTTACATAGCTTTTAATGCATTATGATATACATTAGGAGGTAATGTATCAACCAAAAGGGGGTTTGACTTTTTAATTGAATAATGTCAAATTAACATAGTATGAATGTTTGCTTATTTTGTAGACCATTAAGCTATTTGCTATTTGTTATGCTCTCCCTTAGTCTTTGTTTATCAAATCACATGTTTATTTTTTCTGACCCTTTATAAACTATTTTAGAACAGTCCTTTATTCTTATAATTTTTTAGTGCTTTCTAAAATGCTGCTTACATACAATAATAAATGTACTTATTTGAATTATGGTAAGACTTCATACTCATATCATGTATTTTATGAGTGTATTTCCAAAACTTCTGCATGAATTACTTACGTTTTACAGCAGAACTAGTTACAAAAGTAAATGCTAATACTTCCATTCTACAGATTTTTAAAAATTAAGTACAGAAGTGGAAAATGATTTTTTAAAAGGCAAAGGATAGTCAAAGGAGCAGGGCTTCATTATGGAGGCACATTGAACATTGGCTACCCAAAAATCAACTTTTCAGTTGATTTTTTCAACCATCACATTTTCTGAATTTTCAAACAAAAAATAGTTGGAAGGGGAAACAAATGTGTTCATCACATATCAGACTACTCATATGATCCCAGCTGAGAAGAACCAAGACTCCAAAAGATACCTGCACTGAGACTGGTTAACCATGTGAAGCCTTAGAAGCACTGGCAAAGTGGCAGTCAGTGAAGAAGAAAGAGGAAAAGACAATAGAAGAAAAGGGAGAAGGCTGACAGGTCAGCAACAGTGGCAGAGATAATATTTCTTAGAAACAACAGTGAGTAAACAACATTAAATAAGAGCAAATACTTGTCATTGGGGATTTGGGAAAACTTTGAATCAGGCCGGACAAGTTCTAGAGACTTAGCTAACTCTTCAAGAGATCCAAATCTCAAGTCAGAGAGCAGGTTCAGGCAGGGTGGCAGTTGGTGTCTGACAGTATAACTATCAATGAAGGCTGCTACAAGAAGGGAGAATGAGTGTCAATGGGGTCCAGGAAGAGTCGGGGCAGGTCTGGGCAGGCCAACTGTCAGCAGTACAGATTTTAATCAGCCAGAAGGACCTGGGTGTAGTGGCAGGGTGCCTATTACAGAAATGATCAATGCCTGGTAGATACAGGTGCTCATAGAATGTTTGCAGGGCTTGATAACTTGATATGATTTACTTTTTTAGAGCAAAAACCAGCAGCAAGGTTGGATTGATTACAGTTACCATATGACCTGTTGGGATTAGATATAAACTTTTGGTCCTAATGGAGAAGAACCTGTCATTATAAGGCTAAGTGAGGTTGTCTTTAAATGTTTGGGATGCAAAGGCTAGAAATGTTCATTCTAAGAATGAAACATAAAAAAGAAAAAAAGACTTGTAATTTAGTGATCACTTGAGAATGGAAGAAAATGACAAACAGCTACCTGTCCTTTAATGTTACACCATCTCTACAGTGACAAGCTAAGTACCCACATATATGGTGGCATGTTTGAGAGGTATGCAAGGGCAGCACAATCAAAACAAATGTAGTTTAGAAGCCTCCCTCTAAGATCTGTTTACAGGAGGAGGGGAGAAAGAAGTTTCCAAATCTACCTGCTTAAAGTGTTACAGATAGATCCGATTGCTTAGTTCTCCCTCTAATCCACAAAAGTGTCTGCTATATACAAAAATATACTAATTTTAGAGAAAAATATGAATATTTGCATTTGACTTCAAAAGAAAGTTTGCTAAAATATTTACAGAAGAGGAAAACATTGGTTTATGTACTGAGATTGTTTCAGTAAAACTCTGCAGATACCTGGTGTTTTAAAACAATTATATAGTACAAACTAGAGCTTCTGGTTCTTATTCCTTATGATTTATTCTTGGTAAATGACTTGAGAATGCTTTTAATTCCACCTTAATGGTTATTTAAAACATTTTAAAAATTAGAGGCATAAAAATGCTGCTGACTGGATGTGTACTTTATAATACATAATTTGGGGTGTCCAATATGGACTCAGAGTTAAAAGAGTAGACATAATTATTAAACATGATCCACAGACATAGGTTGAAGGGACCTTTCTGTTTCTATGGGAACAGTCCTGTGCTCCATATTCCAGCTGGTTCCAGTGGTGCTGTTAAGCAAAGACTCTTCCTGGATGTCAGCACAGGAATGATCATGAGTCTCAAGCCTTTCATGAGGACCTCATTCCTATGGCAAGTGGGATTGGTTCACTGCTAGGGAATGAGACTCAAACAAGATCAACCAAAGTGATTTCCAGGAATGGAGACAGTATTTATCTTCCTACTAGAGTCACTGAAACAGGAGGAAATGATCTGGGATTGCTAGCCTTCATCTTCTCCTGTCATCAAGCAGCAGCATATCTGGATCTGGGGGAATGAGGCTCACATGATTAAAATAAAATAAAATAAAAAGCAAAAGTACAGCAAAGAGAGGGACAAGATGGAGAAGGCAGTCATGCCAGAGTACACAAATATAAGATGAATATGAGTTGTATCTCTGGAAAAGCCTGATCAGACATGAGACTGTTTCTGTAACTAATTAGACTAGTATTTCTTTCATAAACCAAACTTTCGAAAGCAGAAGATCCAAATTACTTATATTTTATGAGGATTAGTTTGGGATTATCAAATATTGACATGAGCACAGGACTAGAAGGCTAGGAAAATCTGGCAAGCCTTTTTTTCATTGTTGTTAGCAATTGTTTCATTGTTGTTAGCAAATCTGTTGTTAGCAGATATTGTGGTACTTTATTCATAAATCTGGCATATTTACAAAAAAAGGTTTAAAATCTTTTAGCTTAATGTGTACTTCAGAAATATGCATTATATAGTAAAATTTTAAAATAGTCTGTACATTAAAAAATTCTTATAAAGTTAACATCCATGACAGAGATAGTTGCCACTCACCAAATAGCAGTGTGTATTAGGCCCTCCTTCCCCAGGTCTCATGTAGACAGGGGAGTTGTGTAGCTAGGTCACACCAGTGACATCTGAGCAGAAGTGGCATCTATCACTTACGGGCTGAGGCATTCAAGAGCCACTGTTTGATTCTCTAGCTCTCTGCTTTCACCTTCCAGATGGAAGCATTTCTCATTGCCCATTGATCACATGAAGGATGTGGCTCTGGAAGGTCTCCTAATTCACCGCAGTCTTTGCATGAATTAAAACAAACAAAAAATAACTTCTGTTCTTACGAGCCACTGAGAATTAGGGGTTGTTCTGTTACCCCTTCACTAACAGTCTATCTTCACTAATATTTTCCTTTTTATTGCCCATCTCATTTTTCTCATGGAGTTTGGTTTGATAATATCTGGGTGAGACACTTTCAAAAGCCATTTTGGAAATGTACACGTGATTTACAGACACTCTATTTTCACAGAATCATATGTCTTTATAATTATCAAATGTTTTATAATGACTGACTAGTCAAGATGTGCATATTACATTTTAACAAGATACAGCCCCTTATTAAATGTAAAAGAAAACATTTTAAAATTCACTATTAGTTTCCTATTCTCATATTAATTCAGTGTTTCATCTGTTATTATAAGTCAAAATGTCCTTCCTTGAAAACATGGACTTTTTCTACTGATTTATTTATTTCCTATTTTCTACATTTATGGTGATAATGTGTATGTATGGTGCCAGTGTACTGATGACTTTGCTGATGACTTTTAATTTTTTATGTATCAATAGACATATAAAATGAGAACTTAAAACCTATCTACTGGGTACTATGCCTATTACCTGAGTGGTGAAATAATCTGTCTACCAAACCCCCATGACACACAATTTACCTATATAACAAACCTGCACATGTGCCCCTGAACCCAAAATAAAAGTTTTTAAAAATTACATCTTTAATCAATCAATGCACCAGTTATTTTTCAATTTTTCTGCTAAAATCACATATGCTGGTGATAAAAATAAATGAATATATGACATTAATTGATTGCCCCTGAATATTTTTTCCAGTAACATATTTACCAGTGTTTACACAGGATAATCATGATTGGGTGCCCCAAATTTTACAACAGTGCTCTGGAAAAGAGCTTCTTGCCCACTAATTTCCAAATAACTAAATTTTTATTACTAACTATAATACAAAATATCAAAATCACAAGTTAACAAGCATGAATAACTGGTAGTGGAGCCAAGTTATAGAGGTTTTTCATTCCAAGAAGGAAAAATGGAGGGCTTCAATTGCACAGTTGGAGTCATTCTTCAGTTTCAAGTGTTCAAAGTGGAATAGTGAACAGAAGAAGCAATTCTTGTCACCAATTAGGCTACATATTGACGGATGCAAGCAAACCTTCACTAGGACTAAAATGGATTTGGTGTATAAGCAGACTTATAGACATATAAAAACCACAACAGTTCTGCGTTCCTTCTTGCAACACCCAAATTTACTTTAGTGTCTTAATTCTGTAGGCTTATAATAAATCTAACCACTAATTAACATGAACACTAATTAGAATGGCCCCAAGTTAATACCTTAAGTATCTTCTCGAATAGACAGACTTTAGCTCTTTCCATGGATTTCTTACAGAATGTATAAATTCATAAGTGTTTTGCCCCCATTTACACATCCCCAATCTAAAAATGGTCCTTACTCAATGAAGGCTAATTCAGACAAGTGGTGGCCAGAGAACTCCTCAGAATCTAGGACAAGAACTGAGGTTCCCCAAACTAAATGGAGCAAGAAAGGAGCAATTGCTCTGCAAACTACTTTTACCTGTACATAGTTGAAGGTAAATAAAGTCCTAACAAGGAAAATTGAGGTAAACAAACCTTAGGTCCAGTCTGCCCTTTCTAGATGTCTCCTGCCCCGCTTTATATAATTTTTAGAAGTTTTAATCTGCTTTTTAAGAACAGCTTGTTGAAGTATAATTGTCAAATAAAAACTGCATATATTCAAGGTGTAAAACTTGACATCTTGATATAGATATACGTTTTGAAATGATCACCGCAATTTAGCTAATTAACATATCCATCACCTAACATATTTAATATTTTCTCTTTTTTATTCCTGTGGTGAGAACACTTAAGATCTACGCTCTTAGAAAATTTCAAGTATATAATAGGTGTTGCTAACTATATTCACCATGCTGTACATTAGGGGTCAAGAACTTATCTTGCATAACTGAAACTTCGCATCTTTTGCCCTGTCTCCCCATTCCTCTCCTCCTCCTAGCCCCTGTCAACCACCATGCTACTCTCTGCTTCTTTCAGTCTGACTATTTTCTATTCCACATATAAGTGAGATCATACAGTATTTGTCTTTCTGTGTCTGGCTTATTTCACTTAGCATAGTATCCTCCAGGTTCATCTAACATTGTTGCAAATGGCAGGCTTTTCTTCTTTTTTAAGGCTGGATAAAATTCCACTGCGTATATGTGTATACACACGTATGATTGTGTGTGTGTGTGTAGACATACGTGTATCTACACACACACACATATATATGTCACATTTTGTTTATCCACTCATCCATCAGTGAGCATTTAGGTTTTCCCTACATGACTTTATGATGCTTCTTTCAAATGTACTCCCTACAAAACTCTTACCTTCACGATGTGGACATTAGATCTACTGCCTATTCTGACTGCAAACTTCCAGAAGGGACTATTCTTTCCCAGAAAACCCCTTCCCACCTCTGAAAATTATACTCATCATTTAAGCCTCAATAATTTATTCAATAAACATTTCCTCCCCAGCACCTTGAGAGGCCCAGGCGGGCAGATCACTTGAGGTCAGGAGTTTGAGACCAGTCTGGCCAACATGGTAAAACCCTTTCCCCACTAAAAATACAATAATAGCCAGGCATGGTGGTGCGCACCTGTAACCCCAGCTACTTGAGAGGCTGAAGCACGAGAATCACTTGAGCCCAGGAAACAAAGGTTGCCGAGAGCTGAGATCACACCAGTGCACTCTAGCCTGGGCAACAGAGTAAGACTCTGTCTCAAAAGAAAAAAAAAAGAAAAAGAAAAAAAGAAACATTTCTTCAACCTCTCTCTGTGCTTCCTCTGCTAGGCAACAGGATATGTATGTAACTGAAAGGCAACTCTTCCCTTCAAGGAAATAACAATCTAGGGGTGAAGACACAGATGCAAACTGATATGTAAAATAAAATGCAGTAAATTACATAGGCAGGGCATACAAAATATGTCACAGATATGCAAGGAGAGGGCATATCTAAAGAGGCTCTCAATGAAGCCTTCCAAATCACCTACAGCCAAATAAGTGGTCCTCCTACTTTTACTTTCCGCAAGTAATTTTCTCGTGGCAATATGCTTTCTTGTGGCAATCTAAAGAGGCTCTCAATGAAGCCTTCCAAATCACCTACAGCCAAATAAGTGGTCCTCCTACTTTTACTTTCCGCAAGTAATTTTCTTGTGGCAATATGCTTTCTGATAAAGAAATGATGTCAGAAGCCAGACAGCATGTCTTCAAATCCCAGCTCTGTCACTCACCTATCTTTGTGACCTCAGGCAAATCACCTCCTTTCTGGAGATGTCAATTTATCTATCTCATTTATAAAATTGAATAAAAATAGCACGTCTTATGGTGTCAGTGTGAGGATGAACTTGTGTCATGAACAGCAGTGTCTGGCACTTAGTAATTACTTAACAAATATTGGCTACAAATATATCATTTTTCTCATCTACAATCAATTAGAGTTTGTTATTAGCATAACTATGACCTGTAATAAATTATAATTTCTTTGGGTGAATTTATCCATATTGCCAAATTGCAAAAAGTAGAGCTTTAATAATTGATTCTTTACTGGTACTTTTTTCTGTCTAAACTCCTGAAGTCTTCTCTTTCTCTGAAATCTAATTTGTATTTGCCTTTCACTATTGGCAACATTAAAGTATCAACTTCCCTTTGATGAAGGTCCGCAGCCCAGGGCCTGAATGGAACATCTGCTCTTATTAACAATTCCTTCTTTTTCGAGCTTGTCTATTCTTTTAGAGCAACTTGGCCCTAAATACCCCCTAACACCTCATCTTCAACCCTAATTCCCTGTATGGCCCTCCCCCAAGTTTTCCATGACTTCAGTCTGTTCAACAACAACTCCATTTCTATTAGTCCAATCATCTCTGGGGTCTGGGTTCTCTCTCTCCCCATCCCCTCTGTTCATTTCGAAACCCTCTATGTTTCCACTGTTTTACTCAAAGTAATGAGTAAGTACCTGCACTGGCAGGACAAGTATAGAACGTCAACAAGTGAAGATGTTCAATAAACCCTCATCATAGAGTATTCATTAATTATGATTGAAGAAGTAATCTACACCTCCAACTTCAGCTTCTGGCCTAAATTACATTTTTATACCTTTGTATATTATATTTTTGTATATTATTATCTCAGTTTGTTTTGTGTTGCTATAATAGAATACCACAGACTGGGTAATTTATCAAAACACACACACACTGGCACACACACACACACACACGCAAACACACATTGATTTCTCACAGTTCTGGGGGGCTGAAAAATCCAAGATCAAAGAGCTGTTATCTTGTAAAGGCCCTCTTGCTGTGTCATCACATGGTAGAAAGTAGAATGACAAAAGAGAGAGCCCATTCCTAAAAGCCCATTTAAAAATGATATTCCTCCATTCATGAGGATGGAACCTCATGACCTAAACACCTCCCATGAGGCCCCACATCCCAATACTGTTACTTTGGCAATTAAATCTCAACATGAGTTTTGGAGGTGACAAACATTCCAACCATGGCAACAATAAATGAATGAGATTTGTTTTAGTGCAGTAAAATTATTTGTTGTATTTTTCAGTAATATTTAGAGAAAAGCTTATTTCAGCAGAAGCAATAAATGTGTTATAAATGATCCTTCCAAACATTTATACTTATAATTGTCAAGCACAGCCATCTAATAAGAGTTGAAAGGTAAATTAGTTAGGAAAACTGGGTTGCCTCTCAAATAAATAATCTAGCATGTGTTTTGAAGAATGAATGACGTATATAAGGAAGAGTTTAGAGGAACTTTTCAATCCTAGAATGGCATAAAATATATGAAGCTCTGTCACACTTCATAAATCAGTACTGTTAGTAGATCCATGTCAGACAGCAACTGTGTTTGCAAGTACCAACGTAATTATAAATGGAGGGCATCACCAGGAGTGGTTCTACACAGATCTGACCCAGGTGATTTACAAAAAGGTTGTCTCTCCATAACATATACTTGGATGCAGTCACTTACATTTGCTAATTGCTACTGTTTCCTAATTATTCCTGGGAGCAAGAGGGACAAATGATGCCCAGAATAAATTTGAAAAGCATATTGGAACTCTGAAGACAGGGGCAGAAAAGTGAATATTTTAGGATAAACATTTTTAACACCTTTTTCTTCCAAAAAGTGTTAAATTTTCAATATGGTTAAAATATCGAAATAGGTAGGTTATTGCTGCAAGAGAATGGTTGGCTTCATAGCTAATATCACATAGTGGAATTTTGACTTCTGGGATGTGGCTTATGACACCAGAAAGACAGACACTTGAGGCAATAAAGGTCATTATTTTTGAGATTCAGAAACTATATATTTGTCCAGGTAATGGCTGATACGCACATAAATAAATTGAACGTGGAGAGGAGTGATGAATAAAAGCCCACATTCAGTTGTGAAATAAATTACAAATTGAGCACATTATGAAGACAAATACACTGTAGAAAGCACATTAAAACAAAGTAATAATAAAAGTATTATTACAAATCAGTGAATGATTACTATATCCCAGGCACTTGAAGGTATCTGATTCAATGCCCCAGTATCCCTTTGAGGTAGGTAATTATCACCTCCAATTACACAGATTTTTTAAAATGAGGCTTAATTGATTTAAATCTTGCTAAAATTCTCAGAGCTAGCAAATGATAGAGATAAAATTTGAAATCAGGACCATCTGATTGCACAGTTCATCATGATACCTAGACATTTAGGAGAAAATATTGGAGAAATGGGCAGGAAAAGTCCTAAATGACCTCAGACACCTCTACACATAGGACATAGGTAATAAATAAAATAAAATTGTGATGATAACAGGTGAGAAATAGAACTTCATAGATGCAAATAAGATCTGAAAAATAGGACAATTATTCCCATTGTTGTCATTCCGGCAATACCAGAAGAGGAAGCTTTAAGCACATACACACACATGCACACATGATGTCTATTAGAAAGAAAGGTAAAATTGTCTGCAAGTCCAGATGACATGCACCTGTAGCAATACTGAGTTCCCTCTGGGAAGGATATGAATGAGGTATTCCCAACATGATCACAAAGTTGCGGCATGCTTTTAATCTATAGCTGCACATTTCTTTTGGCAGAAAGAAGACTCTTCTAAGTTCTTCCCTAAATAATACAGCAATATTTTATGAGCTTTAAAAAAGTATACAAATGACACTGGACACTATCCATGGCTCAGCAGAAGTACACTTTAAAGACACATAGGTTTTAGCAAAAAAAAAAAAAAAATGAACTCAATATGATTTAAGAGTTGATATGGCTTCCAAATAAAAGATGATGTGATGTGATCGTAGTATTCATTAAGAGATCTATCTAATCTAGTTCCCTGAGAGAACTGACCTGTGCTAGTCCAATATCTCTTGGCATACTCTGCTTCATTCTTGTCAAAGATTTCAAGAGGGATTTATTGAACATTTAAAATGGAAAAAACCAGAATATCTGAAGGACTTTTGAAGGAAATAAGCATGTTTAAAGTGAAAATAAATTTCAAAGAACCATGGTGGCTACCCTCAAATATGTAAAGAATTGATTGATTGCCACGTGGAAGAGGGTTAGAATTTTTTATGGCCAACTATGTTATACATTAGCTTGGAAGATAAAGAGCTTCTAGTTACTGGAGGCATTTAGGCATCATCTGAACTGATGCATTGGTTAGCATCACTTTTTAGTGAGTAATTGGACTCAGTGTCTTTTAAGAGCTCTCTCAGTGCTGACACTGTACTCTGCACATATTCCTTCACTGCCCTCCATGTGACATTGGCACATATTTGTGAAATATTTTGACCAAAATTAGAAGTAAGTCTTTAGAGATAACTAGCTTGAGGGCTTGCAATAGAGCTACATGGAGATTTAATCAGTGGCCTTGGACTCATTAGCGCCACATCCTCCAAACCTGGCTCTTACATAGTCATGGTCAAAGTGTGTTGGTGAAGCAGACAGGTAAGAAGCCATCTGAAGATATTCTTACAATTCATACTCATCTACATATTGAGAAGTCTGCCTTTTCTTTTTCTCTATGGAGATATCTATAAGCAGGTAGTGGGTTGTAGGGAGATCAGTACTGCCAGTAGCAGCTATCCCATGGTCTTCACGTAGTTGGGAGACTCACTAAGACGAAGCTCAGTGAAAATTTCAGGGCTGTGCTGTTTATTATGGTCTGCTATGGTATGATCACCCACCACTTCTGGTTTACACCTATATCAAATTCCAACAGCTGCTGAGCCTGAGTAAGTCATAAATATAATGAACTTTGACATGACTGAAGGAAAGTTAATTTGAATTATATCATCTCAGCAATACATCTCCTTGAGAATTTTAGAATAAAAACATCCTCAACAAATCTATAGACAACATGGCAATTTTATATACCTCTTGTGGTTTTCAAATCATTCTTCCCTCCAAGGCCAATTGTGATGAGGGTGACTCTATGGGTTATGTCTTTTATTCCATTGAAGGCAAGTTATCATAAGGCTAGTTACCAGAGGAAAGTTACCACCAAGGAGATGAAGAGCATGTGCTTCAATGAATGACTGTGTTAACAGTGTGTTAATCAGAACAAGTACTAGGAAAAGTGGGAATTTAAATGTGGCACAAAGGCCAAGGCATGCACCAATGTAAATTTAGAAAACTGTCGAGAAAATATGTATGGTTACTGCTGGAAATAATTCTTCAGCCAATTTGGTAAAACTCTAAGTGTTAAAGTGATGAGAGATCCAATGGGAAATCTCTAGAGTTTGGCTGTGAGTTATAAAGTTCATAAGAATGCCAAAAAGGCCAAAGAAAAAATAAAAGTAAAATAAATTAGTTGCAAAATCATATGTGGGGTTGGATCTAAAGGAAAGTTGAACACATAGAAAACTGAGTTAAAACAAACTTTTAAGTCCTGAAAAGGCAGAGAATTAGCCGGTGTAGGAAGCTGAGTCTCAAAATTAAGGATCTTGATAACTCTATGGAAACAAAAAGTTAAGAAAGGCATTTTCTGCTTATAGATTAATAACCAGTATTGGAGGAGAGAAACATAGCAATTCAGATCTGTTTCCCTTCTCCCCCAGCAGAGAGGATGAAAATTGGCCATTGTGTATACCTCCCCAGACTCACTGTATACCTCCCCAGAGGAAGTTAGAGAATAAGATTGACCTGATCAACTGGTATATTCAGCTATGGCTGGAAAGAGAGAGTTCCCAGGCAATCCCATTATTAACTGTGCTGGTGGCTACTTTGTGCAGATTCCCTATAGGCTCAGAACAGACCTCCATATTATTCCCTGATAGTCTGATTCAAATGAGATCCCATATTTCCTGGTAGGAGAACATGGTTAACAAGGTGCCGTATGCCAGTCTGAGCCACACTCTCGACACCTGACCTCTCAACAAATGGTGCTGCAGCCTCTTGTGGCCTCCCCGTTATTGCTCACACCATCAATCCCTCTGTGGTATAAAACGGAACCATCCAGTATGTGCTCCAAATCCTAGGCTGTGACTCTGCCTGATGCCCCCAGCTTGGGATACAAACTCCACAGACATCATAATCTACAGCTGAAACACAGGTATAAGAGGCTTTGGACATTTCCAGGCTGCCTCAGCACTCCTTCAAAAGCAAAATCAAAGAATAAGAAAATGTTTATCCTGACCATCCAAACCATGCATATAAGGTTGAATGGAAAGATTTGGGAATAGTGCTGAGATGAATGACTTGGAATTGCTACACCTGCTGGAGTTTATTCCACTCCAAAATGTCTTTATTCCATCAGGAAGGGAACTGCCCTGGAAATAGGTGCTGTTACTGGGGCCATCTCTTAGGCAGGAAAAAATTCAGACACCAACAAAAGCCAGATTATAGCTCATTGTCTGTGACTTGATAGATTGAAGACAGACCATTATTTTCATGGACCACAACACCAAAAGCTACAAATGGCAGAGCCAATATATCCTTTTGTTTCAAAATGTCAACTATAAAAAGCCTAGAGTTTTCCTATCATTACCACTTTTCTGGATACCTGTATGTTTCAGACAATGGAATTATTTTCTCTGTAGGCTTTTAAAAATAAGTCTTTAAAAATTGGTCTAATATGTTGTACCAAAGTCTGTCAATTAAGAAATAAAGCTCTTGTTTTTAAAAAAAAAGAGTCATGGAAACAATTTCTAAAATCCATATGCTTTAAAACCTGCAGTAAGATCATATTGTTTAGAATGAATGTGTGTGGTCTTCTTACCTGACCCTTCGGGTATTTTTTTTTTAAGAATCCCAGGACAAGCATGTGTAGTGATAAAAACAGCAAACACTACACGGATATTTCACCAAAGGCTGGTGAAACTCAGGATAGTTAAACTAGATAGCTTTCATTTCCATCACTGGCTCTACCTAATGTTAGTATATTTCTTAAACCAGGACTTCTTAGGAAGTTCAGTGGGCACTAGCAAATCTGCACTATGCAACTGGAAGAAACTTGTATACATAGCCACTTTCCAGTCTTGGCTAACACCATCAGCACAATGTCAGCTTATTTTCCACTTCCGGTTGCTCTACTGTCTGTTATCATCATGTTGACACAGCATACATTTCCCTTCATTATCACCTCTCTCCTTACTTTTATACTTAGGTAAGTAGGACTGAAGTCAAGTGAAACCTGTTTTTTAGGTTATGAAATAAAGAGAGATTAGAAATACTGAGAACATGGGTAGTAAGAGAAGGAGGACTTAGAGACCTGTTTGTCTATATTAATTCTCCATCAGCCTAAATAGATTAAATACTGATTCCAAATTGATTATAATCAGAGGTGTATACTACCAAACACTGAATTACTCTCTCTTCATAAATGAAAACTGCCTACATGTAGCTTTTTATCGGAGTTCTTTTTAGGTGTTTCAAGAACAAAATTTTAATCATCAGGTTCTAAAAAGAAACAAAGTAGAGAGAACAGAGTCAGCCTCATTTGTGCAATCATGCATTTGTTCATTTCTTCAAATAAAATGTCCTGCTTACCTATTATATTGTCAAGCACAGTGCTGGGTACAGGAAACACAGAGATGAGGAAAATAAGTATCCCAGTGCCTATGGAGATGAGCATTTAGTGACTTAAATAGCCCCAGCAAGTCCGCAGATGCTGGAGTTGTGGTCCATCTGTTTTTGTTTCTCTCATTGACTTGCAATTGGGATACCAACAAGAAATCTGATATTACTCCATGTGAAGGACGATGCATCCAATTTCTATGTGGTTTTATAGGAGCCTAGTTCAATAAAGCTGTAGTGAATGCTTAAAATGAAGCAGTGGGTATGGCTTAAACAATTTGGACTTTGGAGACATTAGGCTTCAAAACCAAACTTGCATTTAAATCCCTGTTTTACAACTCACAAATTCCATGAAACTGTTTTACTATCAGAAAAATGGGTGAATATTTATGAAATGATCTTTGTATAACTGTGGTCAAAGTATGCATTAGCATGTGTATTCTTCTCTTTCTCTAAGCTTTTACTCAACACCTTGAGGACAGAGAATGCAAAACTATATAAGATCAGGAATACAGGAAGATAACACACGGCAAGAGGAACTTTGAATATGACTTTAAAACATTTTACACCCAAGAAAATATCAATGCTTATAAAATTAAATAAAAACTGTATATAGAGATGAATAAGAATATATATTTAGATAATACATTTTAGATAAAAATGTATATCTCTAGGCATTGTTCATTACCATTCTCATTGTACTAATTAAAATTCTAAATATTATTTGGAGGGGTTAATATTTCTGTATCAACCAAATTCTAAGAATTTTTTAGTATTACATTGAATGTTTGATAGGAATTTATTTCTAGAGTTTAAAAATGAGCTAGCAAACTCAACTTGTATTGTACTAGCAATAGTACACTTACTAAATTATTATAATTACATATTGCAATCCTTATAATCTATTTGTTTCTTTAAAATTATTATATGAAGGTCTCCCATATTTATCACACGAGTATCTGATATAAATGTGTGTGTTGGGGGGTATGTAAAATATACAACTTTCATTTGACTTGTATTTTGGATTTTGTTCTTTTGTTTTTGCAATGGCTATATCTTAATTTCATCATATATCATAATTGAAATTGGTTTGCAAATTTTCTTCAAAGTTATATATCTTCATTTACTATACACATGATCAAATGTGAATTAGGATGCTTAATGCATAGTATATCAGCTTAATATGCCATGTTTCAAATTGTACATTCATATCCTTTGAAAAATGTTTAAGATTAAACACATTTTTAAAATCATCATTATTATTATAAGATAATCTTAAGGGATTGTATGTCATGTCTAAAAACAGTAGAAAATTATACAAAAAGTCATCTAAATCAATAATGTACACAGTATTTACTTACTGTATAAGTTTCCTATTGCTGTTATAACAAAATTACCAGAAACTCAGCAGCCTAAAACAACACAAAGTCACTGCCCTGCAGTTTTGGAGTCAAAACTTGGCTCCAAATGGGTCTCACTTGGCTAAAATCAAATTAGCAGCAAGATTGCATTGCTTTTGGAGGCCTTAGAGCGGAACCTGTGTTCTCACCTTTTTCATCTTTTAGAGGCTGTTTTCTGCATTCCTTGGCTCATGGCCCCTTCCATCTTCAAAGCCAGCAATGACAAGTTGAGTCTTTCTCAGGTCGCACTACTGACTCTTCTGCCTCCCTCTTCCATATCTGAGACACAACCGGATAATTTAGGATAACCTCCTTATTTTAAGGTCAGTTGATTAGCAGCCTTGATTCCATCTATTACTTTAATTCCTTTTTGACATTTAATATATTATATTCACAGGTTCTGGTGATTAGAATGTTCACATCTTTGGGAGGCCCTTATTCTGCTTAACACAACTATTTACTGTTGAATTTTATGCCATCTATTCAAGGAACACTGGTCTACTTTATATATTTTATTCTAATTTAAGCAATATTTGTATGATTAATGTTTTTATGCCTTAAATGTATTTGTAGAATTTTATTAAATTCTTATAGCAAGTATTTCAGTATTCCAACTTTTTGTTTGTTGTTTATGATTCATCTTATCAATCTACTCTCATCAACCTAGAATACAGTTGCTGGATAAAATACAGGACATCCAGTTACATTTTAATTTCAGATAATTATATTTTAGGATGCCACTTTGTATGACACATTTACACAAAATAATTATCCATTGTTTATCTGAAATTAAAATTTAACATAACATCTGCATTTCTATTTAATAAGTCTAGCAACCCTATCCTAGGAAACCCTGAACATTGTTCCTCTGTAGAACTGAAAAAGAATTTGTGGGATCATCTGTTAAGACC
Source organism: Homo sapiens (assembly GCF_000001405.40). Classification (NCBI taxonomy): domain Eukaryota; kingdom Metazoa; phylum Chordata; class Mammalia; order Primates; family Hominidae; genus Homo; species Homo sapiens. Next base: position 126,516,401 of record NC_000007.14, read on the forward strand.
TCTTATGGAGAACTGAGACCCAAATACAACTGCAGTTGATGTTGGAATGGTTTCAAATAGAAGCAGAAGGTATTTTTTTTCAGAATTTTAAATGACTCAAAATAAATATTTGGCCAACAGAAATCAGAAAGAAGCATGCTGCTATTGCATGAAATTAAACTAAGCAAGCATCTATGATTTCCTGACAGAAAGTATGCTTCCAGTAGGATAGCAGCAAGAAAGAGAGCCCTTTGGTATAATACCTGATTACATGGCACCACTTTAAATTAGTGTAATATTCTAAGAAAGAGAACATGGGAGGCAATTTGAGAAATAAGCCATGATTTAGGAATTCATAGTATAAGTGGACCAAATAGAAAATACTGTTACTTGTATATATCTTACTTTATCTAAGATATTTAAGATATCTCAAAGTTAATTTCAACTATGGTTGTTTTGCTCCAGAAAATAAATTGTTTATGCTTTTTAATCAAATACTGCAAATATATGAATTCTTTTAAAAAAACACATATTTAAAGATTTCTTGACAGACTATGTTATTAGAGTGTGGAGAATAGAAAAAAAAGTCTTATAAACAAATCATGTTATAACATATCTCTTTCTACTTAGTCATATTACGGTCATAAAAATAATTTTACTTTAAATACAAAACAATTTAGTAATTGATATTAAATAATTGGGCTCAATTCCATTAAATCACATGAAAATATGAAACATTTTGTGTCTGTTTAGGGCCAGTTTTACACCAGAAGAGTACAATGCTTATAGGTACTATAGTTACTGCAGATTTACATAACAAGAATATAAACTTAACATTTCTCAAGTGACCAAATGCATCAGCAAAAAAGTAGGGACAGCAGAGTTTAGAGAATGCCAAAGGGATTTAGGTTGGTCAGTATGGCAAATGAAGACTCGTCATCTCACTTACCAACAAACGAGTAAGAAGAAGCAGGAGTCTTAGTCAATACTCAAACCAATCCTGTGTGCTGAGCATTGTTTTTATCCCCATTTTACAGACACGAGCTGAGGCTTAGAGTGGGAATATATGCCACGTCACTTAGTACATGCCCAAACCACAATTTGTGTCAAGCATCCAGTCTCTACATCCATGCTTATAAACACTATACCATGCTGCCTCCATGCAATTAAACTGAATGTGATTTAATTGCTCAAGTTGTTATGTTAAACAGTGTAAAGTTTGTAACTATCACACATTGTGATCAGTTAAAATTGATTATATAAAATATTATGTGTGTTGTGAATATGGCCTTTATTTTTCAAAATAATCAAAACTTATTTCAACTTGCACTAATATCTTCATAGAGCTCCTGGATAATGGCATAAGAGTTTGGGGAATTAAGATTCTGGAGAAAAGCACCTGCTTTTGAAGGTTTCAAGTCTAAGGGAAATAATTATTTTAGATAGATTGCCCCATAGGATTTTCAACCAAAGGAAGAGAACTCGTCACCTATATGGTTTCCATATTTGAATTAAGTCTTAAACTATCATGAATTTATTTTTAAGAAAATTACAGCTTTTCTTGTTCCCAATTACAAAAGTACTTTAAAGTGTTGGCTTTTTCTTAGGTTCCATAGGAAGAGTCAAGAGAAAAAGACATAAAAGGGAACTTAACTGGTTCTTGTCACCAACACTTTACAATTTGTCATGACAGGACTGCTTAGTAGACACAATGTCCTTCCCTCTTTTTTAGCCATTGAGGCAGAGCAATTTATGATACTACATTAACTGGCAGTATGAGGAAAACGTGGTAGAAGAGGATAAGGAACTCGCTAATGTGAAGCGAAATAAAAAATGAGTTTCTAATAAGAGATTACTTTACACAATAACTTTTCTGGGGTCACATCAGTCTTCCAGCTTGTGGCTTATGTATTTCCATAAGAGGAAAAACATTTTGAATGACAAACAAGAAGTAATGATGAGTAGAATGTGCCACAGAAAAGTTAGGTAATGTTCAACTAGCAAAATCTGATATACTGAGAGGTATCTGCTGTGGGCTATACTTTTATTTTTGCAAATAGAGAGCAAGAAATTTATAAATTAATGTAAAGTACTGAGTACTGGGCATCCTTTTTCTCTTTCTGCCTAAGATAGCTCATAAAACATAAACATATGGTTATCAATAGATACCCCATAGGGCTCTTGGGAAAAGTAATTCGGATTCTGGATCATACGTTTGTATCATGCTATGTTGATGTGAATGCAATTGATTAAGGTTTATGAGACCAATAATCCACCTTAAGTATATTTATCTTCTAAAATGCTTCCTGCATTAATTTGCATCTCTCACTGAATATGCATAATAATCTTCATGTGCATTTGCTTAAAAATTAGGTCATGCCTCTGAGTAGTTGACCATTTCTTATGTAGCTGGCATTTTTTTTTCTAAAATAAGAGCATCTTAGAATTAAACAGACCCTTAGAGACTACCTAGTCAAGTTCTCATCTTACTTGAGGTAAGAGGACAAGATTCAGAGAAGATAACTTCCTTAATCAAGTCCACAGATATGTTAATGAGAAAAGAATCTCAATTTCTTGTCTACCAGGCCAATCATTTCCTTTACTTTTAACTTTAACTCACTTTTTAGAACACATTAACTCAGAATTGGCTTAAAAATGTTTATCCCTTTTTCTTTTCTTTTTATCAATTTCAACAAAAACCTTGTACTTGAAAACTAGTTGCAAAGCACTTGGATTGTGGGGCTGGCAAGAAGTGAGAGTTGGGAAGAATGCACAAGAATTATGATGATCTCTTCCTGAGGAATCGCTGAATGGAAATACAACCATAGTTGCATAAATAACTGAAGAACAACACAGAACACAAATCTGGAAATGTAAAATAATGGACATCCAGATAGAGCACATATGTGTTTAGAACTTGTATTAATAGGGAAGATTTCATGGATTAGTTGATTTCATAAGAAAATTGGTTTCACTGAAATGAAGAGTGGTATAACAAAATGAAAGTGGTATTAATAAAGTTTGGAAAGTTTGGATTTGAGCTAATAGTCAATAGGAATTAATTTTACTTTAAGAACCCTTAATAGCACCACTGAGAGTACACATAGCAATTTTTACTGAGTAACTAAATTATCCCTTTAAAAAAGTCTCTTCTACAGAATTCAAGCTCCACGATGGCAGGCCACTTCTGGCTCAAACAGTGCTGTTAGTATTCAGCAGAATGACGGTGTTAAAACAAAAATGGACTGATTGAGTAACTATAAAAGAAGTGGCAGTCTACGGCCATACCACCCTGAACGTGCCTGATCTCATCTAAAAGAAGTGACAAAGAAGAAGTGTTGTGCAAGAACTTTATGGCAAAAATCTGGAAGTCACTTTCGAGTACAGTGATCAGTGCTTATGTAGCTAGCAATTTTTTTCTAAAATAAGCATCTTAAAATTAAACAGATTCCACCCAGATGTGGACTAGAGATTTGACCTTGGAAGTGAGAAGGAAAAAAATAGATCTAGGAGAAATTTCAAACAAACACTATAATTTGTTGACAGAGTCTAAACAGGGTAAAAAGAAGAGAAGTCGGTGTCAACTTCCAAGTCTGGATCTCTGAAAGACAAAGATAATGTTGACATAGAAAGGAGGAAATAAAATAGACACTGAGCATAACAGAGAAACATAAGGTAGGTTTTAAGCCTGAGACCTATGGACAAAAGGAGATTTGACCTTGGAAATGAGAAGGAAAAACATAGATCTAGGAGAAATTTCAAACAAACACTGTAATTTGTTGACAGAGTCTAAACAGGGGAAAAAAGAAGAGAAGTCTAAAAAGAAGTTTAACTTCTTTTCTCTAAACTTCTAAAAAGAAGGTTTTATTATTCTAAAAAGAAGTTTAGAGAAAAGAAAATGGTTTAAATATAAATAACATGATTTGGCATGATAGGAAACATTCAATGAATAGTGACCATTTTAAACATGATACATTTGGGGTTTTAGATAGCTTAATTTCACAATTTGGGTTTTGGATTGCTTTCTGATCCCAGTTTTGGATTGTTTTAGTTCACATTTTTGAACACGTAAAAGGGCAGAGATTAAGAAAGCAGTGAGGAAAGCACGAATGCAGCTTTTCTAGCAGGAGATATGTGAATGATGAGAATGTCAAGGGAATAGTGCCTGGGAGAAAGTCCAAAATGGGGCAACTTGAACAGAAGGAAGATGAGATAAAGAAGACAAAGAAACAAAAAGATTCAAAGCAATGTGGTTTCCCAGAGTGCAGGGGAGGGGAAGATATAAAATGAGGACATATCATTAGCAATCACCAATCTATGCCTGCGCTATACATAAAAAATATATAAAATAATAAGAGAGGTGGAAACAGGTAATTTGACGGCCTTCTTTGGAGACATGTACGTTATAATCCTATGGTAGTGACTCCCTCTACTCATTGCCAGTCTTCTTGCCATCTTCTATACATATTCTTCTTTTGTATTTCGAATGTAATTATTTCGTGCTTTTTATTGTCAGTTCTTAACAATAAATAGGCAGTGTAACCAAGTGTTCGATAAATTGCCATTTGATTGGACATTTTAGCATGGGGAAAATGTTTTGTTGAAGAAAGGACAGCACTACAGTGATAAGCTGCCTGCTGATGTAAACACTTTAAGGGTTTATGACAGGCTCACTATCTACCAATACTATTTTCAATTCAATTCAATTTGAGTAGATGAGGATTTTAGAGAAAGCAGCTGCCAGGAGAAACATATGACATTTAATCTTATCTGAGAACATGAAATCTTCTGCAGAAGCTATAAGTACATACGTGTGTGTAATTTGAGTCTTAGTGTATATTCAAAAAGGTTATAGAGGAAGCTGTATTCTATAGGATTTAAGCCAACAGACAAAAGAAAATACATTTCTTGGTATTTTTCCCAAGATACACTTGACTGAACAAATAACATAGAGAGTCTAAAATTCCAAGTGAAAACATTCAACTGATTGCAATTTTTGAACTATTTTTTTTTTCAAAATGGTAACCTTAATTCCTCTTCTAAAATCCCACAAAAACCTACAATTAGTGTGGATGCTATTTGATTGGTTGAAAACTAGTCCCTGTTAACAGGATTCAAAACACTGCCAAAATACAGAACCCTGCGGATTACCTTATGGACTCAATATATTACTTTAAAAAATGATTTTAAAGAAAAACAACAGAATAATTGAAAATTGACTAATTCTGATTTTATATGCAAGGCACTCAAAATTACACAAAACTGAGTTGTGGTAAAGAAAAAAATATTTAGTGAATTTGGTCATGACCATGACAAATAGTAAAAATAAAGATTACTCTAAAATTTGCCCAAGCACATTGTAATATAAAATCCATTTAACTTTCAAATTTATATAATAAACTGATTATATATTTAAATTGGATGCATCATTTACAAATAATTTGGCTTTTATTTCTAATGAATGTGCCTTTTATTTCAACTATCAAAATTCATTTCCACATTATTTAGCAGATTTGTTTACTCAAAATCATAATCTACCAGATACTCATGCTGTGTATCTTTACTTTTGCTTTTATCCACACAAATTGATTTTTACCCAATTTTCACTATTTTGAGCCCAAATATTCTTCTCCATACTTGTCTAGATGCAGTCATTAGCCATTTAAAAACTGGTTTGCTCTTTTAGTCCAGACCAGAGAGAAAGCTATGACTCTTCCTTGAAGTCCAATTGGGTAGAAACCTTGTAGCAGCCCCAAAGAAGGTTGCACATTACAAGCACAATCACATGCCATAAACTGCAAACATCTCATTTTCCATTGTCTTCTGTTCCCAATTCAACTTGAAATGAGTCCTCTCCTTTCCACTTCCACCGCCACATGTCAAACCCCCAATATTTCTTGCCTGGATTTCCTCAACAAACTTGTTATTTTATTTTTTCTTATCCACATCCCCTGCAACTCTTCAGACTCTCCACTGGCAGAGAAATTTCCCAAAATATAATGGTACTGAGAACATATTCATGCTCAAAAAGGTTAAATATACTCGAATCCCTAGCAAATGAAGTACAAACATGGCATAAATCCCTTCATAAAATGACTCCCAATTATCTGACTATCCTTGTTTTATAGTAATCATATAATTTTTCGCCCACACTGGAAAATACTTTTTCAGTGGAAAAGGTGTGTTATTAACAAGGAAAAAAGGAATATGTGGCCTCCCAGTTCTCCTTGTGGCTATCTTAAACTTAAAACAGGTTTTTGGTCACAGGTTTTACAAACAATGCCCAACTTTCCCTTCTCTGAAAGTGTAAACCCACTATTTCTATTGTCTAGGAGGCTGTTTGCATCTGTTCCTTTCCCTCTTTTAGGCCTTTTTAAATTCCCACTTCCTTCATGGACAGTTTCTTCATCCGTTCACCATCCCTGGTCCCAAGACGTCATACTGTGAACTTCACCTCCATTATCTTACTCTGCCTTGACCAGTCACTTCTGTGCTTGGTATTATCCCCCTGACTTGACCCTTAAAAATCTGATGACTTCTTATTCATTTTTGCATTTTTCTGAATACCAAACAAAGGTTTTTGCATAAAGCAAACATTTAATAAATACTTTTGATGAAATGCCATCATCAGCTATAAGCTGACACTTAAATTGTGGCCATTGAAAAGTATTTATTTAGCAATTGTATTAAACCTAAAGAAGAGGACGTTCAAAAAGGATTTTTGTCAACCAAAGATTTTGAGTCATTTTACAAATTCAAAATCATTCATCCATTCCTGCATCAAAGATTTTCTTTAAAAATTTATTATATATCAAAAGCCCCTAATATGAAAATGTACCTTTATGTTGTCTTAGAAAAGTTTTTCTTGAGACTTTCATTTAAATTCTTCTGTATGCGATGATTTATACTTGAATAATCTTACATCTCCTGATCCCATTGTATAGAATTAATGAGTTTGAATGTTTTTTTGTTTTGTTTTTCCTGTTGTGTAAAGAATGTACTCATATCTCTTGAGTTACCAATTTTAGATAGTATCTATTGGCTACTCACAGAAAAAGATGAGTGATTTAGTGTTTGCACAAGTCCCCTCTCTATTGTCCCTTTTCACAGACCTCTCAATTTTTTTTTTTTTTTTGAAACAGAGTCTCACTCTGTCACCCAGGCTGGAGTGCAGTGCGCATAATCTCAGCTCGCTGCAGCCTCCATCTCCCAGGTTCAAGTTATTCTCCTGCCTCAGGCTTCAGAGTAGGTGGGATTACAGGCACCTGCAATCATGCCAGGCTAATTTTTGTATTTTTAGTGGAGATGCGGTATCGCCAGGTTGGCCAGGCTGGTCTAGAACTCTTGGCCTCAGCGATCTGCCCACCTCGACCTCCCGAAGTGCTGGCATTACAGGCATGAGCCACCATGCCCGGCCAGACCCCTCAATTTTTAAAATTTATATTACTATTTTTGATTTACAGGGTTTGTATAATATTTACATTACTCACATTAGTAGATAATATTTGTTTGTATAATATTTACATTACTTACATTAGTAGATAAATTAATACTTCTCTATTTTGTTTCTAGATTCCTTCTAACAACGTAATATCAATTCAAAAAGCAATTACTATATTATGGCTACTAAATATTATTCCCTTCAGATTCATTCAGGTAGCATAACTGGACTTGCAGAAAAGGAGTAAGCATAATTATTAAAATCCTGGTTTTTAAAGGATTATGGATATATATGAATATATTGTGAATATATTAACCACCAGGGTCTAATATATCCTTTCTCGAGTTAAACAAAAAGTTAAAAAAAATCCTTCTGGATCATATGTGATTGCCACTGCCTTACTGTCTCATATCTGACATGCCTTTTTTTGGATAATTCATATGTAGATATGTAGGCATCAGATTTTCTGGGCCATTTACATTTTTAGCCTAACATTGATTGATAGTTTGGTTGGCTATAGAATTTTAAGTTTAAAACACGGTTCCTTCAAGAAAGACTTTGCTCAATTCTGTTTAGAATTCAAGGAGGCACATGAGATCTGATGTTCATTCTTTGTAGGTATCTTTTTTTCCCTTCTAAAAGTTCCTAGAATTTTCTGTCAATTAGTGAAAATTTACTAAGATGTTTGGCCCTTTCCATTTTTTCAATTTTAAGAATTTTCTTTCTTCAGTTGTGAAATCTTCCTTCTGTTTTGTTTTTGTATTTAGGTTATTTCCATTCTTTGTCTCTGTTTCCTCTTCTAGGATGTTTATTAGATATATATTGGGATCTTGCATTTATGCTCAACATGTCTTAATTTTTCCTCATATTTTCCTTTTTTTCACTTTTCTTTCTGGTTCTGACTTTTATTTTGCCCTCTAGATCTCTGCTCTGGTTCTATGTTTCAGCACATCTGTTCAGCTTTTTATTTTCACATTCATAATTTTAGTTTCTGGGATCATATGCTTATTCCCTGACTGATATTTTCCATAGCCACTTGCATGTGTGTGTATGGGTCTGTGTTCAATATTTTCTTGATTCACTCTTAAAATGCTAGTTAAAATTGTTTTTTAAGAACATTTTCTTATATTTCCTGAATTACCTGTGGGATTTTTTTTTTGAGTCAGTTAATGCTGTTTTGTTTCTTTTTTAGTGTTTTAAAATTCTGCTCTGGGTTTTCTGCAGTTAATCCTGCCATCCTTAGCTGTTGATGTAGAATTATAATGGGAGGACCAGGTTGCATGACAAAGATTACTGGTGGGGTCTGTTTTCTTTGTTTGAGAGGGCTGACTATGAACTTGTGAGTTTAGTGATTGTTTTACCTGGCTCGCTTCTCTTAAAGATGCATGGATATTGGCAAGCAAGCAGCCTGGAACTTACCCCAGGAGAAACCTGTTCTAAGAGTTGAGAAACTTATATTCTTATCCTAGGTAGAGCTGTATTTCCTATTCCCCCTGGCCATATCTGAAATAAAATCACTTCCAATCCTGCCCTTTCTCTTTCAGTGCCTTATAGGTACAGAAGTCCTCTGTCCTCACATAATTCCCATTTTTCAGAGTTCTTTCTTTTAACTGGAACTCTTTCTACATTAAGGTTGGAGCAGAAAGGGGAAGTGAGGAGCCCAGCTGGCCCATATCTCCTGAAATGCAGTTCTTTAAATATTTCCCTAATGGTCACTCTGATGCCTGCTTCAGGACTTTATGTTGACTTTAGGTTTGGAAATTATTTGGGACTTTTATAGTAAGAACCACTTATGCATCTTGGGTTGTGCTTCCCTTCTTTGAATTTCTCCATAAATCAGACCCAACTGGCTTTTACTTTCTGAGAGTTTCTCAGTTTTACCAAATGTTTGTTCTAACAATATAATGGCTTCCTCTCATTCTCTCTCCCTCTCTTTCTCCTTTCCTTCTAGTCTTCTTTCTTTTTTAAAATCTCATTATTTTTGTCATTTACTTGTTACCTTAGATGGAGGACATACATGTGTCTTTGTGCCAGCCATTATCTTGAACCAGAAACCAGATTAAATTTCTTTTTACATATTTCTTTTAATTATTCAAATAAATCTGTTTCGAATTTATTTTAGATAGCCCGGAATATATATTAATACTTGGTTAAATATTTTTTCCACACTTTAAGGTAGGTGGTACTAACCCATATGATACCACATTTAGATTTTTCTTTTACATTTCTCAACATAAAAAATATATATATATGTGGTTACAGCCAAAAGGAACTGTTTGCTTGCAATCTGTTCTTCCTGGCACCCTGTATGTTCCATGAGAGATAAGCATCTACTGAAGCATAAAAAGTGTCTTACAAAATCATAGTAAGTAAATCAGTCACTACATTCTGTATTATCAATAGTCCTGGGTGTCATTAAGGTTCTGTCTGTATAGAAAAGATTAGGTTTGTGTATATGATATTCTCCTAAAGCATTTTAACATAAAGTCATGGTCACTGAAATCTGAAAATATTCACATTTCAGTCTTAATCAAATCTAGTACCTCAGGATTTTTCAATCATATTCAGAAAGTTCAACCATTTCGATGTGTTAGCTCTAGCTCTAAGTTCCCAGGCTGAATATCCAGTGGTCTAGTTGCATAAATTATTGTAATTTGGGCAGAGAATTCAAACTGTTTGTAAACTCAATTTCAATTGAAAAATACCACAATGTCACTAATAATCAACACTTAAATTAAGTAATCTTCAGCCCCACAGCTTCCTCAGAACCCCCAAAAGTAGGATGTGTAATCTAAAAAGATTCATTGAGCAAATATTTATTTGTGCTATCAAAGAAGATGGCTTCCCCCAAAAGAATTCCTCCAAATGTTAAAGTTGGTAATTTTCTGCAGGATTAATATGTAGCACAATCAGAAAAAACAAAAACAAAAACTTATATAAGGCAGCATTCCCTAGGAGAGCCACTTGGCAGTCCTGCCTGCATGTGCCCTACATGAGAATTCCATGCTTCCTCTGAATCTTCACAAGCATATCATTTAAATTAAGAGCATAAATGAGGCCACATAAATGCTTTCTTTTCCAGTTTTTTTAAAATTTACTTCCCCCTTCCAGAGCAGATTGCAACAGTCTGGTATAATTGATCTTGTCCACAAAAAATCGACCGTAATACATTAAATAGTTCTGTAATGTGGCACCGTTAAAAAGGATCTGCTTCAAATGACTGTGAACTGACAAGGAAAGAAAATGTTATATAGTTGGCTGGGCGCGGTGGCTCACGCCTGTAATCCCAGCACTTTGGGAGGCCGAGGCGGGTGGATCATTTGAGGTCAGGAGTTTGAGACCAGCCTGGCCAATATGGTGAAACCCCATCTCTACTAAAAATACAAAATTAGCTGGGCATAGTGGTGCACATCTGTAATCCTAGCTACTTGAGAGGCTGAGGCAAGAGAATCGCTTGAACCTGGGAGGCAGATGTTGCAGTGAGCCAAGATGGCGCCACTGCACTCCAGCCTGGGCAACAGAGCGAGACTTCATCTCAAAAAGAAAAGAAAAGAAAAGAAAATGGTATATAGTTTACCAACAGGTAGCCTAAGATAGTTATATGCAGTGATTAACGATTACAAACATACAATGTGGATACTGATAATCATTTTTACTGCCCTCCTTTAAGGAAATGGAGAAATGTCAGGAGACAAGGTACAGCTGAAAATTTTCCTCCAGTTTGATCTATTCTGCAAATCTCTTCCATCCTTGTCCAGGTTATTGACACTATTTCCGCAGGATTTTCAGGCTGTTCTTTTCTCATCTGGACTATTCCTTAGAGCAGGAATTTTATTACTAATCTCCAAACTACCTCTCGAATATTAGAATTATTCACATTCCAAATTATAATACAAAGATTTCAGCAACTGCTCTCTGATGATATTTTTTTTCTTCCAGTATTGTCTGTTAAATATTTGAAGGCAGGTACACACTGCCTCAGGAACAACTCTGTCCTCTCTCCAAATGCTCCAGATTCTTCTCTCCCTCACAGCCCTCTTTAACTGCTGTAATCTGTAAGATCTACTCTTCGGGCAAGCCTCTATGTTTAAGAAAACACTTTCAGGCCGGGTGCAGTGGCTCATGCCTGTAATCCAGCATTTTGGGAGGCTAAGGCGGGCGGATCATGAGGTCAAGAGATTGAGACCATCCTGGCCAACATGGTGAAACCCCGTCTCTATTAAAAATACAAAAATTAGCTGGGAGTGGTGGCGTGTGCCTGTAGTCCCAGTTACTTGGGAGGCTGAGGCAGAAGAATCACTTGAACCCTGAAGGCAGAGGTTGCAGTGAGCCGAGGTAGTGCCACTGTACTCCAGCCTGGTGACAGAGCAGAGCAAGACTCCATCTCAAAAAACAACGACAACAACAACAACAACAAAATAAGAAAACACTTTCAGTTGGGGGTCTGCTCAGATATGGTCTAAATGGCAGGTGAAATTGAGACAATTACTTGGATAAATCAAATCACATCCTCCTACGCAATTCATTCGAATATATTCAGTCATTAAACAAATATTTTTTAAAGAACCTATTACAGACTCAATATTATGCTGAGTGCTGAAGAGAAAATGGTGAGCAAAATCAAATAAAGTCCTTGCCCTCATGGGTAACAGCCTAATGGTGATGATAGCCAACATTTATTCACTGCCTATTATGTGCATGAAACACTTTTCATGACTCCTGTCATCTAACTTTCAGCAAAATAAATATGAGTTATTAGTACAAAAAAACACACCATACAGAGACAAAAGAAGTTGTGTGTGTGTGTGTGTGTGTGTGTGTGTGTGTTTGTATTTATTTTAAATAATCAACCCTTTTCCTGCTTTTCCCCAGAATATATGAACTCAAGTCTTCTCTAGTTCGAGAACAGGGCTGGGGGTGATGGCAGGGGGTTGCTTTACATTGCTTTGTATTGGAATTTGTATTGTCCAGGGGGAACTCATTACCACCTATAGATACATAGCCACTTGCCCATGTTTTCTCAGCTATTTAGCAGACACAGGATTTGAACCCAAGATTTCACATTCAGGAGCTTATGCTCTTTCTTACTCCACTGGCACACCTGTGTACCCCTACACTCTTCTGCCCCTAAGGTAGATAAATAGAGAAAAAGAACAAGAGGGGTGATATGGCAAAAGTATCTCAATAGTTGCATCAATTCTCCTTTGCTTTGTGAATTCTGGATGAAACAAAGGACAACTATAATAATTCTTGCTTGCTCTTCTCTTTAAACATGTAGTAGTCCTATTTGAGAATAAGTGATAATGACAACTTTTTAGAAAAAAATCTACATGACCCATCATTAAATGGGAAACCATTTTTTTCAGAAAAAAAAAATTGTTATAATGGAGATTACAATAAGATGCCTACAGAAGATTCCCATTGTGCTATAGTCTAACTTAAATCACAAATACGCATTTATATTATTATATCATTAATATTAGCTCATTGAATAGGCATTTATTGAGAATGGACTATAAGAAGAGCTATATGTTAAGAGACATATTCATTCAGACAGACATTGCTTATTGTCCACAACAACGATGACTTTTAAAAGTAAGAAGAGGAAGTAAAGTAAAGGGGCAGGAGTGAGTAGAGGGAGGAGTCTAAGGTGACAACCAGCTTTCTGACTTAAGCTGCTATGCATCCTGAGGCCACTGGAAGAAAATCTGGTTTGAGATTTATTGGAGGTTTTTTCTTTTCTTTTCTTTTTTTGCCTTTTTGAGTTTTATTTTCTTTTCCACTTTGAGGGTGTTTTGTTTTGTTTCCATCGGATGCTCTAGAAGAGGCAGAGTGCTCATTGGAGGTTGACAGTGTCATAACCCTTGTCTGATTATCTCGATTTTATGAGCCCAATTAAGGATGATAAAATATGTGTTTTAGAGATTTCTGCCATCCTTACAGCCCCTTACCATCCCTAAGGATACTTCTCCTGACTATTAATCACATTTTAATTTTTTTCTCTTTTCAGTACAATTATGTGAGTTTGTGTTATTGCATGGCCATGCCTCAGTGGTCTACCCTTCCTTCACACCACTTTTCTATAGGGAAACCAAAGGTGCATTTATACCATAATTTAGTTGAATTCAGCAGTAGTTACAAATGATGTTATTAAAATCTATTGGGAAAAATGATTCATCTTGATTCATTCAAAATGATTCATTCAAAAACAGAGGACAAAGGAATGTGGGGAAGTTAAATGATATATCATTGAATAAAGGCACTTCAGAAAGCTCTCTGTCTTCATAACTGCTACAAGTGTCCTTTATAACTTCATTTTACCCAAATGTTTTCCAAAACATCTGTCTAAACTTTTCAACTAAGTTTAGTTGTTATTCTTGCTTCTTGTAATTTCAGAGAGACCTGTGTGGTTCGATGCATTCTCTGACGTTATTCTGAGAAGAAACAATTAAATGCATACTGGAAGACATTTTGCTCTTCTACATGTTGGAAATTCGGTGTCACCAATGCACAGCTGCAGAATGCACAGTTCTATTGTTTTCTTTCTCATCACAGATCTGACCCCTCACCATCTTCCCCCGCCCTTGAGCCTGATCCTTTTCTGACTTTGAGCCTGGCACCTTGCTGGTGCCGGCAGGCATCATGAAGGCATGGGCTGGGAGCCAGACTCAGCCTTGCAAAGGAGGCTCAGGGAAGCCGACTGACATGGGCTCAATAATTAGTTCAATGCCGGACACAATGCTCAATAAGGAGCTGCTGGGTTAATGGATGTGTGTGCTAGCTAGCTGTAGTAAACAATTCAAGTTGATAACATGGGGCTGATTGTCTGAACAGTACAAAAGAAAATGGAGGACTGACCAGCTCTTTGGTCCTCCAAGGTCAATACAACATTTAAAGCCTTCTTATAGAGATATACAAGTTTTGTTCATTTTTAATATTCATGTCAATAATTTAAGCAATGTGAAAACTTAAACATTCTCAAGCATTTATTTATTTTTTTTGGTAGAGACCAGGTCTCACTCTGCTTCCCAGCCTGTAGGGCAGTGGCATGATCCTAGCTCACTATAACCTTGAACTCCTGGGCTCAAACAATCCCTGCTGTCTCAGCCTCCTGAACAGCTTGGACTATAGGTGCACGACACCATGCCCGGCTAATTTTTTTATTTTTATTATTGTAGAGATAGGGTCTTGTTATGTTTCCCAGGCTTGTCATTTTATGTATTGTCTTGAATAATAAAAGAAACTTGGACAGAGAATAGCAGGTAGCAAATTTTCAGATGTAGATTTAGGATAATACAAAATTTTATAATGTGAAGTACCTCAGTACCAAAATCTTAGCTATTTATAATATGATAGCCCTTGATGTAGAGCTAACTTAAATTCAACATTTCCATGACTAAATAATTTGTGGGCTCTAAAATATTCTCAAAATTCCTAGAGTTAGCATTTCTTAATTGATTTCTTTAGCCTTTTTCACATTCAACTATATTATAAATACAAAATGAATCCATTAACATATTTTATAATGTGTCTTTCAGTGTGCTTCTTAGATTTAGTTTGATTTCAGAAAGCTAAGAAAGAAAAAGGAATTTTGCAAGCCACACTCAATCATATCTGCATAGGCATAGCTATATAGACACCCATAAAATTATGCATAACCCCCAGGTTTTCAAATGAACACCTCCCACAGTCTCAGCAACACAGGGCAACCTCCACCCTCTGGCATATTCATGTGTCCATTTCACTGTGAAATTCTTATCTTCATCACTGCTCCTCAGGGGGCCTCTACAACTCTGCAATGTTATTGTTCTGAGAGAAAATGGTTATTTTGTAAAATTTTCCTTCAAAAAACCTATTTAATAGAATCACAAGTTTATTCTCTTCAGCAGCAAGTTTGCTGAAGTACATTATTTGTCCAAAAATAGTTGAAGGCCACATTGATTGAGGAAGGGATGAATACTCATACTAATGAGCTTTCTGTCCCGTTGTTGTGGAAATTTTCTGTGAATTTGCTGGGATTTTCTGCTGGGTCATGCAGAACCTCCTTGGAATGTTATAGCCTGGGAAATGTAATTACCCCATGACGTTTCATTTTTCTCACAATTTCTGGTGTCAGAGGATGGAACAATCAAGTCCTCACTCTGAAAGGACTCTCTCACATGCCCATCAGGGCAGAAGGGCTATCATTACAGAAATACAGCATTCTCCTCTGTTTTTCAAGCTGGTTTATCTCCATCCCACTACCCGAAAAGTGGAATTCAGAGTTCCCTTAGTTCTCTGCTTTTCTGTACATAGAACTACAACATCCAACCCAGCAAACACTCCCTTCCTATACAGATATTCTTTACCAGCAGTATTTTATGTGGAAAACATTAACAAGAGATTAGTGACAAAAGAAATTACTTTGGGGGAGTCCATTGATCTTTGCCTTCTAAAATTTATAAGCTGCTTTATATAATTGTCCATGATTGCCTTCTTTACCCTCATCATCAACTTCCACATATGAAAAAGTAACAAGAATGGGGACTGAGAAGAAATAGTAAGATGGTTCAGACTGAACGAAGCCATTCAGTTTTTATACGTGTGTGTGATTATTTCACTATAAACTCTGCTTCCATGACTAAAATCATCACAATTACCAAGCAATGGCTTTATCCCAGAGTTACTTTAGAACAAAAAAGAAGGCATTTGTCATGCAGTGGCATATCTCGGGGACAGCTCACCCCTGTGAACCATGTCTGCCCTTTCTTCCTCCTTCTTTTAATTAACATTTGGAAAAGAACAGTGATGTTAGCAGATAGCAGAGCTGGGAAGGGAGACTCAGAAAGTGATGTGAGCTTTGTCAATCTTCAACCTTGCCAAGGAGGACACATTAAAGTGTTTTTCATGGAAAATCAGGCTTTGTCAACACAAATTCAAAGCAATGTGACCTTGACGGATGGAGATATATATATATATATATATATATATATATATATATATATATATATATATATGCATGCTAAGTAAGAATAGCACAGACTGAAGCATCTTTAGAGAATATAAGTGAACCAAATAAAAGGAGGAAAAGCATCCTAAAAGAAGATGTTAAATCCAGGAAAAAGTTGTCAAGTGTATTTCCTTCTACTTACCTTTTCTGCTGACTGGGCTGTACCAAAAAAGATGGGGATGAAAGCTAACCAAATGATGCAGGTGGTATACATGGTAAATCCAATAGGTTTGGCTTCATTGAAAGTCTCTGGGACACCTCTCGTTTTAATGGCATAAACAGTACAAGTGACCATCAAGAGGATACTGTATCCAAGTGAACAAATGAGTGAGAGATCAGAAATGTCACACTTGAGCACTCCCCTGGCCTTCTCTGGATCTAGTGTCCGCTGCTCTCCATAGTCAATGATGATGTGGGGGGGATCCACAACAAACCAGACAAACACTCCAAGGAGCTGGACGGAGATGAGGCTGAAGGTGATCACCAGCTGAGATGCTGGACTAATGAACTTGGGCGCTGTGACAGATTTCTTCCCCTGCTCAAATATTCGGTGGATACGGTTTGTTTTGGTCAGAAGGGCTGCATAGCTGAAACACATGCCAAGTCCTAGGAAGACCCGTCGGAAGGAGCATATGATTGTATCTGGTGCTGCAATCATTAAAAACGTGATTGAATAACAGAGAAAAATCCCCGTTAGGAGCACGTAACTAAGTTCGCGTCCTGAAGCCCTCACGATAGGTGTGTCATTATAGCGGACAAAGGTCACGATCACAAAGGTGGTGGCGATGATTCCCAATATTGCAACAAACACAGGCACCACAGCCCAGGGAGAATGCCACTCCAATTTGATGATGGGGATAAGCTGGCAGCCTGTGCGGTTCATGTTGGGTCTCTGATCCAGAGGGCAAAGTTCACAGGACAGCTCATCCACCTGGTAGTTGTAACCTTCACAGCGTTCACAGTGCCAGCAGCAAGGGACCCCTTTCACCGTTTTCTTCCTCTCCCCTGGCTTACACGGCAGGCTGCAGACAGACGCCGGGTGAGTATGTTCTCTATGAGCCCACTGCATGTCTTCCACCTGTGGGTATAAAAAATTAATGAGCCTTCCATTTTTCCCCCATTTATAATATCCTAATCCTAGCCACGGGTTTGTAATGAATCACAGAATGCTGACAGTACAAATACAGTTTACCATAATAAGAGTCTCGTTTTTTTTCCCCTGATATTGACTTTATGAAAGTGTTAAGTGACTGGATCCAATATATCATTCACCTCATCAACTTGATGAGTGTCATTAGTTTCCATTTACCTCCTCATTGCTGACCAATGTGACATCTGGAGAGAGATTTATTGGTCAAAACAGTTTTAAAACTAAAAAAAATAAAATACAAAAAAATAAGAAGAAGCCCCGTAGAAAGATGCTTTAGAGTTAATCACAAATATAAATGCCAGAATCCCTGAAACACTGGGCTAGGATATAAACATATATAAAAGATGATCCATGTCTTTCTACCATACTTAGGGAAATTCAAATCACACTGCATCAATTTTGAAAGGAAATGGCAAAATGAGTTAATCTCTGACTTTCCTCATGTGTTCATGGAGATAACTATATTAATGTGTTTTGCCCCTGTTTAGGCTTGAAATATCCTTTTTTTCTTCAGTCTTGCATTTCCATGTTGTGCAAAACACCATGCTGAATGAGATAACTTGATGGTAATGTTTTTTTTACTGAACGAAAGTGGCCCTATGGTGATTTAAAGCAGGGAAATTAGTACAAATGAGATTTTCCCCACTTTGCTTAGTATCGCTTCAGGGCCTTAAAATCCAACCTTATGCTTTCAGGTTAAATCATAGAATAACTCTATCGAGATACAAGCAGTTCGTGAAAGAGACAGCACCAATCATTGATCTCTTACCTTTAATTTGCTTTTCTTATTAGACACAGTAATTTTAGCAGAATGCTAATAGGACAAAACTGAAAATTACAGATGACGGGAGACCACTTACTATGAAAAGCAGCTACTATAAAAGGTAAGCTCTATGAAGTGAGTAATTTTTTCACTGGTGTGAACAAACAGTGACTGGCATACAATTTGCCCTCGATACATATTTGTTGAATTCATGAGGGAGAAAGGATGGGAAAGGCACTAGAGCAGAGCCCTGAGGAATAAGGAGACAGCTTGGAAGTACTGGGATATGGAAATAGAGGGTACTCAAGAGGCACAGCAAAGGGAGATGAAGGAATGTTTCAGAAAAAAAGAACAACTTATTTTCATAAGTTCGCCTTTACTAATAATCCAAAAGAATTACTATACTGTGTGGTAGTCAGTCTCCACCGTGGCCCCCAATAACCTCACTTCTGAAAATTGATGTACTCCTGTGGCCCGCTGCCACTTTGAATAGGGCTAGTCTGTGTAAACAATAGTATATTCCAGAAATGATGATACGTCTCTTCTGAGGCCAGGTCATAAAAGGCATTTTGGTTTCGGCCTTGCTCTCTGCTGGATAATTCACTCGAGTGGAAGCACTCCAGTGTCACTGATGCAGGACAGACGAGCCCCAAAGTGGGACCAAGCCTGCCAGAATTCTTGGCTCCACCCAGGAAAGAATTCAAGGGCAAGCTGATGGTGGTTAGAAGAAAACAGCTTTATTGAAGCAGCAATTATAGCTCCATGACTGTTCCTGCAGAGCAGGAGCAGCAGGCAGAGAGCAGCAGCTCAGGGCAGTTCTGCAATTGTGTTTATACCTACTTTCAATTGCATGCAGAGTAAGGGGTGGATTATGCAGAAATTTCTAGGAAAAAGGTAATAACTACTAGGTTGCAGGTCGCTGCCATGGAAAGAGGCTGTAACTGCCATGGCAATGGTGGGCATGTCTTACGGGAAGCTGCTTCTGTCCTGTCCCTGTTTTAGCTAGTCCTCAGTTTGGTCCAGTGTCCAAGTCCCACCTCCAGAGCCAAGTCCCTCCTACCTCATCATGAAAACTCTCAGCAGCCCTGTGGAAAGAATGGAGGCCTCCTGTCCACAACAAGCACCAACTTCCCATGCGTGTGAAGGAGCCACCTAGAAAGTCATCATCTGGCTCCAGTCAAGCCTTCAGGTGACATCTGAATGACATCTTGAATACAAACTCATGAGAGACCCTGAGCCAGGAAAACACAGCTAACCTGTTCCTGAATTTCTGATTTACGGAAATGTTGTGAGATGATGTTTATTGTTTTAAACTGCTACATTTTGGAGTTATTTGTTCTGCAACAACAGAAAATGAATGCAGCTCAAATTAAACTTAGCTACTTGGTGGCCACTTTCATTTTAATATCAGTGTAGTTATCTATCCAGAAGGCACACCCAGGGACAGCGACTGTATACTTCCAAAGCAGCCCGAAGTATGTAGCTTTAGCAATATTCCTTCATCATTCTTATGGTGGCTTACTCTTTGACAATCAGGTGACTGAAATCGTTCTCATGAACAATTACTTAAGAATGCTTTCCTTTCTTGAATCTAGGGTGAATGGTTGAGGCCAGAGAACTGTAGTCTTCAAGCTCTATCCTTTTAGAGGGCTGTCGAATCTCCTCAGAGTAGAGACTTTGTGTCTTTAATTTCAGATATCCTCCCTTGAGAAAGTAGATGCTACTTCATCTGTCATATGTCATCAGGGCATTTGAGACTATTAGATCTATCCTGTCAGCTCACTACAAAGGAAATGTAATCTATTATAACCCTCTAGTTTCTTATTGGGTTTTAATGACTTAAAAATATTATATTTTATTTACTTATAAGATTACAGGAAGAAAGAAATAAAGGTAAATGGAAGCACACAGTGATTTCTTTCAAAAATACTGAGAAAAAAAATGAAATGCTCCACTGGGTGCTTCAGGAATTAACTTTACAACCTAAGGGACTCATAAGATAAGAAAATACATTTTTGAAGGTTATATTTAAAAGCTAATTACTATAGAAACAAAATTGCATTTTGTTGGGAACTTCCATAGATTTACAGTGTTCCTGCTCAAAAAACACAAAACAAAACAAAACAAAACAAAAAATGAAAAACAGCAAAAAAAAATTGGAAACATTAAACTTCAAGAAACCTTAAAGGTCAGTTTCTCTAACCACATGTCGGAAGCTTTAATTCTCAATATGCTTTACTTCTCAGAACAACATAAGATGTGTTAAAAAAGAAATGTACCTATACTCGGTAGGTTTCATTACATAGGATAACTATTTATCATTATAAGCTAAATGTGAAATTTTCCTTGACAATTTTTTAATGTTTTGAACCAATGAAAAAACGTTTTTCATAAATTAAAAATAAAGTTGTAAGAATATGAAAAATACCAGTTTTTTAACAGCTATGAATTTTCTTTAAGTAAAAAAATAAGCAATATGTGTAACATTTTTATTATAAAGGAGACTGTAATGTTATAGTTTACAGATTATGTTTTAATAAATATGTTAAATATGCATGCTAAATATGCATGACTTAATTTTCATCAAGGAATCTTTGTTAAACTATGCTGTGAATTGATTTCATAGCTAAAGTCTGAAAACCAACTAGTATCCACTTCAAGAAAGGACAAATAACAAATGCTTGAACAAGGATCTTACAAATACAGTAATATTTGAGACTAACAACTTATTTTACATAGTTGCTAAATGATGATTAAAACCAACACTATTTGGACCGGACGTGGTGGCTCAAGCTTGTAATCCTAGCACTTTGGGAGGCCAAGGCAGGCGGATCACAAGGTCAGGAGATCGAGACCATCCTGGCCAACACGGTAAAACCCTGTCTCTTCTAAAAATACAAAAAAATTAGCCGGGCATGGTGGCAGGTGCCTGTAGTCCTAGCTACTTGGGAGGCTGAGGCAGGAGAATGCTGTGAACCCGGGAGGCGGAGCTTGCAGTAAGCCGAGATCACGCCACCGCACTCCAGCCTGGGTGACAGAGCGAGACTCCGTCAAAAAAAACAAACAAACAAACAAACAAAAAAAACACTATTTGAAAGTGAAAACTGCCTAATTTCCACAACTGTTACAAAGCATAAACAAAGATTATTCAACCCTGTTTATTGCTATATTAACAAATTATACCATCTTTCATTATAAGTATAAAGAGATGCCTTAACCATATATTTTTAAAATTTGCCTTCCTCACCTTTGGTATTATTCTGTTATTAAGACGTTTTCAGTCTGAAATACATGGTATAACAAATGGAGGATAGTTATATAGATAGATCTTCCAGGGACAAAAAAATGGCCCATTCTTATCTTGACAATGTTTACCAATAGTGATTTATTCAATAGGTTTCAATCCAGTGCATTTCAGAAAATGTAAGTCATCAGCTGGTTTCTGCTGTCAAATCCTGTTATTATTGCAGACAAGTACACAAAGAATCGTGAAACCAAAGTTTCCGGGTGAGTGTGCTTACATTTTTAAATTTTCAATCTTTTCAGAAAAGTCAACTAGGAGTACTGTTTTATAAACTCTTTAAAAAGAATATAATTTTTAGAGAATAATTTTCTTCTGTATAGTTTTAATAACTCCTGAAGAAAGGATTACAAGAATGATTACAAGAATGTTGAACAAGTAAAATCCCCATTATAATTAATAATTTTCAGTCTTCATTACAGAACTCTCAATCTAATATCTCTAATACAATGTTTTTCCTAAATATCAAGTGGTATTTTTTTAATGTGCTTACCATATACAGGATGTGGGAAAATTTTAAATACATTGTTTACAGATAACTGATACTTAGTCATACCATTCTTAACACATTTCCTCTTGCTCTACATGTAATAATTTTGTTAATTATTATTAATTAATAATTATTTTGTTGACTAGTTTGACACCTCGATATTCAAAACTCAATATTTCTGACTTAAGTAATGGAAGACTGCATGTGCAATTACTTCCAGAGACACTAATGATTATTTTTAAACCATTACTCATTAAATTTCATATAAATGCATACAATCTGCATGGGTACTTAAAATTTTAAACTTTAGTGCCATATTTTGCATATCACATGATTCACACATGAATGAGTACATGTTGCACAGTTAATCTGATAACAGAATATAAAATTATGTAATTATATGCATTATATGTGTCTCTCTATATATATATTTCTTAATATTCTGCATTTCCTTTGAGTCATGTACAGCTTTAAGTGACCACAAAGAAAACAATATTTATCTCTTCTTCAAAGTGGCCCGTGTCCTTTGAAAAATCTAATATGCTTGAGATGATTCCCAAGCTGAAATCCTGTTTTTTTGTGATGTTCCAGATCTATATAACCTTTAAAAGTGCGAAGACTTCTCCTATTTTAAAGACAATTTAAAATAAAATTAAGGAAAAAATTTCATTTACATTAACACCAAAAATAAAATACTTAGTGATAAACTTAGTAAAAGAAGCACATGACTTATCCAGGAAAAACTACAAAACATCATTGAAAAAAAGTGAAAAAAAAAGTATAAATAGTTGAAAAGAAATCCTGTGTTTATGAATCAGATGATTTACTATTGCTAAGATAGCAATATTTCCCACATTGATCTGCATACATATTCAACACAATCCCAGTCAAAATCTCAGCTGGCTCCTTCACTGAAATTGATCATCTGATCCTAAAATTTATATGGAAATATAAGGGACCCAGAATAGCCAAAATTTTGAAAGCAAAGAATAAAGATGGAGTATTCACATTTCCTCATTTTAAAACTTATTACAAAGAATGTCATAATCAAGACAACATAGTACAGGCATAATAATAAACAAATTAGTGGCATAGACTAGAGAGTCCAGAAATAAACCTCATACACATTTATAATATAAACGTGTATGTTCACGTTATTTTTGACAAGATACAAAGAAAATTCAATAAAGAATTTTTTTTTTCAAAAAATGATGCCAAAATAACTGGATATCCATATGCAAAATAATGAAGTTATACACCTACCTCACACTGTATATAAAAATTAACTCAAAAAGGATCCAAGACACAATGCAACAACTAAAACTTAAAAACTCATAGAAGAAAACAGGAGTAAATCTCTGTGACCTTGTGTTAGGCAGTGTTTTTTAGACATGACACCAAAAGCAGAAGCAACAACAACAAAAAAAATAAATTGCACTTCATCTATGTTAAATAATTGTGTGGGTCAAGAGACACCACCAAGATTGTTAGAAGACAACCCACAGGATAGGCAAAAATATGTTCAAGTCATTATTATCTCTAATAAGGGATTTGTATCCAGAATATATTTTTTAAAAACTGTTAAAATTCAACAGTTAAAAGACCAATAATCCAATTACAAATGAGCCAATAAATTGAATAGACATGTCCCAAAGAAGATATACAAATTGTCAATAGTGCATGAAAATATACCTAACATTATTAGCTATCAGGGAAATCTAAATCAAAACCAGTGCACCAACTAGGACTATTATAATAAAAAATAAAGACAATAGCAAGTGTTGATAAAGATGTGGATGAAGACATTTGGAATTCTTTGCATTGCTGTGGCAATGTAAAATGGTACTGTAGCTTTGGAAAATTTGACAATTCCTTAGAAAGCTAAACATAGGGTTTTGATATGACCTAGCAATTCCACTTCTAGGTATATACCAAAGATAGTTAAAAACATATGTTCCCACAAAAATTTGTGTATAAATGTTCATAACAGGATTATTCATAATACCCCCCAAAACCAGAAACAACCCAAATGACCAGTAACTGATGAAAGGATAAAAAATGTGGTATATCTATATTACTTAGCAATCAAAAGGAATAGTGTATTGACACCTACTACAAAATGGATGGACCTTGAAAACATTACACTAAGAAATGAAAGCAGCTAATCACAAAATACTAATATTGCATGTTTTTATTTTATATATAACATCCAGAATAGGCAAATCCATTGAATTCCAGGAGCTAGGGGGAAGGAAATAGAGAATGACCACTAAAGGGTATGGGATTTCTTGGATGATGATGAAAATGAACTAAACTTAGATATTGGTGATGGATGTGCAACACTGTGAATATACGAAGAACCACTGAATTGCATACTTTGAAAGAGATCATTTTTGGCGTGTAAGTTATCTCTATAAAGCTGTTATTTAAAAAATGTGGAGACTATTTAAGTAGATATTTTCAAGTGGTTTTAAGACTCAGTCCTATAATGCTGTACAAAAACATAGTCCATGCCCATTTTGTTTAAGGCACAAAGTTCAATGTGAGAATTCAACAAGACCAAGACATGGTTCTTGCCCTCCAGACACAACGTAGATGGGGAGAGAAAAAAACAAAGGCCAATCACAGCTCACAGTGAGTCTCCCTTACAGAAGGATGAGGAAATGGAACTGCTAGAGGAGCACACAGCAGGACCACGAAGCCCAGGGTTCATGGATGTGCAGACAGCAGTCTGGAGGTTGCACAGGAGACAAGGCACAGAAGAGGAGCTCAACAGCACATCAGGCAAAAAACAAAATTACTAATATATAGTTTCAAAAAGCCTTGACAAACTGGAGGAACTAAAAGTATTAAGAATAGCAGGAAGGTAGATAAAAGCAGTGGATGGAGTAGCAAGAAACAGGCCAGGAAAGAGGGTACATGTGAGATCATGAAGGGCCTTGTGAGCCATTGAGAGGAGTTTGGATGCCATCCTGAAGGTAGTTGGGATCTTCCATAGGGATATAGCCAGGATAAAGATGATGAGTCACGTTTTAGAATCTCTGGACTGTAGCGTAGAAAGAAGACTGCAGGAGTCCAAGACTAGAGAGAAGTCAATCACGCTGAGGCTGTTGCGGAATTCCAGATGAAAGATGATGACAGGAATCTGAGGAATGGCAATGGCCATGGGAAAAATGTGAGTATTCTATCAGCTGCTTCTTCAAGGACCATCTAAATTTGTTAGATACAGATTATCAGGTACAAAGGTACATACAAGAAAGATTCCTGGAGCTAAGAGCTACTTGAGATCGTAGCATTCTAATCACTAAATACTTCGTTAGTGCTAAGGAATTCTGTTATGGGTTGAATTGTGTACCTCCCAAAATTCATATGTTGAAGTCTTATCCCTCAATATCTCAGAATGTGACTGTATTTGGAGACAGAATCTTTAAAGAGGTAATTAAAGTAAAATAAGATTACTAGGGTGGGACATTATCCAATATAACTGATGTTTTTACAAGAAGACAGAATTAGGACACAGGCATGAATAGAGGGAAGGCCATGGAATGGCACAAGGAGAAAACCATCTAAAAGTCAAGGAGAGAGGCCTCAGAGAAAAACAACTATGCCAACATCTTGGACTTCTGGCCTCCAGAACTATGAGAAAATAAATTTCTGTTATTTAAGCCACCCAGTCTGTGGTACTTTGTTATGGCAACCCTAGAAAACTAATTTAGGCTCTAAAGGGTCGGCATTTGTATTACTAAAGCATAGTCAAAAGATACCTCATTTGTCAGCTAATAAACGTGGATTTTTACTAGGGACTGTACATACAGAAAGGAATAAAACAGTTTCTTCTTTCATAGAATCACAGTCCAGGGAACAGAAAGTCAATTAATCAGTAATGATTATAAAAATTACAAGTGATGTTAAAGAGTCATGCAAAGGATACTAGGGGAACATAGAGCTGGGGCACTTCAGCATCAGCACAGGGGTAAAAAGTTTCTCAGGGGAGGTGAGACTGCCTTGAAAGATAAAATGGAACTGGAGAAGACAAAGAAAGGCATTTCAGGTTGGATGAATCCTATAAGCAAATGTACACTGTAATCACTGTAAGCAATATGGCATGATTAGAACATGGTGTGTATCAATACAAGACAGTCAGTGACCATATAACGAAGGGCTTTGTAAGCAGCATCTAGTTTCCAGACTTTATTCTTTAAAGCTGTGGTGAGTAATTAAAGGACTTTTAGGCAAATATATGACATGATAGTATTATTTTTTAATTTTAGAGAAATCACTGTGGTGACAGATCAGAGGGAGGATGGCAGAGAAGCAAGAATATGAATTAGAGAAATATTGCCATAATGTCAGGCAAAGCAAGACTTTGTGAATTATGTCTAAGTGGTGGTGATGAAGAAGATAGGATAGATTTGAGATACAGTAAAGACAACAGAGATCATGGTAGAGTAAGGGCAAAAGATGAATGAAAAGATGGGATCTAGTTTTCTGATTTGACATCCATCCTTAGTGTTTCACTTCTTTCCACTGCATACATAAATCCAATAAACCAGCCTACATGGACATCTATGCATGATCTTGTCCCTGTCTAACTCCCAGGCAATGCGCAACCATCATTTAGCAATCCTCCTTAGTCCTTTTAGTGTTCTTCCATGGACTTTTACAGTACATGATTATGTATTTGTTTGATTTTATTTTTATTTTAAAAAGTGGGCTTTAAATTTTAGGTTATATTCCTAAGAATCACTTAAGGGTTTACTTAAAATGCATATTTCTCGTTCTTAGAGATTACAACTCATAGGTTTGAGAAAGAACCCTATGTTGGCATGTTTAAAAGAATCCCTCCTTCCTCTAGTGATTCTGACACATGCAAGTAATGAACTGTACTTTGCTAAGCCACTAATTAAAAGTTTATTTTCCTAAGAAGAGTAGAAGTCAGGTCTGATTTTCCACCACTGTGTTCCAGATCCTAACATCATGACTAAGACCTAATAGGCATCAATAACTATTTTTGAATGAATGAAGAAAGACTAAAATGCCATGTGAATAGGTAGTGGTATCCTTCACTGAAAAGGGGCGTACAAGGGAATGACTGGTTTTGAAAGGCCGATCATGACTTAGTTCATGGGTTTGTGAGCCAAGTGTGCCTAGAGGTAAAGATTTCAAAGGCACAGGTATATGCAAGGCAATTGAGGTCATGAATATTTATGAGAGAGCTCTCTCCCACAGACATGATGAAAAATACAAAGAGAAGATGGCACAAATGGATCACTGGAAAGAGTCAATTTAAGAAGCACACTCAGGAAGACCAGTGGAAAACGATGTAAAAACATGATCAAATGGTAACTAGGGAAGAATCTAGTCCACAGTGCAAGAGGCCAATCAAATAGTTAATTTCAGGAATGATGAAGTAGTTGGCAATGTATGAAGACAGTAATATTTCATAACCATAGGATTTGAAAATTTAGGGGCCTTGGTTACCTTCATGAGATAAGTTTTCTGTGAAGTCTCTCTTATCTACTTTGCTCCAGACAGGTAGATATGTTCCTCCTCTGTATTTCATCCTCCTCCAAGACATATTTTTATTGTAACACTTTGGCATTATATGGTGATTATCTGTTGATGTGTTTATTTCCCCACCAGACTGACAGCACATTAATCTCAAGGACCACCCAACCCCTATATAAGACTTAGGACTTAGTAGGAGTTCCATGTTTGATAAATATATAACTTGATTAATAAATAGAACATGTGATAAACTAGTCTATGACTAGAAATGTATAACTTCTCTCTATTTAGTGTTTTGAGTAGGCCTGGCTTTAGGCAGTAGGCAGATGGGAGTACTAAACTTATCGTTTCCTAAATCTGTGTGGTCTCTAGATTATGTCATCCGCAGCTTCAGAGAAGCTAATTTTGAGGAGACTAAGTACCCTGACCGCATACCTCACAAGGATGTTTGGAAGACCTAACAAATTAATATTTTGAAAGTTTATTTATTATTATTATTATTATTTTGAGACAGAGTCTCACTCTGTTGCCCAGGCTGGAATGAGGTGACACGATCTCAGCTCACTGCAACCTCCGCCTCCCGGGTTCAGACGATTCTCCTGCCTCAGCCTCCCGAGTAGCTGGGACTAAGGTGCACGCCACCACGCCCTGCTAATTTTTGTATTTTTAGTAGAGACGGGGTTTCACCATATTGGTCAGGCTGGTCTCAAACTCCTGACCTCATGATCCGCCCGCCTCGGCCTCCCAAAGTGCTGGGATTACAGACATGAGCCACCGCACCTGGCCTTCAAAGTATTTTATGAACAGATGATGTGGAAGACAGAAACTCTGCAGGTTCCTTTATTAGGACTGAGAGGAGCACTGGAGAAAAGATATCCACGCTCTACCCATCATTAAATACAGCTGGTCTGTCTAAAAATTATATCAGAAGCAAAAAGTCAAAAGCCACCATCTCTGGATTTCATCCAGATCTGCTATTACTTGTTTTTATCGTCCGACAATCTCAGCTCTTAATAATGGTTTCTGATATTTGTTACATGAAGTGCCCCATCTTTCACTCAAGTTCTATGCAGAAAAAGCCACGTAAAAGAGTGCCTTCTCCCCTTAACTCTGAGTCCACGGATGGTGGCATCTTGAGTGTGCATGTTGGCGTATGTATTGTGGATGCGGTGGTTTAAGGGAAGGGTGCAGGAAGTCAGACCTGTAATATTTTGGGTAAATGGGATGTAATAACCTTATTATAAGGCTTCACCCCAACACAGTGCATATGCAAATATGCAGGGCACATATGGTATTTGTTGCAAGACTATTGAAGTAGAATAATCTTTTCCCTTAAATTTTAACTTATGATAATTCTAATTTGGATATCACAGAGTGACCATTTTTAATTGAAGCCATTGAGTTATGTTTTTGTTACTATGTTCATGTTTATATTATAGATGGCCAAATTTAGAGTTTCAAATAATTTCCTTCAAAAAAATATTTTCAGGTAGGATTACTTCATCTGAATGTTTACCATAAAAATTACTATTTTAGCTATTTTAATGTGATATTTTTGTGAATAGTATTTAAAAGTACTATAGTATTCATGTTTTTAAACTTAAAAGTCAGCTAAATTTTAAAATATGACTTAAATGTTATACATAAATAATTACATTGAATCTATATGGTCAGTACTTTATAATAACTAAATCTAATTAAATTGATCCTTCATTGCTAATAAGTAGAAGTTAATAATACTAAAATGAGCTCAGAACTAGTACTCCCTAATGGCAATTCTGCAAATTTTCAGAATATTTCATTTAATTATGTACATTTCTTTTTTCCATGTACTAATTTGATTCCTGCATGCAGAAACTAAGATAATTCATTTTAAATTATTCTGTGATATTTTGAACAACATAGGAGATGTTCTGTTCAGTGCAAAACACTTACCCATTTCAGTGTTAGCCCATATGACTCAACGTTCATTTAATGCAATCTATAGAGGGTTACAGGAACACGTGTCTTCAGAATGTTAAAGATAGCCAAAGAGGTTTGGAATGAATATTTTCAGTGGCAAGCTATTTTATATTAGTAAACAAACAAAACATAAAGATGATAATAATAGTAATAATAATAACATTTATTGAGGACATACTATGTGTCAGATTGTTCTAATCACTTAACATTTAGTGCTTATAACAACCCCGTGAGTTAAGTATTTTCCTCATATTTTGTTTAAAGAAATACAGAACAGTAGTTGATATGCATCACATCACACAGCTATTAAATGATGTCCAATAGATTCGAGTCCAGGGTGACTACTGAATCACATTTTACTGTCTCTCCTCAATGCTCCCGGGGCAGTGCATGACCAATAATAGGTAGCCAAAATGTTTTGAAAACCAACTCTATTAGGAACATCCCATCCAGAAAAGGGAGCAGAGGAGATAGGAGACAGTGAAGTCAGCATAAGGCATTTAAAATAATCGTCCAAGTGAAGGGAATATGGCCCTAGTCAGGGGAGGCCTTAGACAGGAGCAGGGGATGAATGAGTCAGGCCAGGCAATCAGTTCACTGAGAATAGAAAAGAAAGGGTAAGTTTAAAACAGATTTAGAAAGAAGCAGCAAAATAATTTGGTAGTAATTTATTTAAAGGATTGGTTCTCACAGGACACTTAGAATAAGGTAAATGTTTGTTTCATGGTTTGAGAATGCTACATCCTAGTGATTCCTTTTCCCTCATAATCATTACAGTAAGATACTCTCTCCAGCTAGGATTATTCTAGTCATTACATTCCATATGAGGCATCATAATCATTTTGGTATGAATTTAGCATGTTTTAGTCAAAGTAACCCTAAATGGAACTCTTGCTACAAAGTAAATCAAGGGGTTTTTTGGATGCAAGGCACCTGGCACAGTTGGTACTGGGATACCATCGTGAAATTAGTTTTACCAAGTAAAAATCTGAATCCTGAGTTTTGAGTTTTCCAGTTCTTTTTTCCCACCTAGGTCATGGAATACTATTAGCCAGCCTTACACAATTAACAAGGGATCTGAAGATTCATCTTTGGGAATTTTTAGATTTAGCAACATAAAAGATCAAAATGTTATGATATTAGGTGATTTTTCAATGAAGTTCTCTGTCAACAGACTCATCCAAGTGCAAAGAGTTTTAAATCAGCGTTATAGTGCACCCTTACATATAAATGGAAGTCCAAAGATCACTGGGCATTTAAAGAAATTTTCTGCCATGCAAAATCAACATTAAACAAATAGAGAGAAAAGTAATTTGGGGAAAATAGTCTTTTTCCCCAATGCATGGAGAGGGAGGCATCTAAAGTTATTATAACTCCAGAGATTTTTTTAAAAATAGATGCATGAAATAGGAAATTTCTATTAAAAAATTCAGAAAGCATAAAAGAATAAATTAACTATAATTATTATGTTTAATAATATATCTGATACATTATCATTCATTATTATTCATAATAAATTATAATTCTGGATAATAATTATAATTGATTATAATCTCAGAAATGAAGACTCAATAGAATAATTTGAAGGTAAAGCTGAGATAATCTCCCAGAAATTTAAGCAAAAAGACATACAGAAATAAATGAAGCAAAAAAGTTAATTAAAGATAATTTCAGCATGCCCAATAATTATAAGAAGAATTCATGGAAAAGCAAATAGGGAGTTGGAATCATTAAACAAAAATATCAAAATTTTTCCAGAATGAAAGTATATGAAATTCTAGATTAAAACATTCTACTGAGATTCCAGCACAACATATAAAAATATACAAACATTAGTTTATATCTTGCAGAAATGTCAGAATCCCGAGAACAAATAGATCATAAAAGATTCTGGAGAACGAAAGAAACAAAATGAAAAAAAAAACCTAGTTGATGTGCTGAACCTAAATAAGAAAATAAGTGAAGGAAGAGGGGGAGTTGGCTACAGGAAATAGGAGATACGCCACAAAAAAGATGTGAATCCACCACAAAAAGATGCGAAGAATATCCTCAGAACGGCAGTCAAGGGAGATCCTAGGATGCAAGCTGTGCTGTCCACCTAGACAGGTACCAGTCTAAATTGGAGAAGCCGGAGAGACTCTCTAAGAACATGAACTTTAACATCACACACTGGGGCCTGTCGTGGGGTGGAGGGATGAGGAGGGATAGCATTAGGAGAAATGCCTAATGTAGATGGCGAGTTGATGGGTGAAGCAAACCAACATGGCACATGTATACATATGTAACAAACCTGCACATTGTGCACATGTAACCTAGAACTTAAAGTATAATAATAAAAAAAAAAAGGACATAAACTGGTTAACTATCCAAATATCCTCTGGTAGAAAGTTTGGGAGAAATCGTCCTTAAGTATATAAAAAACAAACTTTAATTATATAAAAACCAAAACAGAAACACTAAGTATTTAAACAGATAACTTTAAAAATTACGGTTACTAGCTATAAGGACAACAAAAAAAATTTCCAAGAAAATAAAAGTAATCAAAGCATAACAGGTGACACAGTTATGAGCAGCATCTATATGCCCATGATAATGTAAGGTATGGTGTAGCTACATTGGGAAGATGATAGGAGAGGAAGTGTAAATAACAGGGTTAAAATAGATATAAAGGAGATAATTCCTCATTTCCTATGGTGAGAAGTCAATATAAACAAACATAGCAGAAAAGTAAGAAGTAGAAAGTGTGAGCAAGTTATTCAGGAGAGAAGAGTAAAACACATCAAGGACCCATTAATTTAAAAATTTGACTGTAGTTGACTTTGGGCATCTGAAACTAGGGGCAGAAGTACTAGGGGCTGCCATCTTCGAAACGAGCTTAGTGGGACCAATGGACTTTCAAAATCATAAGTATAAATAAATTTAATAAGCATTTTAAAGAAGAGCAAGTTGAAATGAAAAGTTAAGAAACCTAACTGAAAAGGAAGACAGATAAGAAACAAAGTAGGGAGAGCTAAAAGTGAAATGTCAAATTTAAATCCACATAGAAAACAATGAAGTACAGGGTAGAGTTTGTATAAAATCAAATCATTAATGTAGAAACCACATAAAGCTTCTTCCTCAAACCACTGAAGAAAACAATACAGACATGGAAAATATAATGGAAAATATGGAAGAAAAGAGAAGACAGAGGCTATTGAGAGAATTATAGATGATTAACATTTCTGATGGGGAAATCCAAACAGCTGTTATAGAAAAATAAAATCAAAGATATGAGGAAAGATTTTTTTTTTCTGAAGAAACATCTGTGCAAATAGATTGAAAGTCAAAATCAATGGAAAGAACTGACAAAACATAAGATTATTTTGGTGGGGAATTACAAGTTAAAGAAAAGCCCAATAAAATTCAAGCAAGGACCCCCACCCCTGACAAAATCATCTAGTAAAAATCTTTTAAAAAGATAGTCTCAAGTTTTGATGCAGCCTTCTCATTATCTTTTACTTCTAAATGGTCCTGATTGCACTTTTGACGTGACTTACTGAAAAGTTATTATTTAATTTCTAAATGGTTGTAGTTTATGTTTATACATATATTTCTAGTTATTCTGCCACAATACAAATGCAGAATAAAAAGAAGCGTAATACTTTTTAGGAGAAACTCTTATGATCACATAATTAATAATATGACAAGGTTTATTTTACATTTGAGGACTAGAGAGAAACTCTCAGATATACAATCATTCAGAAAATATAACATTTAAAGACACTTTACTGGGAAAAATTACCTGAATATGTAATGCAATAAACTACAAATTCAAACTTGAGAAGTCCAATAAAGGAGCCATAATGTAAAAGAAATGACTGTGATTGCTGAAACATGTGAGAAACCTACAAAAATGTGAGTAAAGTTCATTATAAAACAGGATTACATTATCAACAATAGTTATGAAGGATATATAATGTAAATGTAAGAATATAATAAGAATAATCTAGATCCAAGCACCCAGGTCTCAATGAAAATATAACTTGCATGTTGTTTTATGGGCAACAAAGCAAACAGCAATAAAAAAAAAACTGTTAGAAAAATGACAAATTGACAAGTTCCAGAGTAGAGTGAAAATGTTTTTTGTTTTTTTGTTTTTTTGTTTTTTTTTCCGAGACGGTCTCCCTCTGTCCCCAGGCTGGAGTGCAGTGGAGTGATCTCGGTTCACTGCAACCTCTGCCTCCCGGGTTCAAGCAATTCTCCTGCCTCAGTCCCCCGAGCAACTGGGACTACAGGCACACGCCACCACGCCTGGCTAATTTTTGTATTTTTAGTAGAGATGGGTCTCACCATGTTGGCCAGGATGGTCTCAATCTCTTGACCTCATGATCCACCCGCCTCAGCCTCCCAAAGTGCTGGGATTACAGGCATAAGCCACCGCACCCGGCCGAAAAAGTATTTTTAAAAATGAATCATAAATTTCTTAATAGATTAAAAGTTTTTTTAAAGAAAACTTTGTTTAGGCCACATTTTCTGATAACTTTGTAGAAAAACTAGAAATAAATAAAATTATAAACATATAATGCAACCACTTAGAAATTAAACAATAACTCTTTCCAATTAGTCAGGTCAAAAGTGCAATTAAGACCATTTAGAAATAAAAGATAATGAGAAAGCTGCATCAAAACTCAAGTGTTACACACAAATCTGTACTTATAACAAAAATTTGTATTATTCAATGTTTTATTTTAAAATAGAAAATAATAAAAATAAATGAACTTAGTATTAATTATAGAGGGTAGGCACAAATGATACATAATACTATAAGAAGTAGAGGGAATAATTAATAATAAAAGACTTAGAAACAGAATAATGGTGAATTAATTAAAAAGAAAATCCAAGAACAGTTTCTATGGAATAGCCAGTTGAAATTACAGATACCTGGCAAGTCTAATTGAGGGAGAAAAAAAAGAGAGGAAAAAACTCAAATACACAGCCTGGACTCTGACATACAGATGTAATTATAAATACAAAAAAGGAAAATAATAAAATACCATATTTATTAAATAAAATAATAATATAACATAATATAATATTGCTGTATTGCTTTTTAAACATCCCTGGTCTCCCATGCCTTGAAAATACCATCTGTGACATAGTTGTATTCTTTAACTGCTGCATTCTTTTTCTTTCTTCACCATACCTTTAGAAGCAATGTTTTATGTCCCCTGTACCATCTTCCCCATGCAAAATAGCTTTTACAATCTATTCATTTTAAAGGCTCACGAGAAAGGTATCAGCATTCAAATCTAATGGCCTCTTTTCTATCTACCTCTTTTTTGAAGCCCTCCTTACTTGAGATCTGAACACTATCACTATTATTTCTCTCTTGTCATGAATGCTGGTTCACTATTCTTGTTGATAGTTCCCCTATGACTGCCCATGGTTTTATCCTTAATATTTTTTGACTTGTCTTTGTCAGAGGTCCCAACTATTCCTTGGCCTTAAACATCATTGCTGTACTTCAATCCTGATCTTGTTACTTATGAACTAGAACATTTCCAATGTCCTGCTGACCAAGCGCTGTGAGATAGAACTAAAGTATGAGACATAAAGCTCATCATGTCTACAAATGGATTCACCATTTGGCCTAAACATTTTCTTCTTGATTCTCCAATTTTTTTCAGCTCAGTTTTATGCCCTGTATTGGCAACCATACGTAATTTTTTTTTTTATCCATCCATGGTTTTTTCTGGCCCTGCTGGAACCATTTATCATAATGCCATTCCTTGACTACCACAAAGGGAACGTAGCTAGCTTTCTTTCTCTTCTAATCCATCTTGCACATAGAAATCGGGGACAGATAAAAATACTCTTAACATTCTCTTTGTTTACTTGTTTACTTCTCTAATGAAAATTTACAACTTCTCACAGGTTACAAAGCAAAATAAACATTAGTAACCTGACTTTATGCCCTCAAACACTCTTTCCCAATCTACCTTTTGAGCATCACATAAAATGCCCATATGAAAATTATATGCTTCACTCAATTTTTGTATTCATCTTCTTTTACATGTCTCTATTTACTCTTGTTTTGCCTCTGCTTTGAAGACCATTCTTCCATTCCTAGCTGTCAACACACTACTATTTCTTCAAGAATTATTTCAAATGCCTCGTCCGTTAATTTGTCCCCGATCACTTGAATCATAAGTGGTCCATCCCTCCTCTCACATCATGCAATTTTGTTGGTATCATTTGTATGATAATTTCATTATGCTCCTATATTATAATGAACTCCTCTATTAGTTTTAACTATTCTTTAAGTCAGGAACCATGCCTAATATGTACCTTAAAAATGCCTTATACTTTGGCTCCATATTATTTTACTTAAGCTAGCATTTGCACAAAAAAGGTGCTAATAATATTTTTAATGTATGTACAATCTTGAGATAATATAATCCAACTTTCAATTTTTGTAAGTATTAGGAAATAATAGCATAAACATAATAAAGCAAATATGTGCTATCATTCTTTGGGCACTTTTGAGAATTATACAATACAAGCTAATACTCCAAAATCCATTTCTATATACTTTCTCTTCATTGTACAAACTTTCCAGGATTGAATATCCAGTTAACCTAACTCTGAAATATAAAATAGAATGTATAATGGCAAAATTCCTAAGTATTTACTATGTGTTATTTGTTGGCCAAAGCATTTTAGCTAATTACATTTATTTAAAATGGTTATACATGTTATTGGTCTGGTTTATCTTTAAATAGGAAAATCTATCTTTTGTCATTATAAATTTCCAGTTTCCAATGATAAAATCATTCTACATAACTTGAAAGCCATATTGACAAGGCACTTTGAAAATTTTCATCTTTAAATAAACATTAGGTTTTCAAATTAGGTCAGGATTTAAGTCTCTTATTTATAACTTACTAAATGTATTTCCCTGAGCCTCAATTTCCCCATCTGAGAAAATAAATCAGTAAAACCTTACTTCAAATGATTTTTCAGTATTGAATGGATGAATCCATATAAAGAACCTAGAACAGGGTAGGCATAATAGTCATAGTTAGCAATAATCATCATCATCAACAACCACCACCAATCCCTCCTCCTGTTCACTCACCTACTTATTCTGCCTAACACCATAGCTGCTGCTATTCTTCTTCCTAAAATAAATGTGATGTATCCCCTACTTCCTGCTTAAATTGGATAGAGATTCTATTTTCTATTTCCCATTTTAACATCTCTATAATAAACAACAGATAAATTATTTTTAAAAAATCCCAAATGTACTCTTCTTTGTATAAAATTTATTCCAGAAAATGTACAGCTCTGGTGTACCATTGCTATAATTTCATTACCATGTAACTGATACATTTCATGTGACATATTCTGTTGGGTTATTTTAATTAAATAAGCACAATGTTGAAGCTCTAATTTTTTTCACTTTTAAAATGGAATGAAATATTAAAATGCCAGCTTTGTGACCTTGTCTTCTCCAAAACAATATTTTGTTTGACCAAAAGTAGTTCTGAAAGGTGAATTCGTCACATGAATGAATAAAACTCAATGTAATACTCTGCTTGGGGTGGATTATAACCTGTCTCCGTCTCCCAATGCATAACATGAACCCTCTAGTACATCTAATACATCTAGTTTTGAATATATTAAGAATATCACATGGTAGTAATCTGAACTTAGACTCAGATATTGAATGCTTAGAGGCTAACCTAATACCCAATTGTATTGATTACAATACAAAATATGGTTTCACTGCACTCATCTCAAGAGATTTGTTAGGTGATGATGTTTGTAAAAATGGATATACAGCTGGAAAGCAATTCAATGATAGCTTATCAATCAAAATATAAGCGTACACTTAAACATAAGAGGAAAGCTGAAGGCATTTTGGATTTCCAGTGGCAGGGCAGTTAGTTTCATTACTCACCAAATTGCAAAAGATACAAAATGGGATTTGCTCCCAATGTTCATGGTACTCTTTTGTACTTTATTTTATTTTTCATTTTCAATGCCTATCTTCTGCAAGTACATATTTAATAATGTATCATTGTTTCATATTTGGAAAAATATATTCCAATCTTTTCTCAAAGAAATGAAATTTAAAATGAATTAAGTGCTTCCTAAAATTGTTTAAGCTATTAGTTTCAGTGTAAAGGAACAGAAAATGGCACATCTTTAATTACTAAATGTGTAAATACAGACATAAGATTTTTTTAAATTGTAGATAAAAATAAAAACAAAAAGATAAGTTTTAGAGAAACCAACTCAATAATAAATCAAGCAAAAGGGTAATAAGGGAGGCCAGGTGCAGTGGCTCATGCCTGTAATCCCAGCACTTTGGGAGGCTGAGGTGGGCAGACAGCTTGAGCTAAGAAGTTTGAGACCAGCCAAGATAACATAGCAAGACCCAATTTCTACAAATAATAATAATAATAATAATAATAATTAGCCTGATGTGGTAGCACATGCCTGTAGTTCCAGCTACTCAGGAAGCTGAGGTGGAAGGATTGCTTGAGCCCAGGAGGTTGAGGCTGCAGTGAGTTATGATCGTGCCACTGCACTCCAGCCTGAGTGACAGAATGAAACCCTATTTCAAAAAAACTAAAATTAAAAAGAGTCACAAGGAAGAAAAGAACAAAAGGCAAAGCACATGGTATATAACAAAAACTAGAAATAGTCTGCTTAGAGGAAGAAATGAGATAGAAAGTATAGTTAAACAAAATTATTTTTATAAAAGTTTTCAGAAATAGTTTTTCTTAAATTTTCTGTTTTTGTTTCCAGTCTTTCTTTTTATTGTCATATATGTTATTTTTAGGGCACTAAATTACATAACTTTGTTTCTAATATATTACTAACATCATATGGTTAAGATTTATCATTCTTAAAGAACTTCCTGTTTTGTTTGGCAAATAATAGGATAAATGTAAGAAGAAAAGAGTAAGTTGGAATTTGAGATTCCAATTTGTGGCACAGAAATTCCTCTTTTTAGAATGGAAATGATGGATGTGTTGCCTATAACTCAAAATGAAAATGTGAGAGCAGTAAGAATAAATTATGATGTTAAAACTCAAAGAAACACTTAAAAACAAAACAAAGAACATAAATAAAATTATTTAGAACAGAAACACCAATAGAACAAAACAGACGCAATTTATCTTTTTGATAGATTCATAGAAAGCTTAATCTGGTGCATGTGAATAGGGGAGAGTAAGGTACAATTTATAGTCGATCCCATGACACGGTAC
Source organism: Homo sapiens (assembly GCF_000001405.40). Taxonomy (NCBI): domain Eukaryota; kingdom Metazoa; phylum Chordata; class Mammalia; order Primates; family Hominidae; genus Homo; species Homo sapiens. Next base: position 126,555,244 of record NC_000007.14, read on the forward strand.
TAAGTTAGGTTGCAGAGTGCTCATAGCTGGATGTGAAGAAGCAAACTACGTAAATGATGAAAGGAGATTCCTATTAATTGCTCAGGCCAAGAGACTATCTTCATAGCCTGGGCTAAGGGGTAGGCAGAATAACCAACAGTGTATGGTTAAATTTATCTTGCGTCACTACCAGACAATGCTAAGAACAGCTATAAACTAGAATCCCTGTCTTGTCACACAGAAATATGATCCAAACATAAATCAGATCCATTAATTATTGGAAATGAACAATTACCACAAATACCTGCATTTACTATATTTGTTATATTTCATATTCTTATTAATTTGTCCAGTTATTGTTTATAATTGTTCTTATATCAAATTATTTTTAAAGCAAAACAATTTATTACGAGGGTTTCTGCTATTTGACACTTCAGATCAGTAAATGAAGCACCTACTAGCAGTTTGTTACTGTTGTTCAAACTTTATAGCTCTGTTTAGCTCAGTTTTCTATTCAGTGTTTGTTTACTTGTACAGATGCAAATGCTCACTTTATTCTTCCTAAAATATGTGTGGAATACAAATGCTCTCAGATTGAATCCCTCTTTGAACCACACATTTGAATATTTTCTGCTTAATATTTGCTAATGCCCATGAAAAGAAATTTGATTGACTGTAAAAGGACATATCAAGGAAAACTCATATCTCAGAATACTAAAATGAAGTACAATGACTATCTCTACAAAGCACCAAAAACATCCAGTTGAAATGTGAACATATTCCCAACTCTGAAAAACCAAAAGCAGCTTGAGCACTTTCTTACCCTTACTTCCCCAAATAATAAATTATCTTGGGGTTGGATACATATAGTTGAAGAATTATCCCCTTGTTTAAAGTTACTTGAATGAGAGACAAAATACTTCGTATCCATGAAATGAAATAACTCATGAAAGCAGCTGCATGTTTGAATAATTTCAGTTCTCAAAGTCAGTCAAGCCTTTAAAACTAGTTATTGTTTTGTGTTTTTCATATTAGTACCTACTATTGTAAATCCTCAAACCAAGGCTCAGGGATGACACTACTAGAGTGACAATGGAGAAGCAGTTCTCCTCTTTAAAAAAAAAAAAAAAAAAAAAAAAGTGGGCCAGGTGTGGTAGCTCATGTCTGCAATCTCAGCACTTTGGGAGGCCGAGGTGGGTGGATCACCTGAGGTCAGGAGTTCAAGACCAGCCTGGCCAACATGGTGAAACCCCGTCTCTACTAAAAATACAAAAATTAGCCAGGTGTGGTGGCAGACGCCTGTAATCACAGCTACTCGGGAGGCTGAGGCAGGAGAATTGCTTGAACGCAGGAGGCAGAGGTTGCAGTGAGCTGAGATTGCACCACTGCACTTCAGCCTGGGTGACAGAGCAAGACTCCGTCTTGAAAAAAAGAAAAAAATGTGTCCACAATTTTGATTAGAAAACTTTCCTCTTTTTCACGAGAGAACCTCCAGTCTTGTAAATGTCAGTCATGGTTCAGATTATTTATTTTAAAAAGATGTAATCAAAAGACTCCAAATGTATGTATTTTTGTTCCAAAAATGCATTTTGCCTCTAAAGAGAATGTCAGTTCTATTCCATTGTCTTTAGTTTCTTTCCCTAATCAGATATAAATGAAAGACTTATTCATTGGTGTCCATTGGTGTCTTTAGTTTTATTTGTAATTCATAAAACTACTTGAAAGAAATATGGATATACTATTAAGTATTGTTTTCAAGTAAAGGGCCAAGGAACAGCACAAAGAAGAAACAGAAAGAAAAAGATAAGATAGAGCCCTATTCTTGCTCTGAAAAATGAGCTGCCTGTGGGGAAGCTGCTCCCCTAAAGAAGGGATCAGGGATATCTTCCTGTGATATTCACTGGAATACTGTCTCCCAACAGACACTGGCAAGTGCAGAAGACCTCACACTGCCTTGCTGGCGATTTTCTCCTCAATAGAGTATATTTAAGAAGAAAACTTTGAAATCTTAAAAGAGAGCAAAGGCAGCGGTATTAGGGTAAGACTGGATAATGCTCTGGATCCATTACCATAAGGATAGCAAATAACAAAGAAAAGTAAAATGTATCTGACAGAGACGGGCTCAGGTGCTCAGTTACCACCTTGGAATCACTCTTGGTCCATCCTTACTGTCTCTGTACATTTTTCTCGCACACCAGCACAGGGCACTTCTTTGCTGCTTCTGTTTCCATCTTGCCAGGATCCATCTTCACTTTTGTGACAATCTTCCTTTCAGTTTTAGTAAAACAACCACAAGTGGCGATCGTAAGAAATTTCTGGAAATTCCCCATTGTTGCTGTACAACACTTCCTATTATAAAATTCACTGTGAGTAAAGAATTAAAATATGAAATTCTAGCTAATACCAATGTAATGAGTAGCTCTAAAAAAGTTTTAATGTTTTCTTAGTAAGATCTTTTTATTCATTCATTGTCATATCTTATTCATCTTTGCATGCTCAGAATTTGGGCAAACTGTAAAAATAGAAATATGGCAACATATGTGTATGACAAAGTACGTATATATGTATGTGTATATTGACAAAGTATGTGTATATGTATGTATATTATATATATACACTATATATATGTGCTTGCTAGGCACATGGTGAATACCAAAAAGTAATATAAAGATGTACTTTAAGTTTGTTTTAAACTATAAATTATAAAGGAATTCTGGTTTCACAAAATAATAAATCAGAAGAGAATAATTTTTAGAATTAAAATTAACATAAATTCATACTAACATATGGCATCTGTTACTGGATTTGAAGAATTTTCACAGATCACATTTATAAGGTACATTTCAACAAATTTATAATTCACTGTCATAAAGCAACTTGAGTAAGCTCAGGGTTAAAAAGGTGGAAGGGTAGGATCAAAATTCTAGGTAGCATTTATGATTTGTGGTAGGTTAGCAGAGAGTTAAGTACATGTAAGTACCACAGTGAAGAGCAAAAATGGCTAATAGCTTACAACTGTGTACCAAGTATAGTTCAGAGTTCTTTTTATGTATTTCTTTATTAATCTTAAAACATCCCTATTGATATCATAATTGTACAATTGAAGAAAATTACACAAAGTGAGAAAATCTAATTTGCCAAGGGCCATGTGTATATACATGTATATATACACATAAAGTAAGTGGCAAAGCTGTCCTCAATCTAGGTAGCTTAACCACAAAGCCACCCTCTCAACCTCTGTATGCCTCTGTATGCTGTTTCCAGGACCTTCCAGATGCCAAAATCCATGGATTCTGAAGTCTTTTATATAAGATGGTGTAATATTTGCTTATAACCTACATGCATCCTACTGTATACTTGAAATCATCTCTAGGTTAATTACAATGCCTCATACAATGTAAATTCTACGAAGATAGTTTTTATACTGCATTTTTTAGGGAATAATGATGAGAAAAAAAAGTCTTTACATGTTTAGCACAGACACAACCATTCCTTTTTTTTCTGAATATTTTCAACCTGTGGTTGACTGAATCCACAGATGTGGAACCTGCAGATACCAAGGGCTGACTGTACCTAAATGGCCTGTACAAAGAGCAATAAGTCATCATTCAATATCAAAAGTGGTAAGGAATCAGGAAAACAAAGATACATTGCAAAGACCAAAGTAGTGAATCTAACCAAAGACCAGGAATAGTTTAGGAATCAGGAATTCAAGAATCAAGCTAGGTGGAGCAATAGCAGCTACAATTAGTGAAGAGAGAGACGGGTACTGATGCAAAGCACCCTCACATGTGTTTTTCCAGAGCAAATCATGGCTTATAAGTGGTGTGAGTAATGTGCATAGGGAAATGGGCTCCAGATGGCTGGAAAGTCAGAACAAGTTTGATACTGATCTTGAAGGAAGTGTCAGCTACTGGTAATCTTTTGCTTTTTTTTTTTTTTTTTTTTAAGGCAGACCTTTGCTCTACGGCCCAGGCTGGAGTGCAGTGGTGCGATCTCGGCTCACTGCAACCTCCGCCTCCTGGGTTCAAGTGATTCTCATGCCTCAGCCTCATTCTCATCCCAGCCTGTAATCTAGGAGCTGGGATTACAGGCATGTACCACCACACCAGGCCAATTTTTGCATTTTTAGTAGAGACAGGGTTTCATCATGTTACTCCGACTGGTCTCAAACTACTGACCTCAAGTGATCCACCCACCTCGGCCTCTCAAAGTGCTGGGATTACAGGCATACGCCACCACACTGAGCCAGCTACTGGTAATTTTGACACTAGTTGGTAAGCTGTTAGCGCTCTCCAACTTTAACAAACAGATTCAAACCTCGTCTCAATTACTGTTGTGCTGGATAATTCTTGAATAGATCACATTGTCTTGTGCAACAGTTCCTTCTAAAACACCTTTGAGATGGCTTAACAACTTATACTGGGAAAAAAGTGGTGGACAGTGTGTTTAGAATCAGAACTAAAAAATGCTCAATTGATTCTGTAAGTCCTTCCACCTGTAAATCTGAGTATGAATTGGAACTTTCAGGAATCCACCTGGTATGAATGTAAACTATTACTTTAAATTGGAACTGAAAATTTCAATTGTAGGCTCGATGTAAGAATAGTGAGTTTACTGCCTTTGAAACTCACCCATGTCTCCATTTGCAACTGGATATATTTTCTCTTTGAAATTCTCTTCAATCACTCTCCAGTCCTGAATAGCAGCATCAGTAATTGTGTCAACAGACATGATCATTTTATGATCTGAGAAAGCTGGACTGACAAATGCATCGCCACTTGAAATCTAACCTAAAGATAGAAACCTGCATTGTAGAGCAGAAGGCTAAGCTGTACTTACATAACAGCAGCAACACTTACAACCTGTGCTGCCTTTGCTTTATTTTTTAAAGGCATGACCGATTTTCTATTTCAGATGACAGAATATTAAAATGTTGGGCAGTGATGTTTTCAAATCCACATAATTTTTAGTCTATATCAGTGATAATATAAGTCACTGATTTTTTAACCGGAAGTCAGGTTAGCAGCAAGATTTCTAATTATAACTCATTGCTAATATTTCATATGGCTTATAAAACCTATGAATAACATTGATTTATGTAATGGAAACTCAGAAAAGAATAGAGAAAATTATATAAAAATTACTGTATTCTTGGATCAGAAATTCTAGAAAGATGTTTGTTTATATTTTGAGATTTCAAGCAGCAGGGGGGAATGCTTTTAGTCAGCCTTCTATTGTTATCTATAAAAGAGTGAATAAATAAATAAAAATCTCTGCATAGAGATGAAATGAACCAGCAAAATACCAAAGGAAACTAACACCACAGATAAGATTTACTGATCAAAATTCACTGTTTTTGTGTAGGAACACAGCATGGTAAATAGGCCTTATATAATAAATACATTATTTTCTATAACAGATTTCTCCAAGAAGACCCAAAATGCTATAAAGCAGCACTGCAATAATTCTATAAATATCATTTTGAAGTACTAGCATTCCAATTTCAAGAAATAATTAAACAATTCTGAAGTTGATGACATTTAGGAATGGGATAAGGACAGTATTGCTATTCAATAGAAATGAATCAAATGCATATTTATCAAGTTGGCTAAATAGGAATGCTAAGAAAATATACACATAAATGATAATCCTTTAAGTAATTTCATTATTATAGCAGCCCATGAAATCATGTGAGCTTTTTCAATCCTCTCTTTAATTTGAACTTATTGTAAACATTTGACGTTCAATACTAGAAATCAGATCTTTTATCTAAGACTTGATTAGTCAGCTTTACTTCCTTGTGACAGACACACTACATGGTCTACTAATCCTATCAGCTGTCCACACATTGAAATATATATTCCTGCTCAAATCTTTATTTCACTCAGGTTAACCATAATTGCCATTATTGGCACCTTTTGTCTTGTACTTCCTCAGAAAAAACAGCTACGAAAGTAGTAAAATAGGCCAGGCGCAGTGGCTCACACCTGTAGTCCCAGCACTTTGGGAGGCCAAGGTGGGCGGATCACGAGGTCAGGAGTTTGAGACCAGCCTGGCCAATATGGTGAAACCGCATCTCCACTAAAAATATAAAAATTAGCCGGGCGTGGTGGCTCGTGCCTGTGGTCCTAGCTACTTAGGAGGCTGAGGCAGAAGAATTGCTTGAACCCAGGGCGGAGGTTGCAGTGAGTCAAGATCATGCCACCACACTCCAGCCTGGGCAACAGAGTGAGACTCTGTTTCAAAAAAAAAAGGTAGTAAAATAAAAACCAATCCAGGATGCTATACCATATTATTACCAAAACAATAACACAATGGTCTGATCAACAGCAGCAGCTATAGATTCTCCCTCATTTAAACTTGAATTATCTTTTATTTTATTTATTTTTTTATTATTTATTTATTTAATTATTATTATACTTTAAGTTTTAGGGTACATGTGCACAACGTGCAGGTTTGTTACATATGTATACATGTGCCATGTTGGTGTGCTGCACCCATTAACTGGTCATTTAGCATTAGGTATATCTCCTAATGTTATCCCTCCCCCCTCCCCCCACCCCACAACAGTCCCCAGTGTGTGATGTTCCCCTTCCTGTGTCCATGTGTTCTCATTGTTCAATTCCCACCTATGAGTGAGAACATGCGGTGTTTGGTTTTTTTGTCCTTGCGATAGTTCGCTGAGAATGAGTTCATGTCCTTTGTAGAGACATGGATGAAACTGGAAACCATTTTATTTATTTAAAAATTATATTTATTCATTTCTTTCATTTTAAGATGGGAATGTGAATATAGGGCATTTTCTTTTAAGATTAATAAATAACATCTAATTGACACAGTCTTAGAAAACATTATTCCCCTATACCCTGATATCTGAAAATATAATTCAGAGGGTGAATATAAAAAATTAGACATGATAAAACCATAAACTGCTAAGCTGGATGGGTCATTAAAAAGAGTGAACTAAAGTGGAGAGAGATAAAGTGTCTTGCTGTCCAAAGCTTTATGTAGGAGTATTTGGGGAAAACACTAGATAAAGATAAATCACAAAAGATTTACTTGCATCAAAGGCATCACCAAAACCTTGTAATTTTCTGTGATAATAGGAATGTGTACACTCCCAGTTTATTTCAAACTGTTTGGTATGGGTAACAGAATGGCTGGTTGGCTTCCCAGTTAGTTTTTGAGTCTTAATTAACAAGGGAGTCCTGGGATCAGGAATGTCTATTATATTGAGGTTCAAAGAAATGCAATACTAAGTGTTTATTGTTGAAGAAATGCTCAGTTAATGTAAATTAAATAAGAAGTTTCAATGTGGAATATAATCTAAGAATCTAAATTTAAACATGAAATTCAGGTACAATTTATTTTAAAAATAAGCGAAGGTTGCCCGGCGTGGTGGCTCACGCCTGTAATCCCAGCACTTTGGGAGGCCAAAGGGGGCAGATCACCTGAGGTTGGGAGTTCGAGACCAGCCTGACCAACATGGAGAAACCCTGTTGCTACTGAAACATACAAAAAAGTTAGCCGGTGTGGTGGCATATGCCTGTAATCCCAGCTACTTGGGAGGCTGAGGCAGGAGAACCGCTTGAACCCAGGAGGCAGATATTGCGGTGAGCCGAGACCATACCACTGCACTCCAGCCTGGGCAACAAGAGCAAAACTCCATCTCAAATAAATAAATAAGCAAAGGTTTTAAATAAACAAGCTCTAAATGTCAAAAAGATGACCCAAAGATTTACTAAAGAAATATATGGTTAACTAATTATTATAACAAATGTATCCAAGCTGTTTCCGTACTGCCCATTGTACAATATGTGGATATGATGTTTGAAAGCTTAGAAGCCTGTTATAATGAACGTAGTAATCGCATGCCCCTTAGCACTTACGTGTGCTTCCTCATGTTACACTGCACTTAGGCATCTGGCCTTGTATAATACACAGGCATAACATTCTACCCCTCGGTGATTTACGGCATCAACAGTAATTTTAAATTCTTGATATTTTGAAACATTCTTCTTAAGTTCTCTTTTATAATATCAAAACTTCTACTTGCCCTGTGGTTTTTTTTTAAAAAAAAAACATATTTAATCAAAAATATTCATTATTTCTCATGTCAACAGTGCAAATACTAAGAAATTGTAGTGTAACAGAATGTTGAGTAGGATTTTTCCTTTACCTGGAAATCCAGGTAAATCCTAAAGCTGAAAGGTCTGGGAAGAGCTTCCCAAAAACTACCTTTACTTTACATTCTAAGAGGAGTCAGAGAGCCATCCTGAAGGCCAACCAAGACATGCCAGAGGCAGCCCTACTTGAGCAAGTTCCCATCCACTCTTCCTCTTAAATCTCATTTTTTAGGGAGAAAACTGAGAGGGAAGGGCTCAAGGGCATCAAGCTGTGGCTTGTCAGCCTCTGGGAAAGAGCCATGTTTAGGGGAGTGGCTTTGGCTCTTTCCCTCAAAAGGACAGTTCTCCAACTGAACCACTTGTGGAGACTGCTGGTAGCTGCATAAAAAGATATCCTAGGTGGATATTTGCTGACCAACAAAACCTACAGGTATACTTGGGGCTACCACAACAGAGAAGGATGGTAAGATAGTTTATTTTAGAACTTCCTGATGCATGAAATTTATTGATTTCTCACATGTGTGAAAGTGTACATTAACAGAGAAAGTGCTTATCGCTAGAAATTTCTAAAGGCTGCAGAATTTCTGGAGAACTCTAAACCAGTGGTATAAAAATTATAATAGAGTTTCATCAGGTCCAAGGCAAAAAGTTAGGGTGATGGTTATGGTTATATTTAGGTCTAGTAGATGGCTACCAGAACCCTTTGGAGATGAGGAAGAGAAATTAGCAGTTTGGGTGGTCCCACCTCCATGTGAAAAAGAAATGAAAGTCAGATGATGGGCAGGTGCCCTAGTCTTTTCTAGCAGCCACTGGGCAATGAGACATCTTTCCTAGCAAAAGTGTTTTAATTGGGGGTTTTGATCAATAGCAAGGGCCAAGAGATGATAGGCCTGCTGTTTTCTGAAGGGCTCCTCATCAAAGAAGATGCTAGTTGAAGCTGAACTCAACTCAAGGAAGCAAAGCACACTACTGATTTGGAAACCACCTGTCAGCCATGGTTACCAGCATATGGAACCAGACTGAACCAGAGTGAAGTCAAAGATATTTCCCCATTGCAACTGATGCCAATGAAATAAAATAAATTATAAGAGATTGCTAAAAGCAATTATATTCAGATAAACCAGATAATCTAAAAGAAATGGAAAAAAAACACTAGAAAAAACTTACCAAGACTGAATCATTAAGAAATATGAAGTCTGAACATACCTTTAATTAGTGTGGAGATTAAACCAGTAATAAAAAATGTCCCTACAAAGAAAAGTGCAGGACCAGATGGCTTAACTGCTGAATTACACCAAATATTTAAAGATTTAATGCCAACCCTTCTCAAACTATTCCAAAAAAACTGAAGAGGAGAGAACACTTCCAAACTAATTTTTTGAGGCCAGCATTACCCTCATACCAAAGCCAAATACAACAAAGGAAAAGAAAGCTAAAAGCCAATATTCCTGATGAGTATAGAAGCAAAATTCTCAACAAAATACAAGCAAATCAAATCCAATAGCACATTAAAAGGATCATACACCATGGCCAATTGGGATTTATCCCTGAGTTGCAAGGATGGCAACATATGAAAATCAATTAATCATTAATAAAGGATAAAAATTCCATAATCATCCAAATAGAAGCAGAAAGGCATTTGATGAAATTCAACCACAATTCCATATAAAAACTGACAAGAAACTAGGACTAGAAGGAAAATACCTCAACATAATAAAGACCACATATGAAAAGCCTACAGGTAACATCACACTCAGTGGTGAAAAGTTGAAAGATCGGGACAAAGGCAAGGATGCCTACTCTTAGCACTTCTATTCAACGTGGTAATGGAAGTCCCAGCCAGGGCAATTAGACAAGAAAAGAAAGTAAAAGGTATCCAAATTGGAAAGAAGCAAAATTGTCCCTGTTTGCAGATGACATCATTTTATGTATAGAAAACTCTAAAGACTCAATTATTAAAAAAACAAAACAAAACACTGTTAGAACAAACAAATTCAATAGAGTTAAATGATACAAAATCAACATAAAAATCAATTGTATTGCTATGTATTAATGACAAACTATCTGAAAAAATTGGGAAAACAGTCTCACTTACAATAGCATCACAAATAATAAAAATACCTAGAAATAAGCCTAAGGAGATGAAAGACTTATATACTGAAAATTAAAGAATATTGATGAAAGAAATTAAAGACACAAACAAATGGAAAGACATCCTGTATTTATGGATTAGAAGGCTTAATATTGTGAAAATGCCAGACTACTCAAAGTGATCTACAGATTCTATGCAATCCCTATCAAAATCCCAAAGAAATTTCATAGAAGTAGAAAAAATCCTAAAATTTATATTAAACTATAAAAGAACCCAAATAGCAAAGCAATTTTGAGCAAGAAGAACACAGCAGGAGGCATCTCCCTTCCTGATTTCAAAATATATTACAAAGCTACAAAAATCAAAATGATAAGGTACTGGTATAAATACAGACATATAAGCCAATAGAACAGAATAGAGACCCCAGAAATAAATCTGTGAATATTTGGTCAAATGATCTTCAGTGAGGATGCCAAGAATATACAATGGGGAAAGGACAGTCTTTTCAACAAATAGTGTTGGGAAAACTAGATATCCACATGCACAGGAATAAAACTGGCACTTTTATTATTGCCATATGCAAAAATCAAGTCAAAATGGATTAAAGAACTAAATGTAAGACCTGAAATTATAATATTGCTAGAAAAAAATAGGAGAAAATCTCCATGACATTCATCTAGGCAATGATTTGATGAATTTGACATCCAAAGCATTGGCGAAGAAAACAAAAATAAACAAGAGGCACTACATCAACCAAAAATCTTCTGCAGAGCAAAGAAAGCAGTAAAATGACAATCTATGAAATCAGAAAACATACTTGAAAGTGATATATCTGAGAATGAGTTAGTTTTCAAAATTGGTAAGAAACTTCTACAACTCAATAGCAAAAAAACTAACCCAACTTAAAATATAGGCAGAATAGTTGAATACACATTTATCCAAAGAAGATCTACAAATGGACAATAGCTATGAGAACAAATGCTCAACATTATTTCCTGATGATTTGCATAATCAGGAAAATGCAAATCAAAATCACAATGAGGTATCACCTCACACCTGTCAGAATGACTATTATCAAAAAAACAACCAATGTTGGCAAGCATATGGAGAAACTGGAACCCTTGCACACTGTTGGTGGAAATGAGGAATGGTGTAGTCGCTATGGAATACAGCATGGAGGTTCCTCAAAAGGTAAAAATAGAACTACCCCATGACCCAGCAGTCTCCCTTCTGAGTATTTATCCAAAAGAATTGAAATCAGGGTCTCAAAGAGATATTAGTATTCCTATCTTCACCACAGTACTGTTCACAAGAGTCAAGATGTGGAAACAATCTAAATGTTTATTGGCAGATGAACGGAAAAGAAAATGAGATGCATAAATACCATGAAATATTATTTATCTTTTTTAAAGAGGAAATTCCGCAATATGTGACAACATAAACAAACCTTAAGGATATTAGCTAAAGGAAATAAGCCAGTAACAGAAAGACAAATACTGCATGATCTCACTCCTATGTGGAATCTAAAGAAGTTGGTCTCATAGAAGTTAAGTTTAGAATGGTGGTTACCACTTATATGAGTCGAATCATATAATAATCAAATTCATAGAATGAGAGTGGGATGGATGTTGCCAGGGAATGGGGGCAGGAATAAATGAGAAATTACTCATCAACATTTTAAAGTTTCAATTGAGCAAGATGAATAAGCTCTAGAGACCTACTGGACAACATTGTAGCTATAGTCAACAATAATGTATTGTGCACTTAAAAATTTGTTAAGGGGATAAAAAATGATGAGTTCATGTCCTTTGTAGGGACATAGATGAAGCTGGAAACCATCATTCTCAGCAAACTATCACAAGGACAAAAAAACCAAACACCGCATTTTCTCACTCATAGGTGGGAATTGAACAATGAGAACACATGGACACAGGAAGGGGAACATCACACACCGGGGACTGTTGTGGGGTAGGGGGAGGGGGGAGGGATAGCATTAGGAGATATACCTAATGTAAATGATAAGTTAATGGGTGCAGCACACAAACATGGCACATGCATACATATGTAACAAACCTGCACGTTGTGCACATGTACCCTAAAACTTAAATAATAAAAAATTTGTTAAGAGGGTAGATTTCATGTTAAGTGTTTTTAATTATAATACAACAGTTTTTTAATTGTGTATGCTTTTAGTGGTAAATAAATTAGCTCTCTGGTGCAAAAAATAAAATAAAATAAAAAGATATTTCCCCATTACTGATAAGCCTCCGGTTAGGTAAGAACTTGGTCTCATGTATAAATCCTCATTGCTCCCACCCAGCTATAAAGAGACAAAAATAAGATGTTATATCCAGAAAGAGACTATCAACCCTGGACCCACCATCATCCTTGCCCATGAGTCCTCATTCATACTTTGATTGGACAAAATAACATCTCTAGTTTACAGTGGAGGATGTAAGGGGTAAGCTTCAGAGAGGATATGAGGATTGCTGTCCTAAATGATGGTGAATTAATTTTAATAGCCAAAAATTATCAGAAAGCTATGGAATCTGCACTCAACTCTTCTACAGGACAGAAAAGGAAGAAATAATATCTTGTTTATATCTCCAACAAATTAAAATTATTTGGTAAACTAGTTAAAATTATAAAAAGAAAAGACATTTGCCTACTGTTTTATATTAGTTTTAGTGAGGGGCTCAAAGTTGGAAAGAAAAACAGAACAGAGATAATGAGGCAAAGAAGGAAGGAAGCTTCAGGAGTGTGTATGTGCCTCCTCTTTACTTAGACCTTCCCAACATGAATTCAATATTCTGTTTAAAGTGAACATTCAAGATATCAAACATATCCATAGTTACGTTAACAGAAAGAAAAATATATATTCCAAAACTAAAATATTTCCACATAAGCCATTACTTTCATATTTTAAAACTCTATTAACACAGGTAATTCGGAACTGATGTAAGTCTTTAAAACTAAGTTATTTAGGGTTACCTGATTAGCATACAAAACATCTGGGTTTCTAGGTTACATTTCTCCAAGAAAACTGCAGAGCTCCTCCCTCTCTCTCCCTCTGTCTCTCACCTCTGCAGACTATTATTTAAACTTCATATAATTGGGAGTTGAGAAGATTTTTTAAATGACTGACTTTGAAGTAAATGATTATTCCTAAATTTATATGCAGATCATTAAACTGATAAAAAGTACTACAAAAATTTATGTTGTCCTTCATTTTCATTATAAATGACCACATTAAAGTTTAAAAATATTGATCAAGCTACAAAATAAAGGGAATGATTCTTCCATAAGATTTTGATAATCTTAAAATTAAATCAAAACAAAGGGTGCTGCTAGAGCCTATTTGGTGACTTCAGCATTGTGACAATTGTTTGTAGCTCTTTAATAAGTTGGAAATCATTTCAAAGGGATTTGGGATCTAGCCAAGATGAAACGTACTGAGCAACTATAAAATCACTATCAAGGTTGATACTACTGCAAGGAAAATCAAAAAGAAAAAACAATCAGGATACATAATCCTGAATAAATAAACCAGAGAAGAACAATGCCTTTGTCAATCACCTGCTAAACAGCAGTGATTCAGCCCCATACTCTGAAGACTTTTCAAAATTCCACTCTATTATACTTCTTCAAATTGTTTTCTTTCCATTTATGCCCCAAAGTTTAGCTGCTCCAATGAACACACAAAAGATCCACAACTATCTAACAAGAAAAATTTTGTTTCTCCTCTCAAATCAGTGGGCCATCTAAAGACTGGGTAGTTTCTTACTCTAGTTTTGTTTTGTATTTTACATAATGTAGTCACAAGCCAATGTTTCTCTAATTTGTTCCTTAAAATGAAGCTGGCAAAAGTGCCACATAACTATTGTTTGCACAGAGGTACTTTCCAACCTGGGTATTTAATGACCATGACAGGCTCCATGTATCCACATGTTTGTTCCCCCAAGACATACTGAACTTCTTCAAAAAGAAACAAAAATGCTGAAAGTGAATTTTATTTTTAATTATATTCTACTACAGGAAGAAAACGACACTTTGTGTCCACATCAGAGCTGCCAGTCAAATACTGACACACCAGTAATTCTCTAGCAGTGTTAGCACAGAGTCACTAAAATTGGAATGAAACCACATGGAGAACTCAGGGAGGAAGCGTTCTGTAGGAACTGTTCATCAGTTTTGCTGTGACAATAGAAGGGGCCAAGTGGTTTCTCTCAGTAATGTGTGGTAAAGCGTGTCTTTTCCCACATCCTGCCAGCAATATAAATTATCCAAAAATGCAGTCTCATCCATTTAGAAAGAAAATCTACTCTATTATCAGCTGCAAGGTGTTAGAACTCTAAGCTGAATACAGAAAGGCAAATTACAGGCACCTAAGTCAATCCTAGGTCTGCCAGTTTTTCACATCTAAACAATATCATTCTTAGACATCATCCTTTTTAAATTCCAGTCCTTAAAAATGCTTGGAGTTATCAACGAGGGCTTGAAGAACAACTTATCCCCATAAGATGTAATTTTCTTTCTCCATAGTCACCTGAATTGAGTCTATTATTTATCCACATGGATTTCATGACCAGAACATTCTGATTTTCACTGTAACTCTTCCCTGGCTCCAGATTACATCAAGTTTTCTAATTTCCTTGATTCTTAAACTAACTTGATATTTTCTTTTGTTGTCTATTGCCTTTTTCTTTTCCCTAGCTACTTCCTTCTCATCTTGTTTATTTTCAATCAATACTTTGCCCTATGCCCACTCTCTATATTACATATTCATATGTTCTGGCCTTCTGTAATTTCATTTGTAATTTCAGTTCACCTGTACTTCCCCACTGGGAGACAGTGTAGAACAGTGTTGGATGAAAAATCCTTGCATAAGTGAGCATGAAGTGGGATATGGGTCCTAGACATCTGTCAGGTAGGATACTTCTTAAATTATAACTTTAGGGCTCAAAGCATTAAGCCACTCCAGCTGCAATAGCCTACTTCATTGTATGAATATAAAATAAACTAGACATTAGAAATTCAAAATATCTCCTGTACTCCTAGACAGCAATCCACCCACTGACAAGAAGTCTCTAAAGAAGTTTTTATAAGTGGTAACAATGAATAATTTTGCACTAGTCCCATCACCCATTTATTGGAAGGTTGAAGACTTATTGAAAAACATCTTCCTTTACCTGTATGCCACTGACACTAAATTATAAAACTACTAAAAATTTCAGGAGCATTCTCTGGCATTCCCCCCATTACCCCTACCCATAGGAATTACCATGACACTTCCCCTGGCTACTCCAGCTCAGGAAAACCAGACTTGGGAAAGAGCAACAACACAATCCAAGACTCTTTCTGAAAATAGGTGTCTAGTTGATTCACATCTTCTTTCATAAATACCCCAAAAAGTTGAGATCCCCAAACCTTGGCTTTTCAGAACATATATTCAGAATGTCAGCAGAATGAGTTGTGATGATATTCAAATACCATTTCTGTGATGTTTGTCACTTTTTTTCTAAATCTAATTGTCTGCATAACCAACAGGCAACTACCCTCTTCATAAATGAGGCAACATTGCATGAGGTCACTTTCAAACCACACTGACACAGCTGGCCTAGGACCTGGCTCATGACTTGCTGTTCATCGCTCCAGAGCCCTTCTCAGTCTAAGTATGCAAGAGAGAATAAAGTCATTAGAGATCATGTAATTATACAAAATGTAAAGGAAATCATTACTAATACAAGAAATTTTTAATAAATATCAGAAATATAAAGTAGAAGTCCATAGGTTGATAGATAAAAATAAGTAGAAAATTCACAAACTGAAATATACTGCAAGACAGCTTCAATTACAATCTATTTTCCCAAAGGGAACCCCATGGAGACACAGCACACAGAGATAGGAAGTAATTTAGATTTTATGAGATTTAAATGAGATTAAATACTGTACTGAAAATAAAGAGTCTAACTACAGAGCCATTGATGATCTATATACAGGACAAGGATGGGAGACCCATCCCACTCAACTGGCATTTACCCCTGGGCAAGAAACCAGAGGGCTCTTCTTTAAGAAAATGAACAAAATTCTGGGAATAGTAAGATTTCTAGTGTGTGTGCTGGCCCTTCCCATAGGAACAAATATCCTCTTTGCCTGCCAACAAGTATTTCCCACTCTCCTTTGATCTGCATAGAGTCTGAATCCCTGGGCTGCCTTCCCCTTCAGATCAGAAATCTAGGGCAAAAACAAGTCAATCGTTTTTCATAGCAGCAGAGGAGACCAATTCCAAATATACAGGATTTTTTTTTTTTTTTTGAGATGGAGTCTCACCCTGTCACCCAGGCTGGAATGCAATGGCATGATCTCGGCTCACTGCAACCTCTGCCTCCTGGGTAAAAGTGATACTCCTGCCTCAGCCTCCCGAGTAGCTGGGATTACAGATGCATGCCACCATGCCTGGTTAATTTTTTCTATCTTTAGTACAGATGGGGTTTCACCATGTTGGGCCAGGCTGGTCTCGAACTCCTGACCTCGTGATCCTCCTGCCTCGACCTCCCAAAGTGCTGGGATTACAGGCATAAGCCACCACACCTGGCCCCAGGAATGTCTTAAACCATGTACCACCACATAGCAGGAGAGGACAGAAGATAAAACGAAACTCTCTGGTCTTGGAAGACACTGAATTATTCCAAAGAAGGAAAATGAACTTTTAAAAGTTATAAGTAATATAGAGACTAGAGAGGAAAATACAACCATACATACAAACATAAAGGATAAAATTGAGAACATGTAGAATGCATAAAGCAAAAAGATAAATATGAGAGACAGTGTTAGCAAGATAAAGGATCATCCCACAGAGTATTATTTGGTTAAGAGAATTCCAAAAAATAAAGACCAGAGAAGATTTGTATGGTATAATATCTATAAAATAATACAAAGAAATATTCCAATGCTGATAGATAGACATGAATGTCTACATGACAACATCCGATGGCTGCTCTGCACAGGGAATGCTGGAGGATGCCAAGTTACCCCTAGTTTCCTACAAAGGTATTTGACTTATTATTGACAATACTAGGTACTAAAAATAACAAAGTAATACCTTTAAAGTTCTGATGGAAAATT
The DNA here is from genome assembly GCF_000001405.40 of Homo sapiens. Lineage (NCBI taxonomy): Eukaryota > Metazoa > Chordata > Mammalia > Primates > Hominidae > Homo > Homo sapiens. Next base: position 126,572,569 of record NC_000007.14, read on the forward strand.
TTCTATTATTGTTTCCAAATCCAACAAAACTATCAATTGAAATGTAAGCCAGAATAAAGCTATCTATAAGACATTTTCTGAGGTAACTTCCTTCCTTTGCACCTATCCTGGGAATTTCTTTTAGGATGCACTCCAAACATGCAGAAGTAAACTAAGAAGGAGGAAAACCTGGAATCCATGAAATGATATTCCATCCCAGAATGGTAGAGAAAGGAGAGAAAGAGGGTAGTTTCATGGTAAACTAAAAAGCAACCAGCAAAGCTGAAAACAAGGAGACACAGAGGTACAGAAGTGACATCCTAAGGGGGTTGAATGAAGACCCACAAAGATAATGAAGACAGAGAAAGACACAGAGAGAATGCATAACCACAAACGGTGCAAGAAAAACTAAAAGAATGATGATTGGAAACAACATTAAAATTTTTTAAATCTAAATATAAAGCAAGTAAAAATGCATTAGAACGTTAAGCGATAGACTGAATATAAGAGAAGACAATTCAGGTGACCTTGATGCCAGCAACATCCTCTTTTAAATGGCCCCAGGTTTATGGTGTCAGATATTTTGAAGTGGGAAATGGAATCTTAGTCCAGAACTTAAATAATGTTTACACAGTCATCATAATGTAAATGTTTGTTTTCTCCTATTAGAGTCAACCCAGGAACAAAGAAAAAGAAAATTTTATTATTCTCACAGGATAGAATGCCAGTGTTCACAATGGGATGATGTAAAAGTGTGGCTCAAAACAAACAAACAAAAAATAAGTTGTATATGTGAGAAGAAATAGTAGAGCAAAGTATATATATTTTAGCATTTTTTAATGAAACAGGGAGTCAAGATATATGTCAAAAAGCTGTAACCAAAAATAGAGGATTAAGTATACTTTTCTGGGGCCACAAAATTTACTAGAAGAAAAATCAGAATCTCAAAAATATACAAAGCAAGCTTTGGGGAGGGAAGAGGGTATAAAAGACAGCAAAAGTAAACAAATTCTTACCTTTATTTCATTTTATTTATTTTTTAATTTTTTTTTTTTGAGACAGAGTCTCACTCTATCACTGAGACTAGAATTCAGTGGCATTATCTCGGCTCATTGCAACGTCCGCCTCCCGGGTTCAAGTGATTCTCCTTCCTCAGCCTCTCAAGTAGCTTGGACTACAGGGAGTGTGCCACCATGCCTGGCTAATTTTTGAATTTTTAGTAGAGACAGGGTTTCACCATGTTGCTCAGGCTGGTCTCAAACTCCTGAGAGTCAGGTGATCCATCCACCTTGGCTTCCCAAAGTGCTGGGATTACAGGCATGAGCCACCATGCCCATCCTCAAATTCCAACCTTTCTTATCACATTCTCAGAAAATAACCTAATAGATGAAGAAGTTGAGGTATAATACTTGTAGTTATTAACAAAAATACTGCAAACAATTCAAAAAGGTTGCCTCTCTAAGGAGGTCCAAAGGTCTGGAGAAGTGAAATCAGATATTCTTGCTTTTGACTTAAAGCAATCTTCTAAAATAAAAACTTCAAAAGAAATTAAGAAGTAAAACTTAAAACACCATTTTAAATGACACTGTTACCATCACCCACCTACCCTGGAGAAGAAATGCACATTTCTGGCTTCAGCCAATGAGGCTTGTTCAATGTTCCAACACTGAACCATAGCTATTGGTTTAATAAATATACCATTACATCAAAACCATTACTATAGTTACTGGCAGAACATTGAACTCCTCATCAATGTGGGAGATAAGCAACTCCACTGATTTTGGCTGGAATATAATACAGCTCTTAGATAACCTTAGAGAGTTCCAGCATGACTGACTGCAGGCTTGGCAAGCAGTCCAGTAAGTCTGTAAACAGAGACTAAAGGGATATTAAAAAAGAATGTGATGAATTTGGAAAACCATGTATTCATCATAACACATTCCAATGCTGGATGTGTCATCTCTAAGGAGTTAGGGATTTTCCCACCTATTATACGGTCAGTGATGAAGCTACATCTTCAGGACTGAGGTTTGAAATCTTACTACCTGAATCTTCAGATGTGTTTTCCAACTCTCTCTTCACTTTGCTTTTTTTCTACAGAGTTAAGTCTTTGAGTGCTTTGTGATCTGAAATCCCCCAAGGCAACTAACATTCCACTTCTTTTTCATTTTCTTTTTAATTAGACACTCACAGAATACACTGTACTATTTTTTTTAGAAACAGGCTCCTTTTAATTTTTTTTAGACTGTTTTGCAGACTGGCCCCAAGACTACATCTACTATCTGATACCATTGATCGACCTGACTGTTAAGGTGTGGACTCAGCACTTCCTGTGAAGAGGTTCCCTGATGAATACTGACTCTATTAGGCAAGGGTAGTATAACATGACTCACAGTCTTCTGTCAGCCCTATTGAATTCCAAGCTCTGTCTCAGAACTGGCTCGAATTCTCTGGTGATTCCTTTTCCCTCAGTTAACTTTGAGCAACCATATACTATAAGGGTAGACAACAGATCCTCTAGGGCAGGGGTTCCCAGCCCCCAGGCCATAGACTGGTACCGGTTTGTGGCCTGTTAGGAACTGGGCTGCGTAGCAGGAGGTGAGCAGCACAAGCATTACTGCCTGAGTTCTGCCTCCTGTCAGATCGGCACAGGCATCAGATTCTCATAGGAGTGTGAGCCCTATTGTGAACTGAGCATGCAAGGGATCTAGGATGCATACTTGTTATGAGAATCTAATGCCTGATGATATGTCACTGTCTCCCATCACCCCCAGATGGAACTCTGTAGTTGCAGGAAAATAAGCTCAGGGCTCCCACTGATTCTACATTATGGTGAGTTGTATAATTATTTCATTATATATTACAATGTATTATAATAATAATAGAAATAAAGCACATAATAAATGTAATGCACTTAAATCATCCTGAAACCATCCCTCTCACCCCAAGTCCATGGAAAAACTGTCTTCTATGAAACCAGTCCCTGGTCCCAAAAATGTTGGGGACCGCTGCTATAGGGAATAAAATAAAATCTGCTACTTGACTCATGAGTTGTATCTTTGAACTTAAGGTAAGAAAAAAAATTTAACCAAACCAACATAATTGAATAATCAGATGTCAATGTGGAACTCAGAAACATTATCCTTGTTTACATACACACTGTTTTTTGAAATTGTAAGCCTGTGATACTCTCGCATTTGTGAGATGCCAACCCCTAAAAAAAAATTGTATTTCCTAAGGCAGTATAATGAGTTTTGCTTTCTTTCTTATATTTGTGTCTCTCTTATTTTGAGAACTTAACTTCCAAGTGCAATTTTTGGTCTTGAACCCAAATATATTTCTCTCATCACCCAATTATTAGCTCTCATCCACTCTTCTCCCAGAATGGTTACTAACAAGAAACATGATGGAGGCTGATGGAGGCAACCACTGTGTAATGCAAACAGCTTTAGTATTGGTCAAATGCTATAGCTGGAGAGTCATGAGTAAGCCCTTTCTAGTCTCTGAGCTTTGGTTTCCTCATCTGTAAATATGTTTAACATCTGCAAAGTCAATGCCCCATGTAGACAGGGCCCAGCATTATGTAATATTTAAAAACTAAATTCTCACCAACATTTTGAGAAGTGATTAAAATATTTCTTGATGTCACTCACAAATGGCAAAAGAAGACTCAATTCACAGCACAGAGCAAACAAAAAGTCATTTTCCCCAACTTTTTGTATTGTTCTGTTTTGGTTTTTTGTTTTGTTTTTTGAGGCAGGGTCTCACTCTGTCACCCAGGTTGGAGTGCAGCGATGTGATCTCCACCCACTGCAACCTCCACCTCCTGGCCTCAAGTGATCCTCCCACCTCAGTCCCCCAAGTAACTGGAACTACATGCACAAGCCACCATGCCCAGATAATTTTTGTATTTTTTGTAGAGACAGGGTTTCACCATGTTGCCCAGTCTGATCTCAAACTCCTGAGGTGAAGCGATTCATCCATCTCGGCCTCCCAAAGTGCTTGGATTAGAGGCATAAACCACCACACCCGGCCCCCAGCTTTTAATATCTCTAATACTTGCAACTATCCTTAAATCTCTTTCTTCTGTTAAACCTCTACAGAAATCCTCTATCAGCCCACACTGACTGACTCTCATCTCTTTTTCTCTCTTCCCACCTTTTTGGTATTTTCATTTTCTATTCCTTAAAATGTCAGTGAGGATCCTGAGCTCCTGAGTTTTATTCCTCAAAATGTCAATGAGCTCCAGTCTGACTGCAAAGGTGGGTATTTCTCTCTTCACTATCAAAGTCTAATTATAAACCAGACTTACACTTACAGCCCCCATTGACTCTGTTGTATCCTTTCTAGGTCAGTGAGGTGGTCTTCTTGTCTTCTTCAAAAGCACAGGTTGTGCAAGCTTTTGACTCCAGGAAAACATCCTAAAGCCAAACCATGTAATCATTCATTTCACTACCAACCCAATGGCTCCAAAGCTTATCGTAGCTGTCCTGTTTCAGTGGGAAATTTTATCCATAACTCACAGTCCTATTTTTCCAAACTTGGCCATCAATTCCTTAAATTCTTAGGAGTACTGGTGGTTTCTAAGTCTAACCATAGGATAAAACCACAGTCAGGAGAGCAGAGGTTTAGGTTATCACCCAATCTAGGCATGGGTGCCACATCTCCTTCCTCCATCCTGAATGGTATCTCGTTTCTTAACATAGCTGACATCTTGGGAGATAAAGTTGAAAAGCCAATTTCCAATCTGCAGTTACCTAAAGGAACTTCCTAGAAGTCTTGATTTAGTGTAATCATTTAACACTAACTTTAAAAATAATCCATTTAGTAATCCAATACCAAATAGTAGATTATCACCCCAAAGGGCTACTCTTAATCTCAGAGTAGTAACAAAATTTCCCTCTAACTTTAGTATAATATTTCAAGGACAACGAAATACAAATTTCTGTGAAATTTCCAAAGTGTAAAACACTATGAAGTTCTACTCTAATATATGTCCTAGATGATGATTTACTCCAAAAAAAAAAAGTAGATGTGACATTTTACATTCCAGTACTGTAACCACAGAAAACTCAGCTGCCTCATGGAACTATAACATAATGTCTAAACATCAAAAACTAATTCGAAAGCAACTTAAGTATTAATTGAAATTTCTCAGCAATGCCAAAAGATAAATCTCTATGTAACCCAATGCAATTTCTTAAAAGCCTTTTTGTACCCTCTTGAGCATGCTTTCTCCGTGGAAGGCCTCTCAATTCAAAGCATTTTTTTTCTCTCTCTCTCCTCGCCTCTTTTAATGTGTATCTTTCTCATTTTGCAGCTGCCCCAAAGACTCTCTTTCTTCTTTCATAACTCTTAAAATCTCCCACCAAACCCAACCCATGCTTCTTTCTCTATTCCCTCCTTTTCATCTCCTAATCTATTCATTTCCTTCTCTTATGTTTTTAGTGTAAATCAATCAAACTGATTTCAATGATTCCTGACTCTCCCTCTCATTCATCAGTCTGATTATGGGCAGCAAAGATGTTTCTTTTTAAAGAGAAGACTAAAGTGAGAAACTCTTACTAGTCTTATATCCATATTTTTCCTGTTACATATAAAAAGCAATACCCATCATAATGGGTTGATTGGAAACTCTATGAAATTATGTATTTACATATATTTCTGACATGTAGGTTTTTTAAAGAATTTTTGGTTAAAGTAATAAAAATAGTAAGATGGAAAACAGGATACAATTTGTCCTCTCTGGATACAGCTGTTCAGTCTCCCTATCCCATTTCCACTTAGCATCCTAAAGATCGAATGGAAATAACAGAAAAGAGAAGGATAAAAGATGGCAGAAAGGAGATTAGTAGTTTATGTGAGGAAGGAGCAAGTGGTGTGGAGAAGAATACAGTTTGACTTAGTGTGTCTGCTAGCTCCATGAGCTGAGCTGTGCATTTGCCAGGTGGTGAGGAGGGCAGAGGCAGCCACAAAGCTCCCGAACAGCTGTTCCTTTCTCTTCTTCCACTCAACATTTAGAGAGTCTGGGCAGTTTAGGGGCAGCCACTAAGGGAGCAGCAGCAGATGGCTGTCATGCTGCAGAGGTGTACTCTAGAAGGATGAGGGGCTCCAGTTACAAAAAGCAGCTATCTTTTATGTGCTTTAAAGATATGTGCTAAAGTCTACTTGAAGGCTGTATAAAGGCACATTAATAAAAATCACCATTTTTAATTTGGTCTTTAATTCAGTTCTCTAATTTTAGTAGTATTTTACATTAGATATTAGCTATCGGACAATTATTAAACTTAAAGAGGAAAAAAAAAGAACTTAAAAAAGACCTATTTTTCTCTTCCCATCCTGGCCTCATCCATTTGAAGCAAGGGTGACAACCTTGTTGTCATAACCCTACAAGGAAATTTTTCACATTTAACCCACATTTACTGAGAATCTACTCTGTGTGCCAGTAATAGTACCAGACTTTTTCATGGCCATTATCTTACGTAAAGTAGGTATGAAATGGTATTTTTCTAAGTAGAGGTAAAGGATTCTACTCCTCCCACTAAAAATACAAAATAAAAGAAAAAGAAAGACACAAAAGTTAGAGAAAACAAAATATTAGAAGTTTGGTTCTGTTTAAATGTATGCAAATCCAATTAGGACTAAATTTACACTTCAAAATATGTCAAAAATTCTCTAACAGGAAAAAAGGACAAAGTTGAATTTTGTTTTCTGTTCTTTTCATGTGACTTTTTGTGACTGGTATTCTTTATACAAAATGACTATGGCTCCCATAAATAATAACCAACAATTCTATAGTATTTTGAAGTTTTCAAAGTATTTTCACATAAAAAAATTCTTTTGATCTTTAAAAACTTTCTATAAACTAAGAATCTCTATATAATAGGAACTTTCGATTCACATATGAGGAAAGATTTCAGTGCAGTAACATGCTGACTGGAATCAGCCTCAACACTGGAATAGTGACATTTAATAAGTCCATGGCAGGCAATAGACCTGACAAGTAGGCTTTGCTCTGATGCAGGCAGAACATGTCATCATTGTCCAACTAGTTTTATAAAGTTTTTATGAGAAGGGAAAAAGTAGTTGGTATTCTAGGAAAAGGAATTTTTACTTGCCTTTCTTCTAGATCGCACCAGGAGTGTCCATAATTTGTCAACTGAAATAAAGCTCAGCCCCAGTGTCTTCTAAATTTGTCCACTAACTCATTCACCTATGCAAAATTGTGGCATTTAAGGAATTAGTAAAAACTAATTAACTTAAATAAGATATTTATTTAATACTCTGTTAATCAATGTTATAGAAAAGGTTACTAAGTAAATTTTGAAATGATATATCTCCCTTAAAAGGTCCCTAAATTCCTTAAAATGAGATCAGATAAATATTAAGGAAATATTACAGAATAAATCAGGATATTTGGTAAAAAGAAAACGTGCTTATCCCATATGAAAAAAAAAAGTTGTGGTTAGAACAAATTAGTATTTTTAAATTTTTTTCAGTAAGTTATAAATTAAATACATGCCTATTCACTAATAATTCAAATGGCCAAAGAGCACTGTTAAATGATGGTTTTCTCTGAGGGCCATCTTTTTATAGACATTGATACAGTTAATCTTCCTAATGTCCAGCTGGCATCAGGTTATTTCCTTAGAGTAGTGACTGATAATAGTTATCGGATAAAAGCCATGTTCCAAGTTGAAATCCAAACTCCAAAATTTTCTTTTTAAATAGGACTTCTATGATTTCTCTTCTTAGTCCCTCTGTTTTTCATGAAAATTCCAAGACTCCCTCTTTTTGCCTTTGTGCAATCCATTCTCTACCCCTGGTATTTCCTATCTTCATGTCCCTTGTCCAGAATAGTCTAGATCCATCTAGCTTAAATGTGATCTTCTTCTTAAGGCTTTCTTCTTTTTCCTAAAATCTCTTTCTTCTGCATTCTCGTCTACTTAAGATTGATCATGAGCTCCACCATCTCCTGGTCTCCCATATCCAATCAGTCATCAACTTCTGCCTGATTTCCATTTATCGGTATTCCTGAAAGCACGAACATTGGCATCAGATATATATGCTTTTGAATTTTAGCTATGTCTCCACTAGCTGAATGAACTTAAATAAGCAACTTATTGTTAATCATAGTTTCCTCTTCTATAAAATGGTCATTCAAAGAGTACCTAATTCACAGAATTATAGTAAAGATCAAACGAGTTAATAAATATGTAATTCAACTTAGATGGAAAATTCAATGGAAGCCAACATTTCTCAAAGTAGGTTTAAGGAATATTGGTTCCATAAATATTCTTCAAATAAAAAGGAATTCGTAGTTAAAACAACTTATTAAAAAGTATACCTAATACCCACTTCTCTGTCAGTCATGAAGTATATTAGCACATTAAAGTCTCCAAGAGGTCTTAAAAAAATAGAAAAAAAAACAATTATCCTAACATTCCCTAAACTTATTTGACCAGGAAGCCTTTTTATGCATATATAGTAGCTACTTAAAAGCCTGCAGAACCAGTGTTCTGAGGAAGGCTTTGAGAAAATGCTTACCTGGACAAGAACCACAGCTATCATCTTGAAAGTTATTTCAGCCTTAGGTTTTCAATTTTTAGAAAAAAATAAAAAATAAAAAATAAAAACATTGTGAAAGAGACCATCTCCTAATGTTCAGAGTCATTAGAAATTCTCAGAAAATGAATAAAATTCTGCCCTTTGGGAAGATATGCCCAAAAGGGTAGCAGAATGGTATTAGCTTTCCAAGGCCAATTACTTCTTAACAATCTCTTAAAGGATATGAAAAAGTTCTATTTTTCATGGAATGCCCAGTAATTGCTTATCCAGCTGGTAGCAGATGCAAAACTTCATCTCAGGAGGAAAGCTTAACGTACAAATTTGTGAAGACCTGATAAAGAGTGAGAAGAACTCTCAGGAGTCTCAGGAAATGAATAAGTTCATGCCTGTGATGAAGACAGAATTGAGACGTGATCACTATACCTGAGGTCTAATACATCTACCTTCAAACATAAAACTGTTTACTCTATACAAATAAAAGGGCAATACAGGTACACCTCACATTACGGTGCTTTTTTTTATTGTACTTCACTGATAGCATGTTTTTTTGCAAGTTGAATGCCGAGCAAGTCTCTCAGCACCATTTTTCAAACAGCATGTACCCACTTCATGTCTCTGTGTCACATTTTGGTAATTCTTATATTTCAAGCTTTTTCATTATTATTATATCTGTTTTGGTGATCTGTGGTCCGTGATCTGTTTTGTTACTATTGTAATTGTTTTGGAGTGCAACAGAACTACACCTATATAAGTCAACACAGATAACTGATAAATGTTGTGTGTTCTGACTGCTCAATGAACCCCCTGTTCCCCCATCTCTATACCTCTCTTTGGGCCTTGATATTCCCTAAGAAACAGTAATATTGAAATTAGGCCAACTACCAACACTACAATGGCTTCTAATTGTTCAAGTGAAAGACATATCTAACTTTAAATCACAAGCTAGAAATGATAATATTTAGTGAGGAAGGTATATCAAAAGCTGAGACAGATAAAAATTAGGCCTCTTCCACCAAATAGTTAACCAAGTTGTAAATGCAAAGAAAAGTTATTGAAGAAAATAAAAAGTTCTACTCCAGGGAACACATAAATAATAAGAAAGTAAAACAGCCTTATTGCTGATATGGAGAAAGTTTTAGTGGTCTGGATAGAAGAACAAACCATCCACAACATTCCCTTAAACCAAAGCCTAATCCAAAGCAAGGTCCTAATTCTTTTAAGTCTATGAAAGCTGGCAGAGGTGAAGAAGCTGCATAAGAAAAGCTCGAAGACAGCAGAGGTTTGTTCATGAGATTTAAGGAACAAAGCAACCTCTATAACATAAAAGGGCAAGGTGATGTAGCAAGTACTCATATGGGAGCTAAAGCAAGTTATCCAGGCAATCTAGATAAGATAATGAATGAAGGTGTCTACAACAATCAATAGATTTTAAATGGAGAAGAAACAGCCTTCTATTGGAAGAAGGGGCCATCTAAGACTTCCATTGCTAGAAAGAAGTCAATGCCTGGCTTCAAGCTTCAAAGGAGAATCTGACTCTCTTATTAGGGCCTAATGAAGCAGGTGACTTTAAATCGAATCCAATGCTCATTGAACATTCTGAAAAACCTAGGGCCCTTTAGAATTATGCTAAATCTAGTTGGCCTGTGTTGCATAAATGGAAGTACAAAGCCTGTTACCCAGGTTCTCACTCAGGCTTTGTAGTTTCATGTATGTTGGTTTACAACATGGTTTACTGAATATTTTAAACATATCATTGGGATGAACTTCTCATAAAAAAAGATTCCCTTTAAAATATTACTGGTCTTTGACAAGGTACTTAGTCACCCCAAAGCTCCAGTGGAGATATATAGAGAGATCAATGTTGTTTTCATGCCTGAATATACAACATCCAATCTGTAGGCCAAATATCAAGGAGTAATATTGAATTTCATGTCTTATTACTTAAGAAATGCACTTCTTGCCAGGAGTGGTGGCTCATGCCTGTAGTCCCAGCACTTTGGGAGGCTAAGGCGGGTGGATGACCTGAGGTCAGGAGTTTGAGACCAGCCTGGCCAACATGGTGAAACCCCATCTCTACTAAAAATACAAAAATTAGCTGAGTGTGGTCATGCGCGCCTGTAGTCCCAGCTACTTGGAAGGCTGAGGCAGGAAAATTGCTTGAACCCGGGAAAGGAGGTTGCAGCAAGCCAAGATTGTACCATTGCACTCCCAGCCCGGGTGACAGGAGTGAAACTCTGTCTCACACACACACACATAAAATAATAAAAATAAAAAAATAAGAAAGAAAAGAAAAGTAATACATTTCTTAATGCTGTAGCTGCCATACTGATTCCTCTGACAGGTCTGGAGAAAATACATTGAAAACTTCCTGGAAAGGCTTCACCATTCTAGATGCCATTGAGAACATTCAAGATTCATTAAAAGAGGTCAAAATATAAATATTAACAAGAGTTTGGAAGAAGTTGATTCCACTCTCATGGATGACTTTGAGGTGTTTAATCTTCAGTGGAGGAAGTAACTGTAGAAGTGATAGAAATACCAAGAGAACTAGATTAGAATTGGAGCCTGAAGATGTGACTGAATTGCTACAATCTCATGATAAAACTTGAACAGATGAGTAACTGCTTCCTATGAATGAGCAAAAAAAGTGGTTTCTTGAGACAGAATCTACTCCTGCTGACGATTTGGTGAACATTGTTGAAATGACAACAAAGGATTTCAAATATTACATAAACACAGTTGATAAAGCAGCAATACAGTTTGAGATTCATTCCAATTTCAAAGTAAGTTCTACAGTAGGTAAAATGTTACCAAACAGTATCATATGCTGCAGATAAATCTTTCACGAAAGAGTCCATTTATATGGCAAACTCAATGTTGTCTTATTTTTTAAAATTGCCACAGCCTCCCCAACCTTCAGCAACTGTCACCCTAATTATTAGCAGCCATCAACACAGAGGCAAGACCCTCTACCAACAAAAAGATTATGACTCAGTGAAGACTCAGATAATTAGCACTTTTTAACAATTATTATTTCAAAATTAAGATACGTGTTTTTTTAGATATATTGCCATGGCACACTTAATAGACTAGAGTATACTGTAAAGATAACTTTTTTTTTATTTTTTGAGACAGAGTCTCACACCATAACCCAGGCTGGAGTGCAGTGGTGCAATCTGGGCTCATTGCAACTCCATCTCCTGGGTTCAAGCCATTCTCCTGCCTCAGCCTCCTGAGTACCTAGAATTACAGGCACACGCCACCATGCCCGACTAATTTTGGTATTTTTAGTGGAGACAGGGACTCACCTTAATGTGCATGTCTGACACTAACCTGTAATATCTCTGAGGTATGCCTATAAATGTTTGTTGACCGATTGTCTCAATGTTACAAGCTGAATGTAACCAAATTTTAGATGGCACAGCAGAAATTCCGAAATCATTTAATTTTCTTTTCATGAGAAGCAAAATAAGACTACCTTACATTTATAGCTCATTTGTGGTCTGCTCTTCTATAAACCATAAAAACTCCTAACTTTACAAACATAGAACTTAACTCTTCTTTCATCTTCATCAAAAAGTGCTTTTCAAACAATTAGCATTTCCCAAATAACGTTTGTCGTTTCCGCTTAGGCCTGTTTTAGTCTACCTAATAGAATAAATTTAGCTTCCCTGTAGCAGAGCCCTATTTTTAAAAGCATCTTTTAATACATGCTGCTGTGAGAGCAAAAAAAAAAATCATAGTCATTTTGAATAATTTTTACATGTTTATTAAAACAATGGTAAGCAAAATAAGTGGTTATTATATGCTCTCATGTTAGTCTTAGTATTCATAAGCTAAAAGCACTCATCCTTCTTTAAAATAAATAACCCAATTGAAAATAAAATGTTATTAATCATATAAAGAAGATCTCTGAATTCTTAAACACTGTGAATTCTTAAACACTGTGAGTATAGCATCGCTTCTATTTATACAAATAAATGAAACCACAAACTTATTAGAGTACCTTTTAACTATAAAAATAAATAGATAAGCAGAAAAATACATTCTAACCTAATTTTCAATATCTGAAATAAATAATTAGAGAATATATAAGGAAGAAATTTTGGTGAATAACTGTAGCAAATTCCTAATTCTATGAATATGGAAATTGAGGCACTACATATTAAACAATAAGGCATAAACCCATCTGAGTATTAGTGAGAATTAAAAACACATCTCCTAATTTCCAGTTATGCTTTTCGTATCATCACAATCTTCATAAGGTTTGTCCATTAAGTTCATTTGTGCCTTAAACAACACGAAATCCACCCGTTACACATTTTATGGATACTATTTATAAAAATCAGCCAATTCTTCAATAAACTAACATTAGAAACAGGATAATTAGTTGCCTGAGTTTAAAAAATTGAACGCAAATCAATAAACATAATCCCGCATATAAACAGAATCAACAACAAAAACCACATGATTATCTCAATAGACACAGAAAATGCCTTTGAAAAAATTCAACAGCCCTTCATGCTAAAAACTCTCAATAAATTAGGTATTGATGGGACGTATCTCAAAATAATAAGAGCTATTTATGACAAACCCACAGCCAATATCATACTGAATGGGCAAAAACTGGAAGCATTCCCTTTGAAAACTGGCACAAGACAGGGATGCCCTCTCTCACCACTCCTTTTCAACATAGTGTTGGAAGTTATGGCCAGGGTAATCAGGCAGGAGAAAGAAATAAAGGGTATTCAATTAGGAAAAGAGGAAGTCAAATTGTCCCTGTTTGTAGATGACATGATTGTGTATTTAGAAAACCCCATTGTCTCAGCCCAAAATCTCCTTAAGCTGATAAGCAACCTCAGCAAAGTCTCAGGATACAAAATCAATGTGCAAAAATCACAAGCATTCTCATATACCAATAACAGACAAACAGAGAGCCAAATCATGAATGGACTCCCATTCACAACTGCTTCAAAGAGAATAAAATACCTAGGAATCCAACTTACAAGGGATGTGAAGGAACTCTTCAAGGAGAACTACAAACCACTGCTCAACGAAAAAAAAGTGGATACAAACAAATGGAAGAACATTCCATGCTCATGGATAGGAAAAATCAATATCATGAAAATGGCCATACTGCCCAAGGTAATTTATAGATTTAATGCCATCTCCATCAAGCTACCAATGACTTTCTTCACAGAATTGGAAAAAATACTTTAAAGTTCATATGAACCAAAAAAGAGCCTGCATTGCCAAGACAATCCTAAGCCAAAAGAACAAAGCTGGAGGCATCATGCTACCTGACTTCAAACTATACTACAAGGCTATAGTAACCAAAACAGCATGGTACTGGTACCAAAACAGAGATACAGACCAATGGAACAGAACAGAGCCCTCAGAAATAATAACCACACATCTACAACCATCTGATCTTTGACAAACCTGACAAAAACAAGAAATGGGGAAAGGATTCCCTATTTAATAAATGGTGCTGGGAAAACTGGATAGCCATATGTAGAAAGCTCAAACTGGATCCCTTCCTTATACCTTATACAAAAATTAAATCAAGATGGATTAAAGGTTAAATGTTAGACCTAAAACCATAAAAACCCTAGAAGAAAACCTAGGCAATACCATTCAGGACATAGGCATGGGCAAGGACTTCATGTCTAAAACACCAAAAGCAATGGCAACAAAAGCCAAAATTGACAAATGGGATCTAATTAAACTAAAGGGCTTCTGCACAGCAAAAGAAACTACCATCAGAGTGAACAGGCAACCTACAGAATAGGAGAAAATTTTTGCAATCTACTCATCTGACAAAGGGCTAATATCCAGAATCTACAAAGAACTCAAACAAATTTACAAAAAAAAACCAAGCCCATCAAAAACTGGGTGAAGGATATGAACAGATACATCTCAAAAGAACACATTTATGCAGCCCACAGACACAGGAAAAAATGCTCATCATCACTGGTCATCAGAGAAATGCAAATCAAAACCACAATGAGATACCATCTCACACCAGTTAGAAAGGCAATCATTAAAAAGTCAGGAAACAACAGGTGATGGAGAGGATGTGGAGAAATAGGAACACCTTTACACTGTTGGTGGGACTGTAAACTAGTTCAACCATTGTGGAAGTCAGTGTGGCGATTCCTCAAGGATCTAGAACTAGAAATACCATTTGACCCAGCCATCCCATTACTGGGTATGTACCCAAAGGATTATAAATCATGCTGCTATAAAGACACATGCACACGTATGTTTATTGCGGCACTATTCACAATAGCAAAGACTTGGAACCAATCCAAATGTCCATCAATGATAGACTGGATTAAGAAAATGTGGCACATATACACCATGGAATACTATGCAGCCATAAAAAAGGATGAGTTCATGTTCTTTGTAGGGACAGGGATGAAGCTGGAAACCATCATTTTCAGCAAACTATCGCAGGGACAAAAAAACCAAACACCGCATATTCTCACTCATAGGTGGGAATTGAACAATGAGAACACTTGGACACAGGAAGGGGAACATGACACACCGGGCCTGTCATGGGATGGGCGGGGGGAGGGATAGCCTTAGGAGATATACCTAATGTAAATGACGAGTTAATGGGTGCAGCACACCAACATGGCACATGTATACATATATAACAAACCTGCATGTTGTGCACATGTGCCCTAGAACTTAAAGTATCATAAAAAAAAGAAAAAAAAGTAATGTGAAGTATGAAAAATAATATCTGAAGAGTTTACTAAATTTATGTAATTAAAAATCCCAAGATTAAAAAAAAAAAAAGAAAAAGAAAGAACAGTCACTAAGTTTAAAGTATGTTCTTAGTAGGGGATTTATATAGCATATGACAACTGCGGTCTCCTCTGATTCCCTTCAGAAAAATCTCACAAAGATGTTGGGTCAGCAGTCTCAAGGACAATGTAATGGCTTCATCTAGAACTCATATCTGATTTTTGAATCTAATGAAATAACCTGAATGTAAAAAAACATATGTACCCATGGCTCTGACAGCTAGAAAAGCAGTCAAATGAGAACTAGTTACAGGCAAGTCTAGAAGAGTATTAGAATAACTTAAGAAAGACAGAGCAGAGACAATTTTAATGAAGTCTTGGATACTCAGTAAGAGTTTGGTTCTAGTGCCATAGACAGTATAATGTTGATAGAAAGTTGAAAAGTGTTTTGATTTGCCTTTCTCTGATGATTACCTGTTGGTGGGGGTATAAATTATTTCACCCAGTGTGAAAAGCAGTTTGCAGAATTCTCAAAGAACTAAGAGTTGAACTACCATTCGACCCAGCAATCTCATTACTGGACATATGCCCAAAGGAAAATAAATCATTCTACCAAAAAGACATATGCACTCATATGCATATCACAGAGCTATTCACAAAAGCAAAGACGTGACATCAACCCAGATGCCCATCAGTGGTGAACTGGATAAAGAAAATGTGACACATAGGATTTATGGGGGAAAATGGCAGATGGGAGGCAGGACTAAATTGCAGCTCCCACTCAGACAGGCAGAGCAGCATGTGGAGATACATCATGAACTTTTCCTGAAAGAACTACTGGAGGAACATACCAGGAAAGCCAAAAGAATCCACAGACCCTTTGAAGGAAGCAGATTGCTCCTGCAGGACCCAGGAGACAGCCCAAATACTATGAGTGCCCAAAGTATGAAAGTGGGAAAGGGTGAACACACACCCTCACTGGGGAACTCGAAGGTCCAGGTTATGGGAGAAGGATTTGACCCTACCTAGAACTGAGACAATTTAGAGAGCCAAGTGAAATACAGGAGTAGAGGAAGTGCCAGAAGAGCCCTGTGGGCTCTCTCGGTCCCCAGGGAAGCCATTTCTGACTTTGTCTCACAGGGATCCTTGGGGAGGGTTGCCAGTGGAACTGGGAAAAGACCACAGATAAAAAGAAACCTCAAGCTGAACTTTGTAACAATTCCAACCAAACATGCAAAATTTCTTGGACAGAACTTGGGGGAGAGAGTGAATCCAGAGTGCAGACACAGGCAGGCAAGGAGGTATGAAACCTGAAAGTCCTGCTTGCTTTCTCAGCTGGGAGGCTGGTAGCCTGGGGCAAGTTCTTAGCCCTGCTTGCCCACTGCCTAAAAACAAACTCAGTGCTATTGCGGGGAGGCACAGTGAGAGTGAGACTGGCCTTTTGGATTGCATGGGAGCCGGGTGAGGCCTGTAACTGTCGGCTGTCCCCCACTTCCCTGGCAACCTACATGACACAGCAGAGGCAGCCATAATCCTACTGGTAACGTAACTCCATTGACCCGGGAACCACAAACCCATCCCCCACAGCAGCTGCAGCAAGCCCTGCCCAAGGAGAATCAGCTCAGACATGTCTAACCCTGCCCCAACTTGATGGTATTTCTCTACCCACCCTGGTAGCTGAAGACAAAGATCAGATTCTCTTGGGAGTTCTAGGGCTCCAGCCACTGCCTGATCTTCCCTATACTACCACGGCTCATGCTCTCTTGAAAGTGCCACCTCCTGGCAAGAGGCCAATCAGCACAAAACTAGTGCAATAAACAACAATAATACAACTACGGGCCCTCACAGAATGCATTTCACTCCCCTGCCACCTCCACTGGAGCAGGTGCTGCTATCCATGACTAAGAGACAGAAAGATGGTTCACATCACAGAACTCTGTGCAGACACCCCCTAGTAGGTAAGTACTACATCAAGGGAGCACCCCATGGGACAAAACAGTCTGAACAGAAGCCCTTGAGCCCCAGATCTTCCCTCTGACATAGCCTACACAAATGTAAAAGAACCAGAAAATCACTTCTGGTAATGACAAAACAAGGTTGTTTAGCACCCTCAAAATATCACACTAGCTCACCAGTAATGGATCCAAAGCATGAAGAAAGTCTTGATATGCCAGAAAAAGAATTCAGAAGGCCAATTATTAAGCTAATTAAGGAGGCAGCAGAGAAAGGTGAAGTCCAATTTCATGAAATAAAAAAAAAAAATGATAGACGGTATAAGGGAAAAATCTTCAGTGAAATTGATAGCATAAATAAAAATATCACAATTTCTGGAAATCAAGGACACATTTATAGAAAAGCAAAATGCACTGAAAGTCTCAGCAATAGAATTGAACAAGCAGAAGAAAGAACTTCAGAGCTCAAAGACAAGGTTTTTGAAATAATCCAATTCAACAAAGACAAAGAAAAAAAGAATTTAAAAAAATGAACAAAGCCTGCAAGAAGTTTGGGATTATGTTAAATGACCAAACCTAAGAATAATTGGTATTCCTGAAGAAATCTAAAGGTTTGGAAAACATATATGGGAGAATAATCGAGGAAAACTTCCCCAGTCTTGATAGAGATCTAGACATTCAAATACAAGAAGCTCAAAGAACACCTGGGAAATTCATCATAAAAAGATTATCACCTATACACATTGTCATCAGGTTGTCTACAGTTAAGATGAAGGAAGAATCTTAAAAGCTGTGAGGCAAAAGTGCCATGTAACCTGTAAAGGAAAACCTATCAGATTAACAGCAGTTTTCTCAGCAGAAACCCTCCACACTAGAAGAGATTGGGGCCCTATCTTCAGCCTACTTAAACAAAACAATTATCAGCCAATAATTTTGTATCCAGTGAAACTAAGCTTAATAAATAAAGGAAAGATACAATATTTTTCAACAAACAAATGCTGAGAGAATATACCACTACCAAGCCAGCACTGTAAGAACTACTAAAAGGTGCTCTAAATCTTGAAACAAATCCTTGAAATTCATCAAAACAGAACATCCTTAAAGCATAAATTTCACAGGACCAATAAAACAACAACACCATAAATTTTTTTTTTAAAAAAAGGTATTTAGGCAACAAATAGCACAATGAATAGCACCTCACATCTCAATACCAACATTGAATGTAAATGACTTAAAAACTCCACTTAAGAGATACAGAATGGCAGAATGGATAATAATTCACCAACTAAGTATCTGCTGCCTTCAAGAGACTCACCTAAAACATAAGAACTCACATAAGCTTAAGATAAAGAGGTGGAAAAAGACATTCCATGTAAATGGAAACCAAAAGAGAGCAGATAGTCATTCTTACATCAGACAAAACAAACTTTAAAGCAACAGCAGTTAAAAAAGACAAAGAGGGACATAATACAATGATAAGAGGCCTTGTATAACAGAAAAGTATCACAATCCTAAATATATATACACCTAACACTGGAGCTTCCAAATTTATAAAATGATTACTACTAGACCTAAGAAATGAGATAGACAGCAACACATTAATAGTGGGGGACTTCAATACTCCACTGACAGCATTAGAGAGGTCATCAAGACAGAAAGTCAACAAAGAAACAATGGATTTAAACTATACCCTAGAACAAATGGACTTAACAGATATTTACAGAACATTCAAAGATAAATTTAAAAATTTCTTGAGACAAACAAAAATGAACATACAACATACCCAAACCTGTGGGATACAACAGAAACAGTTCCAAGAGGAAAGTTCATAGCAATAAATGCTTGCATCAAAAAAGACCAGTCTAAGGTAAACAACCTAACTTTGTACCTTAAGGAACTAGAAAAATAAGAACAAACTAAGCTCAAAGTTAGTAGAAGGAAGGAAAAAAAAAAGATCATCACAGAAATAAATAAAATAGATATTAGAAACTCACTAGAAAAGATCAACAAAACTAAGAGTTGGTTTCTGGAAAAGATTAACAAATTTGACAAAACTTAAAGAGACACAGATAAATAAAATCATAAATGAAAAAGGAGACATTACAACTGATACATCAGAAACACAAAAGATTGTGAGGGTACAATGAACAATTACGTGCAAACAAATAGAAAAACTCAGAAAAAAATGGGTAAATTCCTTGATGTATACAACTTACCAAGACCAGACTATTAAAAAATAGAAAATCTTAGCAGACCAATAATGAATAAACACATAAACAGACCAATAATGAGTAAGGAGATTGAATCAATAATATAAAGTCTCCCATCAAAAAAAAAAAAGCCCAGAACCTGATGGCTTCATTGCTGAATTCTATCAAAAACTTAAAGAATGACTCATATCAATTATTTAAAACCTTAAAAAATTGAAGAGGGAATACTTCCAAATTCATTTTACAAGATCAGCATCACCCTGATACCAAAGCCAGATAAAAACACTACAAAAAAAAAGAAAAACCTCAAGCCAATATCCCTGATGAACACTGATGTAAAACATCTTCAACAAAATATTGGCAAACAGAATTCAAAGGCACGTGAAAAAGATCTTCAGCATTATCAAATGGGATTCATCTTAGGGATACAAGGATGGTTCAACATATGTAAATTAATAAATGTGATACATCACATTAACTGAAGGGAGAACAAAAAACGTATGATCATTTCAATAGATGCAGATAAAAAATATTTGACAACATTCAACATACTTTCATGATAAAAACTCTCAACAATTAGGTATAAAAACTCTCAACAATTAGGTATAAAAAGCATGTACATCAACATAATAAAGGCCATATATGACAAACCCGTAGCTAACATCAAACTCACTGGGGAAAAGTTGGACGCTTTTTCTCTAAGATCTAGAAGAAGACAAGAGTGGCCACTCTTGCCACTTCTTCTATTCAGTACATACTGGAGGTCATAGTCAAAGCAATAGGCAAGAGAAAGCAAATGAATCTAAATTAGAAAAGAAGAGATAAATTGTCCTTGTTTGTAGATGACATGCTGTTATTTATAACAAACACTAAAAAACTACTAGAACTAATATCCAAATTCAGTAATGTTACATTACACACAATCAACATACAAAAATCAGAGAACAATCTGAAAAAGTCAAGAAAGTGATCCCCTTTATATAACTACAAAAAATAAAACATTTGTGAATAAACTTAACGAGGAGTTAGAAGATCTATACATTGAAAATTATGAAATACTGGTGAAAAAATTTGAAAGGATAGAAATAAATGAAAAGATATCCTGTGTTCACAGATTGAAAAAGTTGATATTGTTAAAATGTCCATACTACACCAAGCAATCTACAATTCAATGCAATCCCTATCAAAATGCAAGTGCCATTCTTCACAGAACTAGAAAAAACAATTTTAAAATTTGTATGAAACTACAACAGACTTTGAATAGCCAACACAATCTGGAGTGAAAAGAACAAAGCTGCATCATGTTACCTAACTTTAAAATGTACAACAAAGCTATAGTTACTACAACAGCATAGTACTGACATGAAAACAAATGTACCAATGGAACAGAATAGAGAGCCCTGAAATAAATCCATACATTTACAGCAAACTGATTCAACAAAGGTACCAAGAACATACAATGGGGAAATCACAGTCTTTTCAATAACTGATGTTGGGAAAACTGGATATCTACCATGCAGAAGAATAAATTTAGGTAATTTTCTCACATCATATGAAAATTAACTTAAAATGGATTAAATACTTAAATATAAGACCCAAAACTATGAAACTGCTATAAGAAAACATAGGTGAAAATCTCCATGACATAGGTCTAAGTAATGACTTTTTGGATGTGACTCCAAAAGCACAGAAAACAAAAGCAAAAATAAATGAGGGGACTATACAAAACTAAAAAGCTTCTGCACAGTAAAGGAAACAATCAACAAGAGTGAAGAGACATCCTACAGAATGGGAGAAAATATCTGTACATTATACATCTGGCTAAAGGTTTTATCCAAAATATATGATACTCAAACAGCTCATTAGCAAGAAAACAAATAACCTGGTAAAAATTGGGCAAAGGACCTGAATAGATGCTTTTCAAAAGAAGACATACAAATAGACAATAGGTATATGAAAAAACGCCCAACATCACAAATCATTAGGAAAATGCAAATTAAAACCATAATGAGGTATCACTTCACACATGATAGGATGGCTGTTATCAAAAAGAGAAAAAGTATTAGTGAGGATATGGAGAAAATGGAATTTTGCAAGCTGTTGGTGGGAATGTAAATTAGTGCAGCCATTATGGAAAATAATATGAAGATTCCTCAAAAAATTAAAAATAGAAATACCATATGATCTGGCCATCTCCTACTCGATATATATCCAGGGGAAGTGAAATCAGTATGTTGAAGATATATCTGTGCTATCATGTTCATTGTAGCATTATTCATGATAGTCAAGATGTAGAATCAACCTAAGTGTCCATCAGTGGATGAATGGATAAGGAAAATGTGGTGTATATACATAATGGAATACTGTTTATCCATAAAAATAATGAAATACTGTCATCTGTGAAAACTTGCATGAAGCTAGAGGACATTATGTTGAGTAAAATAAGCCAGGTACAGAAAGATAAATACCATATTATCTCACTCATATATGGAATCTAGAAAGATGCAGAGAGTAGAATCATGGTTAACAAGGGCTTGGGTCATTGAAGGATGGCAGAATTTGTGAGATATTGGGCAAAAGATACAAAATTTCACTTAGGAGGAATATGTTCAAGAGATCTATTGTACAGCATAGTGACTATAGATAATAATATATTGTATTCATTAAAAATGCTAAAAGAGTGGATATAAAGTGTTCTTATCACAAAAATCATGACTATGTGAGGTAATGCTTATGTTAGCTAGATTTAAGCATTCCACAACGTATATATACTTCAAAACATCATGTTGTACATAATAAATACATAAATTTTATCTGTCCATTAAGAAATGATTTAGTTCAGTTCTGAGACAAGACATCACTCTACCCTGCTGTTCTCTAAATACAATTCAATAAATGCTCATGGCAGGTTTCTTCATAACTATTTTACAGGTGTCCTTTAAAGGGTGGGTGGTTAAACAAACCTTGGTACATTCATCATTAGAGTACTAGTCAACAATAAAAAGCAATGCAGCAACTTGGATGAAATTAAAAAAAAATATGCTCAGTAAAAAAAGCTAAATCCAAAGGCTTACATACTGTGTGATTTGTTTACACAGCTTTGATGAAAATTTTATATTACTTTATTTTTACTTTTATTTTAGGTTCAGAGGTACATGTGAAGTTTGGTTTGTGGATTTTTGTTTTTTTGGTTTTTGTTCTTTTTGTTTTTGTTTTTGAGAAAGGATCTCACTGTGTTACCCAGGTTAGAGTGCAGTGACATGATCGCAGTTCACGGCAACCTCCCCTTCCCCAGTAGCTGGGACTACAGGCACACACCACCACCCCAGCTAATTCTGGTATTTTATTTTATTTTATTTTATTTTATTTTATTTTATTTTATTTTATTTTATTTTATTATTTTATTATTTATTTTGTAGAGATGGGGTTTTGTCATGTTGCCCGGGCTGGTCTCAAACTCCCGGACTCAAGTAATCAGCCTGTCTGGGCCTCCCAAAGTGCTAGGATTATAGGTGTGAGCCACTGCACCTGGTCCAGGTTTGTTATACAGGTAAAGGGTATGTCACAGGGGTTTGGTGTACATATTATTTTGACACCAAGGTAAGAAGCATAGTACTTAATAGGGTACCCATGTTTCTGCAAAGGACATGATCTCCTTTTTTATATGGCCATGTAGTATTCCATGATGTATACGTACCACATTTTCTTTATTCAGTCTACTGTTGATGGGCATTTAGGATGATTCCATGTCTTTCCTATTGTGAACAGTGCTGCAGTTAACATGAACATGCGTGTGTCTTTATGATAGAATGATTTATAGTCCGGCTGGTCGCAGTAGCTCATGCCTGTAATCCCAACATTTGGGCAGCCAAAGCAGCCAGATCATTTCAGCTCACGAGTTTGAGACCAGCCTGGACAATATGGTGAAACCATGTCTTTACTAAAGATACAAATATCAGATGGGTGTGGTGGCACAGGCTACTCAGGAGGCTGAGCCACAAGAATCGCTTGAACCCAGGAGGCAGAGGTTGCAGTGAGCTGAGATAGCACCACTGCTCTCCAGAGTGGGTAACAGAGTGAGACTCTGAATCAAACAAAAACCCCAAAAACCAAAACTATATTCCTTTGGGTATATACGCCAGTAATGGGATTGCTGGGGTGAATGGTAATCCTGTTTTAAGTTCTTTGAGAAATCTCCAAACTGATTTCCACAATGGCTAAACTAATTTACTTTTGCACCAGCAGTGTATAAACATTCCCATTTTCTCCATAACCTCACCAGCACCTGCTTTTTTTGACTTTTTAATAATAGCTATTCTGACTGATGTGAAATGGCATCTGATTGTGGTTTTGATCTGCATTTCTCTAATGATTAGTAAAGTTGAACGTTTTTTCATATACTTGTTGGCTACATGTATGCCTTCTTTTGAGAAATGTCTTTTCATGTCCTTTGCCCACTTATTGATGGGGTTGTATAACATTCTAGAAATGACAAAATTATGTAAATAGAGAACACATTAGTGGTTGTCAGGCATTGGGGAGTGAGGCATATGGGAGAGAAATCAATATGGATATAACAAGACAACATAAGGAATCCTTGCGATAACAGAAATGTTCTGTATGTTTACTGTGGTAGCACATACGCAGATATAAATGGTTAACAAAATAGCAGAGAGCTAAATACATAGTATAAGCATATGCACTCACACACACAGAGGAATACAAGTAAAACTAGGGAGATCTGAATAAGATTGATAGATTATATAAATGTCAATATCCTAGTTGCGATACTGTACAATAATTTTGCAAAATGTTATCATTGGAAAAAACTATGTAAAAGGGACATGGAATCTTAATTATTTCCTACAACTGCAAATGTATCTGCAATTATCTCACAATAACATCAATAAAAATGATTTTATAACAAATGAAAGCAATCAAATACTAGTAAAATTTAGTACATTTCTATGTCCTTGTTGTATATTTCATCATTTAAATATACAACAAAGCGAAATAATCTAAAAAGAAAACATTATTTTATACCTCAAACCCCTGAGATTATACACAATTGCATATTTCTGTAACTTCATTTGAAAATATGGCATCCATAACCATATTAACATACTACGGGGAGTTTAGGAGGATCCTAGCTTTTGGCTCTCCTCCCTCAGTTAATTATTGGAAGCTTTGAGGAAAGGTGTCACGAGAAATTTTTGATTCAGTCAATAAACATTAATTTTTCTTTTGTCTTGCTTTTATAAATCACTGGCCTATCTACAATGGGAGGCTACATCTTTTAATTAATATACAATACTTTTCAGTTCTTAGTTGTAATTATCTTGTATGTTTTAGATTTCACATAACGCTGATGAAACCCACTGAACTTTTAAAAGTACTCTAGGATACAGGATTCACATGTAAATCTACCACAATAAAATGACTTTTTACCAGTTATTCCTCCATCCCAGAGCTTCATTTTATGTTTATAACCTTATTTTAACCTTATTTATTCTACTTGTTATGTTAAAATTGTACTTATTTTACTCCTCCCAAGGTTAAAATAAGGATTAAAATATCATTTATTTTCATTTTTATTACTTTATTATCTCCATAAAAGTCTAGAGTCACTAGCTTCTTTTATCCATCTTTGGTGCTGGTATAAAAACACATTTCTTGCTTCACGTTATGTCTTTAAGCAGCATCACTTTCTTTGATTTTCCTTTTCCAATTAAACCACTATCTTTGAACTTTTTAATTTTCATGGATACATAATAGTTGTGCATATCTGTGGGGTACATATGACATTTTGATACATGCACACAATATGTAATGATAAAATCAGGGGATTTAGGATCTCCTTCAAACATTTATCATTTCTTTGTGTTGGGAACATTCTGAATCTTCTCTTCCAGCTATTTTCAATTATACAATAAAGTATTGTTAACTATCATCATCCTATAGTGCTATTGAACACTAGAACTCCTTCCTTCTAGCTGACTATATTTTTGTACCCACTACCTAGCCTTCTTAATTCCCCTCCCCCACTCCTCCCTGCCTTTGCTAACCATCATTCTATTCACAAAATATCACATGTTCTCAGTCATATGTGGTCTACCTTTTTTGTTTCTTCTCTATTTCTGTTATTTTCAGTTATTATTTAAATAACTAATTAAATTCTTGTGGTTTTTTCCTATTTTTTTTATAATGATAGGTTTTTAATGCCCTATTTCTCCCTGACAAACAACTAGACACCCTGAATACTAGTAGATTGCCCTAGAAACCTGCCTCCAACTGGATCTAATAACTGAATTCAGCTTCTCAAGTCCTAATCAGATTAAATCAGATTTGGTATGGCATAGTTTTGTATATTCTTAAAATAGTAACAAGATTACTTCACCTACTCTACTGAACAGCCTAGATGAATCTATTTGTTATTATTATTGGGAAAATCTAAGTTGAGTATGAACTAAAATTCACTAACACCCTTTATTCCTTCTTCCTAATGTCCTCACTTATTTATTTGTCCTACTGTGATAAATGTATCTTAGTAAGGCCTTTCGAAATATTTTATGAATTAAGGCTGGAACAAAGTAGATAAATAGGCAAGAGAGAATCTATCAGAAAATTAAGTAAAATAGAAAAAAAAAATCTTAATTACGGCTTTGACTTAGCTCACGGACTACCTCTTCTCCAGCTAATCTGCACTTTGCTGCCAAAGACATTCTCCTGAAGCTTAAATGTGAGCATCTCTCTATTGAAAAACTCAGTGTAGCTCAAAAATATCTTAAAATGTTCTCATGGTATATGAGGTCTTATAGAATTTAAGTTCAAGCTATCTCTCTTCATTCCCCACAATGTTCTCTGATAAGATGGTCCTCTGTTCTGGGAGCTCAGAATCATACTCAGTCCCGTAAAGAAACTGAGCCTTTATCTAGGTATGAAAACCTAGACAACGTCCTCATCTGTATTATTGTACTTAACAACCTGCATTATGAAGTCCTTGTGTAAGCAGAACAGATCTGCCCATTCAATGGCAGATGCTCCTCAAAGACAGTTATCAGAAGTCACTCAGTAACTCTAAGGCCGTCTTCAGTATTTGTAGGTCTGCAAATGGCATGGGCAAGAATAAAAGCCAGTGGTAATAGTAACAACGTGCCCCACAGAATTTTATCTGGGTCACATACATGCACTCCTCTTGCTCCTGTGTGTAACTTTGGACTTTCCCTCAGATTCTATCTGGCCTGATTGCAAGGATCTTTTAACGTGATTATCCATTCTGGAGTTTGTCCTTGATTACCTTGACAATGGCTCCTAGCTCTACCCTTACTACAGTGTGCTCCTCGGTTATACATTATCTCAGTTATCATAGGGTCAGCTCACCTTTTTGGCCTTGTAAAGATAACAGTGCTTTAAATTTTTGGTTTATTAATTTATTCATGAACATTTAGTAAGTCCCATATTATACTAATCATTGAAGACATAAAGCCAAGTAGAACAGGTTCCTTGCCTCCAATTATCTTGCTTCTCTGAGAACGGAAGGTAAGAGTCAGGCTGCATCTATCAGGCATCTAACTACTATGGTCTTTTTGACCCATTTGTACTGAAATGTTTTAAACCAGATACACCAACACAGTTCTCTAGTTCCTCAGCCTCCAGACCAAGAGAGAATATGTTTCCTTGTGAATGCTGATCATACTTTGCTAATAATGAATGTGTGTTTAAAGTTAAAAAAGAATAAAGGAACACAGCTGGATGTATTAGTATGGGCTCATGAAAGAGACATATCCTTGGATGCTGAACCCGCATAGTCCTGTTACTTCATGGATGACACAATGAACTGAATCTAAGACACTTCTAAACCATCCCAGCCTGCACTAGAGCATTGGCAAACTGGAGGTGCTGTTTTACAAAATGAATATATGAATGGATGAATGGTGGATG
This sequence comes from Homo sapiens, assembly GCF_000001405.40. Classification (NCBI taxonomy): domain Eukaryota; kingdom Metazoa; phylum Chordata; class Mammalia; order Primates; family Hominidae; genus Homo; species Homo sapiens. The sequence goes on from NC_000007.14 coordinate 126,599,974, forward strand.
GACGAATGGATGCTTTTTCAATGGCCTATATGTTCTTCCAAATATTTTGACCATTAAAAGAATTTAAAGTCTAGTTTGAATTTCATCTATGTCAAGAAACTATCCAGTGTCCCTAGTTTAAGGTGATCATTGATTCCTTGAATTCACATTCAAACCACTGAATTCAAATAGTTTATTATTTAATCTGTACCTGTATAATTATGCAATTATTGTAGTTATGAGTATATGGTTGCTTTAATAAATTAGAAATCCGTTGATATCTGGAAATACAGTTGACCCTTGGACAACATGGGTTTGGAGTGTATGGGTCTACTTCTACATTGGTTTTTTTCAATCGAACACAGACAGAAAATATTGTATTGGCAGATGTGAAACCTGCCTATAAGAAGGCCTGATTTTTCATATGCATGGCTTCTGACTAGGGGAAATGATCATGCATAGATTTTGGTATATGTGGGGTCCTGAAACCAATTCCCCATATCTACATAGGGATGACTGTATATCTTATACTGATGCCCTGCCATGGACTATCATCCTGCCTGGCAGGGAACAGTCACTGAATAAATAATCTGTACATGAGTGTACTTCCTAATAGATAATCTTGGATCATCCATCTATGTTCAGTCAATATGTAGAAAAGATCAGCATATTATTCATGACATATTAAATACACACTTATTGAGTACTTATTCTGGGCTTGGCAAGGATGTGGTTAAAATTTAATCACCTTAACACTTGCTCAATGTGTGAATAATATGACTCTACCAAATCATATTGTTATCTTTTATCTTGTTATTTTATAAACAGAGATATAAGTAATGACCTCAAAATGACTTTTTGAAAGAATAAATTAGCATCTAATAAACAAATACACAGCTTTAAAAATCATCTTGTTGCAAGGAAAGGAAACAGAACAAAGTATTTTCATAATCAAGTACAAAGTTAAGAACTAGAGTGGCATTTTTTTTTTATTATACTTTAAGTTTTAGGGTACATGTGCACATTGTGCAGGTTAGTTACATATGTATACATGTGCCATGCTGGTGCGCTGCACCCACTAACTCGTCATCTAGCATTAGGTATATCTCCCAATGCTATCCCTCTCCCCTCCCCCCACCCCACCACAGTCCCCAGAGTGTGATATTCCCCTTCCTGTGTCCATGTGATCTCATTGTTCAATTCCCACCTATGAGTGAGAATATGCGGTGTTTGGTTTTTTGTACTTGCGATAGTTTACTGAGAATGATGATTTCCAATTTCATCCATGTCCCTACAAACGACATGAACTCATCATTTTTTATGGCTGCATAGTATTCCGTGGTGTATATGCGCCATATTTTCTTAATCCAGTCTATCGTTGTTGGACATTTGGGTTGGTTCCAAGTCTTTGCTATGGTGAATAATGCCGCAATAAACATACGTGTGCATGTGTCTTTATAGCAGCATGATTTATAGTCATTTGGGTATATACCCAGTAATGGGATGGCTGGGTCAAATGGTACTTCTAGTTCTAAATCCCTGAGGAATCGCCACACTGACTTCCACAATGGTTGAACTAGTTTACAGTCCCACCAACAGTGTAAAAGTGTTCCTATTTCTCCACATCCTCTCCAGCACCTGTTGTTTCCTGACTTTTTAATGATTGCCATTCTAACTGGTGTGAGATGGTATCTCATAGTGGTTTTGATTTGCATTTCTCTGATGGCTAGTGATGATGAGCATTTTTTCATGTGTTTTTTGGCTGCATAAATGTCTTCTTTTGAGAAGTGTCTGTTCATGTCCTTTGCCCACTTTTTGATGGGGTTGTTTGTTTTTTTCTTGTAAATTTGTTTGAGTTCATTGTAGATTCTGCATATTAGCCCTTTGTCAGATGAGTAGGTTGTGAAAATTTTCTCCCATTTTGTGGGTTGCCTGTTCACTCTGATGGTAGTTTCTTTTGCTGTGCAGAAGCTCTTTAGTTTAATTAGATCCCATTTGTCAATTTTGTCTTTTGTTGCCATTGCTTTTGGTGTTTTGGACATGAAGTCCTTGCCCATGCCTATGTCCTGAATGGTAATGCCTAGGTTTTCTTCTAGGGTTTTTATGGTTTTAGGTCTAACGTTTAAATCTTTAATCCATCTTGAATTGATTTTTGTATAAGGTGTAAGGAAGGGATCCAGTTTGAGCTTTCTACATATGGCTAGCCAGTTTTCCCAGCACCATTTATTAAATAGGGAATCCTTTCCCCATTGCTTGTTTTTCTCAGGTTTGTCAAAGATCAGATAGTTGTAGGTATGCGGCATTATTTCTGAGGGCTCTGTTCTGTTCCATTGATCTATATCTCTGTTTTGGTAGCAGTACCATGCTGTTTTGGTTACTGTAGCCTTGTAGTATAGTTTGAAGTCAGGTAGCGTGATGCCTCCAGCTTTGTTCTTTTGGCTTAGGATTGACTTGGCGATGCGGGCTCTTTTTCGGTTCCATATGAACTTTAAAGTAGTTTTTTCCAATTCTGTGAAGAAAGTCATTGGTAGCTTGATGGGGATGGCATTGAATCTGTAAATTACCTTGGGCAGTATGGCCATTTTCACCGTATTGATTCTTCCTACCCATGAGCATGGAATGTTCTTCCATTTGTTTGTATCCTCTTTTATTTCCTTGAGCAGTGGTTTGTAGTTCTCCTTGAAGAGGTCCTTCACATCCCTTGTAAGTTGGATTCCTAGGTATTTTATTCTCTTTGAAGCAATTGTGAATGGGAGTTCACTCATGATTTGGCTCTCTGTTTGTCTGTTGATAGTTTACCAACCAAAAAGAGTCCAGGACCAGATGGATTCACAGCTGAATTCTACCAGAGGTACAAGGAGGAACTGGTACCATTCCTTCTGAAACTATTCCAATCAATAGAAAAAGAGGGAATCCTCCCTAACTCATTTTATGAGGCCAGCATCATTCTGATACCAAAGCCGGGCAGAGACACAACCAAAAAAGACAATTTTAGACCAATATCCTTGATGAACATTGATGCAAAAATCCTCAATAAAATACTGGCAAACCGAATCCAGCAGCACATCAAAAAGCTTATCCACCATGATCAAGTTGGCTTCATCCCTGGGATGCAAGGCTGGTTCAATATACGCAAATCAATAAATGTAATCCAGCATATAAACAGAGCCAAAGACAAAAACCACATGATTATCTCAATAGATGCAGAAAAAGCCTTTGACAAAATTCAACAACCCTTCATGCTAAAAACTCTCTATAAATTAGGTATTGATGGGACGTATTTCAAAATAATAAGAGCTATCTATGACAAACCCACAGCCAATATCATACTGAATGGGCAAAAACTGGAAGCATTCCCTTTGAAAACTGGCACAAGACAGGGATGCCCTCTCTCACCGCTCCTATTCAACATAGTGTTGGAAGTTCTGGCCAGGGCAATTAGGCAGGAGAAGGAAATAAAGGGTATTCAATTAGGAAAAGAGGAAGTCAAATTGTCACTGTTTGCAGACGACATGATTGTATATCTAGAAAACCCCATTGTCTCAGCCCAAAATCTCCTTAAGCTGATAAGCAACTTCAGCAAAGTCTCAGGATACAAAATCAATGTACAAAAATCACAAGCATTCTTATACACCAACAACAGACAAATAGAGTGGCATTTAAAGTTCTAACAGAATATAGAGAAAGGGCCCAGGGAATTGACTCACACTTATGCTATGTAGGAAAAGGAGTGCATCATATAATACTTATTTCATAGGGTGAATATGTGTGTGTACATATATATATGTATGTATGTATGTGTTTGTGTATATATGTATCATAGGAAAGAGCATTTTCACATGTAAGCAACTTTGCAAACAGGGAAACAGAGGCAAACAGAAAATGCATGTTTCCTAACTGTCAAAGCAAGCAAAGGTCAAGTCTTCTCTCAAACCCTGTTTCAACTCTATTCAGTCCATTGTTACTTCAAAACCATTTTAATATTTTTCATTATATAAAAGCTGTTCCTCTATGAAATTAATGAAAGTAATGATTTTTGCATTAAAAAAAAACAGTTGTTTATCCAGAATAAAAACAAAATCCCTGAGACAAATGGGGAGACTCAGGAATTTTCCCTTTTTTTAATCCAAGCAAGCCAAGGAAGCCCCAGTATACATACATATAGCATGTATATATTTAACTGATCATCTATAGGAAAATACATACATTCAATTAAAATAAATACTATACTATAGGTATGTGGTAAAGACCAATTTAATGGAGCAAAATTCCATCAGAAAGTTTGCTCAAGTTTTAGTTTTTCCCAAAGCATTTGAATCACAGAGGCTACTTTTTTAAATATCAAAACAAATACTTTGGGCTTATTGTGTAGACAGACAAGTTATCATGGTGCATATACCTCTCTTTACAGCTACTCCCTATTCAGAACATCAGAATAAAGACAGAAAGAAGACTGCAAATACAGCTTCAGTTTGATTTCATACTGAAATACCCACTATAGGTCCTCTATAGTAGGCTGGTTGTACTGGCAAAACAAAACAAAAATTATTATTATCACATTCGTTCAATACTTAATATGTACCAGTCAATGTTCTAGGATTTTTGTACATGCAATTTCCTTGATGATCTCAGAACTCTATCAAGTTGGTAGATAAAGAACCTGAGTCTAAGTCACATGCCCAAGGCTGGCTATACAGCTCATGAATGAAAGGTCAGAATTCAAACATCTTCTGTTTGACTTTGAGATCTTTTTCTTGATCACCATATTACAATGCATCTACTATTCATAATAATATCTATTATCCCACTTAGATGAGAAAACTGAGGCTCAAAGCTCAGTATCCTGTCAGAAGTTTTTCTTCTATGGAGTCATCCACTGAAAATTAAATCAGGTTCAAAATTATTAATTCAGTTTCTCCTTCAAATCACCCTTCCAAATTACACTCTGCCACTAATAATTGGGCAGATTGGGACACCCTTGTGAAGTCACTATTCTTTGTTATTTATCATTTATATTCAACTTATTTCCTTGATTATAAAAAGAATAATATGTTGAAACCAATAAAAACATATGTTTCATTCCTACAGTAATCAAGAAAAAGTGGATCTGGTTGGAAAAAGCATTAAAAAAAGCCCCGAGTTATTTTTGGCCCATACAGCATCCCCAGTACACGTTCTCCCTGTGGACACAGAGCAGCATATGGCTGTTCTTTTCACAGTTCAGGCTCTTCTGTTTACTCTGAACCTCTAGGTTACAATATGTTTTGTAATCACTAATAAGGACCACCTGTCTCTTGAGAGATTCTGCCTAATAAAATAGAGAGACTCATTGTTCAAATCCACTCTCAGGTAGACAATACATGCCTCATGTGTGGGCCGAGATTACTGAGTAGAAAACTTAAACAAATTATGCTGATTGTAATTGCCAAATTAAGAACATATGTTAGTTTCATAAAAAGAAAAAAGAAACAGTAATGTTTGGAACAATAAAGATAATGCTTTTGAGGAAATGAAATACCTAATATATTTTCCAGGAAAAAGAAAAAGAATAATCTACTTATTTAAAAAATTCGTTCAATCCACTAAGAGATATTCAAGGCAAATTTACTGCATTCCAATATGCCTAACCATATACCCTCTTTGTACAAATTTATACTATGGTTGAATTCAGCCAGAAAAACTGGCTCTTTGAAAACAAGCAGAGTTCAATCCAATAACTGACTGATAAATGCTTACCACTGAGAATGTGAAAGCTATCATAAATCTGGTTTAATAGAACAAGAAGAGATACAGTATATGGATAAGAGTAAATCCTCCTGTCAGTATCCTCCTTTGGCCACAGTGACAATTCCCACCAGAGGTCAGGCCAGATTAGCAACCTCTCTCTAGGCTGCCATTGCAAACCCATATATATATACCTTCATCAGTGCACCTGCTCCATTGCGCTAGAGTGGTTGGTCCGAGTGTTTGTCTCTCCTTCTAATCTGTGAGTTCCCTGAGAACAGGGTTCACATATTCACTATAGTCTCAACACCTTTTAACAGAGTATGAGCACAGACTGAATTTCCCAAATCTATTCAAAAAATAACTGCCTAGGTGATGATATCTATTCACATGGTAGCACAGGAAAATAAATTTATCTCATATAAAGTTTGTTTTTTGAGTGCAGAGGGATTTTCCAAGTATTAAGGCCAATGTCAAAGACAGGCAGAAAGGACTGGCTGTGGGGACAGTCAGCATTTTAAATGCAGAGACTGTCTCTGAACTTTCTCACACAAACTCAAGTCCCTCTTCTAATGGGACCTTCGCTTTGCCCAGTAGACTCATTATCTATCAGGTGTCTCACTGACCACATAGAATATTGAGATACTGAATTAATCATAAGTAACATTTATAGATCTCAGGTGTACCAAACACTGGGCAAAGGGCTTTGTTGTATTACTTCATTTAATGCTTATTACAACCATATAAGGTGGGTGCTACTGTTTTCATTTTAGACATGATAAAACTGAGGCAAATAATTTGTTTAGTGCTTTGCCATAGATCTAAGCAAAACATTAACAAGTTGGTAGCTTGCCAAGCACTCTACTACTCCACCTTCAAGCAGGTGACTAATCCAACTCCTAAGGATAAAAGTCATTTGATTTGTCCTGATAATCCTCAGAATTCAATTCTTAATTTATAACCTCTCTCCACAGTGCAATTTATTGTTTTTTCTTCTAAGAGATGCATTTTCCATTTCGGTAAAACCCGCAACGCTATCTAGTTATAAATGATCATAATCATGCATGAGAAATAATTCTCACAAATTGTTTTGATACATTTTATGAACGATAATACAGTCATAAACATAAAACTTTCATGCACTGTTAAATGTACATAAAAGAGCAGCTTGAGATTCAATAGGAAGTTTATAACTACATTATGCGTATATGGCGAGATGTGTATATATGTGTACTTGTGTGTAAAATTATGTTATGTAATGGTGTTGTATGTTAGTGTATATATTTCTCAAACACTGGATTTTGCTGTGTAAATCCCTAATCATCAGAATATATTAATGATAGGCAGTCCGACATTAATAAAAGTCAGATAAAAAGCTTTCCTATCTTAGACCTTGTCAAAACATTTCTGTCTTATTTCATTTCCTATAGGTCCTCTTTCAAAAGGGCTTCTGTCAAAAAGCTATTGATTATCAATAACCTGTGGCATTATCAAAGTTGTGTTTCAATAAATGTCAATATGGATTGCAGAACAATGGATAAGATTTCATGAAGCACCTAGAAGTAGTAAAGTATTGATATGTGGCCTTACGTATCACTACAATAGTTAGAAACATAAGCTGTCTGTGCATTATTAAATGCATAGCTGCAATAATTATGAGGAAGAAAATAAATCATAATCTCCCTAGTTTTGTAATTTCTCATCGTCTAATTTTCTGAGAACTTGGGTGACTGGTGCTGCATAGACATATCACTTTGGGGGACATATTTGGAAATACAAAACAAAAAAAAATTGATTAAAAATATCAAATTGATGTCTTCTGATTAGGTTCAAACATGAGAAAGCATGTATACACTCTCACAGTATTATGGTAGCTCTGAGAATCAAGAAGAGGAGATGTTTTTTGCTAGAGGAAAGAGTGAATTACACATTAAAACAACAGAACAGAAGAAGAATATTTTCCTAGTTTATTTGAAGCATTTTAAAAACATCCTACTGTCTACCGTTCTTTTTTTATGTATTTTTATTATTATTATTATACTTTAAGTTTTAGGGTACATGTGCACAATGTGAAGGTTAGTTACATATGTATACACGTGCCATGCTAGTGCGCTGCACCCACTAACTCGTCATCTAGCATTAGGTATATCACCCAATGCTATCCCTCCCCCCTCCCCCCACCCCACAACAGTCCCCAGACTGTGATGTTCCCCTTCCTGTGTCCATGTCTACTGTTCTTGTAGTTATTTCCTGGCCACCAAATTTCTGTGAAAAGTCCTACTTTTCTGTGGAAGAGATGCTGGATGAATGAACTCTAAACCTCGACTGAGACTACAGAACGTGCTCCATACTTCTCTATACTTAAAAAAGCCAGTGTGCACTAATATGGGGCAAAGGGCTGTTAAAATGTGAAATAATTCTTCACCTGGTGGTAAGTAGATGCTGCCCTCCTTGCCCTCCCCACCCCAGCATCCACAGCCCTGTGCACTGATTTCCTGGGCCTCCCTTATCCATCAAGTTCAGAATTGGTTTCCTGTTCCAGAGCCCCTTAGGACTGAAGAGTGATGGTACCTAGCAGCTCTCCCCAAATCCCCCAAAGACCTCTGCCCTAAGAGAGCTCCTCTGAGGGAGTGCCCACCAGCCTGAGACACCTGATGAAGTTCCTCCTCCGTACTGCCATCCCCACGTGCTAACCCCACTGGGTACCCATCAGACTCCAGCCGAAAGAAACAGAACTCTGGGTGATGGTGCGGCACCTGGCAGGCAAATGCCCAGGTGCTTTTGGGCACCAATCCCAGGCCTTGGGAACTTGCTTCCGGCTGGGCTCTTCAAGTCGCCCTCACATGGCCACTTGTGGAAACTGCAGAATTAATGGACACTGGACCTGAAGAGTGCCTGCGGTAGACAAAAATAGCAGGTAGCTCTAAAGGCTGTTAAGTAATCTGAACATCACCCTTAGATACATCAACCTTCCCTGGTGTTGCAACTGAAAGAGGCAATATAAACACAGAGTATGATTCACTTCTATCAACCAGATATAGCCAGAAGGTCTCCCCTTGTGATGTGGCAAAAGTGATGTGCCCTTTTTTTTTTTTTTTTTTTCTTGAGACGGAGTCTCGCTCTGACGCCCAGGCTAGAGTGCAGTGGCGCGACCTCGGCTCACTGCAAGCTCCGCCTCCCGGGTTCACGCCATTCTCCTGCCTCAGCCTCCCAAATAGCTGGGACTACAAGCACCCACCACCACCCCTGGCTAATTTTTTTTGTATTTTTAGTAGAGATGGGGTTTCACCTTGTTAGCCAGATGTGACCTTTTTTTAAGCCCAAATTTATAAATGAGGGCATATTCAGTCGATTCCACACCACCTCCAACACACAGACATACAAAAAATGTACAAAGATTACAACAAATGACTCTTTCATAAAAGGGCAAAATTTATCTAAGGGTATAGTCAACTGCAGGAAAAAAATCAGATCATTCATTAAATTCTTACAGATATCAGGAGATTTCTCTAAAGAGGCTGAAGAATGTCCATAACATTTTTAAATTGAAGAGAGAATCAAGTCATACATTTTCTAAGAGTTTATTTATGGGGAAAACCTATTCTAGCAAAAGTTATACACTTAAAAATAAAGCATCCCTCCTGGAGAGCTATATACATTAATATATGTTTATGACGATACTTGCTTTTAGATGAAGCTGATTGGTCCAGTGGCCGATGACTTTGTACTCTGTGCTTTTGTTGGTTATTTGATACTGGAAGATATCATAACGTCCAGGAGCATCTCCGTTTTCATTAAAAGTGACAGGAGTGCCAGCACTGCCTATAAAGATTTAGAAAACAATGTTAATAAAGTTTTAGTAAGATAGCCCACTGGGTTTATTTTTCTTTTAGAAGGAATGGTAGATAAAAATATATTGTGTGAAGTAAGTGATGCAAAGATTGCAATCCATACAAGGTCATTCTTGATAGCATAATATCTTTTACATGAAAAAGAAGCCCAGACATACACACACGAGTAAGACGTGCTTTATTGTACATATTAGAAAGTAAATGATGAGTATCCAAGTTAAGCAATGCACATAACAGCTAAATAAATAAAAGTTGATAGGCTGAATATTCAATACTGGCTACATAGTATGATAGTTAATAGAGAAAAATGTAAATGTTTTGAAGCATGACAGCTATTGTACAATACGAACTACAAACAGCAATTCAAAATATGGCAGGAGAACTTTCTGGCCAGAATCCTGAGTTTTGCTTTTTCCAAACTCTCTAAAGCAGTTAGAGAGCACCGTTCCTGTGCCTCTGCTACCTCTGCCCAAGAGTATATCAATGTGGTCTACTGTTGGGAACCTCTCAATGGGTGAGGCATTGATCTATGGGAAGTCCCAACTCTGCCCAGATCATGATTGTTCTCCCCCTTCACAGTGACAGGTCTAACAGTGGCAGAGCAGCAGGGTGCAAGAACTGTAGTCTTTTCTAAACTCCATTCCTCTCGGAAGTTTTCATCTTTTCTCTTAATAGTTTCTGCTCACTTTTATTTTCCCTCTTATTAACTTTTATGTAATTACAGGGGAAGAGTAGAAATGGATCACCACCCCAATGTCTTCTTGTTCCATCTAGCTTCACTATCTATACAGACTTTCCTTTTCTCTAACAGCTTTTAGGCTTCTCTACATTTTTTTATTATTATTATTCTTTCCTGTCTTGAAAAATTCACCTGACACCAATCCCTTTTCTTGGTGTCTGTCTTCCCTCTGCAGGCCTTTTATCTGACTCTCTTCTCACAGGATATTGGATTTAATTTCTAAACTGTGCTAGAGGGTTTCCCCTTCTTGTTATCTCTGTCTCATACTGTATTCTCCAAAAGTATACATAACTAATAGTTATATACGTCAACTGTACATATTCCCATCTTATAATGAGCTTCTTATTCTATCTGTAGAGTTGTTTACCTAATTACCAGCCATCACAAAATTGTAAAATATTTAACTTATCAAACAAATCGATGACTTTATCAAAAAAACACAGTAACCTGTAAATAAATGTAATCAGAGTCACATAACAACAATGTGAATACTTTTCCAGTAATTAATGGACAGATGTCTAATATTCTGTTTTCTTGATTCTTCCTAAAAATCTAAACATGGTGTAAGTTCTCTGATGAGACTACAGACATCTGGTATCATCAGGAACTGCTGAGGCTGCAAGAGATGGCACCGCATGGAAGAAAGAGCTCTGCTCCCGGAACTGGAAGTTCCATGTCCAGGCTCACTCCATTCCCCATTGATTTCCACAACTTGTGTATGTCCCTTTTCCTTCACTTACCACACAGACTTAACAATAAATATGAATAAATTTTGAAGTCCTAAAAGAGCTGTAAATATGTACATTATTATTACTATTATTATTAATTCACATGAGAAATGACTTTATATATAAATTGATAGATGTACATTACTCAGGGAATAAAATAAGAGCTCTCCAATCAAGCAGTACTATCTTAGCTACTCCTTATATATGGAAGTAGAACCTATTTGCCAAACCTGACCAAAACCTTTCTCAGCTCCTAGTGACCTCGAGCAGGTTAACCTCTTAAATCCTCAGTTTCTTCACCTGTAAAATGGGAGTAATAATGATACTTTTCTCATAGAGTTGTTGTGAGAATTAAATAATCAACACTTGTCAAGTGCTTAGAACAGTGCATGGGGATAAATTATTCACTGCACATTTACTTTCAGTACACACCAACACATAGTAATAGAAAGGATGTTGAAAGTTCTCTAAGTGATGGCTAGACAAAAGATTATTGAAATTCAAATGAGGAAGATATTTCTGGCTGGAAAAACACGTATGTTGAGAATTTCACATTAACATGATCAACTTCTGACATTTATATATCACTTTGAAATATTTTAATTACATATTCTCTCCTCAATAAAGGGATACTTAATTTTCTCTACTTAAAATCTCCCAAGTTGTCAACTCCTTGACTCAATGACTCCTTATCTTCTACAACAGCAGTTCCCAATCTTTTTTACAATAACAGTACCTAAGATGAAATAATGTAATTTGTATAACACATTACCATGAATATACCCTAAGTTATACATAATTCCTAATGTGTTAGCTGTTTCTATATCCAAGTCAAGAAAGCCTCTCAAGAGAGCTCATTAGAGAGCCACATTGTCACAAAATATAATAATTTCCAACTTAGATACTTTGAATATCATTATTAAAATCAAGTTACACTAAATTTGACATTGTATTAAGGTGCAATATTCTAAAGCAGTTATAAGTGTGGGTTCTGGAGACAGATCATTGGGTTCAAACGCCCCTCTGTCACTTATTGATGTGGTGTCTTGAATGCATTTCTTAATTTCCCTATATCTCACATTTCTCAGTTATATAGTGGGCTAATAGCAATTCCCACCTCAGAGGGATATATAAGGATTAAATGAATCAATATATATAAAACATTTAGTACATCATATTACGTATTAACTATAATTTCTTTTGTTGTTTTGTGGAAATGTTGTGTTTGAGAGCCACTGTCTATATGAGAACATATAAACTCAGTGAGCGTATAAGTTTTCCTGATGTCACTCTCACTAATCTCTGATCTCTTTCAACACAATGCCACCTATACCTAAAATTCCGGTCCCTAAATTCATTATGCTCTGTCTCACCATTCTGTCTTTGCTCAGGCTATTTTCTCTAATTTCCCATTCTCTTTCCTCCTTACCCCTCTCTATATAATTCCTTCAAGATGAGGCTCAAGGGTCATGCACTTACAGAAGCTTAATCTTACTCCAACCCTGGGGAAGGTGCCCAACCACCTCTTTATGTCCTAACATGCAATATCGAAGCACTCGCAACATTCCACAGACTTACTATCCATTCTGTACCTGACCAAACATTTATTGCACAGATACTTTTTTAGAGCCTATTATGTGCTCAACACTGGGTGGACCCTCTGCAATCTTCACAAAACTATGGTCTTCTTAAGAAAGGCAAAAGTATCTATTATCTTTGTAAGCACTGCAGCAAAGACAGTGTTCAGTACTGAGCAAGTAATCAATAAATTATAGGAAAGCATGAAAGAGGCATCCCCTAATGATCCCAAGCAAATCCATGCTTCCCTCTTCATGACATTATGAACTTCATGTATATTTTCTGTCATCTTTTATATTCACAAACGGAGAGACCAAATAAATCCTCTCACTTTGTTATTAATGTGACATTAGAAACCACGGGGAAACTTTGACATATCTGTGAATGGGCTCTGAGTTAATCACCAGTAGCTGAAGTGGTTTTTATTACTGATGACCCTTGCATCTTGTTTTCCTAATGCGATTTCTAGTCTTAAATTAGGCTTGCAGTTGAATTACTTCAACCCTTTTTCAGGAAGAACTGATTCCATTACATATTGACTCATTTCAAATGACTGCCATGGAACTCTGGTCAATGTAGAAAGAGCATCGTTGAGTAGCCATAAGGAACTAACTCATTAGCTGTTTAATAATTCCTACAAGTTTGCCATCTTTTAAAAATGTCATTGTTTGTACTGAAACTGGCCACTCTGAGAAACAGAATTAAGTGGCGAATTTTTTTTTTGTCCACAAAAAAATTTCAAATGACAAATGTCTGTTAATATAGTCATTAATTTATCAAGGTTTAATAACAACACAGGTAAGAAATATAACTTTGACAGAGTGGGGTTCCAAGATGGCCAAATAAGAACAGCTCCAGTCTACAGCTCCCAGTGTGAGCGACGCAGAAGACGGGTGATTTCTGCATTTCCAACTGAGGTACCAGGTTCATCTCACTGGGGCTTGTCGGACAGTGTGGACAGGACAGTGGGTGCAGCCCACCGAGTGTGAGCCAAAGCAGGGCGAGGCATCGCCTCACCCGGAAAGTGCAAGGGGTCAGGGAATTCCCTTTCCTAGCCAAGGGAATGGGTGACAGACGGCACCTGGAAAATCAGGTCACTCCCACCTTAATACTGCGCTTTTCCAACGGTCTTAGCAAACGGCACACCAGGAGATTATATCCCACACCTGGCTCAGAGGGTCCCATGCCCACGGAGCCTCACTCATTGCTAGCACAGCAGACTGAGATCCAACTGCAAGGCAGCAGCGAGGCTGGGGGAGGGGCACACGCCATTGCTGAGGCTTGAGTAGGTAAACAAAGCAGCCCGGATTCCCTCAAACTGGGTGGAACCTACTGCAGCTCAAGGAGGTCTGCCTGCCTCTGTAGACTCCACCTCTGGGGGCAGGGCATAGCCAAACAAAAGGCAGCAGACCTCTGCAGACTTAAATGTCCCTGTCTGACAGCTTTGAAGAGAGTAGTGGTTCTCCCAGCACGGAGTTTGAGATCTGAGAACGGACAGACTGCCTTCTCAAGTAGGTCCCTGACCTCCAAGTAGCCTAACTGGGAGGCACCTCCCAGTAGGGGCAGACTAACACCTCACACGGCCGGGTACCCTTCTGAGACGAAACTTCCAGAGGAACGGTCAGGCAGCATCGTTTGCTGTTCAGCAATATTCACTACTCTGCAGCCTCCACTGCTGATACCCAAGCAAACAGGGTCTGGAGTGGACCTCCAGCAAACTCCAACAGACCTGCAGCTGAGGGTCCTGACTGTTAGAAGGAAACTAACAGACAGAAAGGACATCCACACCAAAACCACATCTGTACATCACCATCATCAAAGACCAAAGGCAGATAAAAACCACAAAGATGGGGAAAAAACAGAGCTGAAAAGCTGAAAATTCTAAAAATCAGAGCACCTCTCCCCCTCCAAAGGAACGCAGCTCCTCACCAGCAATGGAACAAAGCTGGATGGAGAATGACTTTGACAAGCTGAGAGAAGGCTTCAGATGATCAAACTTCTCTGAGCTAAAGGAGGAAGTTCGAACCCAATGCAAAGAAGTTAAAAACCTTGAAAAAAGATTAGACAAATGGCTAACTAGAATAACCAGTGTAGAGAAGTCCTTAAATGACCTGATGGAGCTGAAAACTATGGCACGAGAAATACGTGATGAATGCACAAGCTTCAGTAGCTGATTTGATCAACTGGAAGAAAGGGTATCAGTGATTGAAGATCAAATGAATGCAATGAAGCGAGAACAGAAGTTTAGAGAAAAAAGAGTAAAAAGGAAAGAACAAAGCCTCTAAGAAATACGGGACTATGTGAAAAGACCAAATCTACGTCTGATTGGTGTACCTGAAAGTGACAGGGAGAATGGAACCAAGTTGGAAAACACTCTGCAGGATATTATCCAGGAGAACTTCCCCAACCTAGCAAGGCAGGACAACATTCAAATTCAGGAAATACAGAGAACACCACAAAGATACTCCTCGAGAAGAGCAACTCCAAGACACATAATTGTCAGATTCACCAAAGTTGAAATGAGGGAAAAAATGTTAAGGGCAGCCAGAGAGAAATGTAGGGTTACCCACAAAGGGAAACCAATTAGACTAATAGCAGATCTCTCGGCAGAAACTCTACAAGCCAGAAGAGAGTGGGGGCCAATATTCAACATTCTTAAAGAAAAGAATTTTCAACCCAGAATTTCATATCCAGCCAAACTAAGCTTCATAAGTGAAGGAGAAATAAAATCCTTTAGAGACAAGCAAATGCTGAGAGATTTTGTCACCACCAGGCCTGCCCTACAAGAGCTCCTGAAGGAAGCACTAAACATGGAAAGGAACAACCAGTACCAGCCACTGCAAAAACATGCCAAATTGTAAAGACCATCAAGGCTAGGAAGAAACAGCATCAACTATTAAGCAAAATAACCAGCTAACATCATAATGACAGGATCAAATTCACATATAACAATATTAACCTTAAATATAAATGGGCTAAATGCTCCAATTAAAAGACACAGACTGGCAAATTGGATAAAGAGTCAAGACTGATCAGAGTGCTGTATTCAGGAGACCCATCTCACGTGCAGAGACACACATAGGCTCAAAATAAAGGGATGGAGGAAGATCTACCAAGCAAATGGAAAACAAAAAAAGGCGGGGGTTGCAATCCTAGTCTCTGATGAAACAGACTTTAAACCAACAAAGATCAAAAGAGACAAAGAAGGCCATTACATAATGGTAAAGGGATCAATTCAACAAGAAGAGCTAACTATCTTAAATATATATGCACCCAATACAGGAGCACCCAGATTCATAAAGCAAGTACTTAGAGACCTACAAAGAGACTTAGACTCCCACACAATAATAATGGGAGACTTTAACACCCCACTGTCAACATTAGACAGATCAACGAGACAGAAAGTTAACAAGGATATCCAGGAATTGAACTCAGCTCTGCACAAAGCAGACCTAATAGACATCTACAGAACTCTCCACCCCAAATCAACAGAATATACATTCTTCTCAGCACCACATCACACTTATTCCAAAATTGACCACATACTTGGAAGTAAAGCACTCCTCAGCAAATGTAAAAGAACAGAAATTATAACAAACTATCTCTCAGACCACAGTGCAATCAAACTACAACTCAGGATTAAGAATCTCACTCAAAACTGCTCAACTACATGGAAACTGAACAACCTGCTCCTGAATGACTACTGGGTACATAACGAAATGAAGTCAGAAATAAAGACGTTCTTTGAAACCAATGAGAACAAAGACACAACATAACAGAATCTCTGGGACACATTTAAAGCAGTGTGTAGAGGGAAATTTATAGCACGAAATGCCCACAAGAGAAAGCAGGACAGATCTAAAATCGACACCCTAACATCACAATTAAAAGAACTAGAGAAGCAAGAGCAAACACATTCAAAAGCTAGCAGAAGGCAAGAAATAACTAAGATCAGAGCAGAACTGAAGGAGATAGAGACACAAAAAAACTCTTCAAAAAATCAATGAATCCAGGAGCTGGTTTTTGAAAAGATCAACAAAATTGATAGACCGCTAGCAAGACTAATAAAGAAGAAAAGAGGGAAGAATCAAATAAACGCAATAAAAAATGATAAAGGGGATATCACCACCAATCCCACAGAAATACAAACTACCATCAGAGAATACTATAAACACCACTGCGGAAATAAACTAGAAAATCTAGAAGAAATGGAAAAATTCCTCGACACATACACCCTCCCAAGACTAAACCAAGAAGAACTTGAATCCCTGAACAGACCAATAACAGGCTCTGAAATTGAGGCAATAATTAATAGCCTACCAACCAAAAAAAGTCCAGGACCAGACGGATTCAGAGCCAAATTCTACCAGAGGTACAATGAGGAGCTGGTACCATTCCTTCTGAAAATATTCCAATCAATAGAAAAAGAGGGAATCCTCCCTAACTCATTTTATGAGGCCAGCATTATCCTGATACCAAAGCCTGGCAGAGACACAACCAAAAAAGACAATTTTAGACCAATATCCCTGATGAACATCGCTGTGAAAATTCTCAATAAAATACTGGCAAACCAAATCCAGAAGCACATCAAAAAGTTTATCCACCATGATCAAGTTGGCTTCATCCCAGGGATGCAAGGCTGGTTCAACATACGAAAATCAATAAACGTAATCCAGCATATAAACAGAACCAAAGACAAAAGCCACATGATTATCTCAATAGATGAAGAAAAGGCCTTTGACAAAATTCATCTGCCTTTCATGCTAAAAACTCTCAGTAAATTAGGTATTGATGGGATGTATCTCAAAATAATAAGAGCTATTTATGACAAACCCACAGCCAATATCATACTGAATGGGCAAAAACTGGAAGCATTCCCTTTGAAAACTGGCACAAGACAGAGATGCCCTCTCTCACCACTCCTATGCAACATAGTGTTGGAAGTTCTGGCCAGGGCAATCAGGCAGGAGAAAGAAATAAAGGGTATTCAATTAGGAAAAGAGGAAGTCAAATTGTCCCTGTTTGCAGATGACATGATTGTATATTTAGAAAACCCCACTGTCTCAGCCCAAAATCTCCTTAAGCTGATAAGCAACTTCAGCAAAGTCTCAGGATACAAAATCAATGTGCAAAAATCACAAGCATTCTTATACACCAATAACAGACAAACAGAGAGCCAAATCATGAGTGAACTCCCATTTACAATTGCTTCAAAGAGAATAAAATACCTAGGAATCCAACTTACAAGGGATGTGAAGGAACTCTTCAAGGAGAACTACAAACCACTGCTCAACAAAATAAAAGAGGATACAAACAAATGGAAGAACATTCCATCCTCATGGATGGGAAGAAAATATCATGAAAATGGCCATACTGCCCAAGGTAATTTATAGATTCAATGCCATCCCCATCAAGCTACCAATGACTTTCTTCACAGAATTGGAAAAAACTACTTTAAGGTTAATATGGAACCAAAAATAGAGCCCTCATTGCCAAGACAATCCTAAGCCAAAAGAACAAAGCTGGAGGCATCACGCTACCTGACTTCAAATTATACTACAAGGCTACAGTAACCAAAACAGCATGGTACTGGTACCAAAACAGAGATATAGACCAATGGAACAGAACAGAGCCCTCAGAAATAATACCACACATCTACAACCATCTGATCTTTGACAAACCTGACAAAAACAAGAAATGGGGAAAGGATTCCCTATTTAATAAATGGTGCTGGGAAAACTGGCTAGCCATATGTAGAAAGCTCAAACTGGATCCCTTCCTTACACCTTATACAAAAATTAATTCAAGATGGATTAAAGACTTAAATGTTAGACCTAAAACCATAAAAACCCTAGAAGAAAACCTGGGCAATACCATTCACGACATAGGCATGGGCATGGACTTCATGTCTAAAACACCAAAAGCAATGGCAACAAAAGTCAAAATTGACAAATGGGATCTAATTAAACTAAGGAGCTTCTACACAGCGAAAGAAACTACCATCAGAGTGAACAGGCAACCTACAGAAGGGGAGAAAATTTTTACCATCTACTCATCTGACAAAGGGCTAATATCCACAATCTACAAAGAACTCAAACAAATTTACAAGAAAAAAACAACCCCATCAACAAGTGCGCAAAGGATATGAACAGACACTTCTCAAAAGAAGACATTTATGCAGCCAACAGACACATGAAAAAATGCTCATCATCACTGGCCATCAGAGAAATGCAAATCAAAACCACAATGAGATACCATCTGACACCAGTTAGAATGGCGATCATTAAAAAGTCAGGAAACAACAGGTGATGGAGAGGATGTGGAGAAACAGGAACACTTTTACACTGTTGTTGGGACTGTAAACTAGTTCAACCATTGTGGAAGACAGTGTGGTGATTCCTCAAGGATCTAGAACTAGAAACACCATTTGACCCAGCCATCCCATTACTGGGTATATACCCAAAGGATTATAAATTATGCTGCTATAAAGGCACTTGCACACGTATGTTTATTGCGGCACTATTCACAGTAGCAAAGACTTGGAACTAACCCAAATGTCCATCAGTGATAGACTGGATTAAGAAAATGTGGCACATATACACCACGGAGTACTATGCAGTCATAAAAAATGATGAGTTCATGTCCTTTGTAGGGACATGGATGAAGCTGGAAATCATCGTTCTCAGCAAACTACCCCAAGAACAAAAAACCAAACACCGCATGTTCTCACTCACAGGTGGGAATTGAACAGTGAGAACACATGGACACAGGAAGGGGAACATCACACACTGGGGCCTGTTGTGGGGTGAGGGAAGTGGGGAGGGAAAGCATTAAGAGATATACCGACAAGTTAATGGGTACAGCACACCAACATGGCACATGTATACACATGTAACAAACCTGCACGTTGTGCACATGTACCCTAGAACTTAAAGTATAATAAGAAAAAAGGAAAAAAAAGAAATGCTATTTACATTAAAAAAAGAAATATAACAAATATATTTGATTAAGCAATATTCACACATATTTTACATGATAAATTATGCTCACATTTTCCTGTTTTATTTCTCTCCATCCTATACGTTAGGTATTTCATAAATTTTGATGTGTATTAATTTTGTTTTTGAGGAGGGTGGTGGAAAGGGTCTCCCTCTGTCACTCAGGCTGGAACTCGGTGGTGTCATCTTGGCTCACTGCAACATCTGCCTCCTAGGATCGAGGGATCCTCCAACCTTGGCCTCCTGAGTAGCTGGGATCACAGGCCTGTGCCACCATGCCCAGCTAATTTTTGTAATTTTTGGTAGACATAGGGTTTTGCATGCTGCCCAGGCTGGTCTTGAACTCCTGGGGTCAAGCAATCCTCCCTCCTTGGCCTCCCAAAATGCCAGAATTACAGGCATGAATAAATGTGCCCAGCCAAAAGTGGATTAATTTTTTAAAATGGTTTTCACACTGGGTGCAGTGGCTCATACTTT
Source organism: Homo sapiens (assembly GCF_000001405.40). Taxonomy (NCBI): domain Eukaryota; kingdom Metazoa; phylum Chordata; class Mammalia; order Primates; family Hominidae; genus Homo; species Homo sapiens. The sequence goes on from NC_000007.14 coordinate 126,620,048, forward strand.
GGGAATCTGAGGTAGGAGGATCTCTTCAGGCCAGGAGTTCAAGACCAGCCTGGGCAACACAGTGAGACCCCCATCTCTACCAAAAGATAAATTAGCCAGGCATGGTGGCATGCACCTGTACTCCTCATTACTCAGGAGGCTGGGGTAGAAACATCGCTTGAGACCAGGAGCTTGAGGTTACAGTGAACTAGAATTGCGCTACTGCACTCCAACTCCAGGTGACAGAGCAAGATGCTGTCTTAAAACAAACTTTTCCATCCACATGTGCTAGTGCAGAAATGGAAACAAACAACATGGAGTTGTGAGGTAATGTTTACTCATCAGGTGCTACCCTTAGATGTCACACATCTCCTTGAATATTTTCTGTTCAATAAGAAATGTGTGAAAAAGTATATTTTTATTCGTAGGCATCTCAAGCACTCCAACATGGTTTTGTAGGGAAAATGATATATTCAATGAAGGTTTTTTTTTTCAAATGTTGGCTCTTTTGAATATTGCGCAGGGGAAGAATATGGGCTTGGGATGCAGGGACTAGAGTCTGCTTTCTGGCTCTACCAATTATCCGTGTGATCTGAGTAAGTTACCCTCCTTAAGCCTGTTTTCTCATCTGCCAAGCAGGCATAATAACCCCAACCTTCCTAAACTGTTGCATGAGATGACAGTGTATATGACTGGTACACAATAGATGTGCAATGAACGCAAACACTCATCATCTTCCATTCCTTTGGCTGCACTTATGCCCCCTTAGTATACATTTTCTTGTTTACACCATGCAAAACACAATGTAAAAATAATGCATTCACCTTTATGTGCAAAAATTATACATCTCTTTGTTAGTGCAATCCTCTCAGTTTTTTGTCAAGTTTATTCTTCCCTGCTCCCCTCATGCTACCAAAACCTTATTTTCCTGATCATCACTGCCTAAACTATTGGAAAAGCAGGAAAAAAATAAGAAAGCTAGAAATGAAATGGGTTAATTTAGTAATTTTTAGCACCCTTAAATAAAGAATAAATATGTGAGATTTGTCATTGACCAAAATGCCATAGGAAGTAGCAATTTTCAACAGTGTCTCAATTATTCATGCTCTCTTTCCTTATCCAATTTACTTTACTAAGTATTTATTACACTTAAATAGATTCACATATTTGAATTAAAATCATATAGTTTTATTATTTAGGAACTTGATTACTCTTACATGTATCAATTACTCACCCCAGTTCTCTGAAGCCTTTAGCATGTGACTTACTGTATTCTCCTCCAACCACATTTCTGTTATCTCTTTGGTGGTAGTATAATTTACTCAACACTCAACATCCTGGCTGCAGAGTTAGACTTACTTATTTCCAATTACCTTTTTTGTTTGTTTGTTTGTCTGTTTGTTTGATTTGAGATGAAGTCTTGTCTCTGTCCTCCAGGCTGGAGTGAAGTGGCTCCATCTCGGCTCACTGCAACCTCCGCCTCCCAGGTTCAAGTGATTCTCCTGTCTAAGCTTCCTGAGTAGCTGGGATTACAGGCATGTGCCACCATGCCTGGCCAATTTTTGTAGTTTTAGTAGAGACAGGGTTTCACCATGTTGGCAAGGCTGGTCTTTAACTCCTGACCTCAGGTGATCCACCCACCTCTGCCTCCCAAAGTGCTGGGATTACAGGTGTGAGACATCATGCCTGGCCCCAATCACCATTTAAAAAAAAAAAATCATTCACGCATCTTGACACATACTATCATAGTCACTCTCTGGAAATTGTCTTGTCTAGTAACCATATCATCTCCAAAAGTTTCCTCTTTGGACACCACCTTCCATCCTCACTGCAACAATTCTATGATTTCCTACACTTCCCAATTCATTAATCACCCTGTTTTGTCACACTGCTTCGCTCCCATGATAGTGACTCTTCTCTCCTATTCCTAGACATGTTCTATGATCTTTCTAGGGAATACCCTCTATTCTCTTGCGCTTCTCTCTGTCCAGTGAATTGCTCTATCAAAATCACAGTCATTGTACAATTAAATTCAATTGTACATCTTCTTTGCCTGCACCCAAGAAGCTGAACATTGTTTAATAAAATGATAAAATTTTATTGTCTGACAAGACCAGGACTAGGCTGAGGCAAATGAGATGCCCAGGGCATGACTCCGAGAGGGAATCTATCTCCCTGAATTTTGCATGCTAGGTGCCTCACTTCCTTTACCTTGTCCCTGCTGTCTGGTCTTACTTTAAATTCATACCCTCAGATTTCACATGGACAATCAGCATTGCTCTGCAATCCTATCACACTTTCCCAGTTGGCCCATTTCCCCCTCGCTTCTAGGTAATATTTGACTGTTTCATGACTTATTCTCATCCCTCACATATCCAACACCTTCCTTCCCCTGTCATTCCGGCTTGCTTCATACGTTTCCACTGAGAAAAGACAGCAATACAAAAACTTCCTCATCATTCCACCACAAAATCTACCGCCTACCTGTATCCACACTCATATTCTCCCATCCCTCCTGATGCAACACATATCCCAGGTCCAATCAAAGGAATGTCCTCCCTTGGTGCTGGGGCCCCATCACTCTCACCTTCCATGCACTTTCAGTTCAGTTATCTTTTCTTTCTTTTACATAAACAAATTTAGACTTTTGGCAGAAGTATCCCCATCAATTTACAAATCAGTTCTAATAGCTCTCAAGAAGAAAGCAACTAAAATCCGTTACTCTATCCCCACAGACTCATTCAGCTACTGCTTCATTTTTCACTCCCTTCATGGTAAAATTGTGTTCATTTTCTCCACTTTCTTATTTCTCTTTTACTCTTTGACACATTTTAAGTTAAAATTTAACCTCATTCCTCCACTGATGAGTCTCAAATTTATATGTCTAGCCCTGAATGCAGACTTTTCCAATTATCTGTATCTCCACGTTATTGTTTGATAATTATCTCAGACACAATGCTTGATTCTTACATATTTCCAAACATGTTCTTCAGACAGTCATCTCCGCTTAGTAAGCAGCTTACTGTCCAACCATTCAATCAATTCAAAACCTAATTTAATACCCACATCTATAGCAACACACAGGACTAAATCTTAATGTAAACTAAGTTAATAATGATGTATCATACTGATCCATTAGCTTTCATACATGTACCACATTCATACAAGATGTTAACGGTTGGGGGAGCTATGTGTGTGTGGAGGGGTGTAATATAGAAATTGTGCTCTATGTTCAGATTTTTTGTAAATGTAAATTATTTTCTTAAAAAGTCTAAATTTTTTTAATGGTGACATTAATTTTAATATACTTTATGTAAACTAACATATGAAAAATATCACATCAAAATATAATCAATATAGAAATATTGAGGTACTTTATGCACTTATTTCCTAAGTCTTCAAAATCTTATGTATACTTTATACTACAGCTTATCACAATTCAGATTAGCCCTGTTTCAACTGCTCAACACCCACATGGTTAGTGCTGACCAGATTAAAACAACACAGGTCTAAAAGGCAGATAATTTCAGCAGCCACTGCTCCCTCGCTCCAACACTCCATTCACTGGGGATGAAGGCCCACTGCTGAGCCTTTCTCATCTGGCCTCCTCTTCAACTGGACTGAACCCCCCTTCAATCATTTCTTCCCTAAATGTATGTGGACCAACCAAAGACTGACGTATGGCTCAGTGGATGCCAGATCTGGAGACCAGATCCTAAAATAAAATCTAAACTTCTCCAGAGGTAAAAATAAACAAGGCCCATATCTAGGCCAGGCATGGTGGCATACACCTGTAATTCCAGCCACTTAAGAGGCTGAGTTGGGAGGATGGCTTGAGCCCGGGAGGTGGAAGCTGCAGTGAGCTGTGATAGCACCACTGCACTCCAGCCTGGGTGACAGAGAGAGAACCTGTCCCCACCCCCTGCTCAAAAAAGCTTACATCTAATGCATGGACAGGTTCTATCTTCAGAACGTATCTAGAATTTGCCCATTCTTTTTACCCCCTCTTGCATTAACCTTGTCTTGGCTACTATAACCTCTCCCTGAACTCTTAGCAGGTATCCTGCATTCACACTGAACAACAACAATCCACTCTCTACCCTACAGTCAGAATGTCAATGAAACACAAATCAAATAATATCCCTCTTCTTGATATCCTTCAATGGCTTCCCATTTCACTTAGAATAAAACTCAAAGGCTTATCATGGCCTTTAAGTCTCTTATTTATCTGATCTTGCTCATTTTCTGTACTCCTTCCAACCTGGTCTTCTTTCTGTTTGCAAGCACATGAAGGTTGCTCTCTCTCAGGGATTTTCTGTTTTCTCTTCCCAGTGTTCTTCCCGACTTGATCTTCTGACTGGCTTCTTTCATTACTCGTATCCCACCCAAAATATCAAGAGAGGCTTGTCGGATCACCATATCTAATTTAGCCTGATTTCTATCCCTGTCATTCACTATTACACACATTATTGCCTTCATAGTACTTTTAAATATCTAAAAATATTTGGTTTGTTTAACTGATCGATATAAATCGCTGGATGATATGCCTGTGATTGTGGAAAATATTTCTATCACATTCTCCACCATATATATAGCTCAGACTATTGGATGAGGATCCAAATAAATATTATCTTTTTCCTGGGCACATAGCTAGGCTACCCTTTTCCAGTCTTCCTTGCACTTAGGCATGGCCAAATTATTAGTTCAGACAATCAATTGTGAGCACACGTGATATGCACTACATAGGAGGGCATTAAAACCCCCTAAGTGGTCTTCTATGGTCTTTTCTCTTCCTAGCTGGCTAGAATGAAAATGTTATGCTGGACACTTTGAGCATCTGCATGTTAAAAACGACAGAACTTACATTAGGCTGGATTCCAGCGTGAGTGCATGAATATCCGTGCTACTAACCTGTTAATCCACCATTCCTTTAGCATAATTGTGTGAGTATAAAACAAACTTCTATTCTGTTTGAGTCATTACAGGTTGTCAGTCTATTTCTTCCAGCAGACACCCATAACATCCAAATATCTAGTGAGTTCTCAATGAATAGTTATTAAATGAATAAGTGAAATCATATTAAGTCTGGAAATAAATGTTTCACTTCATGTCACATTATAAAGCTTCAAGAATAGTGTAGAGTGAGTATCAGACACTGGCATGGATTAATAACTTGTTTCAGATTGTCCTTAAGAGTTAATACTCATTACTTCAATGTGGATATATATAATATAAGGTGGACTTGAGAAAGTGTAATCATTCTTCAGAATTGCACTGGATAAGTATCCATGTTTATTTACCTTGGCTAAAATACACAATTCGTTTCCATAAAAACCAAATATAGAAGTATTAAAAATGTGTGCCCAATTTTAGGTTGAAAATGGCTTTAACTGTTTTGGTGTGTTAAAAAAAAAAAGACACGACAAGAAATGTAGTTGAATAGCATTTCTAATTCTCTGAACCAACTCTTCTTCTTGATCTATCAAAAAACTGAGATAACAGTAATTTCTCCTGTGGAAATGTCTTCATGATCCTTGGATAAAATGTGCTTTAAGGTTGCAAAGTGTCATTGTCATTAATGAATAGCACTATTTGAGAAACAGAAATAGACCCTATAATTGCATTTATAGTACTCAAATAAGCTGATTCAACTTTTAAAATAGGAAAAGACCCATTATTCTGTGATATGCATCTCAGGGAAGCAGATGAATTAGGAGGTTTAAATAAAATCTCTTGTAAGAAAAGTAACCACAGAGACTATTAAAATATCAAATGTTTGGCTAAAGGAAATAAATAAAAAAGAACATATAATAATTAGGCAAGATTAGGTAATATATCTTAAAATGAATGTGAGAACAAACCAAAATACGTTACAATACCCTGAATCTAATATATTTTCATTCTGTAACAGAAATCCTCTTTTCATCTTATGTACTTGAAGCCCTTTATTATTTTTTCTGGGGTACATTAAATACTTTACATATAAAAATGTGTATATATGACTTCCATTATAAAAAGGACTTTGCTTTATTAATCATTGTATCTCTAATAGTGATGATTACATATATGAGAGAAGTGTGTGTGTGTGTGTGTGTGTGTGTGTGTACATATGGTCCAACCTTTTCAAATTTGCTGTACTAGGAAAAGGTCTTTCATCAACTAGTCCATTGTGTTGGTGGAAAAAGAAAGATTCTCTTTCCATCTGGATTTACAAGAGTCACATTTATCAGTCTTTATAATGATGCTCTCATGGCTTGTATAAGAATCTCTTTTGTACCCCCAAGTCTAAAAGTTATTAGTTTACATTTTTTACTAAGAGTTTTTAAATTATGCTGTTGATATTTTCATTTAATATACCTGTAGTTGACATCCCTACCATAGTAGGTAAGGGATATGAGGTAGAAATACAATTTCACTTTTTTTCTATATTGGTAGCCATTTTTTCAGTTCTTTTTGTTGAATAATACCCTATTTCCTACTGGCTGGAGCAATGCTTCTATTTTATATCTAAGATCTGTAAATGGATCTTGTTCTGGCCTATCCTGTTGCATTCACCATTTGTCCATCCTTGACACAATACCAATGGTCAATATAAATTACTAAAGTTTTATAATAAGACAAAGCAGTATGACAAGTTTCCTATTTTTCTTTCTTAGAAGTGTTCTACCTTCTCTTTGCTTTATACTTCTCCATATAAAATGTAGAACAATCTGGCTGGCATGTTGGCTCATGCCTGTAATCCTAGCATTTGGGGAGGCTCAGGCAGGAGGATCGCTTGACCCCAGGAGTTTGAAACCAGCCTGGGCAACAAAGTGAGACCTTGTCTCAATTAAAATATTTTTAAAATGTAGAACCGTCTTAATAATTTCCATGAACAACACTGTATAGATTATCACTGGAGAATTTATAAAATCTGTAAATCAATTGGGAAAGATTTAATATCTTTATATTGTCTTCCTAACCATGTGTATTGCTTGCTTCCATTATTTAGACCTTCTCTTATAAGTCTTAAAACAGTTATATAATTTTCTTTTCATAGCACCTAACCATTTTTGTACATTTATTCCTAGATAATATTATCTGATACTATTGTTAATGTTTCTTAAACTACATTATCTATTACTTTGCTGTTAGTATACAAAATGCAGCTAACTTTTTCTGTATCAGTCTTATAGCTAGCTCAGTGGTTGAGGTGATTTTGTCCCTCACAGGATATTTGGCACAATGTCTGGAGATATTTTTGATAATCCCAACTGGGAAGGTGATGTTATTGGCAACTAGTGGAAGAGGTCAAAGATGCTACTAAACATCCCACAAGGCACAGGACAGTGTCCTACAGCAGTAAATTATCCAAAATGTCAGTAGTTTCATGTTTCAGAAACCGTTGCAAATTCTTTTATTATACCTAATAATTGATCTCTAGATTTTTTATTTCTATGGAAAGCATCAAGTTTTCTGCAAATATTTATATTTTTATGTCTCCCTTAACAGTTCTTGTAGCTTAAATATTTTTTTCTTCTTTTCTTATTGTACTATCTAGGACCTTCAGTACAATGCTAATAAGAAGTGGCAATAGTGAACACCTTTGCATTTTTTTTAACTTTAAAAGAATGCCTCCCATATTCCCCAGTTAGTATCATATTCATTTAGGCCTTTTATGTGCACTTTTCATCAGTTTAAGAAAGTCCCTCATATTCTAAATGAACTAATATTTTTATTATGAATATATTTTAAATGTTAGCAATCTTTTTTCCTTTAATCTGTTACCATAATGAATTATATTTCTATATTTCTAAATGTTGCATTATGGAAACATGGAGTGAACACAACTTGATTTCAATAATTTGCATTTTTATTCACTATTGGATTCGATCTGCTAATGTTTTGTTTAGAATGTTTACATTCATACTTATGAGTGAGAAGGATCTGTAATTTTTGTTTCTTATAATGTTCTTCTTGTTTGGGTATCAGGTTATACTGACCTCAAAGAATAAATGGGAAAGTAGTCCCTCTTTTTCTTTTCTTTTTTTTTGTTCGAGACACAGCCTCGCTCTGTCGCCCAGGCTGGAGTGCAGTGGCGTGATCTCAGCTCACTGCGACCTCCACCTCCCAGGTAGTTCAAGAGATTCTCCTGCCTCAGCCTCCTGAGTAGCTGGGATTACAGGCGTGTGCCACCATGCCCAGCTAATTTTTGTATTTTTAGTAGAGACAGGGTTTCACTGTGTTGCCAGGATGGTCTCGATCTCCTGATCTCGTGAACCGCCTACCTCAGCCTCCCAAAGTGCTAGGATTACAGGCGTGAGCCACTGTGCCCAGCCTAGTCCCTCTTTTCCTATTGCCTGCAAATGTTTGAGTAAACTTGTAATAATATCTTTCTTGAAAGTTTTGTATAGCTCAACTGGAATTGCCCTAAATGCCCACAGGATAGTGAACAAATCAATCATGGTATATGGTAAATTCATACAATGGAATATTATACTGCAGTCAAAATGGATGAACTACAGAGATGGCCACAAATATAGATAAATCTCAGCAATATATTAAATGAAAAAAGTAAGTATACAAAATACATTTTATAAATGTGTAACAATTACTTAAAATTTTTTCATTCATTTTGAGAAAGATGCAAGACAAATGTATTTTAAAAGGCAAAGGAGTGTTGTTAGTTATTCAGGAGGAATGAGAATGGGTTGGTAATTTAAATACATGTTTAAATATAGCTTTTTGTCAAAATACTAGCTTTTGGGGACATAAGAGTGTTTTCATAGATGCATATTACATTTTTAAATAACTAACTAAATAAATGAAAGTCACTTTGCATGGATCAATGATAACTATGTGTCATAAGCCAAACAGCCAATAAATAGAGGAAAAAAAAGCAGAAGAGGGAGGAGGAGGAAAAAAGGAGAGGAAGGGATAATGAAAGAGTGAGGGAAGGAAATGAAAGGTAGAAATAATAAATCAAATAACAAACATTAAAAAAATGGGGAAAATCCACACTAAAACTATGGAAAAGAAAGGTATACTAAACAACAATTCTTTAACTTTCGTGTAACTCTGTGAATTAACTGACTGCTACTTAGGCTTGCTATTGTGCCCATGGAGAATATGAATCCTCCCCGGAGGTCAATGAACCCAGACAAAATAGGTCACATACAGAATTGCCTTTACCCAATTCTCTAAAGCAGCTTTTCTGCACATTTTTAGATTTTACATCAGTCAACCTTCTGTCTGTTATTTCCGGTTTATAAACTATAACTGTGTGGGATTAGAATCGCATTACATTTTTAAGCCAAAAAGCTTAATTCATTTTTTTTCACTTTGTACACTTTTTAAAGAGTAAAATCAGGCAGAAAGTCACCTCTTCCCAGTTGAGTCATTATTTCACTTCTTGTTAAGTTTCAAATTGTTCTTTTATCTTGGGTTATGCATGCCTTTGTAATAATTTATTGTTTGAATAAGGTATAGTCTTTCAATGCATTTAACAATTAATATTTTCTTAATGTTTGCAGAATTACAGTGAGCCAATCAAATACACAGGACTTTATAGGAACAGATGCCTAAGTGTCTAAAGAAATAAAAAAAATATCAAACTAGGAGAGATCTACTCATCTCTGACAATAATTTATGGATTTAACTTAAAAAGATAGCAGATAATTTATTTATAATGGACCTGATTTTCTGTAATTACATGAACTGTCAATGAATATTAGGCCACTGTGATAGATGTGAATTGTCTATGTTACTATGGTGATTTGAGGTGTTTCTATTCTACACTGCACGCATAACAATGTGGAGCATAATTAAAAGACATAGTGAAATATATTTTAAAATTGCTGTCAATTAAAAAGCAAAACATAGTCTGACTTTAGCATAATCCTTTCAGAAGCTGGCCTATCAAACTGATGAAAACAATAATTATTAGTTAATATATTGTCTTTTCAAATGTATCTAAAACATTTACAAAAATGATTATTTTCTGCCAAAATGAAATGCTAGCAATCATGATTTTGAAATCTTAGTTCATATTCTCTGACCATTATGTGATAAAACATGAAATTCTTAACAAAAGCCTTAAAAAATTAAAAAGTTAACACAACACCAAATAAGAAAAAAACAATAGCCTCCAAAGATTTAGAACAAAAAACTAAGCACTTATTTTAATTAATTAGTCAAAGAAAAAATTAAAATTAAAATCATAGAGTGCTATTTAACAGATAACAATATATCAAAATACCTAAAGAATGTGACCAAGGCTGTCATCAGAGGAAAATTTAGAGAATAAAAAGTTTTATTGACCAGGAAGAAATTGAATCCCTGACTAGACCAATAACAAGTCTGAAACTGAGGCAGTAATAAATAGGCTACCAACCACAAAAAGTCCAGGACCAGACATATTAGCAACTGAATTGGTATCTACCAGAGGTACAAAGAAGAGCTGGTACCATTCCTACTGACACTATTCCAAAAAATTGAAAAGGTTGGATTCCTCTCTAAGTCGTTAAATGAGGCCAGCATCTTCCTAATACCAAAACCTAGCAGAGATACAACAACAAAAAACTTCAGGCCAATATCCTTGATGAACATCAATGGAAAAACGCTCAACAAAATACTAGCAAACTGAATCCAGCAGCACACACAAAAGTTTATCCAGGATGATCAAGTAGACTTCATCCCCGAGATGCAAGGGTGGTTCAACATATACAAGTCAACAAATGTGATTCATCATGTACACAGAACTAAAGATAAAAATCATATGATTATCTCAATGGATGCAGAAAAGGCCTTTGATAAAATTCAACATCCTTCATGTTAAAAACTCTCAATAAACTAGGTATTGAAGGAACATGCCTCAAAATAATAAGAGCCATAGACTACAAACCCACACAGCCAATATCATATTGAATGGGCAAAAGCTGAAAGCATTCCCCTTGAAAGCTGGCACAAGACAAGGATGCCCTCTCTTACCATTCCTACTCAACACAGTATTAGAAGTTCTAGCCAGGGCAATCAGGCAAAATAAAAAAATAAAGGGTATTCAAATAGGAAGAGAGGAAGTCAAATTATCTTTGTTTGTAGATGACATGATCCTATATCTAGCATAGAAAACCCTATAATCTGTCTAAAAGATTCTTATGTTGATAAACCACTACTGCAAAGTCTCATGATACAAAATCAATGTGCAAAAATCACTAGCATTTCTATACACCAACAGGCAAGCCAAGAGCCAAATCATGTATGAACTCCCTTTCACAACTGCCACAAAAATAATAAAACACCTAGGAATATAGCTAACAAGGGAAGTGAAGGACCTCTTCAAGGAGAACTACAAACCACTGCCCAAAGAAATCAGAGATGACACAAACAAACGGAAACTCATTTCATAATCATGGATAGGAAGAATCAATATCGTAAAAATGGCCATACTGCCCAAAGCAATTTATAGATTCAATGCTATTCCCATTAAACTACCAATGATATTCTTCACAGAATCAGAAAAAAACTATCTTAAAATTGATATTAAAAACAAAAAAAAACTCGCATAGGCAAGACAATCGTAAGAAAAAGGAACAAACCTGGAGGCATCATGCAACCTGACTTCAAACTATACTACAAGGCTACAGTAACCAGATAGCACGGTACTGGTACAAAAACAGGCACGTAGACCAATATAACGAATAGAGACTCAGAAATAAAACCACACATTTACAACCATCTTATCTTTGACAAACCTGACAAAAACAAGCAATGGCAGAAGGACTCCCGATTTAATAAATGGTGCTGGGAGAACTGGCTAGCCATATGCAGAAAATTGAAACTGGATCCCTTTTTTACACCTTATACAAAAATTAACTCAAGATGGATTAAAGACTTAAATGTAAAACCCAAAACTATAAATCCCTAGAAGAAAATCTAGGCAATACCATTCAGGACATAGGCATGGGCAAAGATTTTGTGATGAAATCATCAAAAGCAATTGCAACAAAAGGAAAAATTGACAAATTGGATCTAATTATACTAAAGAGCTTCTGCACAGCAAACAAAACTATCATCAGAGCAAACAGACAACCCACAGAATGGGAGAAAATTTTTGCAATCTATCCATCTGACAAAGGTCTGATAGCCAGAATCTACAAGAAACTTAAGCAAATTTATAAGAAAAAAACAAACAAGTCCATTAATAAGTGGGCAAAGAATAGAAACAGATACTTCTAAAGAAAAGACCTATGTGCAGCCAACAAACATATGAAAGAAAGCTCAACATCACTGATCATTAGAGAAATGCAAATCAAAACCACAATGAGATACCACCTCATGCCAGTCAGAATGGCGACTATTAAAAAGTCAAGAAACAACAGATGCTTGTGAGGTTGTGGAGGAACAGGAACACTTTTACACTGTTGGTGGGAATGTAAATTAATTTACCCACTGTGGAAGACAGTTTGGCAATTCCTCAAAGATTTAAAACCAGAAATACCATTTGACCCAGCAATCCTATTATTCAGTATATACCCAAAGGAATATAAATTATTCTATTACAAAGATACCTGCACACATATGTTCACTGCAACACTATTCACAATAAAAAAGTCATGCAATCAACCTAAGTACCCATCAATAAGAGACTGGATAAAGAAAATGTGGTACATATACACCATGGAATACTATGCAGCCCTAAAAAGGAACAAGATAATGTCCCTTGCAGGGACATGGATGGAGCTGGAAGCCATTATCCTCAGCAAACTAATGCAGGAACAGAATATCAAATACTGCATGTTCTTACTTATAGGTAGGAGCTGAATGATGGGCACCTATGGAGACATGGGGGAACAACACACACTGGGGCCTGTCAGATGGTAGAGGATAGGAGGAGCGAGAGCATGATATAGAGACACGTTTTTTTAAAGTTAAGCACCAAAATTAGATTATTTTTGTTAGTAAAGTGTAAACTAATCTAATTTTTCCTCTTTATTATTTTATTTCCTGTAATAATCATTTTATTTTTATTAAAAATACATTAAAAATATTTGCTTTGAATATAGGAAATATGGAAGACCTGGAAGAATAAAATAAGAAAAGTTATATTTTGGTAAACAATACACATCGTATCAATGGCTAATATATGCAAATTTTAGCAGATAGAAGTAGCTCTCAGAATCTGCTGACCACAATGCTTTCCCCCATAAAGTGGAGAAGAAATGTGGAAGAGCCTAGTTCCATTACCCTGGTTCTGTAAAAAACAAACAAACAAACAAAAAACAAATTACAGTTCACCAGTGAGTCCAGTTCAAGTTGGCCAGACTTGAACTGAGAAGAACACTAATAATATTCATGTAGTTTCATCTAAAAGATGTTAGTACCAGAAAATAAAAAGGAAATGTGTGTGTTCAACAATTGATGAGCGCTAGCATCAATGCTCCTGAAGATCTTGATGTTATTCGCTCTTGGTCTGTGTCTATAGATAGATATAAGCTACTTGGAGCACTTGGATGACAAAATCTTTTTGATTAAAATGAAAACAATTGTTGTGCTAAAACAAATGATCGAAACAGTTTTCATGACACTGATATTCTTATATCATTTAATCTTAAATGTTGAAGACCTTTAAATAGTTAAAAACATATCTGTTTTTTTGAAAAGCACTAGGAATTAAATCCATGTCCAAAAATACAATTTTTTGTATGTTAAAATAACCTCTTTCACTAAATAACTATTTGGTACATATAGAATGTTCATATTAATCTATTTATATGTACCATATAAATATTATATGTACCATATAAATAACTATTTGGTACATATAGAATGTAAAAATTGAAAGAATTTAAGTCCCTATTTTATAATTAATTCCATTTAGTTTTAATGCTAATTAAGAGAGAACACTCTATTTCTCATATTTTTAGTATATCACAAGTATATGAAAAAATGCCTATTTTATCTTAAAACAGCTATGCTTTCAATGTAATTTTATAGATTTTATTAGTATATTAGTTATCTTTTACAGAAGATAAACTACATAGAATTTAGTTTAAATTAGGAATAAATTTCTTGGCTTCATTTAAAAGGAGAAGGAGGTTATTATTCATGATCATTAGAGGAAATATCCTATTGCCATTTTAAAGTTCTTTTATATGGAAACACACTGAATTAAAAAGTGAAGGAATTAAGATTGATTAGAAGTGTTTTAAAGTGGCTTTTAGATGTATCTGCAAAAATAAAAAGTCAGTTCTATCCCAGGCCATTATCAGCTGTCTTGTTAAGTGCCCCTAGCATTCTCATATTGAAGTCCTGCAGTGCCACATAAAATAAGTCCTGGGGAAGATCTGACCCCACCTTGTGAATTTCTCTGGGCTTTGCCTTATTTCCCCTTCTCATTCATCAACTGAATGGGTTTCCTGACCCCACAGGCAAGTGAAACTTGGTTTCTCACTTTCCTTGTTTCCTTTGCATTTCAAAACTTAGCTCTAGACTATTCAATCTCAATGTTATCTTAAACCCCTATAGTATCTGGGGTTTGCTCATATTTTCTACTGGCTGCAAGCTCAAAATTGGTGTACCAGAGCGCTTTCTAACATAGCCCAGTCCTCCAACACACCTAGAAACACACCTGCCTACCTTCTCCCCCTGGCCTTCCTGCCTTCCTTCCTCCCCCCACCTTTCAGGGAGATTGTACATTTTCATCATCTCCACTGAAATGATTACTAATATTATCAAATGATTATTGGGTCCTTATTTGCAGACGTTATGAGTATATGGAAATATAAGTCTAGCCTTTACTTAAGACAATACCTGAGATTTTAGTGATTTTATCTCCAAAGCAGTGATGTTAATGTTTACTTTTAATGATGAAATGTTAAATAATCTCCATGAGGGTCATGACTAGACAACCATCCAAAGAGAGAAGGGTCTAGCAGTAGAAAGAGCAGAGGCTTTAGACTCAAACCTGCCATCACTGTGAGATCCTGAGACACCATCCCTGTGCGTGTTCCCTCCTCTTACGGGGGTGAAAGTCACCCACATCATAGACTGGGCTGGAGAATTAAATGACTAAACATTTACAAAAGTGCTATATGTTGTCAATAATTGTTAGTCTCCCTCCCTCAGTGCCATGTCTATGAAAGTAGAATAAGTCAATAATTTTGTTCAGCCCAATAACTAATTAATTCAAAAAGCTAATTTTATCTTTCCTTGCCCATTGATTTGATCAAGAGTATAAAAAATAAACAAGTTGACATTTCATTTTCTTCAACATGAATTCCCGTTTGAAAAGAGTTAATGCCTTATAGCTATTTATGCTCATATTGGTGACTAATATCAACTTTCTGTATTTCCCACTATATTTGGCTAATTGAAAAATTTATCAACTGAATCCAACTAACTCTAAAAATATATATTAATTAAGAACATTAAACTCATACGACCCTTTACTTTGAGTATTGTTGCCTTCTGTTGAGGCCTAACTTTATAGAGTTTTAATGCAGTTATTTGTTCCTGAGAATAAAATTAAAATTTGGGTACATCACAAAATGTATTCTTTCAGAAATATAATTTTTACACCACATGCTCTGAGGAGTTTTTTTTTAATTTCTGTTATGAGTCTCATATTTTTGAACTACCTCTCCCTAAGAACTCTGGTACATTACTGGAATTAGCATCAGTAGGCAAAATTCCCTATCCAAATGCATAACACAGGTGGCATACCTGTTCTTTATCTTACTTGGGAGAGGAAACCTGATCCCTTGCTTTGTGCTGACTGCTACTCAGATCACAGACACACTTGTTAAAGGACTATAATGTGATTCAGCTCAACCATTAATTTATGAGATAATAAATTTACCACTTTATTCAAACAATATTAGATTTCCTAAATACACACAAGCATTTACACATCATAAATTCACCACTAAAACCACAAACATTCTTGTACTAGAAAGTTGATATTACAGGTAAATGGGGCTGGCATTTCACATATATGTATTTTTTCAATTCATAAGGGGATGTTTTACACATTCCAAAATGTCTGAAAAGAAAATAAAAATATTCTTTAGAATTTTTATGAAGCTATATTTTTCTTCCTTTGAAATTGCTAAATGCTTTATGCATTCTGATTTAAATGCCTTTTGGAATTGGGATTTCTGAAGTTTATAGATGCATTTACCTTTATGACTAAAAATCTCTCAGAAACTTATATAAAATACATATTTTGTATTTTTAAATTATGAGAACAGCATAGGAGAATAGTGTATATAATATGTAAAGTTATTCCCTGGGGTCCAGAGAGGCTTGGTTTCTAGGCCTCCCATGGATACCAAAATCCAAGGACACTCAAGTTCCCGATATAAAATGGCATATAACCTATGTACATCCTCCTGTATATTTTAAATTAACTCTAAATTACTTATACCTAATACAAGGTAAATATTATGTAAATAGCTGTTCCACTGTATTGTATAGGTAATAATGACAATAAAAAAGTCTGTACATGTTCAATACAAATGCAATTTTTTAAAAAATATTTTCCATCCATGGTTTTTTGAATCTACAGATGCAGAATCCATGGATACCAACGATACAAAAGAAGATTCTGCAACCCCCTTTTATCTGAAGGAAAAACAAAATCAGAGACCATACTTCTAGTTTTTTTTTCTGTCATCTGAAAGCTTGTAGGAATTCATCTAAGTCTGTAGGTTATCTCATTAGTTAATTTGTTCTTATACCCTAACTAAATTCAAACACAAAATAGGAATTTTTATAAAAATAACAAAAGCACAGTAATTGAAAGTGCCTTTAATAAACTGGATGCCTTGTGACATTTTATCTTTCAATAATATACAACTTATTTATATTTATTTAGGTTCTTTTTTCATTTTATTTAACTTTTGTTGCATGGATTTCTAAAGTTCTTCATCATCTCAATAGCAATGATGTTATTAAAATAGCTACGCCACATTTAAGGATAATTTGTAATGTTACCTTATAAGAACAAATGATCAAATTATCTCATTGGAGAGGAGGAAAAAAATAACACTTTATTGGCCCATTGTCAAGTTCATTGATTGTATATCAACAAAAGAAAACTATTATCTGAGGGCCAATATCCAATTAAATATGCTAGCATGCATGTGAAAATGCATTATCCAGGAGAGAATAATTAATTCAAAGCTCGAAGGAGTCATGACACCAGAAATCTATTTTTGAAATAGTCATACAATTTGGGTGCGAGGGAAGGATATGATAAGCAAAAAAAGAAAATAAAAGAAAACCATATTGCTTTAACTGTACAGAATCATATAAATAAAAATGACTAAGGAACAAAAATAAGGACTCTTGTTCTGGAGATGAGTAGTAGTGATGGTTGTTCAACAAGGTGAATGCACTTCACATCACGAAACTCAAAAATAATTAAAATGACATATTCTGTTATGTATATTTTACTGTAATTTAAAAAAAAGAAGTTAAATAAATAAATAAATAATGGTTCTGGATATTTCCAGATAACAAACCACCAAAAAGCAAATACAAAAATGGCTTAGACATCGTTGCTCTGTTGAAAGATACTTATTTCTCCTTGCACAAAATATTACAGTGTAGAACATTAATGTCTCCCTGAAACATGTGGCTAGAAAAGAAGCATTAGCCTGTTGTGTAGGCCAAATTTAATTTGAGTAATTATGTTCTTGCTACCTCGAAGTCCCTTGAAGTCTCTCATAATCTGTGTCCCTTCTATGCTTAATCTATTTACAGCAGTCTGTGGCCTTTCGAGTAATCATTACCATCTGCCCCTAAGGTAGCTGCATTTCAGCAGAAGGGATCATGATTTCTGTATTTTAGAAGTACCCAACATGAACAATTATTCCCCTGAAGGTAGATGATACAAATATATACGAGATCACCTGTGAAATAAATGAAAAATCTTCATAAAAATGGGTCATTTTTAGTAGTGATAATATTAATTTCCCATTCCTCCTATCTCCTGAAGTTTGTTTAAACTGACACTTTTCCATGATGAAGGTATATTTCGAAAATAAATAAATAAATAAAAGCATTATATACCACACTTTTCTGTAACATGGGTGTGATATGATTTTTTTAAATAATACATTTATATTTTTAAAATAAACTTTTATCAGGTGCTAAAATATATTTTTTGTTTAGTTTTGTAAACTGGGTTGCCTAAGTACCACTGATTAATTTTAATAACACTTCTTCTTTCCCTCATTGTGTTTCTAGAAAGAGCCAACTCTATCCACAAAAAGAAGGGGAGCATCTTGTATGACATAGAAGCCTCCAGATACCTTCCTACTGCTCTGGCACAAGGCAGAGAAATTCCCACTATTAGCATAACTATTTGGATTAACCACAAGATTATGTGTAAAATGCAAAAGAATTATTGCTTTGGGAAGTTAACCCACTAATTTGTTCATATATTAGCACAGACAACTTTATCTGTTAAATAACTCAATGCAGGATTCTGATGGGATGGGGCATATAGACAAGTAGGTTTATTTAGAAAGGCAGCCTAGAGTACTGGAAGGGGATGCTGGGTGGACATGTATTGTAGGTCAGCCAGAAGTCACTAGAGAATGGAATGGAGTACCATAGAGAGGGCCAGCAGGATAAAAAGCAATTGTCAAGTATAAATCACTAGGATGTACCTAAGATAACATTCGCCTGTGATGTAACTTAGTCTATCTTGCTTCTTAGGTGTATTTATAGAAGGTAGGGCACTACAGAACAAGTCAGAAACATCCCAGTCTAGACACCCTGGAGCCACTCATTCTCTCCCTGAATATACTATACCAGGTTCTTCACCAAGTAATTTCTGTAAGTTGTCCCATGTATCTTTCCTTTGACTGTGGGCCCAGTTTCACTGGCCTTCTGGGCACCCCACTGCCACTTCTGTACTCTACTTCAACCTCACTGCATTTTCCACCTCACGTGCCACTGAATCTCACCACACAATCTACTCTAGCCACGTGGTCCACTGGAGCTACACGCTGGCTTCCCCAGGGACATCCACTCTCCCAAAATTGCTCAAGCACTTCAAACAACCTAAAATGCGTATCTGTCTTTTCTTCTGCTATGAAACTCTGAATCTTCTTTCAAGTGCTTGTCCAGATGCCACTTCCTTGGCATGCTCTTTTCCTGCCATTCGGAAGTAACTTTAACACTTTGCTTGCATCTCTCTTTAGGGCATCTATTTTATTTTGCATGGAAGTGCATCTACTGACCACATAGTACATATGAGGTCACAAATTGTAAGAGGTAAGGATGTATCCTCCCATCCCCTGGCATAGTGCCTTACCCAAAGCAGATGCTTAACAACCATTTATTAAATTTATTTCCAGCAGTGTGGGGTCCAAAGGCCCAAAGGGGGAGTTATTTGAGAGTGCAAAGGGGCAAATAGAAGGGACATGAAGACAATTCCATAGGCTTATCTCTCGGCTTCTTTGTACCTTTCTGATAGTTTTCTTAATTTTCAGTCTCATTACATTAGTAGGGGTCATAACAGTGCTGGAAGCCAGTCTCCAGCAGGACTAGCTCATTCTGGAGTCACAGCCAAGCAAGAAGAGGCAAAGTTAGGACATTTCTTCCCTGCAAGCCTAGGAAGGGTATTGTTTCAAAAAGCAAAAAGTGAAATTACACTAAACTAAAGTAGCATGACAAAGATTAAAATAGGGGACAACAATATTGGGATTAATACTGATCACGATTAAATGAATAATGTAGCAATACCTGGATTTTCATTAGCCAGTTCTGGCAGTAATAATTTTGTGTTCAGCAGACTCAGAAGCTGTGGTGTGAATGAGACTAACAACTAAGCACTCTCTAGTTGGATGATGTGAAGAATCATTTACCACATCTTGCTGAAGAACATTACAGGTTATAAAAATGTCATCTAGACCATGCAGACAAGCCCATCTGTATTTAAGGCTGAATTCCTTTGAAATAAAAGCACTCCATGTGGTTCAAATGGGTCTGTGATTTCAAATGTCAGAAAACTCTTAACACATAACCAGAACACACAGACCATAATAGGGCAATCGAAGGAATGTGAGATATGAAATCTTTCCAATAGTCTCACTTAGAGCCTAACTCATCAAAAGAGTCCATTTTATACATAAAGATAAAAGAGAATGTTTTAAGAATTTTATAACATATCAATATAATTAATCAGAACCTATGATAGCCTTTAGTGCAATTAATGGCTGGAGTTCTAGTTCATGAGGTGTTAAGAAGGAGAGGTCAAGATATTTATGATTGTCATTGGATACCATATGCCACGTGTGGGAGAGAGGGAGGTGGAGTGTTTTATGAGAATAAACTAGAATAACTAAGGATAAAATATTATTTCAAACTGAGGGAAAACAAAGCTAGTTTATTTTCTAGAATTATATCAATGAGCTAGATTGATGTTTGAGATGAAATCAACTACTTTAATACCTATGCATATTGATTTATGTATAAAACTATGCATTTATATATTGATTTATGTATAAAAGTATGCATTTATATTATCAATCTCTCTCTCTGTCAGTATGGACAAAGAATATATATTAGGGTGGGTGCATATATATTTTCTGCAGTTTTTGAGCCTAGAGGAAATCAGGAGTAAAGCTGTCTGGTTGGATTTCTTGACAACGTATGTCTACTCCCCTCCTTCCATCCCTGTCATTTTCTGAAACTAGAGTAGTTGTTCTGGACCTTCCCCCCCTCCTACCCAATCTTCCTTCTTCCTTTCTGCTCTCTCCCTGTCTCCTGATTTCACTTTCTTTATTTCAGGTGTATACAGGTGGGAAAGCTCATGAGAAGAGCGTCCCTATCTGAATTATATTTTGCTACCCTTCTTGCCATATCAAACCCAAAATAACTGAAAGAACATACTGCTCGGTAATATGTCATTAAAAAGTGAATTACCTCTAACCAAGAGGGTGTTTAATTATCTAGTGTGAATCAATATATTCTACTATTATTAGCACTTTTTAAAGAAAATTGGTATAAATGCACCATAAAATGTCATAATCACTTGCTTTATACACTACTACTTTGGTCACTGACAAAAGCCTGCATAGTTAACATCAGCTTATATTTCATTTTGAATCATATTCTTCAAGAGCTCTGTTAGCAATGGGAATACTTTACTTTTTAAAAGTTTCTCTTGCCTATATTTATGTGCTCTCTTTGTCCCCAGTGCAATGGTCTGTGACTATTCAATAAAATCTTTTAAACTGACCATCTACTGTTCTGAACCCAAAACAAAGAAAAAGTCTGCAAATCTGTGGGATAAATTTAGGTTGGCTTAAGCTCTAGAATAACACATACTTTTAGTCCAATAAAAAGAAACTCACTATGAGTAAGCGTCAGTGACTTCAAGAAGCTTACCTTTATTTGGTAAGAAAGACACAAATACTATTAATCAAAATAAAGAAAAAAATAGTATGTGACATGGAGTAAGCATGGTGCAGAGTGGCCCTTGGGGGAGAAAGAGCAAGATCATTTCTGCTGAGCACATGAGAAAGCTTCTTTGAGAAACTATTCACTGTTTTGTTCCAGCTACCATATGGAGAAGCTTTCTTACATTATTCCATTTAATCCTCACATCCCTGACAAGTAGGGAGTTTTACTATTTCATGATGAGAAAAATAAAGCTTAGAAAAATTCATTAATTTAGTGAAAAAAATTACCCATGGCCACTAATCCACAGGCCTCTTTCTACACCACTACATGATCTTGCAGCAGAGACTGGAGGGTGGGTGGGATTTGGAAAGGTAAAATGGGCAGAGTAGACAACATCAGCTGAGGCACAAAGGTATGAGGATCCAAAGCACATGTCTCTTGTGGCAAAATTGTTCTTTTTTATCTGAAAAAAAGAAAACTTCTCCACACTTTAACCTCCTGTCTTCCAGTTACACCTCATTGGCAAGACTGTCATGGGAGCTCCTCTAACTAGAACTTGGGTGGGCACACTGCTATCCCAAAGTAAATTAGACTGTATTCAGCCATACAAAATGAGTAGATATTGGGTAGGCACTAGCATCGTCTGTCATAAAGGGTCAGCCACATAGGAAGCACTGAATAAATGGTAGCTCTTCATTATTGTTACTATATCTCATTAGTCTAAAGAACACATTTCCTACACACAAACATTTCTTAATGAGTATATATTTTACAGTGGTTGTGAGGAGCACATTGCACAACTCGGCTTTGTGCTGAAGGTATTTGATGCTCATCCCTGTGTCACTTTCACTGGAAGCACCACACATCATTAGACTTTACATTTTTATTTCTAATTGTGATTTAAAATGTCATCAAAAAAGATGATACTGTAGGCCAGGGGCGGTGGTTCACGCCTGTAATCCCAGCACTTTGGGAGGCTGAGGCGGGCAGATCACAAGGTCAGGAGATCAAGACCATCCTGGCTAACACGGTGAAACCCCATCTCTACTAAAAATACCAAAAACATTAGCCGGGAGTGCTGGCGGACGCCTGTAGTCCCAGCTACTTGGGAGGCTAAGGCGGGAGAATAGTGTGAACCTGGGAGGCAGATCTTGCAGTGAGCCGAGATCATGCCACTGCCCTCCAGCCTGGGTGACAGAGCGAGACTCCATCTAAAAAAAATAATAATAATAACAATAATAATAATAATGCTGTAATACAACATTCAAGCAAAGGGTTGTTACACCAAATACGATAGAGATAGAGTTGAAGAAAGCAGATTTCCTTTAAGAGGCAGTGTTGCTAGTGGTCAAAAACACACTTGCTGGAATCAGAAGCTTCCGATCTAGTTCTTCCACTCAAGAGCCAGGTGATTCTGGGGAAGTTACTTTCTCTCCTGTTTCTTATCCATAAAATGGGGGTGACAATAGGGTAAGTGTAAGGATTACATGAGTTAATATTAATGAGTGCCAACAATTGTGTTTGGCACATAGGAAGTGCTTAATAAATGTTAACTATCATTGTTAGTAATAATGTTGGAAGCAGGCCAGGTGCAGTGGCTCAAGCCTATAATCCCAGCATGTTGGGAGGGTGAGGAGGGTGGATTGTTTGAGCATAGGAATTTGAGACCAGCCTGGGCAACATGGCAAGACCCGTCTCTACCAAAATACAAAAAAATGGCTGGGCATGGTGAAGCATGCCTGTGGTCCCAGCTACTTGGGAGGCTGAGGTAGAAAGATGGCTTGAGCCCCATGGGGCAGAAGTTTCAGTGAGCTGAGATTGTGCCACTGTACTCCAGCATGGGTGACAGAGTGAGAACTTGTCTCAAAAAAAAAAAAAAAAAAAAAAAAAAAAAATATATATATATATATATATATATATATATATATATAGTTTGAAGCAATGATCACTGTAGGTAAAAAAAAAAAATGTGTATTATCATGTTATAAATCCAACATCAAGTGGTTTCCAATTTTTAAGAAAGAATATATACACATATAATTAAAACCTTGTGTATATTTATATGTGTGTATATGTCCATGTATATGTATAGCTATTAAATTTAAAAAATCACCTAATATGCATGCGAAAGGATAATTAAAAGCAACAGAATTTGTCAAATATCCTGGAATATCATAGGATTTTAAAAACTACGAGAAGTTCCAGAGATCCACTGTGTTTAATTAAAGACTAAAACTCAATTACTGTCAAAAACTTCCAGCTGATGTTCAAGAAAAACTGTTTAATATCCAGCAGTATCTACTTCTATTATGGAAAATTTAAAACTAGGAATTCAACAAAATAGGAAATGCCAACAAAACCTGGTATTCTTCCCTATGCTTCAACATTATTCTGTCAAAGCTAAGGCAAGTGAAGAGGTCAAGATCAGAAGCACAGGCTTTGGAAAGTCACTCAACAGTGGGTCACCGAAGGTCGTGCAGAATGCACAGACTATATATATGATAAAGGCTTAGACTGAACTTTTGATCATGATACAGAAGAGTCTAGTCAAATAAAATCATTTGAATAAATGTATGAAAAAGTGGGTTTGGTTAAAAGGAAATCATGTACATTTAATGTAGAGTTTCGTCTTTTGCAGAAATATGCTTCTAAAGTCGATGGTGAATCTTACATTAGATGGTATCTTGGATCTATGTTGTGATTCCAAAATTTGTCCTTCAGTGCTAACTGTGAATCAATCAGTCCAAACTTTATTTGTGGAATGAAGTTTAATATTAAAATATATCGTATTTTCAAATTTAAACATAAAGTTTGAATCATAAATGCCTCATGTCAACAGCGGCCTCATACTTTACTCATAAATATTCCCTCTTTCATTATAATTTGGTTGGGTTTTTGAAAGGAATGTAGACAAAGTGTGAGAACTCACATCATCCCTTGGCTTTTATGCTTTAAGATCTAATTTTCAAGGCTTAAATATGTCTGATGCCGTGACCATATGGCAGTGTTTTCCATGGATAGAAATGATACATCCCCAAGGACAGAAGTCATGCTGCAAAAGAGGATGGTTTTCCTCCTATTGAAAATTAGTCTATTCAATCAAAATCTCATGAAAACATTGGCTAGTTTTCTGTGTATAGCTCGCACTTCACTTACCAGACTGTTGCCTAAATCTTCCCTATTCTGGAAGACTGTATATACAGTGCAAGTATTATATGATATAACCAATTTCCAAATGCTTTCTAATTCCCACAGTGGGGAAAGAACAACTGGCAACACAGTGAATTATTTCAGTTTAACAGCTGATTATCAAGACAAATAACTGGATATTGTCTGCAGTGACAACCATGACCAGGGTCCAGGGAACCACACTCAGAAAAGGTCATAATAGATAACCATTTTCCCAAAAGGAAGAATTATTCTCTGTGAGGATACTAATGTCTCCCTGTTCTGAGTTCTGTTCAGTCTACAGTCCATTCTCTACACTCTCCCCAGTGTTATTGAAACTGCCTTTGCAAAATCATGATAGCAAGAGAAGTCCGACAGTGTTGACGCCATCTTACTTCTGACCTCTGAGGTGTCCTTGGTCATTCCCGGGCATAGGCCAAGCTAACTTTTGAAGGAATTTAGTTTATAGTTTAACTTGAAAGCTAGGACGATACTAGTCTCCCCTTAAAACTAACCCTTTCCTTGCTCAGGGACCAAAAACCACCTTTGTTAGACTAATAAAAGGCCACAAGAATAGGATTATGGGAGGAACCTGAACTCTTCTGAGATGTAGGCATAGTTTCTCTAATCTCTTACTGCTCTGGAGTCATGTGGCCAGAAGTCACAAGATCTCTGACTTCTCCAATTGCTCCTATAGATAACATCATTATTGTAGAACCTAAGATTGGTTTTTGAGTACTTTTTCAGATGAATCCCACCAAAACTTGTGACTCATGACTCAACTGGCCCCATGGCCCCACCCAGAGGAAGACTCAGCACACAAAGGCTGTTTTCCACACCCCTATGATTTTATTCCCAACCAATCAACAGCATCAATTCCCTAGCCCCCTGCCCACCAAACAGTCCATAAAAACCCTAGCCTCCAAGCTATTAGGGAGGTTGAGTGATAGCTCCAGTTCTCCCACATGGGCTGAACTCATGTCAGTTAAACTCTATACTGCAATAGCACCATCTCAATTGATTAATTTTGTCTATGCAGTGAACAGGAAGAACCCATTGAGTGACCACATTACAAGTTTAAAATGTTTTTCTGGTGAGGGAAAGAGAAATAAAACATGGCTTGTCTGATTAGTACTAAGTAGTACTTCAACTTCATGATCATTAGTATTCAAAAGACTTCAACACTGCCTGGGAATCTCACTAGATTTCTTAGCCATCTGGCTCTCTCTCACTCGGCTCAACAAATAGTGCCCCTCTTCTACCTCCTACTAAATCTCAGTTTCCATTTGCCTTTTGCCTCAGCTGATGAACTTACCCTATATTTTACCAGGGAAAATAGAAGTCATACACCATAGCCCCTACTTTTATTCCACAACTGAATTTTCAAGGTCTTTTACTCACCCCCTCCCTCTCTGTCTCTAGAGCTGAAGTAGAGAGAAAGTGTTACATTAAGGGTCAATCCCACTGCACTCTGGTCATCATCCCTCCACATGCCCAGGGGCCTCTATTCACAAGTTATTATGTCTTACTGCTTTCTTAACCTCTTCTTCCCTGCCAACACTTAACCTATCTGCATTCAAATGCAGATTGGTTTACTTTAGGATTAAAGGAAGAAGTGACTTCAGGGTGGAAGAGAGAGAAGAAGAAAAGGAAGAGAGAAGGAGGGAAAGAAGGAAGGAAGGAAGGAAGGAAGGAAGGAAGGAAGGAAGGAAAGAAGGAAGGAAGGAAGAAAGGAAGGAAGGAAGTTCCTTTGATACCCTGATCCTTCTTCAGCTACCACCGTATCTTTCTACTTTTCTTTTCAGCCAAAGGTCTCAAAAAAGTTACCTAAAAGACTATCTCCACTCACTAACCCATCTTCCTTCATCCTTCATCCCTCTGTAATTTCCTCCCTCTCTCAGCATTGAAACTTCCATTTCAAAGGCTACAAATTGTGTCCATGTTGCCAAACCAGGAGAGGCTTATCAGTTCTTCCTCACAATGGCCTCTCAGCTGTGTGATACCACCCACATGCTTAAGAGAAGGCATTCTGCAGGCTTAGGTAAGTCTGAATCCAAGGCTCACCACACACTGGATTTATCTATAAACTTTTAAACCTCCTCATCAATAAAATGAGGATAGCAATTATTTTCCTCCATTGGCTTTTTGTAGTGATTAAATGATATAATCCATGTAAAGTGCTTAATCTTGTACTTGGCACATAGCAAAGATTCTACAGTTGTCAGTTTTTATAGCTGGTAATACTCTTGGTGTTATTCTTCTGTAATTGTTCTCTCATGTTGCATTTCATTAAACAACACTCTCCAGAGGAAGAGAGATGGTTGTCCCATTTCCTGCATACAGTGGCCAGGGCTGGTGCTATATTTACTTTGAGCCATCATGATTTTGCCCAGGGGTGGCAGCAATGTTGTCTTTCTCAGATGACTTTTAGGGGGTGATTCTAGGGCCTTGTTCCCAGTGGGTAATGCTGGAAGGTCTGCAAACTTCACAGTATCTTTTAATAAATCTCCTTTAGGAGCCAAGCACAGTGGTGCATGCGTGCAGTCCCAGCTACTCAGGAAGTGAGGTGGGAAGATTGCTTGAGCCCCACAGCTTAAGGCCAGCCTATGCAACACAGCAAGACCCCCCTAAATCAACAAATGTATAAGCACATTTATTGTGAAGGATTTAGGGGGATCTTGCTCTCTACATAAATAGATGGATAGATAGATAGATAGATAGATAGATAGATAGATAGATAGATAGATAGATATAGATATAGATAGATATAAATAGATATATAAATATATCTATTTATATATCTATATATCTTACGAGTTAAATTTGCCATATTTGGCTTTTATTGCTTGCAATGAAAAATTCTAGTCAAATATCTAACTCAGCCTATTCCCTTCTTCAAATTTCAGATTCATATATTCAACTACGCCCCTGACATTCCAACTCAGATATTTCATAGCCATCACAAATTAAAAAATGCAGAAATGAACTATCAAGCTCCCTCTCCTCCATTCCAAACCACTTGCCTCTTAGCATATGGAAACACCATCCAGAGTTGCTTACATGAAGAATCTGGAGCCATCATTGAAAGCTCTCTCTTTATACATTTTCCAAGTGGTCAGTTTTGCCTCAAAATACACTTCAAATTTGTCCACTCATTTCTCTCTGCATTTGTTACCACCTTAAGTTGAATCACCATTATCTCACAAATGCACCGAAACATCTGCTTGTAAAATGTCTCACCCTTTTCCCATGTTGTTCTCTTCCAATGCATTTTCTTCATAGCAAACTAAATTTCTAGAAACAAAATCATGTAATTACCTTAATCAAAATTCTTCAATGGTGTGCCATTGTACATTGGAAGAAATCCAAAGTTTTTACTATCACTTCCAAAACAATGAACAATTTAGATTCTGGCTAGCTCCTTAGCTGCATCATATGTGCCATCTCACATTCAATTCTCCAGGATCCTACCTCATTTCACCTCCTTAAAACCGATAGGCTTTTCTGTTTTGGGACCTTTGCACAAGCTGTTTACTCTGCCAGGAAGGTGCTGCCCACCTGATCTGACCTCATTGCAAACTTCAGAGAGACCTTTTTATCCTGTCAGTGTCACCAAAGAGTCCTTATTACACTCTCTCAAGCCATCCCCTATATACCTATCATAGTTCACAGAAATCACTGATTTTTAATGTGATTATTATCTATCCTCCCTATCTGTCTGATTTTCATTAAAATTGTCATTTTAGTAAAAATTTTCTGATTTTCATAAGAAATGACAATTGTTCTATTTTATCTATCTCTAGTATTTTATGCCTAATGTAGTGCCAGGTACACAGAGTTGCTGTTCAAAAATATCTGTTCAATGTTTGAATTAATTATTTTCAATCACAACACCCATGATTCCTCTGTGGTCTGTAGTAGTTTTCTTTGTGCAGTGTCTGTCACAGCTCTAAAGAGAAGGGTAAGAACAATAGAACTGTCTAACAGGACAGATTCATTAGCTGAGATTCAAAACCAAAAGGCAAATCTGGCTAATTTCTCAGATGACTGGATGCATTTATGCTTTTGGATCAGGGATGACATTTGCTGATAGATACCAACAAGTTGCATATCTAGAAACTCCATTATCTGAAACATACACACAAACTCAAACAGAAAAATTTACTATGATTTAAATATCTTTAAATGAACAAATGCTGAACGACACTGATATTAAGACCTATTTATTAGAGCAATATAATCCTTAGATGAAGAATATAGGGAAACACCATATTCCCACCATATTTACTGGAGTAGTTATCTTTACTTCTGTGGCATCCCTACAGTGATGATATAATTTGGAGACTTCATTTGCCAGTCATTTACGAAATGGCTGTGAGAAGAAAGTCTCATGATCATAGACTCACTTTTAGAAGCTATGTTAGCTTGGTGCATTTCTTAGTCAAGTACATCACACTATCTTAATCTATGTCTAAAAAATGTGGATCCCAAATGTGAATTATCTATTATAAATGTGATAACAGAGACAAAGGAGGGAGATCCACTTAAGAGGGTATGATGGTTAATACCGAGTGTCAACTTGATTGGATTGAAGGATGCAAGGTATTGACTCTGGGTGGGTCTGTGAGGGTGTTGCCAAAGGAGATTAACATTGAATCAGTGGGCTGTGAAAGGCAGACCCACCCTTAATATGGGTGGCCACCATCTAATCAGCTGCCAGCACAGCCAGAATATAAAGCAGGCAGAAAAACATGAAAAGACTAGACTGGCTTAGCCTCCCAGCCTACATCTTTCTCCCATGCTGGATGCTTCCTGTCCTCAAATATCGGACTCCAAGTTCTTCAGCTTTGGGACTCAGACTGGCTTCCTTGCTTCTCAGCTTGCAGAGAGCCTGTTGAGGGACATTGTGATTGTGTGAGTTAATACTCTTTAATAAACTGTCTTTTATATATATATCTATCCTATTAGTTCTGTCCCTCCAGAGAACCTTGACTAATACAGATTTTGGTACCTGGAGTGGAGTCAGTAGAGACATTCCTTCTAAGGTGAAGGATAAGTTGCTGCATTTGGCCCCTCCTACAACCAAGAAAGAGGCACAGCGCCTAATGGGCCTATTTGATTTGGAGGCAATACATTCCTCAGTTGGATGTGTTACTTTGGCCCATTTATCGAGTGACCCAAAAGGCTGCCAGTTTTGAGTGGTGTCCAGAACAGGAGAAGGCTCTGCAACAGGTACAGGCTGCTGTGCAAGCTGCTCTGCCACTTGGGCCATATGACCCAGGAGATCCAATGGTGCCTGAGGTATCAGGAGAAGATACGGATTGTATTTGGAGCCTTTGGCAGGCTCCCACAGGTGAATCACAGCAGAGGCCTCTAGGATTTTGGAACAAGGCTCTGCCATCTCCTGCAGATAACTACTCTCCTTTTGAGAGATAGCTCTTGTCCCGTTACTGGGCTTTGGTGGAAACTGAATATTTGACTATGGGTCATCAAGTCACCACGTCTGCCTATCACTTGAACTGCCTATCATGAACTGGGTGCTTTCTGACCCACCTACTCACAAAGTGGGTCATGTCCACAGCATTCCATCATCAAATGGAAGTAGTATATATGTGATTGGGTTTGAGCAGGTCCTGAAGTTATATGAGGAAATGGCTCAAATGCCCATGGTCCCCAGTCCTGCCACCCTGCCTTCTCTCACCCAGCCTGCACCAATGGCCTCATGGGGAGTTCCCTATAATCAGTTGACAGAGGAAGAGAAGACCAGGGCCTCGTTCACAGATGGTTCTGCACAATATGCAGGCACCACCCAAAAGAGGACAGCTGTAGCATTATAGCCCCTTTCTAGGATATCCCTGAAGGACAGCAGTGAAGGGAAATCTTCCCCTGTGGGCAGAACTTCAAGCAGTGCATCTGGATGTGCACTTTGCATGGAAGGAGAAATGGCCAGATGTGTGATTATATACTGATTGATGGGCTGTAGCCAGTGGTTTGGCTGGATGGTCAGGGACTTGGAAGAAGCATGATTGGAAAATTGGCAACAAAGAAATTTGGGGAAGAGTTATGTGAATAGACCTCTCTGAGTGGTCAAAAACTCTGAAGATATTTGTATCCCAAGTGAGCGCTCACCAACAGGTGACTTCAGCAGAGGAGGATTTTAATAATCAAGTGGACAGGATAACCCATTCAATGGATACCACTCAGCCTCTTTCCCCAGCCACCCCCGTCATCACCCAATGGGCCCATAAACAAAGTGGCCATTGTGGCAGGGATGGAGGTTACGCATGGGCTCAGCAACATGGACTTCCACTCACCAAGGCTGACCTAGCTACAGCCACTGCTGAGTGCCCGATTTGCCAGAAGCAGAGACTGATGCTGAGCCCTCAATATGGCACCATTCCTTGAGGTGATCAGCCATCTACCTGGTGGCAGGTTGATTATATTGGACCTGTTCCATCACGGAAAGGGCAGAGGTTTGTCCTCACTGGAATAGACATGTACTCCAGATATGAGTTTGCCTGTCCTGCACACAATGCTTCTGCCAAGACTACCATCCATGGACTCACAGAATGCCCGGTCCACTGTCATGGTATCCCACACAGCATTGCCTCTGACCAAGGCACTCACTTTGTGGCCAAAGAAGTGTGGCAGTGGGCTCATGCTCATGGAATTCACTGGTCTTACCATGTTCCCCATCATCCTGAAGCAGCTGGATTGACAGAATGGCAGAATGGCCTTTTGAAGTCACAATTAAAATGCCAACTAGGTGACAATACTTTGCAGGGCTGGGGCAAAGTCCTCTGGAAGGCTGTGTATGCTCTGAATCGGCGTCCTATATATGGTACTGTTTCTCCCATAGCCAAGATTCACTGGTCCAGGAATCAAGGGGTGGAAGTCGAAGTGGCAGCACTCACCATCACCCTTAGTGATCCACCAGCAAAATTTTTGCTTCCTGGTACCGCGACATTATGTTCTGCTCGCCTAGAGGTCTTAGTTCCAGAGGGAGGAATGCTGCCACCAGGAAACACAACAATAATTCCATTAAACTGGATGTTAAGATTGCCACCTGGACACTTTGGGCTCCTCCTACCTTTAAGTCAACAGGCTAAGAAGGGAGTTACAGTGTTAGCTGGGGTGACTGACCCAGACTATCAAGATGAAATCAGTCTACTGCTCCACAATGAAGGTAAAGAAGAGTATGCATGGAATACAGTAGATCAATTGCGGCGTCTCTTAGTATTACCATGCCCTGTGATTCAGGTCAATGGGAAACTACAACAGCCCAATCCAGGCAGGACTACAAATGGCCAAGACCCTTCAGGAATGAAGGTTTGGGTGACTCCACCAGGAAAAAACCATGACCTGCTGGGGTGCTTGCTGAAGGCAAAGGGAATACAGAATGGGTAGAAGGTAGTCATCAATACCAGCTACGACCATGTGACCAGTTGCAGAAACGAGGACTGTAATTGTCATGAGTATTTCCTCCTTCTTTTGGTAAAACCATGTTTGTGTATGTATACACCTGTACTAAGGAAATATGTTCATTTTATTTCCTTTTTCTTTTAACATGTGACATCAGATTTACTTCATATTAGCGTTTAAGTATCGTTAGCTTTATGTAATAGCATTTGGGTTGGGGATTGGTGCATTTCTGGTTGTACGAAGGATAGCTGCATTATGTTACGTGTAATTATGACCTTATTATTGTCTTTATTTGAAGATAATGTGTGATCTCAGATGCGTATGGGTTCAAGTCGACAAGGCGTAGACTTACAATGATTAATACTGAGTGTCAACTTGATTGGATTGAAGGATGCAACATATTGATACTGGGTGTGTCTGTGAGGGTGTTGCCAAAGGAGACTAACATTTGAGTAAGTGGACTGGGAAAGGCAGACCTACCTTCATCTGGGTGACAAAGAGGGTGACAAAGAAATCATCTGGTGGGCACCATCTAATCAGCTGCCAGCATGGCCAGAATATAAAGCAGGCAGAAAAATGTGAAAAGACTAGACTGGCTTAGCCTCCAATCCTACATCTTTCTCCCATGCTGGATGCTTCCTGCCCTCGAACATGAGACTCCAAGTTCTTCAGCTTTGGGGCTCAAACTGGCTTCCTTGCTTCTCAACTTGCAGACAGCCTATTGTGGGACCTTTGATTGTGTGAGTTAATTCCTTAATAAACTCCCCTTTATATATGTATATATATCCTATTAGTTACATCACTCTAAAGAACCCTGACCAATACAGAAGGCTTACACTCTTTATTCTAACAGGCTTAAGGCTAACTCTATATGTCTCCTTCCCAATGTCAGGAATCTCTGTAGCTTAGAGGAACAGTTTTCCTCAGTGACATATGTAACTCAGTGATTAGTCACAGGAACACTGACCTCATCACAATAAAATAGGGATCTCCCTATTTTAAGATCCCCCTAAGGAATAAAGAGCTATGCACTTTAGGGAAAACTCTATAAAACGTGTGAGAATCAAAAGAGTTCAAAAATGGCCAAAACCAGCCAGGCAAGATAGTGAGAATACATGTCTACAGAAACATTTTTTAAATAGCAAGGTGTGTTGGTACATGCCTGTAGTCCCAACTATTAGGGAGGCTGAGGTGGAGGATCACTTGATCCCAGGAGTTTGAGGCTGCAGTGAGCTACGATTGCCACTGCACTCCATCCTGGGTGACAGAGTGAGATCCTGTCTCCAAAAAAAAAAAAAAAAGGCAAGGAGAGGGTGATCCTTACTAAAACAGGCAATTCAATATTCAATTAGGGGGATTCATTCAAACCATTTATTTCACAGAAATGGCCAAATAAGTGGCCTTGTTAATAAGAAGATAAAACCCTTTCCTTTTTGCATTAAAATAACTGATTTTGTCTCAAATTATATTAAATAAGGTAACTACAACAGAAATAAGAAGAAAATTACATTGATTGTATAGACAAGAATTAGTTTCTGAAAGCACATAAACCTTTACAGAAAATACGCTTACTTTATCAAAGTGGTTCAGTTTTCAGCTGCTTCTATGGCTTACAACAAAAAAGGGATTCTGTTACATATGGAAACTTCAAAAATCACAAAGCTCAAATAAAAATAATAGTCCAGGGCAATTAATCTGGAACAAGAATACCCATGAATACTCTGGGTATTTGTTTTAATGCACTTCAGTTCAATAGTGTTGTTTTCTTTCTCATCAAAGAGCAAACTATATTTCTATTTATCATCTTCAGAAGTAGTAACAGAGCCTATCCTGGTAATATGCATTGTGGGGAAGAAGAGGATACAATTGAACACAAGGCTATTTCAAATAATAGAAAAGATACCTTTAATAATTGGCAGGAGATCTTATAACACAAACTATAAACAACTGCTGGATTTGAAAGTCACAAAAGCATAGTCCTAGAGTCCATATCGTGGGATCATAAGACAGTTACAGCTTTCCCTAGAGTCAAGAGGAAATGTCATCCATTAGAATTCAAGTGAACTCTCTATATACCCATTTATAGAAATAACTAGACCCCTAAGCAGATTCAGGTACATTCTTCTTATTCTTCTACATCTGGCCCTGAATTAGGTGAGGTGACAAGTGTGATTTTTCAGACCAACTCATGGTCTTTCTGGCTTATGGTTATACTGATCGCCCCTGGTGACTTGTGTGTGAACAAACCTCAGAGCATTCAAATCCCTGGGTTCTGCTCTGGCTCTGCTAGTATCCTGCTCTGCAAACTTAACCTCTCTGGGCTTTCATTTCTTTATCTTCAAATTGAAGAAAAATGTGATACTTTATCCTTAAGGTCAACCTCTAGTTCCAAATTCTTAATCAGAAAAATTATGGCAGGCTTATGGTCTACAGAATTAAAATCAAAGAGCCTTGCTGAGGTAAGCGACAACATTTGCAAAGGACAATGTAAGGTTCATTTTCTTCTAGCCCGAATGAATTGTACCCAGTATTTATGTGGACTTGAAAACTATAAGTGTTTTTAATAAATTAAATCTAAAATGAAGGCATTTAAAATTATTAGCGGCTTATCAGCATGAAACACAAAGAACACTGAAGTGGGAGATTTTTCCAGTGAAACTCATCATTAAACTTTCAATAACAATGTCATCATTTCTTTTCCCTTCTGTGATCACACCATCTCCCAGGCACAATTTTAGGTTTAACAGTCTTAAAACCAGGTAAGACTAGGGAAGCTGAGCAGGCAAATCAAATGATTAAGTTTTAAAAAGTTTTATAGGTATTTAAGCCTTGGGAAAGCTTAATTAATGAAGAATTTAAAACAGGAGTGAAAATTAAAGCAGTAGGAAATATTCAAGAAAAAAATTACTATGCCATTGAAAAAATTCAGGAAGAGCCACAGGGAACTAATGCAAATAATCATTGACTGGAGGAAATGTCTCTGGCAAATGCAAGAAGTGACCCAAAGAAACAGAACTGAGAAAATTTGGCCAGAAAAGTAAAAAAAGAACATACATAAAATGGATGGTACAACATTGCTTTTATTTTTCAGGAAGAAAATGTGATTGATTCTGCGTAAAGGTGCTTTTCATAACTTTTATATTGTCATAAAGACAATAATAATATCCTTAGCTCTTCATATTCCTTTGCCAGTCTATCATTCACTCATGTTTTCAATGTAATATTCAGAACCCACTGTATCAGATCATCTGGTTGAGTTCCATACCACCATCTTCTCTATCCACTTATCCTATGAGATCCCAGTTGCATCCCATAATCTTTTTAAATATAATGGAAAATTTAAAACATTTCATCTGATATAGTTTGACTCTGTATCCCCACCTAAATCTCATCTCGAATTATCATCCCCATGTGTTGAGGGAGAGATCTGATGGGAGGTGATTGCATTATGGTCTTTCTCTCTCTCTCTCTCTCTCTGTTGCTGTCTCTCTCTCTCA
Source organism: Homo sapiens (assembly GCF_000001405.40). Taxonomy (NCBI): domain Eukaryota; kingdom Metazoa; phylum Chordata; class Mammalia; order Primates; family Hominidae; genus Homo; species Homo sapiens. The sequence goes on from NC_000007.14 coordinate 126,655,513, forward strand.
GTCTCAGTATCTTTATAGCAGTGTTAAAACGGACTAATAAATCATCCTTCTTGGTCTCAACTACTGGTCATTCATCTTAAACCATGCTTATCTCTGATGGATACTATCTAGAAATAAACACATGAGATGACATTTTCTTGGATATCTCATTACAAACATATTAGGCATCTGAATCAGTATTATTGTTTTAATTTATCAAATAATGTCCAAAATTATGATGGAAACAAAATAGCTGGTCCAAATCTAAAGAAGATATTTTACTTGCTTAATCACAAGGATTATTTAAAACATCCACATGTGGTTTAACTGACTCCCAAGGTAGATACATTTCCAAAGCATGACACAAGGGAAAGATATAGCATTAAAATCACATTCCAGGGTACCTATATTTATAGAAACACACAGAAAATGGGCTAATCTTTGCACTTTCTCCTATTGAGAGAAATAGATATTCTACTCAACCCTTTCTTCATAGCTGGTAATGTAACATAAATAATAAAATTTATCTTAAATTGCCTACCAATCATCAAATTCAGGGAACTGTCCACTGAACTTTTAGTATTGGCTTTCCATTTGTTGGGGAGGGGAAGAGTGGGGTTACAAATTATAGACTAGAAATAATAACAATAAAATAATTCCAAGGGGCATTAAATGCCAGAGTTCTGGGGATTTGGAGATTGGGGTAAGATAACTAGAGTAACTTGCTGACTGTGCCCCACACATCCTTTCCTTCTGGTAGTCAAAACAGTGAGAAATGTGAAGGAGGGGCTTAGGCAAAAGCCAGCCTTGACGGCCTGGGGCATCTTATTGGCATTTGAATTGGTGAGAGAGCTAACAGTTTCCACTCCTCCTCATGTTATTTTGGAAGCAAGACCTACCAAACAGGCCAGGCACAGTGGCTCACTCCTGTAAACCTAGCACTTTGGGAGGCCAAGGCGGGCGGATCGCAAGGTCAGGAGATCGAGACCAACCTGACCAACATGGTTTCTACTAAAAATACAAAAATTAGCCAGGTTTGGTGGCACGTGCCTGTAATCCCAAGCTGCTCAGGAGGCTGAGGCAGGAGAATCGCTTGAACCTGGGAGGCGGAAGCTGCAGTGAGCCGAGATTGTGCCACTGCACTCTAGCCTAGATGACAAAGCAAGACTCTGTCTCAAAAATAAAAAAATAAAAAAACAAAAGACCTACCAAACAGAACCACAGCCACTAAAAGAAGATCAGAGTTAACAGTTGGACAGAGAGGGGTTATTTCTGCATGTTGGAGATGCTTGTGTTCACAGAGTAGCTGTGTTTATCATTAATAATAATAATAATAAAAAGTTATGCCTCTCATCAGTAAGCATAGCCTTTAAAAGCTAGGCATATTCAGGGAAACAAATTCATCCACTTCTGACATCGGTTGCAGGGTCTTACCTCTGGCAACAGATTAATGCATTAGCAAGGAACCCAAATGAAAAGTGCTTATGTAGACAGCACAATGGCTGTGATTTAGTAATGTTCGTACAGCAATTTATATTTACTGAGTGCTACAATGGTTTCTATTATTTATTCTTCAAGAGAAATCCATGAGGTACTGTCTTCATTTTTTTAGGTGAGGAAAATAAGGCATAGGGAAATTAATATGGAATCACAGAGATCAAGTCAGGTTGTGCCTGTACACACAAAAATAACCTTTTAGAAAGGAAAAATGAGCTTAAGTTACGAGATCAAGTCAGGTTGTGCCTGTACACACAAAAATAACCTTTTAGAAAGGAAAAATGAGCTTAAGTTACTTGCTTGACATTAAATATTACATTGGTGCAAAAGTAATTGTGGTTTTTAATTGTGGTGAAAACCGCAAATACTCTTGTACCAACCTAATAGAGCAGTGGACACTGACATATTTTCTTAGCAGTAAAAACAACCCCCCCCCAAAAAAGTCACATACAATTCCAATTTACAAACAAGATAACAATTACACAGCATTAGTAAACCAAATATAAATTTCTAACGTTTACTAATTATTAGGGCAATCAATGCTTTAGGAACATAAACTTTGAAATCAGAGGGCATGTATAATAGTTCCAAGCTTCTATCACTCTCAGCTTCTGTGAATTTCAGAACTTCTGAACTCCAGAGTCTGCAGGCTTTAGGAAGAAAGTGTTTGCCTAAACATAACAGGTCAAAAGTATAAATTCAGTAAAACTACTTTGTTTGCATAAACCTAATGACATAGTGTGTATGCTGGGAATGTACTTGAACCTTTGAATTCAGTTGTTTAATTAGTGAGCTATTGTGGTGGGGGTGGAGTGAGTGGGGAAACCCACAGAGGAGGAGCCTCCGCTGAGTGATTTAAAGCGTGCAGGAAAGAAGGCCTGTGGCCTGTGTATGCATAGGGGGAGCTCCTCCCTAATCCTCATTATAGATTTGTGTTCTCTAAAGCCGGAAACGACAAACTAAAATTAAGTAAAGAGATGCTAACGGTTATATTAATTTTTAAAGAAGAAACAACAGCCTGCAGCTGATGATGTGTTGGCTGGAATGGCCTGAGCCGCTGGGAAAGAATTTAATGGAACTAGAGCTTTTAAAAGTCATATGAGTTCAAAAGGGGAAACAGGAAAAATAAATAAAGAGAAGTAGGCAGAAAGAACAGGTGAGATTCAGCTGAGTGAAGTTGATGGCATAACATATGCTGAGGCCACACATTTCCAACAACAGTCCATCAGCCATGAGCTGAGTTATGGCTCCCAGAGTCATGGAAAGCAGTTCTGAACAGAAGCTAAATGTTGGTGAACTCAAATTCCAAAAAGAATAAAGTCATGCTTCTCCAGAGACCAAAGAGAAGATAAAGAAAATGGCCTGGCCTTATACTTGAGGGAGAAAGCAAAATGATTTACAAAGAACAGAACTAGTGATTGGAACCAATGAGTAGGACTGGATGAGCAGAGAATAGGATCTAAAACTGGCAGTCTTGGAAGGAGCCTAAGAGAGCATCGAATCCAAGAAGTTTGGGGATGATAAATGTGAGGCACATGTATCACCTGTTATCTATGTCCACAGTCCACTCAATACTGCAACCTGGTCCAAGATGAATCCTGTGGCATTGGGTTTATCTGTTAACAGTTTATAAGAAGACCACATTCTAGATCAACTGGAGCAAAATACTTCAACTTTTTACACCAGGGAACCAGGGATGATGTATGTGCTCTAAGGAACTGGAATGGAGGAATATACTTTATGTAAAGAAGGAAGACCAGAAATCCCAATATTAGATTGGAAAAAAAATCCTCTTCGTCTTCTGCCGGGCCCGCCCAGCAGACCCTGGCCAAATGACAGATGAAAAAACGTACACAGACACAGGTGTTTTGCCTGGCCGCGCGGCTAGGGGACCGAGCCACTCACAGACATCAAGGAGGATGCCGTAAAGAGTCACAGAGGCCGCAGCCTTGACAAGCGGCCGCTACAGTCATTTATTCAGTACAGATATAAAGACAAAGGCCTTGAGGCAACACACTTGTAGGTAATTAATATGGTTGCGCCCCGCCCCCCGCCCCGCCCCCAGGTTCAGAGGCCTAAGTAAACTAACTTACCTTGATCAATTCTCTTACACTTCCTTGTTATCTACTCTTAGAGAATTCAGCTGCCTTCAGCCCAATCCTTTCCCAAAGCTTCTGCAAAACCTCCCAGCCTTCCAGGAATGTTTCCATCTTTCTATAATTTTTCCCACCACCCTGACCGATCTCCTACAATCTCCAAAATTGTGAAATAGAAAATCAAGCTATTACAAGTGGCAGGGGGAACCTACCTGTGGTGGCATTTCTGTTAAATAATAATGTGTACGTGATTGAGCTTTGTAAACTAAAAATAACTAGAAAAGGGAAGTGATGCTCTGGAGTGGCTTTAGATTTGAGTGTTTACTTCACTATACATACATATTTTTTTCCTAAATACAAATATGATACGTCCATTTAGAATATTTGGAAAACAGAAGTGAAAGATTTTTTAAAGAGAGAGAGAAATATTCAACCATAATAAGCCTTCCACTTAGAACTGATCACTGTTAACAATTTGGTGCACTACATACTAGTATTTAATTCATATGCAGATCTGTGCCTTGTTTATAAATAAAAGTGAGACCCTTTTCCTTTCTTTTTACTTGGCAATACATTGTGTGCTTTGCCATTTCATTTTATTCTTAAAACATTAAAGACTGCATTAAATTCTACTGCTTTTCATCAATTCTCTAAAGTTAAAAACTTAGGTCTTTGTATTTCCACTATTTCAAATAAAAGTGTGGATTGATATCCTTGATTTTGTTTGCATTTATTTGTGTGCTAGTAAGACTAATCATTTTTCATGTTTTGGGCCATTTACACTTCTTTTGTATATTGGTTTCATGTTACTGTCCATTTTTTTCCTAGAGTATTAAGCTTTTTAAAAGACCTCTTTACATTAAATATATTAATCCATCCTCTGTCATATACATTTAAAATATCATTGATTTGTCTTATTTCATTTAAGGTATTTTCTTCAAGAGGGGAGGCCTTTAGTTTTTATGTAGCTAAATTTTTTCCTTCATGGCTTTTGTTTTTGGTGACAAGTTTTGAAAGATCTCTGTGCTGCAACTACATATACATATTCAGCAGTAGTTCCATTTAGTTCTTTTAACGAGCATTGTTTAAAAGCGTGGGGACTGGAAGCCATTCCTAACACTGACCTTAATCTTATGATCTATTCTGCCTCCACTGATCTATGATTAATCTGATCTGTGCTTTAATTTCTTTATCATAAAACTAATAAGTAGTACTAGTATTTGCCTCACAGAGCAGTTAAAAGTAGTAAACTGGATAATCTATATAAAGTGCAAGGCATAATATCTGGCACATAATAAATAATAAATGCTAGGGATTATTTAACTCCCTAATATCTACGAACATTATTTTAGAGACTATGATACAAATAAATCTAAGTTTAATTTTCTCCAAATTTGTGCCAACACTATATTTTGAATAAAACATATTGTGTCTCACTAATTTTATATGCCACTTCTATTATATACTAAATGATTACAGGTGTTTGGATACATGTCTACACTTTTTATTGAAGTCTACTGATTTCCCTGGCTAGTAATATAAGTCTACTACAATATTAAAATCAGTATGGCTGAATAATATTTTAATTACTTTTAGTGCAATTATCCGTCCTTAATTATTCTTTTCTCAGAAAATACCCCTGACTAATCAGGCTGCCAAAACTTCTGGTTAAAGTTCCAAGAGGGAATTAACAAAAGTATATGAAACTGTCATTCTTATAACGAGCACTACCTTTAAATATTTTTTGGGAAAGTCCAAGGTGAACTTTTCTGCCCAAATTATATTTCACACCAATCACTTCCTAGTTTCTGTCCAGTAAAGTATAAATGTATAAGGGTCAGTATCAACTGTCAAAACAAATCAGGTTTTTCGACTGAACTCATTGAGATAGAGAATAGAAGGTTACCAGAGACTGGGAAGGGTAGTAAGAGAGATGGCATGGAGAGGAGGTGGGGATGGTTAATGGGTTAAAAAAATAGTTAGAAAGAATGAATAAGACATAGTATTTGATAGCACAACAGGGTGACTATAGTCAACAATGACTTAATTTACATTTTACTAACATTTTACTAAAAGAGTGTAATCGGATTGTTTGTAACACAAAGTGTAAACATAAACACTTGAACGGATGGATACATCATTTCCCATGATGTGATTATTATGCACTGCATGCCTGTATCAAAACATCTCATGTACCCCATAAGTATATATACCTACAATATACCTACACAAATTAAAACTTAAAAAAATCTCTTTATTTTCTTGTAAATGATCTTTATTGAATTTGAATTTTTATATCTTCTAATATAAAACATATGTTTTAAAAAACTCAGGTTTCTAAGTGTACCCTTGTAAAACATTTAAAGGCCAAAAGGAGAATACATTGTACCTTCTAAATCACTTTCTAAACCCAGCCCTGGGACCCTCAGGACTCCACTCATTACAGGATGGGGGTCAGCCAGCATGAATAGCCCCGGCTTCATTGGTGATCATGAGGAGCAAGAAAACAAACACCTGAAGAGCCTGAGAATGGAAGCCCAAGTGTCAGTTCTTCCTTGTAGTGCCTCTGCACTGTCGCAAATGGGCTGTGGGGAGACTTTATGTGCCTCACTCAGGGGGTTCGTCATGCCTCCTTCTTTGAGTAGGAAGAGGAATTGGAAATATACAAGCATCAGAAGTGTGACTGCCATACTCTTCCTCCCAAGAGAGCAGATTTAAAATCCACTCATAGAGATGGAAGTAAAAAAGCTCCCTAACAACTTGTTTCAAATCAATATGCCACTTTAATATGAGAAAGTTCCCATGTCTTCACAGTGGCTTCACAAGTGGATTTCTGTCTTGTCTCATATTTAATGATTCTATAACTGTGTGTGCAAAGCATATGATTTGATACATGACTAAAAAGGTATTGTTATTAACTGTTAAAATACCATGACTACATTCCTACTTTGCTCAGTTTTAATTTTATAATAAATACCTTAAGATTTTCCAAATTGCTCTAAATTTACATTTTGTAACAGGTTCTTCAAGTTTGTTTTGTTTTGTTTTTTATTTTCTCCAGGGATTGGGAAGCTTAAAGGAAAATAAGACTGCAAAGGGATCTCTTAATAGAAATGTATAAATTATGCTGAAGATAACAGAATAAGCAATGATAAAAACTGCAATTTTTCAAATTAAGTCTGGCCACCAAGTAGATTGGGAGTGTGAAAATGAAAGAAACCATAGGAAAAAAGTGTCTATGACATCTTAAGCCTCATCAGAGCTAGTGAAAGGAACATTAGCTTTAATCAGATGAATAGAAGCCAGGAAGGGAGGCTTCAAAAAAAAGTCCTAATAAAGGGGAGCATGAAACCATGGCTGAAACTCTGAAATGGAAGAAGGCTCAAGAGGTTTATTAGACTATTCAGAAAGAAATTTCAATTTTTCTTCTGCAAATAATTCAGAAAACAAAAAAGGTGGGGGCAGGAAGGCATATCTAAAGAGATCAATAGGAATCTCTGATGACCTCAAATTTCATGAGGATTTGTGCAAATCATAGAAGGACAAATAGTACAGAGGAGAATGTTCCTAAACTTAGAGTCAGGAAAGCTCAAAAACATAATAAGCTAAGGCTTGAAAATGTATAGACAGCAAGAAAAATATTCTATTTTTTTTTTCTTTTTAAAGTGCCATCCAGTACAACAAGAGTCGTAAAGCCAAGGAGCTTCCGTTCATCACAGAGGAAATGGATTATGAAATGTTTAGTGTTGATGGATGGGGTGTTGCTCTACTTCTCATTATTTTCTGTAATAGAGGACAACTGTCAATTAAAGAATGTTGGTGTCAATACTGGCATGAAGCCAGGCACGAAGCTGGACAGACAGGGATATTGTAAAATGCATTTTCTCACTCTGAAGGAATTAGAGACTCTCAGCCATGTTCACTTATGGGCGACCACATGTCCTCATTTGTCTGAGATATTCCTAGCTTATGCCTGCCTTTCTGGCATAGCTATTAATAGACCTCCTTTCCATTTTAAAAGATTTTAAGCACTGAGCAGACCAATATCAAGTTCCAAAGTTGAATCAGTAATACCAACAAACAAAAGCCCTACGGCAGATGGATTCATGGCCAAATTCCACCAGATAGACAAAGAAGAACTGGTACCAATCCTACTGACGCTATTCCAAAAAATGGAGGAGGAGGGACTCCCCTCTAACTCATTTTATGAAGCTAGCATAACCCGGATACCAAAAGCTGGCAAAGACACAAAGAAAAAAGAAAACTACAGGCCAATATCCCTGATGAACATAGATTGAAAAATCCTCAACAAAATACTAGCAAACTGAATCCAGCAGCACATCAAAAAGTTAATTCACCATGATTAAGTAGGCTTCATTTCCAAGATGCAAGCCTGGTTCAACATATGCAAATCAATAAATGCGATTCACCACAGAAACAGAACTTTTTAAAACCACATGTAATCATTTCAATAGATGCAGAAAAAGCTTTTGATAAAATCTAACAACCCTTCATGATAAAAGCTTTCAACAAACTAGGCATCAAAAGAACATATCTCAAAATAATAAGAGCCATCTATGACAAACTCACAGCCAACATCATACTGAACAGGCAAAAGCTGGATACATCCCCACTTAGAACAGGAACAAGACAAGGATGCCTGCTCCCACCACTCCTATTCAACATAGTACTGGAATTCCTAGTCAGAGCAACCAGGCAAGAAAAAGAAATCAAAGGCATCCAAATAGGAAAATACATCATCAAATTATCTCTCTTCACTGACAATATTATTCTATACCTAGAAAACCATCTCAGACTCCACCAAAAGGCTCCTATTCTGATAAATGACTTTAGTAAAGTGTCCGGATACAAAATCAACGTGGAGAAATCAGTAGCATTTCTATACACCAATAATGCTCAAGCTGAGAGCCAAATCAAGAACATGATCCCATTTACAATAGCCACACATACACACAAATCTAGGAATATATTTAACCTAGGAGGTGAAATATCTCTAAAGGGACTACAAGACACTGCTGAAAGAAATCAGAGATGACACAAACAAAACAAAAAACATTCCATGCTCATGGATTAGAAGAATCAATATTGTTAAAATGGTCATACTGCCCAAAGCAATCTACAGATTCAATGCTATTCCTATCAAATTATCAATGTTATCTCTCATAGAGTTCGAAAAACTATTCTAAAATTCATATGGAACCAAAAAAGAGCCCAAATACTCAAAGCAATACTAAGCAAAAAGAACAAAGCCAGGGGCATTGCATTATTCAATTTCAAACTATACTTTAAGGCTAAAGAAACAAAAACAACATGGTACTGGTATAAAAACAGACACATAGACTAATGTAACAGAATAGGAAACCCAGAAATAAAGTCATCCAATCTTCAACAAAGTTGACAAAAATAAGCAATGGAAAAAAGGCTCCCTGTTCAATATATGGTCCTGGGATAACTGGCTAGCCATATGTGGAAGAATGAAACTGGACCCCTACCTTTCACTATATACAACAAATAATTGAAGATAGATTAAAAAGTTAAATATAAGACCTCAAACTATAAGAATCCTAGAAGAAAACTTAGGAAATACAATTCTGGTCATTGGCCTTGGGAAAAAAAATATGAGTAAGTCCTCAAAGGCAACTGCAATAAAAATAACAATCAATAACTAGGACCTAATTCAACTAAAGACCCTCTGCACAGCAAAAGAAACTATCAAACTGCAAACTACAGAATGGGAGAAAATATTTGCAAACTATGCATCCAACAAAGTTCTAATATCCAGAATCTATAAGGAACTTAAACAATTCAGCAAGACAATTGTAAAAACCAATAACTCCACTAAACAGTGGGCAAAAGATATAAATAGACACTTCTTAAAACACAAAAGCAGCCAAAAAACATGGAAAAATGCTCAACATCATTAATCATCAGATAAATGCAAATCAAAACTACATGAGATACCATCTCACACCAGTCAGAATGGCTATTATTTAAAAGTTAAAAATAACAGATGTTGGTAAGGCTGTGGAGAAAATACACTGTTGGTGGGAATGTAAATTAGTTCAGTCACTGTGGAAAGCAGTCTGGAGATTTCTCAAAGAAGTTACAACAGAGCTACCAATCAACCCAGAAATTCCATTACTGGGCAGATACCAAAGGAACATAAATCATTCTACCAAAAAGACACATGTGCTTGTATGTGCATTGCAACACTATTTGCAATAGCAAAGACATGGAATCAACCTGGGTGCCTATCGACAATGGACTGGGTAAAGAAAACCTAATACGTATTCACCATAGAATACTATGCAGCCATAAAAAAGAATGAAGTCATGTCCTTTGCAGCACTGTGGATGCAGCTAGAGGCCATTATCCTAAGAAAATTAATGCAGGAACAGAAAACCACATACTGCATGTTCTCACTCATAAGTGAGAACTAAGCATTGGGTACACATGGACATTAAGATGAGAACAACAGACACTGGGGACTACTAGAAGAAGGAAAGAAGGAGGGCGGAAGACGCAAAAATCTATTAGGTACCATACTCACTAACTAAGTGATAGGATCATTTACATCACAAAACCTTAGCATCATGCGATATACCTAAACATGCACTTGTACTCCCTGAATCAAAAATAAAAGTTGAAATTATATAAAATATAATATTAAATTATATAAAATAAAACTATCTTTATTTGAATGACAAATTATGTAGTCATCTTTAACATATATCAACATGCCAAGAGTACTGCATGTTTTATTGTTTTCAATAATCTTCTTGATAATCTGAGGAACAGATTATCAAACAGATTTTTGTGATGACTTTGAAAGAGAGAAAGCAAACAGAAAGAGGAAACATGGGTTTTTAAAGACTAAATTAGGTGAGAGCCTCCTTATTTCTTTCTTCATTAGGGCTATTGCAGTACATGTCATGGGATTTCTGTAGATAGATCAAATATGGATTTTAACAAGACCTCAGACAAAGATCTTTTTGATAGTTAGAGTCAAGGACGGAAATATGAATTGTCATACAGTCTGATGTATTTTAATGAGTTGAATGGCTATTCCAAATAGTGTTGACTAATGTTTACTAATGAGCAATGTCAACTCTGCCCTTGGTACTGTCCTTTTCAATATTTTTATCACCAAATTGTATTAAGACATGCTGATCAAAGTTGTATCTGATGCACGGTAATAGCAGATATTGAGATGACAGAGTCAGGATCCAAAATTATCTCATCAGACTAGGAAAATGTGCCAAGCCTGAAAAATTAAATTTCATGGGGAAAAACAATTTCACAGGGAGAAACTTATTTTTCCAAAGACCAGTTGCACAAAAATAATAAGAGAAAATATGAGATGAAAGAAAGAACGTTTTTGCTGATTAAAAATCATAATTGGTGAACTGGCCACAAAAGCATTAATATCAACATTAAGAGGCTGATGTATCAATCCTACTGCGTCCAGCATGTCACACCCAAAATAACATGTTCCACTCTGGGAACCTCAGCTTAAGCAAGATAGTGGCAAACTGAGAACCATACAAAAAAATAATAGGAGAGTAAATTCTAACAGTGATTTAAAAAAAAAAGAATAAGAACAAAAATAGTAACAACACAGATTTGCAATCCCTTATCTGCAGTTTTAAAATCCAAAGTGTTTGAAAACCAAAAATATGTTTAATTTTTGTCAAATCCTGACCTGAAATAGAGAAGGTATCTATGCTCTTTATCTATTTCAACTTGTTGTACATATAATTTGCTGTACATATTTGCATAAATATTAATATACTTGATTATGGGATTCTGCCTTATGCTCCATTGGGGATATTACATAATATCACCAGTGTATCTCTGTATTGCCTTTAAGAAAAACCCAACAATAGGAATTTCAAAATATAGCTGGTCTCAAGGTTTGGAGTAAAGGATTTTGACCTAATGGTAATAACAACAATAATGATAATAATAACAGATAACACAAAAATAGCACTTACTATATGTCAGACACTGTCCTAGGAACTTAGCATATATTAATTCATTCAATTTTTGCAATAACCAGAGATGTATATACCATTATTATTATCCTCACTCTACAATAAAGTAAACTGAAGCACAAAGATTTGCCCAGAGCCACATACTAAGATGCTATTTGAATGTTAATATGATACTTGAATAGTTGTCTTCAAGTTGAAACATTGTACGTGGAAGTAGCAGGAAGCAGGATGCCTACAAATGTAAAGCTTAATTGGGGTGTCACTGTAGAATGTTCTTAAAATATTTTGAAGCTTACAGAAATACACCTTGAAGCAAATTATTTTTGCTTGAGTAGTCTTTCTTTGTAATTTTAGAAGGAAAATGTGCCAATTATTCAGGGAGGATCAAAACAGAAAATAATTTTGTAATTGATCAAACCACAACTTCCTAAAGCTACTACAATGCAAAGTTGAAGCTTCAGAAGGAAAAGAGAATGAGAATCTGACAATGGACTTCCAAGATTCAAAGCTGAGGAGAAGGTGGAAGGGAAGCACAACTTCACCTTAATGAAAAGGAAAAAGAATGATGTAGGCTGGTGAGCCAGGCCCAAGACAGGTATTTAAAGGCAAAGCTGTTGGGCACAGCTTCTGACTAGTACCAAGAACTGCTCTGGATGCAAGGCACTGTGGGGAGACTTCGTGGCACAACAGCTGAGCATGTTTGTGTGAACTGAATATCCACGGTGGTGTCACCAGTGCATCCAGACCAGCAGTAGCCTCACCATGGCAGAGGACAGGATGCAAGAGCAACATGTGGCCACGGGAAGCAGCAAGAACAGACTGCCATACTTTTGCTTCGACCTTTATCTGTTGTTAGAAGCAAAAACCACACCCTGTGTGGACTGAATACACCAGCAACCTACTGAGACAGCGAAGGGGTGCCTGGAGAAACTCCAAGCAGCCTGCCCACTGGGGTGGAGCCACAGAAGTTCCAGCCCTTTGCAGCGGTGAGGAGCCGGGCTCCTCCTCTTCCTGGGTGGAACCTGGGATTCCGACAACCCAGCGGGAAGTGCTCTAGCGGGGATTCTGGGCTTGTGAGAGTCCCTGTTTACCCCCCTTTCTTCCTTTTCATCCATTAAAACCCTACTTTACTCACCATTCAAACTGTTTGTGAGCCTAAATTTTCATAGCCGTAGGACGGACAAGGACCCCATCGCTAGCTGAACTAAGGAAAAGTCCTGAAACATTTTTGGCCTGCAACGTGGGGACTCAAGAAGCAGTGAGTGAAATGGGGACTGAAACTCTTACTGTTCCTTCTAAGCCTTTACATCCCTGGACTTCTGAGGGTGGAGAACCATGCCCCCAACCCCCTGTCTCCCCCAGGCCTTTTCATGCCTTTTCCTTCCTTTTTCGAGACCCACCTGTGAGCAGCAGCTCCCCACCGCCACCCCCATCCCTGCCAGCACTGGGACGCATGGCCCAAGGGTCCTGCACAGCCACTGGCTGGTTCGCAGCCAGGCATGCTGCCGCAGCCTTCCACCTCCCTGGTCAAGGGGTTCAGCTCCATCAGACAGTAAATAAGCTTTTCTCTTGGTGGAGGGACCACTTATCTAAGAATAAGAGGTTCTTCCCCAGGCATTTTTAAACTGTTCTTTTTTCTTTCCCCTTCTCCATTCTGTTGGCAGTTAACTTTTAAAGTTTTTTTTTAGATGTTTTACTAGGCCAGGCTTCACCCAGCAACTGGGTTTCCTTTTGCCTGTCTGTGTATTGTGTGTAATGTCTGTCAAAAGAGCTCTAATTATTATTGATGGACATTTGGGTTGGTTCCAAGACTTTGCTATTGTAAATAGTGCTGCAATAAAGATAAAGAAAATGTAACACATATATACCATGGAATACTATGCAGCCATAAAAAAGAATGACATCATGTCCTTTGCAGAGACATGGATGAAGGTGGAAGCCATCATTCTCAGCAAACTAACACAGGAACAGAAAACCAAACACTGCATGTTCTCACTCATAAGTGGGAGTTGAACAGCAAGAACACATGGACACAGCAAGGGGAACATCACACACCCGGGCCTGTTGGGGAGTCAGGGGCAAAAGGAAGGAGGGCATTAGGACAAATACCTAATGAATGTGGGGCTTAAAACCTAGATAACGGTTTCATAGGTGCAGCAAACCACAATGGTACATGTATACCTATGTAACAAACCTACACATTCTGCACATGTATCCTGGAACTAAAGTAAAATTAAAAATTTTTAAAAAAAAGTCAACAAGAAAAAAAAAAGCTGTAATTAATTTGGCCAAAAGAAAGACAATTGCTTGGATCTGATGTTTTTAAAGGGAAGATAAAATCTATGGTACCTTTCAGTTCATGTGACTTTAATCTTTAAGAAATAAAAACACCCCTAAGGACTATTAGTAAAATGCAGGTCAGATGCAAAGTTTTCTAAGTGTTGTGAGTTTACAAACTGCTTTTTGGGTTTTGAGAACTATTTGACTTGCTGGCTTCACAATTGGTAAGGCCTGGGGACTATGGAACTAACTATGCCCCTTATTATGCTATAGTCAAACCTTGGTTGCAGTTAGCACACAATTAAAGCAACTTAACAAGTTTCACCTTAAAGATAACAATTGCTGGGGTTACCATTATAACAGGTAATTGAGACTACTCAAAATAGATTTACATGCAAGGGGTATAAGAACAGTAAAATGTGCTTTTTCTTTGTAAAATGTTATAAGAAGGCATGGAAATATAAATTTTTGCCTAGGGTTAAAGGATTGTTTTAAATTAGATAAGAGAAAGCCGAAGGTTCAAACAAGTGGTAGAAGAACTGGGGAAATTAATCTTGCAGAAGAGGTTCTCTGGGTGAACATATTGACTAACTTCAAAAAAGGGTATTATATGGTTTTTCTGTAAATTGAACATTAAAATATAAGAACAACAAGGTATTCTTAAAATGCTAATCTGCTCCTTAACAAAATTCAAAAGGGTTATAAAAGGTTTTTGCTTCTTTAAAATTTCTGAGTCATTTTGGCAAAATAAATAATTTATGGTAATCTGGAATTCTATTTCATAATATTAAGTGCTTTAAACATATTTAACAGCTTTCCCAAAATCAAACTTCAGTTTCAAAATTGTCTTCCCTGGCACCTGGTTTTTTGAATACTTCAGAGGGCCCCTGAAGTGTCTAGAAAAGAGAGGTAAAAAGGATTATTTGACATGTTTAGGTATATGAGATTGCCAAAATGATGCTCAATCTTCTTTAGGTTATATCTTGGTGGATAATACTAATATATGTTCCAAAATTGTATGGGATTTCTAAAATTCTAAGGTCTAAGTATATGCCATAAATCATAATTAAGGTTGTTATGTTAAGTTATTGTAAAACAGAGATAACAAAACTTCTTTGTCAATTGTGTGTCTAACTGTAACTACCCTGGACATTTTGTTATTCACAGACGATTGTTGTCTTGTTTTAATCCTTTCAAAAGATGGTTTATAATAAGCTATACAACTTTAACAGGTACTTTCAAATACAGGCTTCTGATAACTTTAGAGACTGTAACATTGGAATAAAGGAAAAAGTACAGGACTCATAAAGAGCTGAAATGTTCATGAATGTCAAGCAAAACAAGAGTTAAGTAAATGGACTGAACTCAGGAAGCTAAAGCAAATCTTTTTGACTTTTGCTTGGAATATTGATGATCCTTGCTTTAGTTTTTTTTATAGTCAAGGAAACTTAGTTTGAACTATTTACGACCTTTAATAATTAAGTGAAGTATACACTCCTGTGGTCAAAATTTGGAGCATGTTTGTTTCTCTCTGCCTGGTTCCTCTAGAATTTGGAAACTATCTGTCAGTATTCTTATGGCAATATAGTTGTTTGCATCAGTACAATAAGAATCCATTTTTCTTTTGCAACAGGACACAATTAGAGAACGTAGTTATTTTACCAGGGTTTTGACTGGAAGGGTATGCTTCCCTTTAAGGAGTCAATCTTGACTTGCAGAGCCAATAAAAATCTAGTGGGAAACTGGCCTCATACCCTTGTCCATGTAGTCCCTGTACAGGGTTCTTGACCTGTGGTCAGTAAAGAATGTCACTTTCTAACAGGTCCAGGAGCTCCAAGTTTGTCTTGGGACCTTAAGAGGAGAAAATCACCCAACTCACGGGTATTTGACAATACAAACCCATGGCTGGGCTTGGCTTTAAAAGGTCTTATCTAAGATTCCTTGGGAAACAGAGTTCCATGAAAGCCAATTCAAAAGGCCTATGTAGAAATAGTTATTCTTGCTGCACTTTATGCAAATAACCAGGCCAAGTATAAGACTAAAGTCTGTTTTATAAATCATTCCATCATGATGATATTTAACAAAAATGAGGACTTGCAAGAGAGAAATCACGTTTCAAAACTTATCATATGCTTGTCATTAAATTCTAAACTCACCAGTCATTTTCAAGTTTTCACCTACATTTTAGATCAACCCTACTTGTTCCTGTGAACCAACCACTGATCCCCAGCTGCAGCTCAGAAAGAACAAGAGGGATGGGTAATGTAGAAATCTGGATCAATAGTCTAGTTCTGAACAGTTATCCTACAAATCCTGCCAGGTAGTGGGAATAAATAGGATGCCCATAACCCAGAGGTTTCCTTTTTGGGAAAGTAAGACCAACGTAGCTAACCAAAGCTAAGTGTCATCCACCGAAATCCCAGCAAGCATAACTATGGCTACCAGTTATCTGGGTGTGTCACAAGACATCCATTCCTCTCTCTTGTTGGAGGAGAACTCAGCTCCAGTTTGACCTTAGCATTTGGCTTATGACAAGGAGTCCATGCGACCCCCGCTGAGACACATTTTTGTCTGAAACTCAATTCCAAGCTTCAGATAAAAACCCTAGGAAGGAAAACTGGATCTGAGGGATCCAGAGGCAGACAATAACAGAAGTTAAAAGGCATAGCACATGTGAGCATGGCTGATTTCTACCGATTAAACCAACCCCAAGCTTTCATGAATAAAGGCCATGTTAATATCCATAGCATAAATGAGGACTAAGGAACTCCAAGGCTACTGACAGTAGCGGAGATAGTGGCATAGGTGAGAGTGGGTAATTCCTATTCTCTAGGTCCTCCCTGCTTCATGGGTGCAAGTCACTTTGACACCCATGGTGGCATCTGCCGAGGTCACTGGACCCTGGGGATGCAAGGACAGAAGAGGAAAAGAGGATGCTCTTCCCTCTCTTCCTCATGTACTGTGGGTATCTGCTAGGAAAAGAAAGGAACCAGGGATGCCTGCTCCCCTTTTTCTAGATGGGTAGCCATTTATATTCACTCTGTACCCCTTTAGACTGCATCCTAAACCCCTGGGAATCCTTTAAAAGGCACCTTCTCTTTTCTCTTCCTCTGGTCTCTCTTCACAAATAGGTAATCATGTCTCTGTACTATTAGACACTTCCCTCTAATGAATCCTCCAAACTGGGAAAAGTTAATTTTCCAAACCTTAAACTTGTTGGCTCAGGATCAAGCTCAGCGGGAAAGGAACCCAGAAGCACAACATGCTGGCAAAAGGGTAAAGTTCCTCTTCCAGTAGGGCTTTTGGCTTCCCTCTCCCTATGCAAACTGGTAAAAGGCCTTGGGATTTTTGAGCTATCCTTACCCCTCCCCTTGTTTCATTTTGATACATGTTTTCTAATAACGTGGTGTATCTGTTCTTACTTTCAAGCATCAAACTCCAAACACTCCTGTAACCAGAGCCTCTCACATGGCCCCTTCTACTAGGAACCCTTAGATAGGCCTCTGAGGGTGATCTGCCTGCTGTTTCCCCAAAACAGTGCCCCCTTATCAGGCGAAAGCAGTTAAGATAGTTCTTTGTCCCTATCCTTAATCTAATGGCAGTTAGATGTATTTCTCTAGAAGGTGGTATGAGACAGCCAGGTGGGAGGGGGTGCCTGGAGAAACTCCAAGCGGCCTGCCCACTGCGGTGGAGCCATGGAAGTTGGCACCCTTTGCAAGCAGGGAGGAGCTGCGGTCCTCCTCTTCCTATGTGGAACCTGGGATTCAAACAACCTGTCAGGAAGCACTCTAGCAGGGACTCTGGCCTTGTGAGAGTCCCTGTTTCTCCCTTTTCTTCCTTTTCCCCCAACAAAACCCTCCTTACTCACTGTTCAGATGATCTGCAAGCCTACGTTTTTATGGCTTTGGGACAGACAAGGACCCTGTCTTTAGTTGAACTAAGGGTAAGTCCTACAACACTACTTGGGCAATTTAGGGAAATACTTTCAAGTGGGAGATAATGGATTTAGAGGATGTATACACAGGTGTCTTGCAAAGTGGATCCACTTAAGGTAGCCATGTAATGCACAATGGTTTGAGACAAATTCTATGTTGCCTCACTAGAAATAGACTTTACTGGAGAAAGAGGAAACATGCAAAGACAGGATCAACACACCAAGAACACATGGATTCCCATCCTCCCACTGTCTTTATAGACAGGTGTGTGGGGCCGAGTGAGCTGCTAGATACAAAGTGTAGCTTGCTATGCTTTTTCCTTTTAGAAAGCAAGATCATGCTTATCAAATTCGTCATGGTAGATGCTGAATTTTAATAACTGATAACTTTTTAGTTGTTATTTTGAGTGTTTTAATCCCTCCTAATGTGTTGCTCCAAATTCTAACATTTAATAGCATGTATTAAATATAAAAGTTAAGGAGATAGTGGGAGAGGTAGACTATATGACCTCTAAGATACTTTCCAACTCAGCGTCTTTAGTTTTATGAGACACTCTGGAGAAGTATTACATATTATTAATATTTTCCCTAATCTTAGTTGGCGTTCGATTAGCCTTCTTCACTGATACTGCACACTGACTTGAGAACTTAAATATATCAATATAGACCTTTTCCTCAATTCTATTAACTGATTCAGTACAATATAAACTGCACTCCAGTTGAACATCATTTCTACCTAACTCAAACACTACAATTCAATCTCTTCCGATTCTTATTCCATCTCTCAACCTGCTGGCCAGTTCCCATTTATTTTCTTTCCCTACTCACGCCACTGATTCCACAAAATCCATACTCCAGCTCTACTGTACTGCTTACTAGAGATTTAATAATCCCCAAATAGCAACTAAGTAGACTTACAGATGTCTGTGTTGTAACAACTGAGGAATATAAAAGGCAGCGTGTTTTTCCCTAGTCATAATCCTTAAATGAAGCTGATAACGTTTACTGTGAACTATTTGAGATTCTTTCTCCCCTAAATAAGAGGGTACATTGTCTTCCCTTCAGTTGGTACACCCTCAAATTTGAATCTACAGAAACACTCACTGTTTGTGTCTATACTCAAAGCATCTTAATAGCACTGGTTTCACATTAGGTATCACATTAATAAGACCACTGAATGGGTCAAACTTAGGTTTCTAAGAAATCTATTATACTATAAGAAATATACTGGAGAAATAATTAGTTGCAGGTCTTGGCATTCAAGAACTCACAGTATAAAAATAAAAAATAACTATAATTTAATGAAATAAGTATAATAAAGGAAAAAAGTACAATTGGCCTTCCCAAGAATATCATGTAGCCCCCAGAAAAAAAAAGAAAAATTAGAGTAAGCAACCATGGCAACAAGGCAGGCTGCTGGCCATTTAGCCAAATTACATAGATCAATGTTAGCTGGCAATCACCGTCAGATTTGTACATAGTAAGCACAAAACCTAGATAAGGAAAAATAATAGGGGGAAAAAAGAATCAGAATTCTGGTCACATTTCTCGTTAGAGAGCTAAAGTACATAGACATGCCATAAATGTAGGAATGGATATGGGCCAAATATTGATCCCTTCATTCTTCAAGGGCTAGGGTGAGGAGAAGAAAGGAACTTCCAGGCAAGTCACTTTGTGTCTCAAATAATCTTTTATGAACTGAACGTTCGTGTCCACCCAAAACTCATATGTTGAAATTCTAACCCTAAATGTAATGCTATTTGGAGGTAGGGCCTTTACAAAGTACATAGATCAAGATATCAGTAGTTACCTTTGGTTTGAAGCAACAACATTGATGCAAACCAAACATTAGCAACATTTAGATTTTACAGGAAGAAACAGAAATCCTGAACAGACCAATAACACACAGCGAGACTGAACCAGTAATACCTTAAAAAAAAATCTCCCTACAAAACAAAAACCAAAATCAGATGGATTCACAGCCAAATTCTACCATATATTCAAAAAGAATTGGTACCAATCCTACTGAAACTATTTCAAAAGATTGAGAAGGAGGAATCCTCCCTATCTCATTACAAAGCTCATATCAAACTGATACCTAAGCCAGGAAAGGAAATAACAGCAAAAGAGAAAACTATAGGTCACTATCCCTGATGAACATAGATGCAAAAATCCTCAACAAAATACTAGCAAGCTAAATCCAATAGCACATCATAAAAATAATTCACCACGATCAAGTGGGTTTCATCCTAAGGATGCAGGGATGGTTCAACAAACACAAGTCAGTAAATGTGATTCACTGCATACATAGAAGTACTAACAAAAACCATATGATCATCTCAATAGATGCAGAAAAATATTTTCTAAAATCCAGCCTCCCTTTTTGGTAAAAATCTTCAACAAACTAGGAATAGAAAGAACATAGCTCAAAATAATAAAAGCCATCTATGACAAACCCATAGCCAGCATAATACTGAATGGGCAGAAGTTGAAAGGCTCACCCCTAAGAACTGGAACAAGATCAGGATGCCCACTTTCACCACTTCTGTTCAACAGAGTGCAGGAAGTCCTAGCCAGAGCAGTCAGGCAAAAGAAAGAAGAAAGGTCATCCAAATAGGAAAAGAGGAACTCAAACTATTTCTGTTTGCTGATGATATAATTTTATATCTAGAAGACCCTAAAGACTCTACCAAAAGACTCCCAGATTTGATAAATTCACTGAAGTCTCAGGTTATAAAACCAATGTACACAAATCAGTAGCACTGCTATACACTGATAACAACCAAACCAAAAACAAATCAAGAACCCAATCCCATTTATTATAGCTACAAAGAACAAATGAACCTAGGAATATACTTAACCAAGGGGGTGAAAGATCTCTACAAGGAGACTATCACATGCTGCTGAAATAAATCACACAAACACATGGAAAAACATCCCATGCTTATGAATGAGAAGAATTAATATTATGAAAATGGCCATCCTGCCCAAAGCAGTCTGCAGATTCAATGCAATTCTTATCAAAATACCAACATAATTTTTCACAGAACTAAAAAATATCCTAAAATTCATGTGGAACCAAAAAAAGAGCCTGAATAGCCAAAGAAATACCAAGCAAAAAGAACAAAACCAGAGGAATCACATTACCTGACTTCAAATTATACTACAAGGCTATAGTAACCAAGACAGCATGGTACTGGTATAAAAGTAAATACATAGAACAATGGAATAGAATAGAGAACTCAGAAATAAAGCCAAATACTTACAACCAACTGATCTTCTACAAAGCGGACAAAAACATACACTAGGGAAAGGACACTCTATTCAATAAATGGTGCTGGGTAAATTGAAAGCCACATGTAAAAGAATGAAACTGGAGCTCTATCTCTCACTACATATAAAAATTAACTCAAAGTTGATTAAATACTTAAATGTAACACCTGAAACCAAAAAGCCTCTAGAAGAAAACCTAAGAAAAACTCTTCTGGACATTGGCCTAGGCAATGAATTTGTGGCTAAGACCCCAAAAGCGAATGCAATAAAAAGAAATAAATGAGGCCTAATTAAACTAAACAGCTTCTGCATAGCAAAATAATCAACAGAGTAAACATACAACCCACAAAATGCGAGAAAATATTTGCAAACTATACAATGACCAAAGGTCTAATATCCAGAATCTACAAGGAATTCAAATCAGCAGGAAAAAAATGATACCATTAAAAAGTGGGACATGAAGAGACGTTTCTGAAAAGAAGATACACAAATGACCACCAAATATATGAAGAAATCTTCAACATCACTAATCATCAGGGAAATGTAAATTAAAACCACAATGAGATACCACCTATTCAGTCAGAATGGCCATTATTTAAAAAATCAAAACACAATAGATGTTGGCACAGATGTAGTGAAAGGGAACACTTACACACCGGAGATTGGAATATAAACTAGTACAGCCTCTATAGAAAATAGCACGGAAATTTCTCAAAGAACTAGAAGTAGGTCTTCCATTCAATCTAGCAATCCCACTACTAGGGGCATCCACCCAAAAAAAAAAAAAAAGCCATATCAAAAAGACACCTGCACGCATATAGTTATCACAGTACAATTCACAATTACAAAGATACGGACTCAACCTAAGAGCCCATCAACTGATGAGTGTATAAATAAAACGTCATATATATACACCATGGAATACTACTCAGCCATAAAAAATAATGAAATAATATCTTTTGCAGCAACTTGGATGGAACTATAGGCTATTATTCTAAGTAACTCACAAACAGAAAACCAAATACCACGTGTTCTTATTTATAAATAGGAGCTAAGCTATGGGTACACAAAGGCATGCAGAATGGTATAATAGACATTGGAGGCTCAGAAGGAGTTTTGAGGCGGAGAATGAGGGATAAAAAAACTACCTATTAGGTACAACATATACTATTTGGATGACAGGTATCCTAAAAGCCAACTTCACCACTATACAGTTCATCCATGAAACCAAAAACCATTTGTATTCGTAAAGGTATTGAAATAACAAATTAAAACAAACTAACTGTTCACCAAGCTCCCACAGTCGTGTAAGGTCAAGTCCCTGGAACAACTCTCATCTCCTATAGCAGCTCTCACTGTTTCCTCTGATGGAATCCCGACTGATAACTAGGGGCATGGAAGAGGCATCCTGGGCACTGGGAACATTCTACTTATTAACCTGATGGTAGTTATGATGGTGTTCGCTTAGTGCAGATCAATTAAGCTTTAAATCAATGTTTTGTTCAATTTTCTCTATGTGTGCTCAATTTCACAATAGATGTTTTTAAAACTCAAAAAAATAAGATTTTATATTTAGTACTGGAGTTTGATCATTTTTCTTTGTAAACTTCTTCTGAAGGTTAGGATTTACGCAGATCTAAAAAAAGACACTTCCACTCTTTACAGTTTATTTTTTATATTTAAGACATACCTGGTTTATGTTTAATAGTTGATAAGTAGATATAGACTAGTGTTCTTGATTCAAAGAAAACAAAGAATACCGTGGAGTAATCTGATTCTGAAGTATCTTTGGTCATGTTGTAACTGCTGAGTAGCTCACGTCTTTCATCCATAAAAAAGCCACTGAGTGTTATATTTGTGTGAAGTTGGAAGGAGAAATGTGTTGATTCTGAAACATTCTTTTGGGGGGCAAGGAGAGGAAAAATTACAATGAAGCAGAATTTTTTAAGAGAAATATCTTTATCCAAACTTAAAGCACTTTTCAAACAGCAGCTCTCCTCTTTCTGATAAACTAAGAGCACTTCTCAGAAGTACTCTGTCAAAAAAAATTATTTTGTAAACAGTTTTCCATTAAGTGGTACTCAGCTGCCTGGAGGACCCATCTTCAGTGTGCTTGCCACTTCCTTCTTTTTGACAGATATCCAGGTTGCGGTGACAGTTGCATACAGTATCTTAATTTCAGGAAGAGATGGAATTTTCCAAAATTGACTAACAGTGAGGAGTGGGAGGTTGCTCCAATTAAGCACTCGGTCCTCTCTATTGTATTAAATTTAAATGATAAAAATATTGTAACTGGTAATTTGGAAACTGTTTTTAAGTATAGAAATGTCTTTGTCTAAAACTCTTGTAAATCATTAATAAGAAATTAAAACATCCCACTTGAGTACCTTTATCTAATCCCATTTTTCCTTCAAGCTCCTCAGGCTTCTGCCAACAAAGCTTTCCATTGCATTGCTTATTTCTATTTTGCCACCATTTTTTTTCGCTTGACCTCCCTTATTAATTCAGTAAAGACTGTAGGCCATCTTCCAGGGTATGTGCTAGAACTACAGTTTAAAAGATGAGTAAGCATAGTACCTCCCTTCAAGAAGCTTGTGGTCCAATGGAGAATGCTCTGCTAGCCCATTTTTAAATTATTGCAGTTCATTTTTACATGTCTAAAATTATTGCATCAAATGTACATACTGCAGGAAATCTTTCCCACATGTGTATTTTATCTACTATTATTTTTGGACGCATGGACAAACAATTCATAATTAAAAGCTAGAATTTCCTCTGATATAAGATTTTAAATGAAGATACATTAAAACAAAATTAGTACAGAATTTAAGGGCTGGAAGAACTCTATAAAGACCTTTTAGTATAATGTTCTTATCTAACTGATGGAAACACTAATGCCTAGAGAGTGAAACAACTTTATTTACTCAACAAATATAAATGGAGCATCAACCATATGCCAGATAGTAAGGTAGAAGCTGGAAATATAGTGTTGATTAGGACCCACATTACTCAGCTGTAATTAGCAAATAATTAAATTATAATAATCACCATACATGAGAAGTACAAGATGCTGAAAGAACATAAAATAGGGTGATGAAACCCAATCTGTAGATGCAAGGGCTATTTTTCTCAGAGGGTCTCATTAAAGATGGAACTTAATAGGCTGGGTGTGGTGGCTCATGCTTGTAATCCCAGCACTTTGCAAGGATGAGATGGGCAGATCACTTGAGGTCAGGAGTTTAAGACCAGCCTGGCCAACATGGCAAAACCCCATCTCTACTAAAAAATAGAAAAATGAGCCAGGCCAGGTGGCAGGCACCTGTAATCCTAGCTACCCAGGAGGCTGAGGCAGGAAAATCGCTTGAACCCAGGAGGTGGAGGTTGCAGTGAGCCAAGATTGCTCCAGTGCACTCCAGCCTGGCAGCCTGGGCAAGAGAGCAGGACTCCATCTCAGAAAAAAAAAAAAGATGAAGATGGAACTTAATAAATAGGAGGCTCACCCCAGATTGCACAATGAGTGAGATGCGCAAATGGAACTGAAGTCAAAGTCCTTATAGCATGAGTGGCATATCTCTGCTATGGCAAGCTCCCAACTGGTAGTTATTTATGGTGCACGAACTATGAGATTATGAATAGAAAACTGTCAATCTCATTGACAGAAGACTGTCAAGAAGAGGTGAGAATATAAGCTCACCTCTAGTCCTGCCTGACCAGCCTGCTCAACCTTCAATAAGAGTGTTGAAATATATAACCCACATTTCTTTGATCAAGAAGAATTATTAGCATATGTTCAAGTTTCTAAATAATTGAGACTTGCTTTTTAGTTAGGTATCTTTAATGCCCTTTATGCAGCAAATAAATTATTATTATATAAAGTTTGTTTTGCAATACATATTACAGTGGAAGAAGTGCAGTATATTTCTACATTAAATGTGTGAATTTTTCCAATTATTTCTTTCTTATTGTTAGGTCTTGCCTCTCAGTGGCATACAAGACAATCCATTTAATAATGCCAAGTAAGGAAGGAGAGTTTTAGATTAATAACTCCTGTAAGTAACCTATTTGTCACTAATATAACCATTTTATCATTGTCTATCTGCCCTGGTGCACTGCTGACTAACATTATTAGTAGCATGCTTTGCTTAGGAGAATGTAAGAATAACTAATTTTGTGGTTTTCCCAGAAATATTTGTTTTCTCCAGCTTTTATTGGTATCCAGATACCACTCGTTCTAATAAAGCAAAGCCCTCAGTGCTTTTCAGAAGCCCCTGAAGTGTGTGTTTGGTTACTCTTTACGTGATTAATTTTCCCTTGTTAGTTGCTGTTCACACACACGTATGTATTCACCTGTGTATCACTACCGCCTTTCCCCTGTCCATTGTGTGATTGCTTTAAACAAGAAAAACCAAAATACATTTATTTTTAGAGTTTAATAAGAAGTTATTCAGGAACATACTTATAAGTACTTTAGAAATATTTGAAAGAACAGTAAGTAGGTAGAGAAAATAAGTGGTTAGGCAGCCAGCTCTCTGACTCCTTAATCCCTATATTTATTAGACCCCATTTTCTGCATACTCATTCTTGCCCTTTCTGCATTCTCTTTCTTGCCCCATATACTGATGCAGAATAGCTAGCCCACTAGAACTCCCCCCTATTATTTTAGGATTCCTCAATAGGTATCTCATGATTTAGCAAAAGTTGTTCTCTTCTGCTCTGTGGCAGCAGCATTTCTTCACCAGCTCTGACCCCCTTCTAAGAGTGGTCCATCCTCCACTCTCCACAATCCCCTGAGAGCTGCCACTGTTGTTGGTGTGCGTGAGAGCTAAATCTACCTAAGGTACTTTCCTCATGACTCCAAAGCTACTGGCCACCTCCTGGCAATGACATTTTAACATAAGATTGCAAACCAGACAGAAAAAGTACTATCCATGCATTATTATCCCTGGAGCTATTCCTCATCAGAGAAAACAAAAGCCAGGCTGAAACTCAACAACTTGGAGATTTGAGGGTTCTCCTTCAGACTGAATCAATCACCAGTGACAGAGCAGGGACTTTGTCTCATTCCCAAGTACACAGACTTCCAGGCATCACACTGAGGTGTATTTACTTTCAATTGCTAGATACATGCTTTAAGAGGCAGACACAAGAAGGATCCTTTTCAGTTGATAAATTCAAGAGCACAATAGCTTCAATGATCTCACCTTCTCTAAACACATACTTTTAATTGACAATGATTATGTATCCAGGCAAGTTTTCCAGAAAAAGAAAATCCATTCTTTAAACTTTGAAGGCTGTTTCCTTCTTATTTACTGTATTTATTATTTACGGTTAATTATCATGGGTAATTCCTCCTCCTTTATGAGTATGTTTTACTTGAATTTGATGAGCCATCCCAACCCAATATATAGAAATAAATTAGCAACTTCTCTAAATATAAAAAGTCTCATTCAAAGCCAGGAAACTTCAAAACTAAACTAGATAAATGTATATACCCTTAGTAGTTCCCAAAGCATTTCTGAATTATGGTACCTTTCTTAGCACTGATTCCTTACCGTATAAATGCTTATACACGTTTATTTTCCCTTCTATACTATTTAGTCCCTTTAGATCAGAGATAGAAATTATGTATTATTATATCCCTACTGTACTAAATATCTGACACACAATAGGCACTCTCTAAATATCTGAATGACTGAATGCATGAATGGAGAGTGAGCAACTAATAATGACAGCTGTCCTCTATTTAAGACATAATACATCTCAGGCACTGTCTTGGGCAATTTTCATAAACCATCTGATTTATTTCTCATGAGATCATAAGGGAGGCTTTATTATCCCCAATTTGGAGATGAGAAAACAGCTGCTTAGAGAGGTTAAGTTCCTTGGCAAAGGTTACAGATCTTGTAGATGATAGTTTTAATTTTAACTCAGTTGTTTCCTATGTAAAGCTTACACTCTTATTCACTAAGACAGGGGTCAGCAAAGAATGGTCGGCACTGTTTTTGCCTGCCAATATTTTAGCAAAGACAGTTTTCTGGCGACTCGGCCTCACCCATTCATTTACCTATTGTCTATGGCTGTTTTGAGGCTACAACAGAAAAGTTCAGTAGTTGCAACTGAAATAATCTAGCCTGCAAAGCTTAACATATTTATTATATGACTCCTTACAGAAAAAGTGTGTGGGCTGGGCGCGGTGGCTCACGCCTGTAATCCCAGCACTTTGGGAGGTCGAGGCAGGCGGATCACGAGGTCAGGAGTTTGAGACCAGCCTGGCCAATATGGTGAAACCCTGTCTTTACTAAAAATACAAAAATTAGCTGGGCATAGTGGCACGCCCCTGTAGTCCCAGATGCTCTGGAGGCTGAGGCAGGAGAATCGCTTGAACCTGGGAGGTGGAGGTTTCAGTGAACCTAGATCGTGCCACTGCACTCCAGCCTGGGCGACAGAGCAAGAATCTGTCTCAAAAAAAACAAAACAAAACAAAAAAAAGTGTGTGACCCCTGTGGTAGGATATACTGAATAAGCAGACCACAGCAGTCAGAAAAATGGTGAAGGAAAGGCAGGGAAACCTGCGCAAGTGAGAAACTTGTTCTCTACATTTGCTGAACCCACAATTGTTTCCTACTCCCCACCCTAACATAATTGAATTATTGTGGCATTAAAAAGTACCCAGGCAAGGCCTTAGTTTAAATCTAACCAGCCTTACATTAACCTGGTCTGTCTGTGCTGTTGCCTTAGCTCATTTTCTTCTCTGTTTGGTGCTATGACTAACTCATTCCCAATGAAGCCTCTGATATTTCAAGCTGAGAGAAGCTAAGGAGCTGAAACTCTTGTTAAACAATTCATTAGCTTTTCACAGGGCAGAGATAAGGTGATCACATTCTTCAACTCACAACATAAAGTGCAAAAGTATTTCAGACCTAGTGAGCCTTTCTCTTTTTCCTTAATTTTCCCTTATCCTTTTCTCCTAGGTGTTTCTTTCTCCCCTCCCTCCATCTCTCCACTTAATTGTTCACATGTAAACCTTACTGAAGGTCAAGTATATATTGCATTAATTAAATAAAATCCAATGCTCTTTTCTTAATATTCAATCAGGTGTTTAAATACATTACATATAATATATGTTACATAAACAAGATATTTTGTCCAGACAGGAGTCTGGAAATTGATTGCTTTTGTTGGAAAGACTTATGGTCTTTGGATGATGTGTGGGTCTTCCTTCCCATAGCTCTTTTCATCCATGAGTGATGAGTTAATAGTAGATTAAAAGGCTCCCAGGAGAGAATGAATTTGGACT
This sequence comes from Homo sapiens, assembly GCF_000001405.40. Classification (NCBI taxonomy): domain Eukaryota; kingdom Metazoa; phylum Chordata; class Mammalia; order Primates; family Hominidae; genus Homo; species Homo sapiens. The sequence continues at coordinate 126,683,884 of NC_000007.14, forward strand.
GCACTCCCTTTTGTGTGAGATAGCATTAAAACATTTCTGAGGTTTTTAGATAACCCCAAATAAAGCCAAAAAGGCAGGCAATAGTAACCTCCATGAAAGAGGGATCATGTTGAATTTTTTCACTACTGTACTCTACATTGCCTAGCGTAATATCTAGCATGTAAATATTTGTGGATGAAGGGAAGGTGAGCAGGAAGGAAAGAAGTAGAGAGGATGGAAGACAGGGAAATAAATGGAAGGAAGAACGTGAGAAAGAAAAAAAATCATACTTAGGGCACGATCACTGTATATGGAGTGGGCGGTGTAGGCTGATACTCTGAACCTAGCATCTGTCTGTTGAAGAGGAAGGCTACTGTAGTCACAGCAGACTGGGGCTGATGCTAGAATCCTCTTGGGTCCAAGGACTCAGCTTCAGGAAAGTGGCCCACTTTGTGTATTATCACACCCGGCTCCCAGTGATTCTTGCTGTAACTTGTGTCTTTGTAACAGGACTCTCTGGAAGAGAATATCCTCCTTCACACTTTGATGGACCAAATTTCAGGGGGAGTGGCAGAGCTCTGCACTTGGGACAGAGGTGTCCTCAAGGAATGCACTAGGTTAGCAAGAGAAAGGGCCTTGATTATCTACCATAGCTGTAGACCTGTAAGACTTCAATGGCACCAGGGCTCCATCGGAGGCAGTAAGTGGCCTACCCAAGAGCACCTTCTGAAAAGTCTGGCTTGAAGGAGTATAATGGAGTTGCATCTCTCCAGCACAGTGTCATAGATGTGTAGCAAGACAGACAGGCTCAGGATTAAATGTGACCAAAACTGCAGATTCTAGGGATTATCTGGGTAAGGAAAGCCTGGGTAAAGTCTAGATTTTCTACTAGTTTAGGAGATGGGAGCCCGTACATCTTGTGTTCTGTGTATTTTGTTTGTATTATTTTCTTAGCCACAAGTTGTTGAAGTCTGAAAATATGGACTTTCATGTCATCCTTCATTACCTTCCACAGTGTGATCTCAGAGGCAAGCAATGCACTAGCATCTGGCCTAATGTGTTACTGATGGCAGCGGTGGGCCATCCAGAGCAGCTGTTGCCATTACACCTGCTACAGCAAGGAGGCACAAGTGGTAGCAGCAGGAGAGGCTGCAGGGCAGCAGTGGTGGCCATGGGACCCCTGTGCCCTGCGTCCCCAAGGAAGCTGACTGCACTGCCCCCACCTTCACGCAGCCGGGCAGTACCCACTCCAGGCCCCGGCCCCGCTTGCCACTCTTGACAGCCACTGCTATGGGGAGTTCATGGGGAAGAGGCGAATAGTCCCTAGAGACTTCCCCTGGGGGACCCCCTGGAGCCTACCACCCTGGGGGCCACCATGATGGGGCCGGGCCAAGTTGCCTACAGGCAGGGGAACAATGTGGTTGGGCACAGAGGGGTGACCAGAGAGGGGACTCGAGGCGGAGCCGGGCCTGGGGTGGTACCATGCTTCAGGGAGCCTGCAAGAGCCCTGGACAAGCGGGAGACCCACCCCCTCTGAGTTAGCTGGGTGGGAGCTCCCTGGGTGCAGCTGCAGCTGCTCTGCCCCATCTCTGGACCCAGGCATCTCTGTGTTCCTGGGGGCCCAGGAAGGCCCCTCTGACCCCTGCAGGCTTGGAGGTGCCTGCTTCCACTGCCTGGCTTCTCCCCACTGTCAGTGTATGCTCTGATCTTGGAGTAAGGTTGGGGCCAAGCCTGAGCACTGTTGCAGTTTGGCCAGGGGCATATGCTCAGGGCAGCAGTGACCCACCAACCCCTTGCTGCCTCGGCTCCCTCTAAACTTTGGCTGTGGACAAGCACAGGAGGGAGGCACAAGGGGTGCTGAGGACAGCGGGGTACTGGCCTGCAGGCGCCCCTTGGCATGAACGGTCTGGGTGCGATGAATGGTGACAGGCGGCAGACAGGCTCCTGGGCAGAAGGGGGAAGGTCCTCAGTGATGCCCTACCTTCAAGCTGAGGAGGGCCTGAACCCTGGGGGCTGGGAGCCATTCCCGCATACCAGAAGGTGAACTCGTAGCGCTTTTCCCTGGGCCCTCGTGGGTGCCCATGGACTGATCAACATGCACTTCCTCCCCTCTGAGGCCCATAAAAACCCCCAGACTCAGCCAGACTCAAGCAGAGGACAGACAGATGATGGGGAGATGACCAGATGACAAGCTGCAGAGAGGAGCTGCCCACCCCAGGGTCTCCTCTCTGCTGAAAGTTGAGGAGACAATGGGATGACCAAATGCAGAGAGGAGCTACCCTCTCTGCTGAGAGATGAACACTCACTGGGATGCCCTGGCTACAGAGAGGAGCTGCCCACTGAGAGTCTCTTCTAAGCTGTTCTATTGCTCAGTAAAGCTCCTCTTTGTCTTGCTCACGCTCCACTTGTCTGCATATTTCATTCTTCCTGGACTCAGGACAAGACCTTGGTACCTGCTGAATGGCAAGGCTAAAAGCTGTAATAGAAACAGGGCTGAAACATGCCCCTTGCTTGCCACGTTGTGGGTGAAGAGAAGGAGAGAAAAGCTGTGGCCCTTCAGGGAGCCCAGCTCTGGGAGCTCCCTGAGCCAGGGCAGTGACTCCCTATTTGGGGCCCTGAAGTTCCTGACATCTCCAAGCTTCCAGGAGCTACTGCATTCGCTGGTGCCAGCTGGAGAAGCTGTTTGCAGTCCTCCTGGTCCAGCTGTAGCCTCACAGAGAGCCAGCACCCACACTGGCACCTGGAACTGCCTGCCCCGCAGCAGCAGCAGCCAGTGTGTCTTGCTGTGCACACTGGCCAGACCCCACACTCACTCACACTCACCACTCCACGCCTGACTCACAGTCTCCCTTGGAGGCATAGGATCCAGGCCAGTAGTGTAAGCCAAGTGCACCCTGCCAGGCCAAGTGGACAGAATGAGCCCAGCAGGCCCAGTGAAAATTCAGGCAAAGGTGCCACCAGCCATAGAGGCTTCCAGCCAGAAAAGCGACACCCCACGGATCCTGTAACATTACTATTTCCTTCTATCCAAAGATATGTGAAAAACCAGCCCAGGAATTATTGACCTGTCTTGTCCCTCTCAAGGTGCCTGTCACCCTACAATTCCAGTAGCTTGCGTCTACCAGTTTTTATCTTTTTATAATGCTTTTAAAATATAAAATACAATACATACACAGAAAACTGAATAAAACCAAACCACATGTCTCAGTGAATTATTACAAAACAAGCACTGCGTGACCACCACACAGGTCAGGAGATGCAATACGGTTGGCACATCTGGGGGTCACTCCCCACCACACATGTATGTGCCCCGCTATACCAGCTCCCAACCACAAATCTCTCCTCTTGATAGCCACTCTGACTTTTAAGATAAACTTTGTCTTGATTTTTTAAAATCATTTTCACCTAACAGTGTATTCCTAAACCTTTTAGTTTAGTTTTTGCCTGTTATTTTTCTAACTTTACATAAAAGAAATCACTTTATCTCCACTTGAACTTTATCTGCTAGGCCACTTTTGAGTTTGCTTGTGAGAAGTATCTCCATTGTTATGGTTATCTGTAATTCACTTATTTTCATTGCTGAATAGCATTCCATTGCATGGACACACTATAACTTATGTATCTATTCTAGTATTAATGAATATATGGGTTGTTTCTAGCTTTAGCTATTATGCACATTACTACTACAAATATGCTTTTATTTATGCCTTGTTGTAAATGGATGTGTATTTCCACTAAGTATGTAACCAAGAATGGAATTGGTAGATCATCTGGTATGCCTGTCTTCAAACATAGTAGATATTGCCTATCTGTTTTACAGGGTGGTTTAGGACACTACATGCCTCACAACAGTGTGCAAGAATCCTACAGCTTCAGACTCTTGCCAAGACCTGATATTCTGTTTCCTTTAAATTTAGTCATACTTATAGACAGATGTTGCTATCTTATCTTTAACTTGCATTTCCTAGATTAATAGACCTAGATTTGCATTTCCATATTACTGGACCTAACTTGCATTTCCTAGATTATTAGGACCATTTTAACTTTTCTTCTTTGTATTGGTGAAGTAAGTCCATGTTCAAATCACAAGCTCATTTTTTCTATTGGGTTGTATTTTTAATACTCATTGATTTGTAGGCTTTTTAAAAAAATAGCCATTCTAGACCATATACAAGCATTTCAATCATTATGTATATTGCAAATATCCTATCACATTCTGTGTCTTTGTTTTTCACTGTCTGAATGCCCATAAAATTCTCATATCCAGTAGGAGAAGATACATGTAAATAAAACCTTTGTGCCAGGTTCTCTCATATACGTATGTTCAGGGTATTAAGAAATACAGAGAAGGAGTTGTCAATTAAATGTAGGAGGGATGAGAATTCAAAAAAATGTCATAGATGGGTAAAGTGAATATTGGAAACATGCATTCATATTTTTCAGGAAATTAAAGGAGCAAGGATCTCTATGCAAAAAAGCACTCTGAGTCCTCTGAAGCCCTATTTATGCAGCTGAGTGAGAGAGCAGTACTCTTGACTAGAGAAATTTTTCAAGGGAGGTCGGTGATGAATAGAGCCCTAAGTATAATTAAGGAAAGGTAAAAGAGGTCTCTGGGGTTTAGAGACATAGTTTCGCTTAGAATAAATATTCCCAGTGGTTTATAAAAAGAGTGAACAGAAGTATAGTTGTCTTGGGGTGGAGTAGAGCTGAGCTAGATGGCAATGAGAGTGAGTTTAGGAAGTTGCAGATAGAAGGCAAAAAATACCAGAAGTTTGGCAAGTATTATAGGAAATAGATAACATACCAGCTTTAGAGTCACAGAGATCTTGGTTTAAATTCTGCCCCTCCTTTCCCTATTTTCTCTCTCTCTCTTTCTGACACACACACACACACACACACACACACAGAGACACACAGTGTCTATGGCATGTAATGCAGACTTTTCAAAAAGTGGCTGGGAATGCTTTCTCTCAGTTCCCTGGACAATAAAATAACTCACAATGAGAGCTCTCGCTTTTCCTCTACAAAAAAAAGGTTCACACCTTTTTTGATGGTGTTACAGTGCTTTATTCACCCGCAAAGGAGCAACTGCATCTTTCCATTGGTTCCAAGCTTCCCAGGTTTTGAGCAGCTGGCTTCCTCAGAAAACTCTGGAAAACAGCTGACAATTATACCTGTTATACAAATAGCCTGTCTGCAGAGTCTCTTCTTCTTGCTCTATAAGAACAGAGACCAATCACAGGCAATGTTGCTTTAATGTAATATAAACCCACTATGTATCCAGCAAGGGACTGGCCCTGGCTTACCTCTCTGTGGGAGGCCAAGAGGCTTCAGGAATGTGTGCCTCTCTTGCTGACACCAGCCTATAAATTTCCCCCAATAAAGCCTGTTCCTTAACCAAATGATTCTGTGGAATTTGTCTTGAGCCCTGTGCACAATGGTAACTTGAGACAAGCAACAACCATTCTTAGCCTCGGTATCCTCATCTGTAAAAGAGGAATTATGCCAACAACAATAAGTTATTGTGAAGGCTGAGCAAGATAATATATTTAAAATGTTTTAGCACTGGGCCTATTTTACATGGCTAATAGAAGAAAATGTACTTATGGCTAAAATAATGAAAGCTGAGTAGCCTCAATTTCTCAACTGAATGATAATGTTATGGCGCTGATCTCAAAAAAATCATTCACTAGATAACTGAAGACTGCCAGTAGAGTGTATGTGTGTCAGGGGTGAGAAGGTTGGGATCTAGGGGGTGGCTGGAAAGGATTTTCCAAAAGAGATTTGCGGAATGAGAGGGACTGGCCAGAAGCAGATATACTCTGCCAATTTATCTCATCAACAATTGTAGATTGCATTTTCACTTGTAATAATGACCCAATAGCTATTTTAATTATGTTTATATATACATATACAGTTTATGTATATAACAAATATATAAGCAGAAGCTTCTGCATGACCATGGGTAAAATTGTTCTTATGCTACTGGACTCAGAGAGGCTATATGTTTCTATTACAGTAGTTGGACTGAATAAATACGTTCTGGCGGGGAGGGTCTGTTTTCCTGTGTTTAAGCTGTAAAGTGGGAGATTCTCTATAGAGCAGATTATAAGGAAGTTGGCCCGAGGATGACATAAAAGATAAACTGTGTGTAAATAAAGTAGTCAAAGCAAACTAAGGTTTCCAGGGCTAAACTTCTTGTGTTGGAGCTGGGAATTGCTTCTGATTTTATTCCTACTGCTACTAGTGTCACAGGATCCTTGGAGTGTTGCTTTTCTGGCTGAAAACCTCTGTGGCTGATGGCGCCTTTGCCTGAGTTTTGCTCGGGCCCGCTAGGCTCATTATGCCCACTCGGCCTGGCAGGCTGCGCTCAGCTCGCGCTACTGGCCTGGTTCCCACGCATGCCAAGGGCAAGGCAGGCACGGAGTGGTGAGGGGTATGTGAGCAAGCAAGCGTGGGATCCAGCAACTGTGCACAGCCAGGCACGCTGGCTGTGGCGGGGTGGGCAGCTCCAGGCACCTGCATGGGTGCCACCTCCCTGCAAGGCTGTAGCTGAACCAGGCATACCACAAGCAGTTTCCACGGCTGGCACTGGGGAACGCAGTGGTGCCCAGAAGCTTGAAGACACCAGGAACCGCAGAGCCCCAAGAGTGTGTCACATCCCTGGCTCAGGGAGTTCCTTGGTCTGGGCTCCCCAAAGGGCCGCAGCTCTTCTCTGCTTCTAGTAGACCACAACATGGTGAGCAAGGGGTGTGTTTTGGCCCTGTGTGTGTTACAGCTCTTTCAGCCCCACCATTTGGTGGGTCTCCAGTTCTTGTCCCACATCCAGGAAGAATGAGGTACGCAGACAAGTGAAGGGTGAGCAAGGCAAAGGGTGCTTTACTAAACAACTCAGAGGAGACCTGCAGTGGGTAGCTTTTCTCTGCAGGCAGGGCATCCCATTGTCTGCTCAGCTCTCAGCAAAGAGGAGACCCATAATGTGTAGCTCCTCTCTGACCAAATGATGGTCAGCTCATCATTTGCCTGAGTCGCTTGAATCCAGGGTTTTTATGGGCTTCAGAGGGGAGGTAGTGAATGCTGATTGGTCCATGGGCAGCCATGGGTGGGCCCAGAAAAAGCACGGCAAGTTCTCACTCCTATCTGCAGAACTGGCCTGAAGGCGGGGTTTCACCGGGGAACTGCCCCTTTCCACCCAGGAGCCTGTCTGCCTCCCATTGTCATTAACCTGCCATTTACAGTGCCCATGGCGTCCAGGCTATTCATGCCAAGGGGTGCCTGCAAGCCAACACTGAGCTGCCCTTAGCCCCTTCTTGGCCTCCCTCTCATGCTGGTCAGTGCCCAAAGTCCAGAGGGGGCTAAGGTGGCAGGGGGCTGGTGTGTTAGTGCTGCCCCAAGTGTGCATGCATGCACCTGGCCAGGTTGCGACAGTGCCTGGGCTCAGCCTTAACTTTGCTCTGAAATCAGAGCAGGCACCGGGAGTGGGGAGAGGCCAGGCAGAGGGAGCAGGTACTTCTGATCCTGCAGGGGCAAAGGGGCTTCCCAGGCCCCCAAAAGTGCAGAGATGCCTGAGTCCGCAGCCGCAGCTAGGTCGCTGCAGTGGTGCCTGGGGGAGTGAGGTTCCTGCCCCTCCAACTTGGAAGGGGGCAGGGCTTCCATCTGTTCCTGAGAGGGCTCAGCCCTGGCCACACCTCCCCTACTGCAGCCAGTGTCATGGCAACAGCCACTCCAGACAGGCCGTTGCTGTTATCATTAGAGCTGGCCAGAAGAACCAACACTTTAGTAATGAGTTAAGACAATATTGGAGGAATGAGAGTCTGTTTGGGCCCACCTGAAGGCATAATACTGGGGCCCCCACAAGGATGAAAGTAAGCATGCAAGCAGGAGGGTAAGAGTGGAGCAGATAAACTTCAGTGTTGCCCTTAATTACAAACGTAGCTGGCTGGGTGAAAGAGACACCAACCCCTAAAATACACCTGACAGATCTGCTCACTCAAGGAATTCTACTCAGTGAGAATTTAATCCTGGTAGACTACCTAGATCTTCGGGCCCTTTTAAATGCAAATGACACAAAGAATGACAGAAACCTCATTGTAAACTTACATTTAGGTCTGAGCATGAAGGACTGTATGGAGTTCTTTCTCAATGGCAAGTTTAGGGTAGGATGGAGGGAAGATCAGAGCTTTGGAATTCTGAAGGAGAGGGAAACATGCTGAAAAGAAAGAGAACTGGAGGGGAAAGCCAGGAATAGAAAAGAAAATGTTGCCCATTCACAATGGGAATTAAGCTTTTCCTATAATAAAGACCTTGACACAGAAGTGAGTGGGCTAACGAACTTTCTCCATCCAACAGTTAGTTCTATGTGTATCACTAAAGTTATAAACACATTCTTGAGTACCAGAATTTTAATTTTGATACCACAACCTTTGAAATTCTACTATAATTGGGTCAAACTCTGGAACAGTAGCAGATATGCTGACTTGCTATAGAATGAGAGTGACAAAGAATGATGAGGAAATGCCTGAGGTTGAGTCCCAAAGTACTCTAAGTGTCCCCCACCAAGGACAGTGATGACTAAGGCCCTCTCCATGTCCTTGATGTCAACATTAGATGATGTGTGTTAAAAATGTTGAGAATGGAGGGGACTATCTTCAGGACATGGCATTACTCTCCACATGGAAGGTGTGTTCAATATGCCATCCTGGGAAGATTGAATTCTTGCAGCAGCACATAATGGAAAAATACTACAGCACTAAGCAGTAAACTGAGAATATATCAGAATCCCAAAGACTACATCTAATATTGCTTAACTGTAGAATGTAGTTATACACTGTTCTGACTGGAAAAAAAAATAAAACACTGCAATTTTTTCTCTTCCCTATTGAGGATGAGTTCCTTACTAACTTGGAATTCAGTTAAGGTTTAGTTTAACCAAACTATTCCTTAGGGAGTTGATTCCTATCAAAGGTCAAATCCTGAAAGAGTAAAATAATCACCTTCCAAATATCAATCTTGTAAAACAGAAGGAGGATCAGAAAATTAGTAGGTTATACTTTATGGGCAATTTCTCTTCACAGCTTAATGCTTTGTTTATATAACTATCCTTATTAAATTATTTTAGCAATAAGAATGGTGTTGCCTTCACCCCACTTCACTCTCCAAACCCTCAATAGGAAAAAGTTGGCTGGAAGAGTGAATAACAAACTAATCGCCTCAAACTTCACTAAGATTAACTGGATATGTCACCTCCTCTAAAGATCACAGCAGTCATTCACTGGAATAACAAATGGCAAGACGGGAAACCAAATTGTCAACATGGGTACAAAGAATCTACTAATTTGCTTGAGGTTAGTGGGTAATAGGCAGTGTTATACTAACATTATTATTCCTTTGTGATACATTTCCAACCAAATTTCTTTTATTAGAAATGCTTTTTTCTGATTATGAAAATAATAAATGCTCCTTATGAAAAATCAAAAATATATTTTAAAAATACAAGAAAACAATAATAATTAACAATAAGACTGGCAACCACAGATGATCATTGTAATGAATTAGCATTCTTCTTTCAGTGTTTTGGTGTATATAAGTACAATACATTACAGCATGTAGGTGCTTTGCAGTTTATGTGTATTAGCATGGTCTCATTTTGTTAAATTATTATAAGCAACAATATTAATGCCTGTATTATATTCCAATCTATTGACATTTATATATCCTTTGTTTTCTAACATAAAAAGCTTTTAAAATAGGTACAAATACTTTTTCTAAAAGTTTTACATTACTTCTTAGGGTAAAATTCTTGGAAGTAGTGTTTCTGAACCAAAGAGCAAGAAGAAAATATTTTGCCGAATTATTTTCTAGACAGTTTTCTTTGTTTTATAGTTTGTTTAATCTTTTGCTGGGCATATAAAATAGTAGTCTGATCTCTGTGCCTTCTTATCAATCCAAAATATTTCTTCTCAAAGTATTTTCTATTTCAAAAGATGAAAAATATGTCTCAAGTTATGTTTCATTTATTACATCTAAGTCTTAATCATTTTCATAAATGTATCAGTCAAATGTAGTTTCTTTCATAAATTGTTGGAATATGCCCTTTGTAAATTGCTATTTTAAGATTTTTTAAGATAGGTCATTAGAAATTTGTATGACCATTATAAATATTCAACGTATTAAACGTTTCTCTTATATTTGAGGCAAATATTTCTCCCAACTATGTTTTTCTTATTTATTTATAAGAAAACAAACTAAACTATATATAGTTATATTTATTAACTAAATATAAATAGTTAGGTCTATTTATATTTCCCTATGTGATTCTGACTCAATTCCTCTACATTTAGAAAAATTCCTCCCCCTCTACAGATTAGACATGCACCATCTAAAACATAGTACTTGCTTTTTAATTATTATTGTTAGAATTAAATGAAACTGAAACTTGTTAATGAAATTAGCTAACAAAATTTTCCACTGCTGACCAGATATTATAAAAAACATTGAACCTATCATGTTTAATAGTGCATAGATTTTCCCAAGCTGGATAACTGTGAAATAGAGTGTAACCAATGATTTGAGTGTAACTGTGATTAAACTTTCCAATGTTGGAAGACACTTTTAATGGAAGCTATTATCTATATTTATAGCAGTTTCATTTTTTACTTCAGCTGTTACTTACTCAATTTTTTTCTTCTCTTTTTTGCAATTGATTTGCAAAATATTCCATTAATTGCCTTATAACTGTTATACATATGGAAAATTGTTAGCATGCCTTAAAGTGATCAAGAAAGCTCTTGAGTGTTGAAATATACTAAGTCTTATTTTAGATCTACATTTCTCCTCTGGGTTCTGCTTAGGCAAAACTAGTTACATTTAATGACGCTTTCATGCATTTGCTATTAAATTATATTAGTCTAGGTCAGTCAGAACCTTGAGATACGTTTGTCTCTTGAGGCTCCTTGTCTGGACTAGATGTCCATGCAATTCTTGTTCAGCTCCAAGTCCAGCCAGAGGCATTTAATGTGGCCAACAACAATGGTCTCATGCCTTGATTCTAACATGTATCTGGGGGTCTGAGCTTAAGAATGGAGAAACAGAATGTAAGTGGTCCTGTCAGTTGTTAAACTACTCTTTCCCTGCATCCCCAGTCTTGCCTCATAGATATCCTCGGAATAAAATATCATGATTTTTAAGCATCTCAGTTTGTACTAGGATTGCATTGATGGGTGGCTTTTCCAACAGAGGAGGAATAGAGATGGGAGGGACTGAGATGCCTATATTCGAGAAAAACTATTTCTAGGCAGATAGCCAAATCTTGATCCATCAAAATACTAAATTAGTAATATATTAAAACATTTTTAAAGGGAATTCTGTTATTATTATGAAGAAAATGAGAAAAGAATAATATTCCATACTGATATCTTCTATCATTTGGAAATACCTACTTTCTTCCAAGAACTGTATAATGTACTAGAGACATAAGATTAAAATATATGGTCCCTGTTTCCAAATAGCTCATAGCATGGAGACCAGGCTGACCAGGAAACAGTATCAGCTATGAAACGGAAGTACTGAATTACAAGGAGTAGATGGAATGACTGCCTAGCTGAAACTGTAAACATCAAGAAGAATTCCTGGATAATGTGCCCTATGAATTGAGTTTTACAGGAAGAGAATCTCAGGCAGAAGAAAGCATATTAGAAGGCCCAATGCTGTGAGAAATAACCTATTTACCTCCCTGCAAGTATTTCAGCAAAGGTCTTAATTGGTCAGTGACAATTAAGTAAAATGAAGGGCTTAGGAGGTCCAGATGATTAAGGTTTTTATTCGGCTTGCTAAGGATTTTGGACTTTATGCTAAGCCAATAAAAAGGTATTGAAAGACTTTAAGTAGTCAAGGATGTATGATCAGATTTGCATTTTAGAAAAATTTCTCTGGCCACAATTACGTAAAAAACAGAGAAGGATGGGGCGGGGGACACATTAGCACAAAAGAATAGTTAGAGGACAATTCTTGGCCATTCAGGAAAGAAATGAGGAGGGTCTTAAGTAGAGAGAGTGTTTCTGAAGAAAGATATTAAAGAGCCATAAGAGGCAACATATGATCACTGATTATAAGGTTGGAGAGACAGGGATAAAGAAAAGGGTGAAGGCAACCCAGCTTTCTGGCTTTTACAACCAGGTAAAATGTGATGACGTTCACAGAAGCAGGGAGTAACAGTGTGAAAGAAGGCTTGATTGAAGGTAGAATACAAATAGCTTGAGTTACCTGTGAAATGCACAAGTGGATACACAGGGCTGGGACTAGGGTGAAGTGAGTGATGCATGGAATTGGATGCAAAATTTAAGAAACAAAAACTCTTTGAAAAAATGCATTTTATTTTAAGTCTGGGATACATAAGTAGGATGTGCAGGTTTGTTACACAGGTAAACGTCTGTCATGGTGGTTTGCTGCACCTATCAACCCATCACCTAGGTATTAAGCCCCGCATGTATTAGCTATTTGATATTGATGCTCTCTCTTTCCCTGCCCCCTACTCCTGACAGGCCCCAGTGTGTGTTGTTCCCCTCCCTGTATCCATCTGTTCTCATCGTTCAGCTCCCACTTACAAGTGAGAACATGCGGTCTTTGATTTTCTGTTCCTGTGTTAGTTTGCTGAGGATAATGACGCAGTGGTAACACATGGAAGCCTCCTTTCTTTAAGGAACTATTACTGAGAGAGAGGCAGAAGGTTTAAAGGTTGTGTTTTTATTTATTTATTTTTACTTTTCTCTCATGAAATAAGAAACTGGAACATGTTTATTTGCTGAGGCTAAAAGGAACTGGCAATGGAGAAGGGACGTGGGAAGGAACAAATCAGAGAAGATAGATGCCAAAACAAAGACAGACAGAGGCTGAAGAAAAGGAGGCTCAGATGGGATTATTGTAGACAGTTTACTGAATACAGGCCTTCAAAACTGGGGGGCTTCCACCCAGGAAGTGAAACCATATGACCCAGCAATCCCTCTTCTGGTTATACACCCAAAAGGAAGTGAAATCAGCACCTTGTAGAAATATCCGCACGCCAATGTTCGTTGCAGCACTATTCACAATAGCCAAGATATGAAAGCAACCTAAGTGTCCCTCAAGGGATGAATGGATAAAGAAAATGCATAATATATACAAAAGAGAATACTGTTCAGCCTTTAAAAAAAAAAAGAAAATTCTGCAATTTGTGACAAAATGGACAAACCTGGAAGACATTATGCTAAGTGAAATAAGCCAGGCACAGAAAGACAAATACTGTATGTTCTCACTTATGTGTGGAATTAAAAAAAAAAAAAAAAAGTCAAGCCCATAGAAAAAGATAGTACAACAGTGGTTATCAGGGACAAGGAGGGGATGGGGAATGGAGAAATGCACGTCAATGGGTACAAAGTTGCAGTTACATAAACAACTGAAATAAGTAAGTCTCAAGAGCTAATGTACAGCATGAGGACTACAGCTAATAATTTTGTATTATATACTAGAAACTGGCTAAGACAGCAGATTTTAGGTGCTGTTACCACCAAAAAATAAAAAAGAAGGTAATTACGTGACATGATGGATATGTTAATGTGCTTGACCTTAGTATATTTCACTAAATATATATGTAATATACATTTATCAAAGCATCATGTTGTATGCCTTAAATATACACAATAAAAGAAGGAAAGTAATGCACTTTTATTGCCTGGACAACACATTAACACATCTCCCCATTGTGGGTCATTTTTTTTTCTTTTGAAATGTTTATAACATTTACTCACATCTTTCCATATTTCTGCCCATCCCCAAATTTAAGGAAATTAGTATGCAATACTTATCTGCCTGTAATCCCTTCTCTTTGGGGCATTAATCAGCAGTTACTAATCTGAAGATTTAACAAGGGAAGAACAAAGAAGCATTAAAAACACTATTTGCTGAAAATATAGAAGGGGTGCCTAAGTGTTGCTCACATCTCTTCAACCTTCAGGTGGAAATTATACTCAAGGCTGCAATGGCTGGAACCCCAAGTTCACTGAAATCTGCATCTTGAAGGAATTTTTGCACAAAACAGTTCTTTCATTTCAGAAATAAAATATTTACTAAAAAGTTGAGAAACAATGCAAGCAAATGCAGTAAATATTTGTTCTTCATGGAAGCAAGTTATTCCTTTACATACTCCTATTGTCTCAGTGAAGTTCTGGAGGTTTATACAAATGGAATAGATTGTGGAACTACCCCTGAGAACTACTCTTAAACATGCTACGTATTCAGGATGTCAAATTAAAGGAGTCTCTGAGGCTGCCGCTTCTCTGGTCATCTTTAATTAGACAATACTCTGGTGAAACCCTCACAATTAATATTAAGAGTTGTTCTTCTTCTACAGTAAGTGGAAGGGGAATTATGTAGTGGCTTGTTCTTTGTTATAATTTTATTGAGAGGGTTGTGGAGGAAGGATTGGAATATAATAGAATTGTTCTATTTTCTACCATTTACAGAAAACTAGATGAATCACAAAATTGAAGAAAAAATGATGCTTATCTTTTAAATATGTATTTTATAAATATTTAACTTATATTAAAATTACTTTCCACATATTACAAAATGCTCTAGGCATATCAGTGCATGTGTGCTACTCATTAAATGTTACTATGTCTTTCTACCACAGAGATTTATTTAGGAGGGAGATTGTCATGTTATTTCCTATACCTGGAATGACTCACACTTCTGTGCCTGTTAACATTTTATCCATCTGATACAATCTAGACCGTGAAACCTTTCCTAATCAAGCTATTTTTTCATAAATTTAACAACTGTCATAAATGAATTGTCTGTCATGAATGAATGAAGCAACAAAACAATGAATGACTCAGTGTGGGTTGGTTCTAAGAGTTGCATACCTTCGTAACCCCAATAGAGCTTGTTGGGGTGCCTGGAATATTAACAAGCCAAAAAAATACTTACTTTATTATTAATTATGTAGGCAATGCATAAATTGAAATACATTTATATTTCTCTCAAGAAATTCTCTCTAAATTATATTAGCTTCTGAGGAGAAAGTGTCTTTCTAGCAACCTGGCTTTTAAAACCATCATAGGCACTTTCTCTGTAAAGGTAAATAAACTTTCTTTGGAATGTGGTGAAAGAAGCTGTTAGATAATTTCTGAATGTCTGGTTTTATAATAAGGAGGGTCACTGTCCTCAAAGTTTAGCAATCACTAGACCCTGAGGGACTTTTATCTAATCTTAACCCTGCACCTGACTGCCAGGCAGAGCTAATCACTTAACCTCCCAGTGAATTAATGGGTTCATCTGTAAAACACGATTGCCATCAAAGGCATGAAAGGAAAAGACTAATGATAGACGGAATGAGGTTAGATTTAAAGATTCAACAAAGCCATCAAAATTCACAGCAAAGCCATTTTCCATTATTTCCCTCAATTGTAACTATACTGCTTTTATAAGAAGTGAATTCGACAAAAATAAGTTTATAAGAGTTCTGTTGTGCTAGTTTTTATCTGCTGGACTGATGCAGTATGTAAGAAAATTCTCTTGCTTTCAAAAATGTAAAATTTAAAGCACATTGAAAATTCATGATATTTCATGAGATGCCTAAGGATTTGAGACTCTGACAGACAAAAAAATCCCCTGTGATTTTGATAAGACTGCTAAATAAAAAAGCAGTTCATACATTATTTTTATCACCTTCCTCTTCTATTTCCTCTTTCATTTTTCTATTACATTTTGATTTTGACTTTTATGTTTCTGCATCTTTACTTTTCTCCACCCCTGGAGCAATGGGAAGTATTTTTTTGCAGGCTACAAGGTACCATTTTCAGTGTCTGATGAAGTTCTCCCTTTGGTGTGTGTCAAACAATCATTTCCAGCCTCCAGATAAAGAGACAGAGTGGCCCAGAAATGCCCTAAGCCCACTAGAGGCATGCTTGCCTAAGCTGGCTGCATCTCTCCAGTTGCAATGCACATTTTTTGGGACAATAATAAATACTGGCTCAAAAGAGAATGATGGAAAGTACATTTTTAGGAGATATGAGATCTAGGTCTATTGATGGATAAACTGATTTTTTTCCAGTCACTATAACATCTGTTCAGAGTAAGTAAGCATCACTGCACAGGGAGATGGAGGATGTTAACTGATATTGGGACTACAATTAGATAGAAGAAAACCAGAACCAAGGCACACACACTGTTCAGATAGTTCATAGGGTTATTTTAATCACTGATTCAACTTTACAGAATGAAGTTTCTCCATTCAATTTCACATCAGTAACTGCAGGTTGTATTATGTCTAAGATTGGTATAGAACAACAGCAATTTCACAATATCTAGACAATGAATGAATATTAAAAATCTATTTCATTAAAAAGCTCTTTCAGATACTGGTATCTGAAAGAAACCATGTTGGACGCAAAATATATCAAGAAATCAAGAACTCAATATAATGAAAATAAGGCTGAAGACTGCAACAGATTTGAATACAGCATGCCTCTATATTCTAGTTATTAATGATTGATTTTTAAGAAAACCTGTTTCAGTGAAAAGGGCAAGTAATCTTTTTTAATCTCACTTTAAAATATTTCCTAGAACTTTCTCATTCATTAGCTCACTTGATTCTCAAAACAATGATTCTCATTCATTAGCTCACTTGATTCTCATATTCTCATAATCCTAAAATAAATGTTATTATAATCTGTATTTTAAAGTTTAATATTTTGAAAGAAATAAATTACATAATTTGATGAGGGTGATAAATTGGGACTCCAGTCCCAATTTAGTTCACCCTGAGCAGGTCCATTCTCACATCAACCTGTTACACCATTTAAAGAAATAAAAAATGTCCATTACATATATTTTTAAGTTACATTCAGTCAAACAAGCAGTTACCTTAGCACTCAGATGTGTAAAAACCAGTGCAACAAAATTTCAGTTTTTAACAAGTCATCTGAAACAACAGAGGACATAATTTTGTCCTGTTCCCAAGATACTTTGTGTTTATGTTCCTAAATCCTAAATTCCTAAAATTGCATCCTGATAAAGAACAGTAAATTTGTTTCTCTACTATATTTACCATATTGCCTCATTACTTGATCCCTCCTTCCTTCCCTCCCTCTCCCCTTCTCTTCCATTCCTTCTTTTCTTCCTTCCTTCTTTTAATAAATGTATATATATATGTGTGTATATATATATAACCAATAATTACCAAGCACTTACAGTACACTGGGCAGAGTGCTAGGCTCTTCACTGAAAACACTTCAAAGTATAATAAGAGAAACAGGAAGCAATGAAATGAGTCAGCTAGTTTTGGAATCAGGTTAGTCACAGTTGATCTCAGCTGCAGGCCCGGAAGGTTGGGGGTGGGCTGCCTTGTATTGCAAACACATGCATCACATCACACAGACATCCTGCACGCTGGAGCACAGTAGCCTGTCAGTTCCCACTGCTGAGTCATTTACAGCTTTTATCGTAGTTAATGCCAATGATTATATATGTTAAAAGTACTTATTAATCCTTGTACCAAATATAGAAGAGGGCTCAGACGCTTCTTATCTCATGGTTCTTAAATCTAACCATGCGCCATACTCACTGGTAGTTTTACAAGGAATGGATTCTTGAGCTCCTCTAAAGAAATCAGTAGCTCCAAGAGAGATGTTTTTAAAAATCTGTTTCTAGTAAACTCTCCCAGTGATTGCTGAGTAACCTACTTAAAATGACATTGGAAAACCATACACTAGAACCCTGCTTTTGATTTTTGTTACAAGATCTAGAATCAAGTTCAAATAGTCTAGATAGTAAAATATTGTGAGAATTTTTTTTTAGTTTTAGAAATCCTACAAGAAGTATAAAACTATTGTTATAGTCCATGCAACCAAAATTCTTACCCAACTACTGGAAAATGAAGGAGTAAAAAGAGTTGGCCAGGGTAGAGACATCTGGATCCCTCTTCGGCAACCTAAGAAGATAAGTCTGTCAGAGAATAGTGATTATAATGAGTTAATGACTATATGCCTGGTTTGCTTTAGACAGCCCCATGTCATGCCTTCTGTCTTA
Organism: Homo sapiens; assembly: GCF_000001405.40. NCBI lineage: Eukaryota > Metazoa > Chordata > Mammalia > Primates > Hominidae > Homo > Homo sapiens. The sequence continues at coordinate 126,701,926 of NC_000007.14, forward strand.
GTATAATTATTAATCATGCTACCCATTTCTTTCTCCGAAGTGTCCCTATTTGAACAACAAGTTATTTGGTCACCCCAACTAAAAGGGAATCTTGTCAGAGACCAATGAGTGTCGTTTAGTGAATATAGAAATAATAAGCAGGCTCTATTTATTCATTTATTCAACTCAATTCAGCAACACATTTGTGCTAGCATTCGCACATGCCAAGTCCTGCATAAGTGAGGAAAGCCCCTTGCCTTGTGGAGCTTACAGTCCAGCAGTGGAAGACTCACACAGTATACAAATGAAAAACAAATTAAAAAGGATAGAGATTACAATAACTGCTATTATGGGAATAAAGAGGATGATATAATAGGATTTCATGGGATGGACAGGTGTAATGAGGGGAGGCCTTCTGGCAGACCATCATCTGTTTCAACCTCATTTTGCATACCTTCTTGTACTCCAGAAACTGGAAAGCTAAAAGCTATGTTTCATATCCTCCTCCGCAGCTAGGGATCTGGATTTAGACACAGACAACCAGATATACTCATGCGAAGCACTGATTCAGAACTAAACTGTAGAAGGACGACGCAGTGGCAGAGAAGGTGTCTACTTCACTGGCACAGAAGTCCAGTCTCCTTATTGTCAGACAGCACATAAGATGTGTTCCTGAAGGTAATGGTTCTGACCCCACTTCCTGATCCCCTACTCATGGTTATAGTAGTACAACCCTGAAGCCAGCAGTTGGGACAGCAGTCTTCTAACTCCCCAGCTTCCTGATGAGGCAGATGTAGAGGGCCAGTTCTGTGGTGGTGTTCTTGGAGTCTGGAATAGTTCCACATCAAGAGCTATTCCCAAGACCTTCTAAAAAATTGTAAGCACTAACTTACCATGTTAAGTTCCCTTCTGATTAAAATGGAGTGGTTTCTGTTATCTGTCACAGAATGCTAAGTGATAAAGACCTAAAGAATGAAAAGGAGTCATGTGGCAAATAAGGGGAAGAGAATTCCAGACCGAGAAAATAGCAAGCGTACAGGGTCAAGGCTGGGAAAAGACTTGGCACGTTCAAGCCACAAGAATAAAGTCACTGTTGCTGGAGGAATGAAGAGGTGGGAATGCGGAAAATGAGACACTGTGGGAGTCTGATTAGGGCCATGTCAGTGAGAGACAAGTTCAGATTTTTCCTAGTATATTGGGAATTCATTGAGGAGTTTCAATCAGGCATGATCTAGTTTTAAGAATATTAGACTAGATGCCTTGCAGAAAAGGAATTAAAGCAGGAAGATTAGTATAGGACTATGTCAGTAGTACTAGCAGGGGTGAGGAAAAGGAGGAATTAAATTCTTGGCTTTCAGCTAGATCAGAAGGTAGATGTGCTGTAATTCATTAAAACAGAGACGAATAGGATAGAATAAACATATGTTTGAAGCATCAAGAGTTTGTTTTCGTTTTGTTTTTGGGTATCTTTGGTTGCACAAGTCAAAGTTGAGATGCAAACCAGACAAAAGACTTTGACAAGGAGAGTTTTATAAATAAGAATCTGCAAAGGAACAGTCAGTTTTCCATGGAAATCCTCATCTAAACCAGGTCCTAGGGTCAAGACGTTTTAACATAAGAGTCAGAAACAAAACCTCAGAGCACAGTGCATCCAAGCACCTTTTTCGTTTTTTATACGAGGTCTCGTCTTTATCACTCAGGCTGAAGTGCAGTGGTATGATCACAGCTCACTGCAGCCTCAAACTCCTGGCCTTGAGCGACCCTCTTGCCTCAATCTTTCAAGTGTCTAGGACTACAGGTGTGCTCTGCCATACCTGGCTAATTTTTAAAATTTTTTTCTTGAGACAGAGTCTTGCTATGTTGCCCAGTCTGGTCTCAAACTCTTGGGCTCAAGCAATCCTCCAGCCTTGGCCCCCCAGCGTGCTGAGATTATAGGCTTAAGCCACCACACCTGGCCACCAAAGCACCTCTTTCTTATGTTGGCTGTTACCAAAGCCTATCAGACATTCCCTCTATTAACCCTACAACCACAGACCCTGTCCTTACCTGCAAATTCACGAACACTTCCTCAGGCCCAGGAAGAACTGGACGACTTCTGTCTACCTATACTACCAGCAAATGATTAAGTCAGACTGTCAGGACGTCTACAACCCTCTTATTATATGTTTCCTATATTCTTTCAACTCTGATCAGTTGTTGGGGGAAGTCAGGGACCCCGAATGGAGGGACTGGTTGAAGCCATGGCAGAAGAATGTGAATTGTGAAGATTTCATGGACATTTATTAGTTCCCCAAATTAATACTTTTATAATTTCTTATGCCTGTCTTTACTGCAATCTCTAAACATAAATTGTGAAGATTTCATGGACACTTATCACTTCCCCAATCAATATCCTTGTGATTTCCTATGCCTGTCTTTACTTTAATCTCTTAATCCCATCATTTTCATAAATTGAGGAGGATGTATGTCACCTCAGTACCCTGTGATGATTGTGTTAACTGCACAAATTGTAGAGCATGTGTGTTTGAACAATATGAAATCTGGGCACCTCGATAAAAGAACAGGATAACAGCAATGTTCAGGGAATAAAAGAGATAACCTTAAACTCTGACCACCAGTGAGCCGGGCGGAACAGAGCCCTATTTCTCTTCTTTCAAAAGCAAATGGGAGAAATATCACTGAATTCTTTTTCTCAGCAAGGAACATCCCTGAGAAAGAGAATGCGCCCCTGAGGATAGGTCTCTGAAATGGACCCTTGGGTCTGGCTGTCTTCTATGGTCGAGCTGTAGGGATGAAATAAGCCCCAGTCTCCCATAGCACTCCCAGGCTTATTAGGAAGAGGAAATTCCCGCCCAATAAATTTTTAACAGACTGGTTGCTCTCAAACCCTGTCTCCTGATAAGATGTTATCAATGACAATGGTGCCCGAAACTTCATTAGCAATTTTAATTTCACCCCGTCCTGTCCTGTGGTCCTGTGATCTCGCCCTGCCTCCATTTGCCTTGTGATAGTCTATTACCTTGTGAAGTACGTGATCTCTGTGACCCACACCCTATTTGTACGCTCCCTCCCCTTTTGAAAATCCCTAATAAAAACTTGCTGGTTTTGCAGCTTGAGGGGCATCACGGAACCTACTGACATGTGATGTCTCCCCTGGACGCCCAGCTTTAAAATTTCTCTCTTTTGTACTCTGTCCCTTTATTTCTCAATCCGGCCGATGCTTAGGGAAAATAGAAAAGAACCTACATGACTATCGGGGGCAGGTTCCCCAATAATCAGTAGCCCTGAGACTATAAGTTGAAGTCTGCTTACTTTGCTATAATTACTATCTGGAAAGCTGACTTGCTATTCTTATAAATATAATCCTAGCATTGCAGGATACCATGGGCCATCTTGCCAATCTCCTTGCTGCACAAACTTGCTAAGCCCATTACATATGCAAGTTTTATCATTATAATCATAATCATCAATACCATTGTGGCTGAGGTTGATGTTATGATTGCCATACATTGAAAAGTAGCTATGTAAGTCACTAAACAAACATTTTATCTCCACTTAAATATATTTGTTTGTCTGAAATAATTACAGAGAGAATATACATAGATCTATGTGTGGACAAGCCTATCTGTGTACGTGTGTGTACATATATTTGTGCACAGGCCTAAACAAATATATATGTATGGACGTATATGAAACTAATATGTAATCAGTTAAAAAGTTAGGTTAATATACATAGGTTAACATGTATGTATATTAAACTAACAGGTTATCATGAATGTGTTATTTGAACTCATAGTCATTAAGAGATGTAAAACTGTTAAGATTTTTCACTGTTGGAAAACATTGGAGAGCCTCAAAATATTTAAACATCTAATCTTTAAGTTGAAATGATTCACACTAAAAGAAAATAAAAATATCTGAGCATATTTATTCAGGAGCAGCAGTAAATTAAGAAACCAAGAGTTTTTTTAATGAGTTTTCACTATATTAATTTCAAGCTATTTATTATGTTATGGGCTGTCTGGTTTGTTAAAGCCTAATTAATGTAAGTAAAGAAGACCCAAGTAATCATTAAATATATCACTATGAAATGAATTTTAGATAAAAGTACCATTACTTTAAGAGAGGAAAGAACACATAATTGCCATGGTTGATATTAATTTTAATGTCATGGAAAATTTATTTAGTAGGAAGATGCTTGCAAGTAACATCTGAATTTTTCTCTTTGTTTCAATATCCATGTAAACCTGAGAGAAATTGCCTAGTAGATTTTAAAAATCTATAGTATAGGTGTTTTAATCAGGGGTCTCCAGAGAAACAGAACCAATAAGCCAATTCCTTATAATAAATACAATTTGATATAAAGAATGGCTCACATTATTATGGTGACTGACAAATCCCAAGGTCTACAGGGTGAGTTGGCCAGCTGGAGACCCAGGAGTGCTAATGGTCTAGTTCCTGTCCAAAGGTCAGTAAGTTTGAGTCTCAGGAAGAGCTTATTTTTCAGTTCAAATCAGAAGGCAGAGAAAAGCCAATGTCCCAGTTTGAAGTCAGTAAGGTGGGGGGAAATCTTTCCTTGGAGAAGGTCAGCCATTTTGTCTTATTCAGGCTGTCAACCGTATGAATGAGGCCCATAACATTAGGAAGAGTAGTCTGCCTTACTCAGTCTACCAATTTAAAGGTAAATCTCAACCTAAAACACCCTCATAGAAATGCTGAGAATGATGTTTAACCTGGGCACTTTGTGGTCCAGTCAAGTTAACACATAAAATGATCACCACATTAGGTCAACTCTCAGAATGCAGAATGTTTTGCCTTTACTAATAATTCATGCTAAAGGAAAAAGTGAACATGAGTAGTTACAGCCACAGATAATATAAGATACTGTAAGTCTGGTTTCAAAAAGCATTATGTGAATTCTTCACATGTTATTTTCAATGGTCCTCCTTATTCAATAGTTTTAATATATACCTGGTATCTGCCATGTCTACCACAAAGGTAGACAAAATGCTCACTGGGGTCCTAGTCCTTTTTACCTCATGCCTACCTGGCCACCTTATAGCTGCTCTCTCTTCAAGACAATCTACTTTCTACATATTTACTACATAAATATTCCTGGCTGGGTATCGCAGCTCATGCCTGTAATCCTAGCAATTTGAGAGGGAAAGGTGGGCAGATCGCTTGAGTCCAGGAATTCAAGACTAGCCTGGGCAACATGGCAAAACCCTATCTCTATTTTTTTTTAAATGTCTAATGAAAAAAGAAATCCTAAAACACTGTTATTATTACAATGCTCCCCTGGCTCAGGAACCTACCATGGCTCACCAGAGAAACAAAGGTAGATTAACTTTCACCTCCACAAAAAGACTATAGCTATTATTGTGTACAAGTATTTTTTTTTAAATAAGGCTAAAGTTTCTACACTGACTTTCAGAATTTCAGAGAGGAGTCCAAGTTGTAAGCCAGCTGGAAACAAGATGACTACTATAATGGCATGAGAGTGTTCATTAAGCAAATTGTATCTTGCCTTAAGGTATGTATGTGGGGAAGGGGGTGTATAGTATTAGACAATGCTTCATTTAACTAGACTTTCTTTTCTTCATCAGATTTGTTTACTTCTCCTATACTCTAGGTCTACGCTAGGCTCTAGAGTTTCAACGCATTAAAGGTACAGCCCCCTGATGGAACTAAATAGAGAACCCAGAAATAAACCCATTCATATATGGTCAACTGATACTCAACAATAAGGAAAGAAAGTCTCTTTTATAAATTACATTTGAAACACTATCTACATGAGAAAGACATTTGCCCTTTATCTTACACCATACACAAAAATCAACTCAAAATGGATTGAAGATCTAAATGTAAGACTTGAAACCATTAAAAGCCTAGGAAAAAAACATGGAGAAAATCTCCTTGACATTGGTCTTGACAATGGTTTTTTGGCTAGAACACCAAGAGCACAGGCAAGAAGAGCAAACAATACCAAGTGGGACTGTATCAAACTAAAAAGCTTCTACACAGCAAAGGAAAGAGTCAACAAAATGAAAAGGCAACATGTAATGAGAGAAAACATCTGCAAACCACATATCTAATATTCAAATTATATGAGAAATTCATACAACTAAATAGTAAGAAAATGAAGAATCCAATTAAAAAATGGACAAAAGACCTGAATAGGCATTTCCAAAAGAAGATATACAGATGTTCAATAGGTATATGAAAAAATGTTCAACATCACTAATCCTCAGAGAAATACAAATTAAAATCATAATGAGGTATCACTACACACCTTTTAGAATATCTATTATCAAAAATGAAAGATAAATGCTGTCAGAAATGTGGAAAAATGAAACTTTTGTACATAGTTCGTGGGAATGTAAATTAGTGTAACCATTACAGAAAACAGTAGGGAGGTTTCTCAAAAAATTAAAAATAGAACTACCATATGATCCAACAAATCACTACTAGGTGTATTTCCAAAGGAATGAAATCAGTTTATTAAATAGATATCTGCACTGTCATGTTCATTGCAGCATTATTCACAATAGTGAAGATATGGAATCAGCCTAAGTGTCTGTCAATGGATGAAATGGATGAAGAAAATGTGATATGTATATATCTATATATATGATTCTATATATATAAAATATCATATATAGATTATATATCACATAGAGAGAGCTCCATATATATATATGGAGGCTGAATAGTACATACAGTAGAGTACTATTCTAAGGAAATTCTGTCATTTGCAATAACATGGATGAACATGGAGGACATTAAGTGAAATAAGGCAGGCACAAAAAAAATACCTCATAAACTCAGTTATATGTGGAATCTACAAGAGTTGAACTCATGGAGGTAGAGAGTACAATGGTGGTTACACCAGGGGCTGGAATACTTGGGAAACGAAGGATGTGGGGAGCAGTTGGGGAGATGTTGGTGAGGGGATTCAAAATTTTAGACAGGAAGATTAAATTTTAAGATGTTTATTGTAAAACATGGTGATATAGTTAATAAAATGTATTCTACCCTTGAAAACTCCATAAAAAGTAGAATTTGTGTTCTCACTGCAAAATATGTGAAGTAATGCATATGTTAATTAGCTCAATTTAACCATTCCATGATGTATGTGTATTACAAACAATATGTTATACAAAATAAATATATAAAATTTTTTGTCAAATAAAAAGTTTTGAAAAAACAAGGAAAGGCTCTGAATAGACGTATTTCCAAAGAAAATAGACAAATGTCTAACAGGTACATGAAAAGATGCTCAACATTAATAATCATTAGAGAAATGCAAATTAAAACTGCAATGAAATATCACCTCACACCTATTAAGATAGCTGCTATGAAAAAGACAAGAAGCTAGGTGAGTAGCTCATGCCTGTAATCCCAGCTATGCAGAAGGCTGAAGTGGGAGGATTGTGTCAGCCCAGGAGTTTCAGACCAGCCTAGGCAATATAGCAAGATCTCATCTCTGTTTAAGAAAAAAGAAAAAGAAGAAAAAGAAGAGGAGGAGGAGGAGGAGGAAGAAGAGGAAGAAGAGGACGAAAAAGAGGAAGAGGAAGAAGAAGAAGGAGGAGGGAGGAGGAGGAGAAATAATAGAAGACATAAGTGTTGCAAAGGGTGTGGAGAAAATGAATCCTTGTACACTGTTGGTGGGAATGTACTAGAACAGCTATTACTGAAAACAGTACAGAGGTTCCTTTAAAAATTTAAAACAGAGCTACCATATGAACCAGCAATCCCACTTTGGGTATATATCTAAAAAATAAAATAAATATTTTGGGGAGATATCTATTCCTCCTTTTCCATTGTAGCATTATTTACAATAGGGAAGCTATGAAAACAACCTAAGTGTCCATGGACAGAAGAATAAGTAAAGAAATTGAGGTACATATATACAATGGAATATTATTCAAACATTAAAAAAAGAAAACTCGTCACTTGCAACAACGCGGATGAACTCAGGGGACATAATGCTATGTAAAATAAGTCAGGCACAGAAAGACAAATACCATTATGTTCTCACTTACACAGGCATACCTTGTAAACATTGCAGGTCCAGTTCCAAATCACCACAATACACTGAATATCACAATACAGTGAGTCACACAAATATTCTGGTTTCCCACATAAAAGTTAGTTTTATACTCTATAATAGTCTACTAAGTGTATAGCAGCATTATGTCTAAGAAAGTGCATAATTTATTTTAAAAATATTTTATTGCTTAAAATGCTAATTATCATCTGAGGCTTCAGCAAATCATAATCTTTTGGCTAGTGGAGGGTCTTGCCTCAATGTTGATGGCTGCTGACTGATCAGAGTGGCGGTTGCTGAAGGTTGGAATTGTGTGGCAATTTCATAAACGAGACAACAATAAAGTACGGCATTGATTGACATATCCTTTTATGAAAGATTTCTCTGTAACATGTTATGCTGTTTAATAGCATTTTGCCCAGAATAGAACTTCTTTCAAAATTGGAGTCAATCCTTTCAAGCCCTGCTGCTGCCTTATTAACTAAGTTTATATAATATTCTAAATCCTTTGTTGTCATTTCAATAATGTTCACAGCACCTTCAACAGAAGTAGATTCTATCTCAAGAAACCACTTTCTTTGATCATCCATAAGAAGGTACTCTTCCTCCATTCAAATTTGATTATGGAATTACAGCAATTCAGTCACATCCTCAGGCTCTACTTTCTAATTCTAGATCTCTTGCTATTTTTACCACATTTACAGTTACTTCCTCCACTGAAGTCTTGAACCCTTTAAATTCATCCATGAGGGTTGGAATCAATTTCTGCCAAACTTCTGTTAATGTTTATATTTTGGGCTCCTTCCATTAATCGTGAATGTTCTTAATGGCATCTAGAATGGTGAATTTTTTTCAGAAGGTGTTCAATTTCCTTTGCCTGGATCCATAAGAAGAATCACAATCTATGGCAGCTATAGCCTTATAAAATACATTTCTTGGCTGGGTACATGGCTCATGCCTGTAATCCCAGTATTTTGGGAGGCCAAGGCAGGTGGATCACTTGAGGCCAGGAGTTTGAGACAGGCCTGGCCAACACAGTGAAACCCTGTCTCTACTAAAAATAGAAAAAAATTACCTGGGCATGGTGGTGCATACCTGCAATCCCAGCTACTCAGGAGGCTGAGGCATGAGAATCGCTTGAACCCAGGAGGTGGAGGTTGTGGTGAGCCCAGATTGTGCCACTGCACTCCAGCCTGGATATCACAGTGAGACTGTCTCAAAAACATAAAGTAAAATAAAATATATTTCTTAAATAGTAAGACTTGAAAGTCAAAATACTGCTTGATCCATGGGCTGAAGAACAGATGTTATGTTAGCAGTCAAGAAAACAACATTAAAGTCCTTGTATATCTTCATCAGATCTTTTGGGTGACCAGGTATATTTTCAATGAGCATTAATGTTTTGAAAACTATCTTCTTTTCTGAGCAGTAGGTCTCAACACTGGGCTGAAAATATTCAGTAAATCATGCTATAAACAAATATGATATCAACTAGGCATTGTTTGCACTGACAGACTAGATTTAGCATAATTCTTAAGAGCCCTAGGGTTTTCAGAATAGTCAATGAGCATTGGCTTCAATTTAAAGTCACTAGCTGCATTAGCCCCTAACAAGAGAGTCAGACTGTCTTTTGAAGCTTTGAGGCCAGGCATTGACTTCTTTCTGGCTATGAATTTCTAGATGACATCCTCTTCCAAGAGAAGGCTGATTGACCTACACTGAAAATCTGTTATTTAGCATGGCCACCTTCATCAATGATCTTAGTTAGATCTTTGGGATAACTTGCTGAAGCTTCTATATCAGCATTTGCTGCTCACCTTGCACTTTTATGTTATGGAGATGGCCTTTTTTCTTAAACCTCATGAACCAACCTCTGCAGCTTCCTCTCCACTATCAGCCTTCATAGAATTGAAGAGAGCAGGGCTTCGCTCTGGATTAGGCTTTGGTATAAAGGAATGTTGTGACTGGTTTGATCTTCTATACAGATGAATCAAAACTTTATAAGCAATAAGACTGTTTCACTTTCTCATCATTTGTGTGTTCACTGGAGTAGCACTTTTAATTTTCTTTAAGAACTTTTCCTTTGCTTTCACAAGTTGGCTAGCTGGCACAAGAGGCTTAGCTTTCGCCCTGTCTCAGCTTTCAACATGGCTTCCTTACTAAGCTTTTGACTTAAAGTGATTCTTCCTTTCAATTGAACACTTAGAAGTCATTGTAGGGTTATTAATTAACCTTATTTCAATATTGTGATGGCTTACAGAATACGGAGGCCCAAAGAGAGAAAGAGAGATGGGAGAATAGCAGGTTGGTGGAGAAGTCAGAACACACACAAAATTTATTAAGTTTCCCATCTTATATAGATGAGGTTTATAATGCTCCAAAACAATTATAATAATAATATCAAAGATCACTGATCACAGGTCACCATAAGAGATGTAATAATAAAAACTTTTGAAATATTGTGAGAATTACCAAAATGTTAAACAGAGATACAAAGTAAACACATGATGTTGGAAAAACAGCACCCACCGACTTGAAATAGAGTTCTCACAAAAATGCAATTTGTAAGAAACACAGTACCTGTGAGGCGCAATAAAACATGGTACACCAAAAGCAACTGCAACAAAAGCCAAAACTGACAAATGGGATCTAATTAAACTAAAGAGCTTCTGCTCAGCAAAGGAAACTATCATCAGAGTGAACAGGCAACCTACAGAATGGGAGAAAAATTTTGCAATCTATCCATCTGACAAAGGTCTAATATCCAGAATCTACAAGGAATTTAAACAAATTTACAAGAAAAAAACCCCATCAAAAAGTGGGCAAAGGATATGAATAGACACTTCTCAAAAGAAGACATTTATGCGGCTAAGAAACATGTGGGAAAAAAAAGCTCATCATCACTTGTTGATAGAGAAATGCAAATCAAAACCACAACGAGACACCATCTCACGCCAGTTAGAATGGTGATCATTAAAAAGTCAGGAAAACAGACGCTGGTGAGGATGTGGAAAAATAGGAACACTTTTACACTGTTTTGGTGGGAGTGTAAATTAATTCAACTATTGTGGAAGGCAGTGTGGTGGTTCCTCAAGGATCTAGAACCAGAAATACCATTTGACCCAGTAATCCCATTACTGAGTATATACCCAAAGGATTATAAATCATTCTGCTATAAAGACACATGCACGTGAATGTTTATTACAGTACTATTCACAATAACAAAGACTTGGAACCAAATCAAATGCCCATCAATGATAGACTACATAAAGAAAATGTGGCACGTACACACCATGGAATACTATGCAGTCATAAAAAAGAATGAGTTCATATCCTCTGCAGGGACAGGGATGAAGCTGGGTACCATCATTCTCAGCAAACTAACACAAGAACAGAAAACCAAATACCACATGTTCTCACTCATAAGTGGGAGTTGAGCAGTGAGAACACATGGACACAGGGAGGGGAACATTACACACCAGGCCTGTTGGCAGGTAGGGAACAAGGGGAGGGAGAGCATTAGGACAAACACCTAATGCATGCAGGGTTTAAAACCTAGCTGATTGGGTTGATGGGTGCAGCAAACCACCATGGCACATGTATACTTATGTAACAAACATGCACATTCTGCACATGTATCCAAGAACTTAAAGTAAAAAAAAAAAAAAAAAAGGTATGCCTGTATGTGAAATCTAAAAATGCTGAGCTCATAGAAGCAGATAATACAGTGGCATTCTTCAAAGGCTAGTGGGTGGGGAAAATGAGTAGGTGTTAGTCAAAGGATATAAACTTTCAGTTATAATGAATATGTTTGATGATCTAGGGTACAGCATGGGTGGGGATGGATGTGTTAGTTTAATTGTGGTAACCACTACACACTGTATATGTATATCTAATCATCACATTGTACACATTGTACACCTTGAATATATTCAATCTTTCTTAATTAAACATTTTTAAATTAAATAAATAAATGCATAGCCTCTTTCATGAAGCTCAGAAACAAGCAGAAGGTAATTCAATAATGATAGTATTGGCTGGGCACGGTGGCTCACACCTGTAATCCCAGCACTTTGGGAGGTCGAGGCGGGCGGATCACTTGAGGTAAGGAGTCCAAGTACAGCCTGGCCAACATTGTGAAACCTCATCTTTACTAAAAAAAAAAATACAAAAATTAGCTGGGTGTGGTGATGTATGCCTGTAGTTCCAGCTACTTGGGAGGCTGAGGCAGGGGGATTGCTTGAAGCCAGGAGGCAGAGGTTGTGGTGAGCCTAGATCGTGCCACTCTACTCCCGTCTGGGTGACAGAGCAAGACTCCATCTCAAATAATAATAATAATAATAATAATAATAATAATAATAATAATAATAAATAGTATCTACCTACAAAGTGCTTACTTTGTGCCAGATGTTGTGCTTGGCACTTTACACATTTAAGTCATTTAATTTCCACAATAGTCCTATCAAGGAGGTTCTCTTATTATCTCCATTTTACACATGGAAAAAACCTAAGTTACAGAAAAGCTGAATAATTTGCTTAATGTCATTCACTAAGTGGTGTAACCAGAATTTGAACCAGACAGTCTGGCTTCAAATCCTGTGCTTTTAACCATGAGATTCTACTGTAAAATTTATCAAAGAAAGGTTTCCTAGAAGTGTAATGGGAGCCCAGATGAAATGCAATATAGGCAGTGGCTTCACGGAAAAGATCATCCCCTTTTTCATATATACAGTTGACACTCAAACAATGCAGAAATCTGCATATAACTTTTGGCTCCCCAAAAAGTTAACTACTTATAGCCTGCTGTTGACCAGAAGCCTTACTGGTAACATATACAATCGATTAACACATATTTTATATGATATATATGTGTATATATATATATAAACACACTCTATTCTTACAATAAAGTAAGCTAGAGAAAAAATGGTATTAAGAAAATCATAAGGAAGAGAAAATTCATTCATAGAACTGTATTGTATTTATCGATATCATAAGTGTATGTCATCTGTTGTCAAGGTGAAACTTCTATCTGAAATGGTAGGCAACCACGGCTGCAGATCTCAATCTATGGTACATATCAAGCAAGCCAACTTTTTCCTGTAATGTCGTGACTTTTCTCTGTTTCTTGGGAGCACTTCAAGCATTACTACTGGCACTTTGTATGGGTCCCATGGTGCTTTCAAGGTTTACAGTATTGCACTAAATGCAATGAAAAATGCAAGAACGTTGACACATCACTTTTTATTGCTATACACAATTTACTGGAGAGATGAAATTGCTCATGTGGAGATGATTAGCATCACAAGGCATTTTAAGCAGATACTCACAACACTTGAGCTCACCACAATAGCAGCAGCAGGTGGTTACAAAATTATTACAGTAGTACATATGTATTACTGTTCATTTCATGCAGTTATGATTTAATGCTGCACCCTTAAGTTTGTTTACATTTCTCTCAACTGTAAACGGCACCATGTATGGTCTGAAAGTGTGTAAGTTTTGATGAACTTTAACTTTTATAATAGATTCATGTATATTTTATGGCAGTAAATAATAAAATAGGCTAGAATCTACATTTTTTACATTTGTGGTATACCTACCTTTCTGATTTTTTGCTACTTCTAAGCTACATAATTTATCTGTGAATTATCTCAAATTGTCACAAATCTCCAAAAAAATTTCCAATACATTTATTGAAAAAAATTCGTGGATAAATGGATCCATGCAGCTCAAATCCATGTTGTTTAAGGATCTACTGTATTTGTTTGCACCCATCTCTATCTCTCCAACACCAATATTCAAATATAGCTAGGCCATGTTTCTATAGCTAAAATTTTGCTTTTGTAGGCTGAGGTAACCTTACTCCTATCTTTTCAAATACCCTTTCTATCACTGCCAATGGCTTTTCTGTCCCATTTCCTTTATGGATAATTCCAACCAAAACTGATTTTATTTTTTCTGACCACCATGATAGGTTATTAACTGAGCATGTATTTTCACAGTTGCTTATAATTGAACTCTGTTCTCTAATTTTTTTTCACATGCATAAGTCCTTTCACCTAAAATAGATTTTATATCACCTAGGCATAAATATATTTGCATCCTCTAGAGCAGACAGACATATAGTAAGTGCTTAATAATACTCAGTTTGACACAATTTAATTGAATTAAGAAGCATTTAAATTTAGGCAGGAAAACTGAATAAACATTGAATAAACACTTTTTTTTCTCTCTCTAAAATGCTCATCTGGCTTCTTTTTCAAAACAGTTTTTTTTTTTCCTTACATATAGTCAGGGTCTTAGACTCCTGAATTGTAGTCTAATTGGCCTAATTTGAGACTCATGTTGGCAGCAACAATTTCTGTAACTATCTGGAGTTGTGAAGCAGTTAGCCAGAGAAGTATATTTGACAGCTAAGTTATTTCTCTACAGAAAAAAAAAAAAGTGTTGAAATTCAGAAAGGGATCAGTTAGGCTTGTAATAGTTACTGTTTTTCTATAACACCCTTTGCTCCCCGTGGCATCTGCCTATGTCATTCTCCTTGGGTGCTGAGGGTGGGTGCTGCTAGAACGTATGACTTCATGATGCATCACTCAGGATTCCTTCCCTAAATTCCCCTATGAAATGTTGGTTTTCACCTCCATCATCCTGATGCATGCTCTCTTTTGTCCAAAACTTCTACTCTGTTGTGTATTCTATGTGTGCCTGTGCCCAGAAACTTCAAGAGCCAAGGACTTTCATTCTCCCTGAGGATGTTTCTAAGGATCTCTCTACTCTCATGTATGATTTTTTACAATGTTTGTAGGTAGAAAATAAATTATCGGTGAGGAGAGAGAAAATGAAGAAATGGGAGTGATTGAGAGGAAAGCATGAGGGAGAAGAGGAAGAATCATGAACATGAGTGGAGGGGTTATTCTCTAAGAGGCCAGCATGCTCTTCTTCCACCAGTAGGGAGGAATAATAAACATGTCAAGAGGAGCAGAAAAAAGATAAGAGTTCCTTAAAATCTTTTGAGGTGGAGAAAAGGAACTACATGAAAGATGATGGTAAAGAGCCTAAAACTTTTCCCTGAAGAAATAGGGAGTAAGATCATTTGCCTGAGAGATGCAGCAGATTATGAAAATGACTTGGGACCATCTTTGTGAGATTTGGGCATCTATTAGAGGGTCATGATTGTGGTGAGCACCTGAATGAAAGTGGCTGGCACAAATGTATTATGGTATAGTCACTGAAATCTATGGCCCTCAGGCAACTCTGGATAGGGAAGAGAGAGAAAGTATGGACAATGGAGCTGATCCCTGAGGCAAATAATTCTAGAAGGGTGGAGATGGAAAGCACTGGTGTGACTGACAGGAAGGTCGAGGCTTGTGGGGTGGAGGGTGAAATAAGAGTTGTGGAGATTTCATGTAGCATGCATGTGAGCCATCCAGGGACACGAGTGCTGGGAGTAAGCGGGCTCACCAGACACAGCCATCCTTCACCCTCCTTCACACCAGGAGGGCAGCTCAAACATGTTTGGGACATACAACTATGGACTTTGGGACATACAACTATGGACAAAGCTTCCCCAAAAAGAGACAATTAGGAAAAGTAATACAGGCCAATAACCATGCTTTCTCTACATACTATTTCAAATAAGTAGACTTTGTAGTGTAACCTGCATTTCTACTTCAAATAATTGTGGAATCTAACATTTTAAAATACATTCCCTTTATATTACATATTACCAATTTACATACTTGTAAAAACATAAAAATTTAGGAGGCAATAATTTATTTACTCAAAATTATAACAGGACTTAAATTACCAATTATTTTGGTTAATATCGGAATAATTTTATGGACAAAAAATCATTTACTTAGAAACCGTGCTAAGAACATAAATTTAACATCATCTAAACTCTTTGCTTATTTCTAGGAGTAACTCTTTCATAAGTACATAGTTAGATAGGTTCCTTAGTTTGAATGGTGATGTCTTTAATAACTTCGGTGTTGGCCGGGCGTGGTGGCTCACACCTGTAATCTCAGCACTTTGGGAGGCCAAGGCCGGCGGATCACAAGGTCAGGAGATCGAGACCACCCTGGCCAACACGGTGAAACCCCGTCTCTACTAAAAAAAAAATACAAAAAATTAGCAGGGCGTGGTGGCAGGCGCCTGTAGCCCCAGCTACTCGGGAGGCTGAGGCAGGAGAATGGCGTGAATCCAGGAGTGGGAGCTTGCAGTGAGCCGAGATCACGCCACTGCACTCAGTGTGACAGAGTGAGACTCTGTCTCAAAAATAATAATAATAATAATAACTTCAGTGTTTTTTTCTCTATTTACTCAGTTTTCCAGAGGGAAGGCTAAGCTTGTTCCATATTAGGAGGTTAAAAAAATGCGTACTTCAGTGACCAAGAGTGTTTATACCTGACTATTTTAGGCTCAAGCTCTAGGGTGGGGGTATAGTTGATTCACAGATTTTTTGGATTTTGATTCTGAAATTTCATATCCTGGGGTGAGTTATTTGCAAGAATTTGTAGTGATGAGCTTTTGTCTCCCTGTGCTAGTGAGTTGTTTTGCTGCTGTGTGGTGGAGGCCAGGACTTTTCAGGGTGATGCCTCCACTAGCTACTTTGCAGGGCATCATAGCCAACTGAGAGTCAAAGGTAGATGTAACCACATGTGAACTTCAGACTTTCCATTTGACTTGCATCTCCAGCCCTCTAGAATTATTCACTGCAGGGATCAGCTCCATTGTTCATGCTTTCTATCTCTTCCATGTCCAGAACGGCCTGAGTGCCACGAGGTTCCAGTTACTGCACTATTATATGTTCGTGTCAGCCACTTTCACTTGGGCTCTCACCATGATTATGAACTCCTTAGAGATACTCAAATACATTTCTCATGAGGGTAGCTCCAAATCATTTTCATAATCTGCCATACTTTCCAGCTAAATAACCTTACTATCTACTTCTTTAAGGAAAAATATTAGGGTCTGTACCATTATCTTTCATATAGTTACTTTTATATACTTTGGAAATAATTTAATGTAAAATCAATACTGCATATTGTGGGACAATGGAATTACCTGGGTTTTGGAGTCAAACACATGTGAGTTCAATTCTTAGATTAGCTACTGAAAAGGTGGGAGGGTTTAGAAAAATTATTAAAGCTCTGTGAACTCCAGATCTTTTTTTACCTAAGTGTGTATTATAATAATAGACACTTTGCAAAGTTATCATAAAATATAAATTAATAAATGAGATAATATTGATGGGATAAAAGTATTTTGCATAATTTTTGGCACACAATAAATTATCACAGTATGCATTAATCGTTTTAACTTACTGAGTGATATAAAAGGATATTTTGAAAGTAGTTGTTATTAACACAAACATAGATTTCACTTTCTAAACTACATTAAGTGGTCAAAATAAAATGTTTACTCAATAAAGTATTCATCAGCATGTTTTTAAACCTATAGGAATTCTGCTGCAATCATATTCCAGTAACTGGGTAGGTCTGGTTCAGGTATTGTACTAAAAGGAGTCATGAACTAGGTTGTAAATGATTTTGTCAAGGTGTCAGTCATGTCATACATGAAAGTATGCTGTTGTAAGTCTGTGAGAGTCAACATGTGTGAAAAATAACAATGAAGGGCCAAGGAACCACCACGACACCTTACAGAGGTGTATTATTGGACAGCCCTGTGATAGCTGTGATAGCTGAAGTTTGCCCAGGCTGTGATCCACTAGTTTTTAGCAGGGTAATCTTTCTGTGCAAAAATGCCACACAATTCACCAGGCCTCCAGGGAGCTGGGAAATCACAAATAGACAGAGACTTGAAGAGTGGGTGGATTTTTTTTTTTTTCTTTAAAGCAGCAGCTGTTAGTTTAAAAGATAGTCTTTAGTCTTGAAAAAAAAAAAAAAGAAATACAAGGTATTTACTGATTTCTATAGCAAGTTCTATATTTTTTCTTTTCCCTTACTTCTTCTAATTCCAATGTTATGTTTTTTAAAGTAATAGTGATAATTTTATCAGTGTCTCTAATTTATAATGTCTCTAGTAAGAGTAGCTGTTATATCAATATACTATAAACATACCCTTTCTTACTTGTCACTCCCTCCTCTCCTTCTGCTTCTTACCTTCCTTTCTTGTCTCTCTCTTCCTGTTCTTCCTTTATTATGTATATTTAACTCATGTTATTCTCACAATTTTTTTTTTTTTTTTGAGATGGGATCTGGCTCTGTCACCCAGACCGGAGTACAGTGGCATAATCATTGCAGCCTCAACTTCCTGGGCTCAAGTAATCCTCCTTCTTCGGCCTTCTGAGTAGCTGGGACTACAGGCATGTGCCACCAAACCTGGATAATTTTTTAAATTTTTTTTTGTAGAGACAGGGTCTATGTGGCCCAGGCTGTTCTCAAAGTCCCAGGCTCAAGCGATCCTCCTGCCTCAGCTGGGATTACAGGTGTGAGCAACTGTGCCTGACCACAAGTTGCCTCTTAAATGAATAAGTGGTTATTAGAGCAGTCATCATTCTTCTGACAGAAAACCTTCCTGACAAGGGTTTCATATGTGAATATAATGAAAGCAAAATTTAACTTTTAACCAAAAATGTTGCAGTATATTCATTTGAAAAGGATGACACAGAAAGGATAAGTAGATTATTTCTGAGACCCCATACACACTGTCTTTACAATTCCAAGATTCATAATTCTAATATACTAATAAAATATAAAACTTTTAGTGTTTATAAATAGACAAAAATACATGTGGATCTCTTATACCAACTGAATTTTATATATTAATACTTCCTCGACCAAAGGTATTTCTTTGTAATTTTTGTCTTACTTTTACAAAACAGGAAAATGAGAAAAAAGTAAACTTTCACTAGACAGAGGTAGAATTTTCATTGGCATCTCTAAGAAGAGTATGGGGAGACTCAGAGCTTTCAGATGGCTTTTGAGGAAACTGCTTTGTGTTTATTTTGCTGCCTTCCTTCACTTTTTCCCTCTAGCAAACACAGAGATTAAAGATCAGTGTGTTGGCCATTCTACTGTCATCACAACATAAAATGTTTTCTGCTCTCTTGAGCTGACATCTCATCAGCACTAACAGCTTGACCCTACACCCCAATGGTATATAGGATATACCTGTCTTTAAAATGTGTGAACAGAATGTTATCTGCAGTGATTTTTCTTTTTATCCTTTGATCTGTCACTATTTCTTCACAATGTCAAAAGCCTCAGGGCTTGGCTTGAATGGTGATCAAACCCAAAGGCACACAATTTTGGGTCTAATCCTGAATCTACACAATCAAAAATCTTTTCAATTCAGACCCAAACACCATACTTTGTCTTACAATACTGAAGTGCAGCCATCACTAAAGCACTGCTTTCCCCTTTGAGCTTTTTAAAGAATGAATATAATGAGGTTATAAAGAAATGAAACATTTCTTTTACCAACTGTACTATAATAATACATGCATCTAAAGAAATGCATGCTTCCATGACCTTTCAGAAGATTAAACTCTTTCTTGGTGTTGTTGCCATTGCCCACAACACTTATTGTGAAATTTCTTTGAAATCTACTTCAAAGATATTTTCCCAGGTTCATCAAAAAAATCAAAGTGATCAATTTATTTTCACAGAACATTCAATTTACCTAATACTTTCTTCCTTTCATTCTTTCTTTACCTCCTTCTACTTAGACTTGACCTCTCCTGCACTCCTCTGATTGTTGATTCGCTTTCATTTAACAAATGTTAATTGAAAATCAAGCTCTGTCTGTGAAGATGACTTCCCTCTACCTGTATTAAACTGTACTGTCGAAAACTTCCTCTAAGTCTCTCTACCCCATTCTCCAACTTTGCAAGGAACAACACTCCTGATGGTGCCTCTTTTAATAGGCCTAATCCTCACCTCATTTTGTAGACCCTCTAGCTGTTCTGATTTTTTTGTTGTTGTTTGCTTTTTTGAAGATTAGGCTAGGACAAGACCTCCTAATCCCAGGATTTGAAAGACAAAGTTGTACCAATGAACACTTAAGCAGAGGGACATCAGGAGGTGACTAATTTATATGCATGTTTCTAATAAAATTATGAACTATGACTGGGTATCATGAATAACTAGAAGATACTGTTCCATCAAATCTGCACGGACACTCTATTCTTTAACTTTCCTCCTGGGCGTCATAAAAATTTTTAATCTTATTTCCAACTGGACCTCTCCAGAACCCTGCATGAGGAACTCAACCCAACATGTTTAAAACTAAGTGTATTTTCTCTCTACAGAGTGCCCTTCCTCTTATATTTATTTTAATTAGCAACACTTCCATCACCTAAAGGAAAGTGAGTTAGCCTAGATTCTATTTTGTTATCCCTTTCATCTAGCCAAGTATCACCAAGTGTCATACAATCTATCTCCTACATACTTCTTGAATCAGCCTCAGGTTCTGCATCTAGTACCACAGCTCTCATCATCATCCACTAGATGAATGTCATAGCCTTTTAGATCTTTCTGCCTCAGGATCATCTCTCTCCAATCAGCCCTTCATGGGACTATGAAGATGATCTTTCTAAAAAACAAACTATTTATGTCACTGTGTAGCTTAAAAAGTCTTTCTTGTTTCCTATAGCCTTGAAGATAATTTTCCAACTCTCTGCTACTGCTTATATTTTGAGCAGCTAATGCTACCCTTTTCTCACTAAAGAAACCAAGCACAAGCAAGAATGCATCCATGATAACATGTTCTCCCTTCTCATCTTCTGTTTTGAGCAGTCTTCTTACGTATCACAATAATAATTGTGGGTCATTTCTATCACAGCACTGTCACATTATAACTTGTTCTCTTGAATGAACTTCATAATCTTTAAGGAGAGGGGCTATCACCCAATATTTGGCACAGTGCTTGTGATAGGCAGAATCATGCCTAATCCTGAGAGCCTGTGAAAAAAAATATATATAATTATATATATAATATGTTATATATAATATATATGTTATAGATAATATATAATATATGTAAATATATAATTTACATATATTATATATAATTTATATATATAATTTACATATATATAAATTATATATATAAATCAAATCAGACAAGGCTGTGCATTTGCAGGTTTTCTTTGGAGGGTGCTTTTCCCTTTATTAATAAAGAACAGATCACCTTATTTCCTCAGGAAGAGGTAGAAATTGAAGGGCTGTAATAACGCCCCTTTCTCTGCCTCTTCATCTAGATGAAAGCAGATCTAACTGCGGGTGGCATTAAAAAACATGATGTGAAGAGGTATAAGAAATATCTTCTTCACAATTATGCCTCCTTCATGAGACCTCTTACATTTCTTTATTTCACCTATATTTAGAAATTATGTCAATTAAGAATCCCCATTTGCTGTTAGCTGTTGGCTTCATTTGAGAAGTTACTACA
The DNA here is from genome assembly GCF_000001405.40 of Homo sapiens. NCBI lineage: Eukaryota > Metazoa > Chordata > Mammalia > Primates > Hominidae > Homo > Homo sapiens. The sequence continues at coordinate 126,723,374 of NC_000007.14, forward strand.
GATGTAGACCTGCGGCCAACGGAACAGGCCTGGGTGGAGGAAATAGAGGCCCGCAAACTGATCTGGAATAAAGAATGAATAAGCCAAGAATTAAAGACCCCCATGGATGCTAGAATTCAGAACATGACAGAATCAGAACAATGGCTCAAGAATTTGTAATTATTAATGCTCAGAGGCGAACCAAAAAAAAAAAAAGTTTCACTTTAGGCAACAGGACACCCACTGCCAAAGATATCAAGGGAATCAGTGTTCTTGTTAACAGCAATACTTTGGGAAGCTTTGCACTCATAGGTGTGGGCAAATGAAAGTGTAGTTATACTGAAAACAATGATCTGTAGAGAACTTTGAAACTCCAAGAGAATTTTACAATTAGCTACATCTTTGTGTGAATCATCTAAGCAAACTCTATGTCTCCTAACATCTACTTAAGTTCGGCCACTCTGGGCAGTGGGTGAAAAGTAAGAATGTTGAAGAATTTTAGGTCAAGGTAAAAAACACAAGTGATCAGAAATAACAAGAAGGAAAAAATCAGAAACTGTTAATTTTAGTAAAGGCAGCACCTATGCATATGATGCACTCCTGGCCTCCAGGAGTTTACATTTGTTAGTTTCCCTTCAAAACCTAACAACATTTACATAGAGGGCATACATTTTTAAACAGGTGTCTGTGTGAGGTGATTAAGTGATTATGTTTTTATGTTTTCTCTGCTTGGAGATATCGTGATTCACTTGAGTCCTCCTCTCAAGGCTTAGAGGAAGGAAGCCGACTCAGCTACTACTGTGAGTTCTCTTCAATGAGATATGGAAGATTAGCTAATTGTTCACCAAACTGTACCTCTTTTCCTCCTGAGCAGGCAGCTGTATTTCCCAGCATCCCCTGTAGTTAAGCGCAGGCCTGAGTTCTGCCAATAAAATGCAAGAAGTGTTGCATGACAATTCCAAATCTGGCTCTGAAAGGCTTCCTGCTGAGTCTCCCATGCTTATTATCTTCCCTCAATTGACTAGTGAGGTGCAAATATACAGCAGGAAAACTCGAGGCCCTAGAGGATGGCCAAGTCACTGTGTGAAAGGAACCTTAGTTCCCTGAATGATTGCCTGGAGGAAAAGTCCCTCTCAGCCTCACTTACCTGCACTGGACTGTGATAATTATAAAGCAATCAGCCTTTTTCATGTCAATCCACTGAGAGTCTGGCATTGCTTATTACAACTGGTTAACCTAACAAATATGTATGGGTATCTCAGGAATGCTTCATAGTGATCCATTTATCTTCTTTATGGTTGTGGAAAGTGTGTAACTTAAGAACACTTTTATGTAAAGCACATTTTAAAATATGTGCCTGAAAAGGGACAGCTGAAAACATGTACATATGTATAATAAACTATTTGCAAAAAAAAAAAAAAATTGGGGGGCTTTGACTGTTTTAATACATCTCCTGTTATCTTCAAAACTGATTTTAAGCAGTACTTTAAAAAGAAGTGAAAAATCACTGGCTTGGGGAAGAGAAGAAAATGAAATAAACAAGACATCCAAAGTTACTTGAATGGATGCACATTCTTATATATAGCTGGAAACAAATAGTACTTTGTGTCAGGTTTTACAGTCTGTGGGATCTCTCAGATGAGGTTCATGCTGTGAAAATGAATTGCAAAGGAGATGACAAGAACAGATGTTTGCTCAAGATGACTGAAGATGTTTCTGAAAGCATCAAAGTGTACAGTCTACAAGTTATCAGCAGACAGGTAGATTGTAGCCAACTTTTAGATTTGTATTTTCAGACAAAATTGGCTTCTCTAAGGGTAGTTTTATTATACTTGGTAATGAAAGAAAGTGATCTGTGTGTCACTTTTAACTTAGATTGTGAATAATCACGTACATAAATACATGTGACGCATGTTTATTTCAACCCAAGGCATCCCTCTTTACAACTGAGCAAAGAACATGCCCTTGTCAGGCCCCAGATTGTGATGCTCAAGACCTCACAAATAGAAGCAGGAGGCCCTATCTGTTCTTTCCAAGACTTACACTGCCTAGGACGAAGGTCCACAATCCCTATGTTGACTAATAGTAAGGCTAAAAGTGGAAGGAATACAGAATAATCCAATCTGGTCCACTCCTACTCTAAAGCCCTGACTGTAACAGAATGTCTTCTGGCTTCCAATAGAAACAAGGAATGACCTAGAAGCTAAGAATATAAGCTTATGAGGCCGACTTAACCAATTATCAGGTTGGACATTTAAATGTACCTGTGTTATATAATGGCTGTTCTTGCACTGCAATAAATAAATATCTGGGACTGGGTAATTTAAAAAGAAAAGGGGTTTCATTGGCTCACAGTTATGCAGGTTGTATAAGAAGCACGGCGTTGGCATCTGCTCAGCTTCTAGAGAGACCTCAGGAAGCTTACAATTATGGCAGAAGGCAAAGCGGGAACAAGCATATCACACGGCCAGACTAGGAGTAAAGGAGATTGGGTTGGAGGTGCCACACACTTTTACACAACCAGATATCCTGTGAACTCAAGAGCGAGAGCTCACGTGTTATCAAGGGGATGGCCTAAGCCATTCATGAGGGATCTGCCCCCAGGATGAAAACACCACCCACCAGGCCCCATCTCTAACACTAGAGATTACATTTCAACATCAGATTTGGGTAGGGACAAATATCCAAGCTACAGTATTTCTCTGTGTTTCATTTTGAAGAAAATGTTAAATGGAAGTAATAATATTTTCTCACAGCATTTTTTGAGAAGTAATATAATTAATACATGTTAAACTCTTTTAAGAGTGTCTGATGAATAGTAAACTCCATGCCATCCACTATATCATGGTTATCATTCATGGATCAGGTTAAAAAAAAAACGTAGAGGATAGGGAAGTCCCCATTCTAGTGGCAGTCACAGACCCCTTGTTCTGTGATTCTTGGAGAGCAGGCAAGCCCCTACTTCAGTGGCTTGCCTGCTAGATGGACCAGGAGACTTGGAGTCAATAGTTCTTTGATACACTAATCCAGACCCTTCACAAGCATGTGGATCCAGACTCCTAAGGGGTGATACACCTCTGTGCCTGTGCTGATGAGCGGGTCCCTGCTCTGGCCACTGCTTTGGGATAAAAAGCTTCTCCCAGGCAAGGTGGTCCCAATCCTCCAAGTGGTCAACAATTTCTGTCACTTACTCCCCATCCTGGCCCAGAACAGGGCTGGGGCCCTGGTCCTATTGCCATTATCTTCCCCAAAATCCTCCAGAATCTGATGGCCCTTTTCTACTAGTGAGACAGAGTCCATTATAATTCAGAAAACAAAAGAGGAATTGGAAAGTATCTGCCCCTATCTCCCAGAAAAATCTTCAGATTTTTATAAAAATTGGTATATCTTACTGCAGAGCTATACAAAGTGAAACAAGTGTTTTTTAAAAATCTGAAACTGTAAGCCCAGCAAACCTTCCAATCTAAAGAAAATTCTGACAAAACCAAGATAGGCCACCCAAGATTTGCTCCAAGAAAAAAAAACCATTTCTGGTTTGCATGAGTAATGTGTTATTATTTATAAAAATATTGTCAAGCACTTAATATAAATTTACATATTCTTGATATATCATTTTCCTCTTTAATAAAATAAAATTCACCCAAAGTATATCATAGTTCTCAATTAGCTATGTTCCAATTACTGCATAACTTTTTCATAAATTCTATACATACTTACGTGTATTTAATCATAAAAATAAAATAATTTTAACTATTATCTAAATATATTTAAACCAAATATTTAAGTAGGTAAATGACATAAATATAGAATATTTACATACAATATTAATATATATCAATATATAGGTTCAACAAGACTGCATTTAGAATATTCTATATAATTCTGTGGGTTGGGTATGACACATTTGAGTGCATTAAGAACATACTTTTTAAAAAATGCTGATCATTGACATTCATATATTAATACATGAAATCTGTATATATTTAGAAAAAATATTTGATTCCAACTTTAATTGCCTCAGAATAATGTAAGATTTTTAAATATAGTATATGACTACATGGGAATTTAATTAAAAACCTATGCTTAATGAATTGGTACAATGAAGATCTTAACAACTCAATGGGATCAGTTTCCATATAGGTAGATGTCCCAGATACAAACTTTTCTAACTTCCCCCTAAAATAACTATAAACACTAAGGAAAACATAAAAGGAAATACCTCATTTAAAGCAGGTACTTACAGTAAGCCTAATTCCAGGATCTGGAAAGAATTTCAAAATGGCTTAAAGTGGATTTTAAAGCATACCTGGTGGATTGCCCAGAACAGAAAACACTTGCTCATCTGAAATCATACACACACACACACACACACACACACACACACACACCCCTAAAAAAACAAAACTATAGGTCCTCCCCTGCTGTTTGCCTCTCCACACTCAATATCTATCTCCCACAACCTTTAAGACATAATAGAATTTTAACAACCTGAAAACTTGAGTAGCTGGGCATTACAGCCAGCTGGGATGTGTATAGCAAGTAGTTTTTTACTAGTATTATTGTATGTACACATGAGCACAATTAATATAAGATTACATTATTGATGCTTACATTCTGATATGATTGACATGCTGAAAGGGGCGGAGCTACTAAGCCCTATAGACACAAAAGGAAGTGAGTCATGCATGTGAACCTCATTTTAAGAAATGCCAGGAAGAAAATTGTTGAGAACTTGTCTACTCCACAGCCACTGCTTTAAAGGCAGCATGAGTAATCTATCTGCCACTATCCGCCACGCACCCTCCCCACTGCCATTAGTGCTCTCTTCACAGATCCAGTAGGGGACTGCAGCACATGGGTAGCAAATCAAGGAAGGGAGAAACACGTGAACTAAGGCCATTCTCACAGTGCTGTGCCACACAAAGCTCCTCCTGTCTGTGCCCTTGCTGACAGCGCTGCTTGGAATGCTATCTGTGCAGAACCACTAATTTCCCTTTGCTTCCTGAAGAAATATGGACCCCAGCTGGCTGGCTCACAGCGGGAGTAGAAGAAAAGATCCCATTGCAGAGCAGTAATGATGCAGAAAAGGAAAGCCTCCTAGATACTAGGAACTGGGCTTGGAGCTTTGTGTTCCAATTGTCTTCTCAATCTGTGAAAGACCAAACAAAGGAGCAGAGAAAGAATCTCAGAAAAGCAGCATACCCACACTGGCTCTGGAGAGGTGGGCCGTCCACACAAATGCACAAATAAGAAAATAAAAACATACAGTAACTTTGAAAAACACTCGAAGACAAGGAAAACTTGATTCTGAAAAGTCATAGGAAGAGAAGACCTTTGAAAACACTTCAATACAGGAGCTAGATGAACAACTCAGAAAACTGATCAGCTCAACAGGTGACAAGGAGGGACACCATCCATGGTCCAGGGGAGGCTTCCTGCTGGCTTCTGGGCCCTATGTGAGGTGCTCCCAGCTGCCTGCCCTTATTCCCTGTTCTGCCCACCCTGTTCTCCTTGCTGTACCTTAAACATGTCAGACACTCTTCTAGCCAGAAAGTTCTTTCCTGAGATAATCGCTAGCCTCACCACTTCATTTCCTTCAGGTCTCTGTTCACACAGGACCTTTTCAGAAAGGCTTTTTCTCTGACCACACTGCTTAAGTAGCAGCTTCCTTCACTCTTTTTCTCCTCACCCTGCCATAAAGGCTTCACAGCCCTTGAGTGCAATGGCAAGCTATCATAGTGATTAAAGACCTGATTCCGTCCCCTCCCACCTGTATGAAGTTCAGCTAGCTATTCACCCTCCCTTTGCTTCATTTTCTCACGTGGCACCAATTGTAGCCCACATGATTGCTGCCCCACCCTCTCCTCAGTCACCATTCCAGAGTGCTCTGATGGCTTCACACTGCTAGTACCTGCAATCTGTAGCCAGAAAATGTCATCTGGCCCCAGGAGCATGTTCAACCTATGTGCTAAGCAGGACAGAAGAGCCAAGGAGTCAAAACTCCAGGGAATGGCCTTCACACTATGGTGAGGGGGAAGATAACTATCTCAGCTTCCTTACCCCTTGGGTGGAAAAATTAAGGCCATGTCGATTCCAGAAGTCTGCAGCCAAACTAAGACCCAGTTGCCCATATCCTATATGCCGTGTAATATATTTCTTCTCCTTTCTCTCCCTGTCTTAGTTCTCCACTCTTTTACCAGTCCAGCACTGGGGAAGTAGCAAGCAGGTAACTTCACTAAGTTCCAAAACATTAATTGTGTTTTCCAGTTTAGAAGTTCTGCATTTGGCAGATACTGGGTAACTGACTAGCCCTAAATGAAGTGACTTTTGTATGTGATTACCTTGTGTCACCTATGATTTCTTTTTCCTCATCTAAGATCTCAGAGAGAGGATCTCGAGCTCTGAAATCCCACTGAAGCCTTAACTCAAAATTATTTTTGGGTTTGTAAGAATAAGTAAATGTCTCTCAAGTATTGAGGCAAAAGTAAAGACCTTAACTAAAGAGGAATGGACATCAGATTGTCCTAAGCTACCTCTACTACATTAACTGCTGGATGACAATGTCACAAATCTAAAGAGTTCTGGAGCAAAAGTCTGTGTTCCAAGCTAAGATAATAGAAATATAGTATCAGATATGCAAGAGTTTAGAAAGACGATCTTTTACTGAGAAAGTTCAATTGGAAAAACAAAACACATCGATCAAATAAGAGGAGAATCAAAAGTAACAACTTAGGAATAAAGAAGTAATGTAAGAGTAATGTTTGAGTGTCTTCTATTCAGATCAGACTATGATGTAAGACTCATGGAACTAGGAAGATTAGCAACAGTTCCACACATAAACCATAAATTGTGTCAAAGAAATAGTACTAGCAATGCACTGATTTAGAAGTTGAAATAATTTGGGATCATAATGAAGGCTATGAAGCTTGATCAAAGATTTGAAAGAAAAGATGTGTATTTGTATGGATAGGAAAAAAAATAAAATAAGAGCACTTTTGAAGTTGGAAAATGCCTGAGCAAAGATCCAAGATTAGAGATGCTCAAGGTCAATTTTTGCCACAGTGAATACACCAGCTGGACTGGAAATACAGAAATCACTGTAGCATATCAGGATGTAAATTTGGAAAAGTGAATTTGGGGTAGACTGTGGGGGGACCTGGATGTCAGACCAGGAAATTAAGAATATTTTATTTTGTAAACAATGTGGAACTGTTGAGAACTTTGTGAAAAATCAAGTAGCTAAGGGGCACTAACCTGTATCTGTGGAAGAATGAGGCAGGATAGAAGCCTGTCACAAACATTTGAAAAGAGAGAAGGGAACGTGAAAGATATAGTGCGATAAACAAAACAGCAATAGTTGGTAACTGCTTAAATATGAGGCTCAATATGGAGAAAGTTACTACTTTGATATATCAAAGTTAAGATAATGTTGAGGAATTAAATTAAAAATTAGGGAAACAGGTAGTTTAGATACACAGCATAGAAGGAATAATGTTATTTACTATCTACATTTAGGGATAATAGTTGGCATTTACTTAATTTAGTTATCAAATTCTCTTTTCGATAAATCTGTATAACATCTCTTTTCTCGAATATAATTGTTTGGTAAACATTACAGCATTTTATTAACAAACCTTGTTAAAAGTTATAACAAATTATACATGTTTTAAGAATTAATTTGGAATACAATTATATGCTTAAAGGGACCTCAAAGAATGAAGACTTTAGATGAATTTTTCATATTAAGCCAAATTTGTCAATTGGAAAGAAATGTATATAAAAGATTTTTTCCATCATTTGTCTTCTCCTGGTGTCCCAATGGTAAAGCTATAATATTGATTAATTAGAAAGAGATCTCATAGAGAAGCCATTTTATTCACTCTGATACCCTGGCCACTCTCAGGAGGACGTGAGAGAACCACTCAATATCCTGAGCACTTCCTGTGTAACTGACTTGCCTCTAGACCCAACTTTGAATTAAATATTTGCCCTGGAACTTGAATCATGCCAGAAATTTGAAGAATCACCTTTTGCGTTTCCTGATTTCTATTTCCACCTATTCCCTTTCCTATATTTATCTTTAATTTCTAAATTTTCTAGAAGGAGAAATTGAAGTAATATTGGCCGAATATTCCCAATGGTAGTAAACAAAAGAGAAACAAAGTACCTACCAGAAACTGACCATCTTAACTTGTGCATTCTGTGACATTTTATTACCAAAATGAACTATTTCTACGCATCCCAAATCTCCTACTGACTTCTACAATTAATATATTCCCATATTCCACAATACCACCAGGAATAAGTCAATATTTAGATTAGAATATTTCTCCAGCACATGCACAATTATTACAATGATCATGGTATTATCAATACATATATGTATTCATATAATTTCTATCATAAATATTTTTCCAGAGACAATGAGACTATATCATTTTATTATTTCCTCATTTTCTATGATGTCTAATAAATATCCATAAATAAAAAATAAATCTAAGTAATCAATTAAGTATATTATTTGTATTATTAAGGAGTATTTTCCCCTTTTTAAATGAGATGTTCTTAAAGCAATACTGTAAAGAATTCTAACAGATAATATATATTTTCTATTTTGAGGGTATAACATCATTTGATATTGGAAGAATTGCCATGGGGTAAAAACTGGAATATGGAAAGCTACCATATTGACAATCCCTCAGCATGCAAGTATCACCAAAACTCTTACTTAAATGTGCTAGTAGTTATTTCTTGTATACAGTCATTAAATTTAGTTTGTAGCCAGAACAAACATTATCATAATATATTTTTTCACCATATTAAATGTTTAATATAATTTCAATAAACTAATTTATACTATACGACTGAAAAACTACAGGCAGATTATTAATGATGATAAAAGACCAGTTGTAAAAGAACATCTGTTATAAAAGTTAAAAGGCCCATTAAGAAATTATGTAATTAAGTCTTCTATATCCATTCGGAGCAACAGCAAATATCTCTAAGTCATTTAAGAAAAATCCAAAGTCCCCAATTAACACATTCTTTTTATTCTTTTGAATTTTGCATCTTGTGTGAATTGTGCCTTAAGAGTTATTAGTAGAATCTATTCATATCCCAAATTAGAGGAAGACATATTAGTGAGGTCAACCTCTCTAGCTGTAATCACTTAGCATATGAAAGAAGAAAACATATTTTTCCTGTTTCATTAAAAATGTGAATATGGCGTATAGAGAGCTTTATAAAGCAGATCAAAAAATTCACTTATCCTTATTTGTGCAGTCCATTTGAGCTAGTAATTTCTGCTTAGGTGAAGGTCTGCTCAACTATGTTACAGCATATCACAAAACCCACATAAGGAAAATACCTTCATTTATCATTGTTAAATTTTTTCAAGTGTAGAATACTTTCCATTGAATCACTGTCCTCTGTACCAAAATTTCAAGATATGGAAAATCTGAATTTTCTTAAGAATAGTTTAGGAATAAAAAAATCCTGTTTAGTTTAAAGGCATATTCAAGCTAAATCAGTTATGTTTAGGTCACGGTTGCCCAACCATGGCCTATGGGCTACATGCACGTGTCCCAGGACAGCTTGGAATGCAGCCCAACACAAATCTGTAAACTTTCTTAAAACATTAGGAAAATTGTCTGCAATTTTTTTTTTAAGCTCATCAGCTATCATTAGTGTTAGTGTGTTTTACATGTGGCCCATGACAATTATTCTTCTTCCAATGTGGCCCAGGGAAGCCAAATGACTGGGCACCCCTGATTTACATCATGTTAGTCATCACTTTTTTTTCTTCTTCACTAACTCACCTATAAAGAGCAATGTCCTTCCTGATAAAGTGATAAAGTGAAAACAATGTTAGAACTATTAAAGGACATTTTAACACTAATTGATCCAACCTAATGGAAACTGTAATAAAAGAAAGATTAGCAAAGCACAAATTTTTCTTGCTTTTACTTTGTGAAAGTATTTGTTTACTTTATTATATATAATATACATTAAATTGATAATATAATAATGTATTATGTCAGGCTATATGTTTGGAAATGAACAGTGTCTCTTTCTTCCTAATTAAAAAAATAAGTGGCTTGCTTGGAAAAAAAAGAGGAAAAAAAAATAAAGCCCTGTAACTAAGTCTCATTTATAAATATTAATGCAAAAAGTTCTCAATAAAATACTAAATATTAAGTAAAATTAAATCTAATATTATATTAAAAACAATATACAGTATCAAAGAAGCATTTATTCCACAAAAAACAGTGTAGTTAGACATTTGGAAAAAATTGATAAACGCATTAATAACGGACAAAAATACATCATCATGTTGATAGGTGACAAGGCATTTGACAAAATTTATAGTGTATCTATATTTAGTAAAACTTTAAATTAGAAATCATTTTTAGGATGGTCAACAGTGACATCAGAGATCAGCAGGCATTATTTAAAAATTGCAGTATTAGAGGATTAGGGTCAAAACAGGAATGCCCAGCATCACAATCAGTATTCCATGTCATTCCAGATGTGCTAACCAATGCAATTAGACATGTAAAAGAAATAAGAATAAAAATAACTGATAATCTGAAATTCCACTGGAAGCAGTTAGTAAATAAAAGTGCTACTTAAAAATTATTATTTTAAGCATATCAATAACTTCTTAATATACCTACAATTACCTGAAATAATGAGAAAAATTTAATTAGCAGTCATAACACATTAATAACATCAGCAAATATCAAATCTCCATAAACTTAGTGGGAATTTCCCAGAACTACATTAAAAATTATAATATACTACTGAGAGATAATATGAGTTGAATACAAAATGTACACATTGCTCCCCTGTACAGATATAGTATTTTCTCGAAGTTGATCTGTAAGTTTATCCTATTCCTAAAAAAATTCCAGTTAAGTGGATAAATTTTAAAACATGTATTTATATGTTCAAAAACAAAGCCAGCAAAATTTTGAAACCCATTCTAATGGCAGTGGCTTGCCCTATTAGATATTAACATATATCATGGCAATATTTTAAATAATGATATACTAGCACAAAAAAAGATAGCCAGATTAATAAAATAGACAATTCATAGCAGATCTAGAAAATATAATATTGTATAGTAATATATTCTTAATATTTCATATTATTACATTTTAATAATATATTAAAATGGCCTTCCACATCACTAAAAAAATTTGATGAGTTTTTTGAGAAATAACTTTGGATACTGGCTATCAAAAACTCAAAAAATTAGATGTCTATTTCATAACTTACAACACAAAATGAAGATGAATTCAATGTTTCATTATTAAAATGACATCATGAAAAAGCTACAAGAAAATACGTATTTTTAAAAGTCCTGAAAGCTTACTATGGCTATTTTAGTTTAAAACGAATTTCCCAGTTCAAAGATTGACCTGTGAACAAGATATAATAGTAAACATGAACTTATCAGGTAAGAGTAAAACAAAATATTTTATTGACATCTGCACTCTGGGAGCAGTGGTGAGAAAAGAGAAAGGTGTTTAGCACCAGGAAAGAGAGACATTTGGTAGTCAGTAATCAAGGGAGGGTTTGCTTATTTATATTACTCTTATTTAGTAGAGAGTTGGTAGTACAAAAGAAGAGAAACCTTTTTGAAAGTTAATATTTTTGGCCAATCCAGGCCTTTCACAGGAGATCTTCCATAGGACTGTTACACATTTCTAGGCATAACATGACAGAAAGTGCAGAGGAGAATCTTGATGGATGGGCCCTCACAATTTGTTTAAATTGCTGTAGGGCAAGTAACACCAAATATGAATAGATGAATTACAGAAATACAATTGTAAAATATATGTCAGACAACAGATTAATGTATGTATTCTCAAAGAGATTTTGACAATCAAAAGGAAACAGAGGAATATTCCAAAAGAAAAATAGGCAAAGTAATGAACAGGCAATTTGCAAAAGAATAAATACAATGGCTAATTAGTATACAAAAACTCTAAATCTCATTAGGAATCAATGATATTCAAATTTAAATAATAATAAAATTAAGTTCACCACTGATGTATATAAAGATGAAAAATAATAACACCCAGTTTTGGTGAATGTGTGGGAAGATAGATAAATTGATCTGTTACTATTATGTATATGACTATGAACAGCAATTTGAGAGTAGCTATCAAGAATCTTAAAGGCAGGGATTACATGCCTAAGAATTTTTCCATGAAAATAATTGAACAAGTAAATTGTTGTCATCTTCTTCATACACAAAGGACGCCATGTTGTTACCGAGATTAAGATAAATTATTTATTTTTTCAGAATGAAAAGCTATTTACTATTGTAAAGACTCTGTCCTCGCAGTAGACTAAAATCAAGAAAACACAAAGACTCTTTTTTAGACGGCACCCACAATTCAAAAGCTCTAATCACAAGAACAAAGAGAGACACAGAATAAAAGAGACAGATGGAGACAATGTGAGTCCCATTTGAGCACCTGCAGGGAATGGGTTCTCTGAACAGTAAAAAGCTGGAAGCCGAAGCAGGGACACCTGGGCATTACCCATCTTTCTTTCCCTGGATGAGAATGAAGCCTTGCTAATGCTAACTTCAATTCAAGAACCAGAAGAGCCCAATATTTTTATACAATACCTTAAATAGAAGTGCACAGATTGTTAATGTTAAGTTCTTCCAGAAGGCTGATGTAAGCTCTGGGTACAAAAGACTCATGGCTCAGCACAAATGGGGCCTTTTCCTACACCACTCTAGTTAGTATGGGCAACACCAACAGCAATTCTGTGATCTATTCCAGAACCAGGGGCCAGGAAATCCTCCGACAGAATGTGCCATGCTAAACCAGAAATATAACCTAACTTAACACATACACATGTACGGTCTCTTCTCACTAATTGGAAATGTGCAACACCTTTACAACTATGTACCTATTTAAATTCTTAAGCCATTTTTATTTTTAATTTCTTAAGCCATGTGCAAACATAACCCCCTGAAAGAGGGATCAAACCTGCTCTAGAGTTTATAAACACAATCTGCTGAAACAAGCAAAAGCATTTCCATTTGTCATGCTTGATATACTCAGCCCATCCTGTAATTTGAACAAGGTTATTCATTAATTACCTTGGTAATTAATGTTATGTCAATGTTATGACATAATGGGTGTCAATGTTATGAGTTTATAACTGCAAACTGGATGTTTTTGTGTCCCTCTCCTTACATTTAGGCAAAAAACTGCTTTAAATATTTCTAACCTTTGCTACTGTATTTCCTCTGAGGCTACACGATGCCAAGACAGCTTAATAGAAATGGAAAAGTGCAGTCAGTACTACTGTAAATAGCTTTTTCATATGAAACCAAATATGCTTATGTTTGTAAATATCCAAAGAGTCATCTCATTGGAAAATCTTTAAGTCAATGTTGTTGGCATCACAGTAATACTGTTGAGTTTCTAGAGATTCAAAATCATCTCTCCACTTACTACCATTTCAATAAAATACAGTCTTTCTCATTCTCCCCCTAATGATAACCTTGAAACCACCATTGCAAAATTATAACTGAGACAGTGAAAGAGATCTGACCTAACGAACTCCATCTTGCTTCTAACCTTCAAGCTGTCCTGTCCCTTTGGGAGGAACTTTGTTTATAGTTTAAATCAAAGATGATAATAGCCCTTTCTGAAAACAAACCTCCTTCCTGCCTGGGGACTAGACTGCCTTTGTAGGACTAACAAATTAGCCACAAGATTAGAAATTATGGTTTAGGAATCATGCAGCTGGAGACTACAAGATTCCGACCCTCCCCAAATTGCTCCTGAGGGTAACATCACTATTGTAAAGCCTAAGACCAGTGCTTCAGACATTTTCCAGACCCTGTACTTGATAGATCAGCTGGCACCACCCAAGATGGATAAGCTGGTTCATCTGATCTTGTGATCTCCACCAAGGAACTGACTCAGTGCAAGAAGACAGCTTCGACTCCTTACGATTTCATCTCTGACCTGACCAATCAGCACTTCCAACTTACTGGCACCCCCACCCACCAAATTATCCTTAAAAACTCTGATCCCCGAATGCTCAGAGAGACTGATTTGGGTGGTAATAAAACTCCAGTCTCCCGCACAGCCAGCTCTGCATGAATTACTCTTTAATTACTCTTTCTCTATCGTAATTCCCCCGTCTTGATAAATCGGCTCTGTCTAGGCAGCGGGCAAGGTGGTTACAACCTCTCTCATGATATTAAATTTAATACTAGACTGAAAATTCACTAGTATGTAATTTTTCCATTCCCTTCCTGAGCAATGTCCAGACGTACAAAAAGCCATTTCAAATGACCATTAAGTTTTTCATTCATTCAGCAAACATCTATTGAACACCTCTTAGCTATGCACTAAACTAAGTCCTGAGAATGTAAGGTCAAGTAAGTCATGACTCCCACCCTCAAAAAGCTGTAGTCTAGGGTGGAGGCAGACAAGTAACTTTGCAATTCAATTGCAGTATGGTAAGTGCTACCTACTGATAAAGGAGCATGTAGGTGGAACATCGAAATCAGACTAACACTAACGAGGGTGATCTCAAGCCAGAGAAGCCTTTCTAGAGGTGACTTTTGACCTCAGTTTTGAAAGATAAAGAGTAAAAGGTGAAATGGGGTTTTGAAAAATAAAGAGTAAAAGGTGACATGTCAAAAACAGAAGAGAGAATTATTCAGGAAAAGGAACAACATATGTGCTATCATAAAGGTGGGCATGACCCATTTCCAGAATCACAAAGTCCAGCATAGCCAGAGAAAAGGGCACATACAGTACAAAGACAATAAGAACCTTTTCAGGACAGGTATGATGTGTTAAGCCAAGGAGTTGAGGCAGGATGCTGAAAGCTGCAGGGAGCTATTTCATGACTGTAAGCAAGAGGAAAGTATGATGATAGAAGTGTTTTGAAAACAAGCCCTCTGGCTGCTGCACGTAGCCCACTAGAGAGAGGGGAATAAAATGTTACTGAAATAATTAAGATAGGAGCAATCTAGTGGGGAAGAACAGGTTTGCAAGATATTTCATTACCGGTGAAATACTGAAAGCAAGTTTAGTAGTTTAAACTGGTTCAAGTTTGCTGACTTGGAAGACCAGGTTGGATGCTGTTTAACTCACTAAGATGAGAAACTCAAGAGAAGAAATAGGTGTGAAGTGAGAGTTAATACACCTAATTTTGAACTTGATGAGTTGAACATCCAAGTGAAGGATACAGTTGGAGAAGTGAAAGGTCTAGATCTTTCTAGAGAGATGAGAATCATCTGTATAGAAGAGAAGGCTGAAGCCATAGGAGTGGTCAAGATTACCAGTGTGGGGGGTGAGTGGGGGGTTGGGGGATGCAGAAAGAAGAACAGAGGAACCAGCATAGAGCCCTGGGAAATTCTACGTTGAGGAAAGCATGAGTGGTAGATAGACTACAAATATTTAATTGCTAGAAGAGGAGAAGGAAAAGAAGGAAAAAAAGGAGGAGGGGGAGGAAGAGGAGTAGGGGAGGAAAGAAGGAGAGATCCACAGATGTTGATGAAAAACTCCAAGAAGGTTAAGTGTCTCAGATGCTTTAACAACATAACTTAGGATGAGCAGCACAAATGTTTGGAGCCTTCAGCAACGTGCAAATCAGATCTGAAGGAAATATTGGTACAGGGAGGAAGAAAAGGAGAAGGAACCAGATTCCAGAAGGCTGAAGAGGGAAATGGGCAGTGTGGCTGTAGTGTAGGGCAGTTTTCCAAACAGTTTATTAAAGAAGAGAAAGAAGAATGCAGACATCCTCATATCAACCACTACATTTAAAAGGACTAATTATTATTATCCAATTCTTTCACAAGGCATATGTTGGCAACATCCTTTTCAAGCAGAAATAAGGTCTTTTTAAATCAATTTTAATGGAAGAAAAGATATACTCCCTTTCCCCATTCTAATCTGATGACAAAAGTTCTAATAAAGTAGCAGTGAGAACAGGAGCAGTAGCTGGGAATTAGAGTGAATCACCTTGAGATTCCATCCAAAGTTACTCAAAATTGTGTTTGCACACACACACACACACACACACACCACATACAAAACATAGTTTATATTAGTAAAGTATAAATAAATATGTTATATTCACCTCTTAGCATCTTACATCTTTGATAAGACCACGGTGTTACGTTTAGTTACCTAATATTTAATAGCAGTGTTTTATATCACTTCTTTCCAAGAGATTTAAATCACTGTTCTCAATTTTCCTAATGCAATCTTCTCTCATTATTCCTTTTTGAGATTGGTGGTGATCCTCCCACAACCCCTTTGTATAATTATTTTCAGTTATTACTAATGCTTGTTTATAACTCTGATTTAACATCAGCTATAAATTACAGTCATGCACCACACACATTTCGGTCAATAACAGACTACATATACATAATACTGAATTTTTACTGTAATTTTCTATGTTTAGATAGGTTTGGATACACAAATACCATTGTGTATCTAATACTAATACAATTGCCTACAGTGTTCAGTACAGTAACATGCTGTACAGGTATATAGCCTAGGAGCAATATGTACCATATAGCCTAGGTGTGTAGCAGACTATACCATCTAGGTTTGTATAAATACTTCTATGATGTTTGCACAGTGACAAAATCACCTAAGAACACATTTCTCAGAACATGCCCCCAACGTTAAGTGACACATGACTGTATCAATAACTATAATGGTCTACATTTATATAGTATTGGTCTGAGAGATCCCAAAGGACCTTTCCAAACAATACATTTTTCACATAAATAAATGCCAGGCAACATTGAGAATGATAAAAGCAACCAGTCACACAATTAACATACTGTTTACCTAGCTCCTGAACAATAAAAATGCTTCTCAAGACTCAAGCTGATATCAATCACAATAGGTACTCCACTGAACAATATGCCACAAGCTAATATCACCTCTGATTATTAATATGGGGCAATTTTTTATTCCCTAGGAGATAACTTGTATCAAGTCAAATTGAATTGGTTTGTACAAACAGTACGAAGACAGAAAATAAGAACCTTTTCAGGACAGGTATGAAAAGGATCAGTGGCATTTTTTAAAGTCTTGACTAAAATGGTACTTTATGCATAATTTATATAAAATCTTTCTTATACTGAGCTTTTTCTGCTAAACAGGGAAATCTGTGCTGATAACTGAAACAAAAGGTGGTCCCAAGTCACAAATTGAGACTCAAGTAAGCACTCCTTCCCTGACCTTGAACAAATCATTTATATTGTTTACCTCAGTTTCACTGCTTTGGAAAGAAAACTCTATCATTTCTGACATGAACTCAGCAATTCTTGATTTGAAAGGTCATGAAAATGTGCTGAGAGATTCCTCTTTCCACAGGTGGTTTTGGCAGCAGAGTCTTGTCTTAAAGATTCACGTTATTCAGGTATTTTTGTTAACCTGCCATAATAAGTAGTAATGTAGAATTTCAAGAAAATACCGAAGCATAGACATTTCCCAACGGAGAAACTCTAACAACTTCCTGCAGTAAACCACATAAGATATTAACAATAGAATAACCCAAAATACATCTTCCTATCTAAAACTGATATTACTATGAAAATGAGAAGTTGAAAGTGGGGGAACTTAAGAATTAGTGATAAATAAAATCAATATGGGCAATTAACTATCCTCTATATAGAAAACAATTGCAAGTATAAAACTAATACTTGCTTATATGGCTGTGAATAAAACCAGTGAGACGTGGCTACAGAGAGTAGGCTTTCACCATTACACTCTTCTGGTCTGACTCCACCAAAAAGCTTTTAGAAAATAGATTACTGGCAGTACTCGGGATCCACTGAATCAGAATTCCGTAAATCTGTGTGCGTACGTGTGTGTGTGTGTGTGTTCAGTGTTCCCGAGTTGATTCTAATGAGGCTGTTTCCAATACACAGAAGTCACTAACCTTGCTTACCTGCAGAAAACCACCACCACCAAAAATAAAACACTGTTTTCAAACAGAGGAAAGGAATCATATTCTCCAAGCATTTGGTTTTCCACTGGGAGGACTGTCACACAATAGCTTTTAATTCAGAGATGCACATGATATGTCTGCAAGGGTAGAGAATTTTGTAAGCATCAGTTGCTCTCCTCTCTGCTTACCCTGGGAACAGGCCAGGATTTTTCCTTGTAACTCTGGTCCTGAATGTGGCAGAAGAACTGAAATGTCCTCAAGAAGACCGGTCTAACACGAGCTGACAGCATGATGTCATGACAAGAACAAAAGTTCTGAGGAGCACCACAAATAGAGACTAAAATCCTAGCTTTGTTATTTACGATAGTATAATAATAAGGGGAAATTATTTCCCTTATTAATCTCCCTGAGCCTTCGTTTCCTTCTTTGTAAAATGGAAATAATAGGAGCCACTTTCACAAGATTGTGGGAAGCAGTACAGCATGATGTTTAAGAGTGGATGCAAATCCCAATGCTGTCACCTACTTTTAAAAGACTAAGTTCCTTGTCTGTAAAATGGGGATCCCAAGAGTACCACCTTCAGAGAGTGATGAGGAGGAGGATTAAATGAGACAACACATCCATTACAGTCATCCATCCCTCTGTATAAGCTTGGAATTGGTTCCAGGACACCTACCCCCCACACCAAAATCCGAGATATTAAACTTCCACACTTGGCCCTGCAAAGCCACCCACAGGAAAAGTTGGTCTTCAGTACAGGCGCGTTTCATACCTGCAAACCCTGTATTTTCCATCTGCATTTGGGTGAAAAAAAATCCATTTGGGTGAAAAAAAATCCATTAGATCCATACAGTTTAAATCTGTGTTGTTCCAGGGTCAACTGTATTATTATTATGATTGTTGCAGTAATTAAATTAAAATATTGTAACAAAATTGGGCCAATGTTTAAACCTTATTCTCACATTTTTTAACTTTATATAGGTAGAAAGACATACTGGCTATGCTCAAAAGTCTATGTACCACCAGAGAGGCTGAAAAGGCAAGGGAAAAGGCAGCTTGAAGGCAAGTTTTAGGACTGCAAAGCAGTCCTACAACAGTATCCTATTTCCTTTAATTTGGGACTTTAAAAAAGATCTGGGTAAGCATTTCAAGGATTAACCTCACAGCCCCCACCCCACCACACTTACCACTTCTCCAAGGCCAGCCCGCACAGCCACCTCTCCTACGGAGCATGGTGGCCAACTCACCATTAATCAACCACGCCAAATATTTTACCCTCAGTGCCCAGACTCTTAGCCTGCCTTCTGCCTGGAATATAACCGACAAACCAAGTCCCCATCCAGCAAAATCTCACTTACTCCCGTAAGACCTGACAAAATACTCCTTCCTCTTTCTCTAAGTTTCTCAGTCAGAATACATTATTCCTTCCACTGGACTCCCATAAAGCAATCATGTGTATACCTAATTCTAGTCACTAGTTAATTACTAATTCTGGTCACTAGTTAATTACTAATTCTGGTCACTAGTTAATTCTGATGTATTTTAATAATTGCCTATTTATAAGGCTGGCTTTCCTTTAGATTTCAAGTTTTCTGCGGGAAGGGACTCTATCTTACATATCTTCATTTCCACCACTTCCCCAACAGAGGCTGACCCGCTGTCTGGCATATTGTAGGTATTCAACACAAATTTGTTGAAATCATATTTATGCACTGGGGACTGCAATGAATGGAGCCCAAAGCTCACCTCAATCACTTGGTACCTCCCCTAATGGCTTTAACTCATTGTATGGTATATACTAAATGAAAGTGTGCTTTGAAAAATAAAGCATAAAGCCATTCATATCTGAAAAGTAGACTAGTGCATAACTGAGCCTAGGACATATGTAGTACGATTTCAGTGAAAGGATACAACTGATTGGCAGTTTAAAAAGTCATGTTCCCATATAAAGGTATTATAGCTTAATGTGCTATAATGCAGATCCAGTAAAATCCCCACCACTCATTTTTAAATATTTGAAGACATATAAGGTAATGTCTCAGGAACACAGATTGATTTTCAGTGGATGTGCTATTAAAATGATCCACTTTTCATATCATACCCTATGCTGACCCTTTAGACAAGTGTCTTAAACTATACTAAATTATATTTCAATCACAATCCTATAGCAATAAAAAATAAATAAAAAGAATATGCACCTGGAGCGAAAATGGAACAGAAACATAGCCATTGCTAAACATAACATTTTCTCTATTTTGGTATTACTTTTAAAAATTTAGTATTACTTTTAAAAAATTATACCAAGTGGAGGTATTAAAATTTTCAATCAAAGTAATATTTGAGTTGCTTCTCTAACAGTATACGTTGTTTACATGTTTTTGTAAGCCAGTCTGTTTCTTCTTACTTCATACAATAGTACTTACAGAGAGAAATTATTTAGAATAGTGGCTCTCAATGTAGTCCACAGATCCCTAGGGGGCCCCCAGACCCTTTCCAGTGATCTGCCAGGTGAAAAACATTTTCATAGCAATATTAAAATTGTATGTGCCTCTTCCATTGTGTTGACATTTGCACTTATGGTAAAAAAAAATAAGAAAAAGAAAAAGCAACAATGGTAAAATCACTGATATTTTACAATGAGGCAGACAGTGGTGCCGAACTACACTAGTAGTCATCATATTCCTCACTGCTACACACTTGCAATGGAAAAAATAAAAAATTGCTAGTTTCACTTAAGAATGGCCAAGATAAAGAAGTAAAATTTATTGATTAAAACCTTGATGTGTGAGTAAAAAAACAGTGAAATGTAAAACTAAAGCACTTCTGTTCCAGACCAAAGCATGACGCTTGACTCAGGAGGGGTGGGGGAGCATTTATATGATTGAGTTGTGATCTGAATTAGCCATCTTTTTAATGGCATGTTTTTTCTTGAAGAAACGACTGACATATAAACCATGGTTATTAAGACTTGGGTGTTTGGAAGATTTTTCTTAAAAATGAATAAACTTAAACTATTAGCTCAAGAAAAACTGACAGAATTTTCTGCCAATGATAAAATTTGGGCCTTCGTATAAAAATATTTTGGAAAACTTGCATACTCCTCAAATCAAGTCCAGGTTTTCTGATCAGAGTTTTCTGATTACACTGGTGGTGATATCAACTAGCGTAATGTTTTGTTATTATACAATAAAATGTTCCAACATTTAAAAGAGATACATAACTCAGTGAACCAATATTTTGCAAATATTTCAAAGCTTCTATGATTAAAATATCTATTTAAAGCACAACATAGACCAATGAATTTTAAGTTTATTGAACTGTCTCAGAAAACTGAAATTAATCTTTATCAAACAATATTTGTCAGATTTTGGTGTAATACCAAAGATTATCTGAAAATGTTATGAAAATACTCTTATGTTACAACTAGATATGTGTCAGACCAGATTTCTTTACATTCCTCACCCAGAACTTAACATGGCAACAGATTGAATGCAGTGGAAGATATAAGAATGCAAGCTGTCTTCTAGTAATCCAGACATTAAAGGGATTTTTAAAATTGTCAAACAATATCACTCTTCTCACAATTTTTTATTCTTTTGCAATGGCTATTTTTCATTAAAATATGTTATTTATTAACATGTAATTGATTTATTATTATTTTTAGAATGTAACTTATTATTTTAAAATGAATCAAACACATTTTAAATGTTTCTCACTTTTAATATCTGAGATAAATAATCAATGATAATGCACACAAGAGCTTCCTGGAATCCTTAATAATTTTTAAGTGTAAAGGTTTGCTAGGACCAAAATGTTTGAGAACTGCCGATTTAGAATTTATATGTTAGGATTCTCTACAATTTAATAGAAAAAAAAGATCATTTCTCTGGCAATGCTATTTTTCATTCTGTTGAGTTTGATTCTTATCTGTATAGATTCAATGATCTTCATGTCATTTATTCAACATTTTTCAGTCCTTGCTATACGCCAGATATAGTGGAAGAAACCAGGACACAGTTTCTGTTGTCAGGGTACTTACAATTTCCATTGTTATTCATATTAAGACATAGTCATATATTATATTATATTATATTATACTTGTTTCTCTTCTGTGTGTGTGTGACGTGTGTGTCTGCATCTGTGTGTATATGTCCAACTGCTTCCTAAATATCTTCACTTGAATATTCCACAGAGAGCTCTCATAGGTCCAAAACTAAAATTATTCAATCGCATCTGCTCAATTAATGAAAATGTATTACCTTGTACTTTGCTTTTGGGTTTTTTTCCCCCTAATATTAACACTAGGCATAAAATGTGAATAGTTTGTCTTTTTCTTTTGTGATGATAAATCACAGCTGTGAAGCTTCATTCTTTTCTATTCTGTTCCACGGTACAACCTCTGCTTGTAAACATATTCTCCCTAAGTCATGCTTATTGAATTTCTTCTTGCACACTGGATTTTCACAAGATTATTCCTCTTACCTTGTGTTTCTCTCCTTCCGAATATTAAATACCACCCTCACAATAAAAAGCTATTTAGAATTACGTGTACCTGTATTCCATTTATGGCATCTCTATAATTCATAAGCAACTCAGATATATAATAAATTTATATGTACAATAGATATATAACAAATTTATATCTTCTGAAAATTCTCTTTTGATTTGGATATATTTATTTGCCCTAAAGAAAGCTAAGAGAATACTGCTTATTAAAGTCACAAAGGGGCCATTATAAAATATTACAACTAGAGTTTTAATGTGATGATTTAAAACAAATGAAGTACATTCATTTTTTCAGCTCACCAGGGAAAATATCAAAATAAAAATTTAGAAGATTCATATGTATTTAAATATCACATTTCCTGTGAATTAGACAAAAATTATACAAATAAACCTTCAATGTATGGCCATGGCAATGGAGACATTTCTGTGTTATGCCATAGTACTCATATTACTGAAATTATATTCATAAACTACATGAGTCATTGTATGTTCCCTAACATTACAAATCTTTAATAGTGGAAGACTCTAAATTTATGAATAACCAGGAAATTCATCCATGGTTATCTAGAATATAGAAATGAAATTTTCTGATTCAGATATTATTATTGCTTTATTGAGACCACCATCATAACAGTACCCTAAAAGTTAAAAATTTTTATAATTAGTAACAAAAAGCAAAATTTAAACTTTTTAAATTTAATTTTTAGATAGTATTAAAACGCATTCACCAGTTTTACACATTTATGTTACCTGTTTGACTAGTCCCTCTAAGAACATCAAATTCCCTGGTTTTGATAATTTGTAATCAAGACCAAACAATCCATTTGATGATGACTTACTAGAATATAAGCCTAGTAACACATCAAGAAACTACAATGACTCCCTTTTGCCTACACTACCAAATTTAAATTATTCTATTTGGTTTTAATTAAATATTAAATTTAAATTTTTAGATATTTAAATATCTAAAATTGCTCAATAAAGCGCGAAATGTCTTGATAACAATGATCTTTCATACAAGGAATATGCAATATAAATTATACTTCAATTTTTCAGTTTCATACTTCTATGTAGTTTATAATGACTGAATATAAAAGAAAGAACACAGTAAACCACTGTGTAGTTACTGTGTTGTTAATGGTTTCATGCTAATATGTTTTGCTTATTATATTTAAATGTATGTATCTTAACTCCTAATTGAAATATATTTTTTTCATGTTTAGGGCAAAGCGTTAGTCAAATGTATCATTGGTGCCCTCCCAACACTATATTACACTATTTTCAACATAACATATATTCAGTACCATTAAATGTCAAATCACACTTCAATTTACCTTGGAATGCCTGGTTACAAGAGGATAGCCGTATACATAGACGTTACTTTCTCAAAGACAGACTACTTGTCTGTAGTTTGCTATTACTGTTTCATGCTTCATAACTTCAACTACAAAAATATTTTGTTGGACAAAAAAACCACATTTACATTTGATTTTCAGGCATTTAAAGGTATGCATTCCTAGCCACTTGCCCTATTATGCTCTGTGGTCATGCATTCTGCCAGTTTTACACATTCATGTTACCTGTTTGACTAGTCCCTCTAAGAAGATCAAATTCCCTGGTTTGGATAAAGATTTTATAATCAAGACCAAACAATCCATTTGATGGTGACTTACTAGAATATAAGCCTAGTAACACATCAAGAAACTACAATGACTCTCTTTTGCCTACACTATCAAATCTAAATTATTCTATTTGGTTTTAATACTATTCATATTCTGATGCTAACATATTAACCAACCTTATTCTCATTACTAACAAAAATATATACAGTATTCACTGTATTTTCTTTATGCTTACCTTTCTCAGGATGCTAATAATATTCTTCCTATTTTCTCCACTTTCATAAATACTATGGATACTTTTTCTTTCAGTTTTGCTTTGAGTAATAAAACCATACAAATACAACTGAAGAATTATAAATTTTCCTTCAGTCCAATTCTTCTCCATCGCCTCCTTGCTTTCCAGAGATAAACACTACCTCGGTATTTATTATTCCTGTGTATATTTGTATTCACTTTGCATATAAGTTTCTATCTACAAAAACATATAGTATGTATTAATGTTCATATATTTTATATTATTTTATTGTGTCATATTATCACACTATTCTACAACTAGCTTATATCACTCATGTTTTCTAGATTTACCTATATTGGTACATCATACTTAATAGTAAAAAATGTAATTATTTCTGTCTATGATAAGAAAAAAGACAAGGATGTCTTAGTTTGTGTTTTTCCAGTACAATTCAACATTGTAATGGAAGACCTAACCAGTAGCATAAATTAGGAAGAAGAATTAAACATCAGGCATATTGGAAAGGAAGTAATAAAACTATCTTCATTTGTAGATAATATGATTAAGTTGAAAGGCCTAAGGTGTCTACCAAAAAGCAGCTGAAAAAATATGAGTTAATAAAGATTGCTGGACACAAAGTGAACATACAAAAATAAGTTTTTCCATTACCAAACTAGAAATGGTTATTTTTTAAATAATTGCACTCACAAGACCATCAAAAATATGAAATAAAGAGAAATTTAACAAAATATATGGAATACCTACATGCTGCAAATTTAAAACATTGTGGAGATAAATTTTAAAACATCTAAATAGTGGAAAGATAATGTTCATAGATGGGAAGACTGAACCGTAAGATGTCAATTCTCTCCAAATCTATAGATTCAATGCAATACCAACTAAAATCAGAGCAGGTCGGGTTTTTTTTTTTTTTTTTTTTTGTAAAAATTGACAAACGGATTATAAAATTCATACATAGATGCAAAAGGCATAGAATACCAAAGTAATTTTTAAAAAGAAAAACAAAGAGAATTTACACTATTTGATTTCAATTCCTAATATAAAACTATAATAATCTAGTCAGTGGGGTATTAGAATATGCATACACATATAGACCTTTAGAACAAGACAGCAAATCCAAACATAGACTTACACATATGTATTCAACTGATTTACAACAAAAGTATAAATATAATACAATGGGAGACAGTCTTTTCAAATACTGGTAGTAGAACAATTAATATTGATATTTTTAAGATAAACCTCAAGCTTCACCTCTTATCATATTTTAAAATTACCCTTCACTGGCTAGGTACCACAGTACCTCACACCTGTAATCCCAGTACTTTGGGAGGCCAAGGCGGGTGGATCACTTGAGGTCAGGAGTTCGAGACCAGCCTGGCCAACATGATGAAACCTCGTCTCTAACCAAAAAATGTTTAAAAATTAGCCAGACATCCTGGTGCCTGCCTGTAATCCCAGCTACTCCAGAGGCTGAGGCAGGAGAATCGCTTGAACCGGGAGGGAGAGGTTGCAGTGGGCCAAGATCATGCCACTGCACTCCAGCCTAGGTGACAGAGTGAGACTCCATCTCAAAAAAATAAAAATAATGAAATAAAATCACCTTTCTAAGGATCACAGACTTAAATATAAGAGCTAAAACTATAAAACTTCGAGAAGAAACAATGAAAAAAAAATTCATAAGCTTGAGTTAGGCACAAATTTCTTAGCTATGAAAGACAAGTAAGATTCATTTTTAGAAAGTTGACAAATTAGCCTTCATCAGAATTGAAAATGTTTCTCAAAAGATACCATTATGAAAGTGAAAAGAAAAATATTTGTTAAATATATAAACAAATATTACATATTTTTATATAAAATATATATAATCATATATTTAATTAATAAAGGTCTGATTTTCAGAATGAATGAAGATTTTTACAGTTCAAGGGGAAGCTGTAAATAATTCAGTTTTTAAAAATAGACAAAAGATTTGAAGATACTTGATCAGAGAAGATATAGGAATGGCTAATAAGCTTATAGAAAGATACACAAGATAACTAGTGACCAGAGAAAGGCAAATTAGAGCCACAGTGAGTAATGACTATACACTCACGAAAATAGCTAAAATTAAAATGACTGACAATATGACAATATCAAGTGTTGGAGAGGAGTACAGCAACTGAAACTGTCATATATTGCTGTTAGTGATGCAAAATGGTATGGTCACTTTAGAAAACAGTTTGTCAGTCTCTCGTACAGTTAAATGTCTTCTTACCATAGAATCTTGAACTTCTATTCCCAAGTATTTAGCCAAGAGAAACAAAAGCATATATCCTCACAAAGAGCTGTACTTGAACTTTCATAAAAGCTTTATTCTTCACGGGGAAAACTGGAAACAATCCAAATGTCCATCAACTAATGAATGAATACACAAATTGTGATATGCAAAAAGGGAGGTGGGCAATGAATGAACTACCAATAGACACAACACAGGTAAATTTTAAAAACTTCGTGCTAAGTGGGAGAAAGAACACAAAATCTGCAAAAGATATAACTCCATTCATATTACCTTTTTTAAATTAAAAAAATCTACTGATAGAAAGCAAATCAGTGATTTCTAAGAAATGGGATTCAGGACATGACACTGCAGAGAGACAGGAGAGAACACTTGAGGTAATAAACATGTTCTAAATCATAACTGCAGTGGTGGTTACACCACTGCATATATTTGTTAAAAAAATGAAACCTCAAATTGTACACTTGAAATTGATGGGTTTTACCGTGTCTATATTTTACCTCAATTAAGCCGACGAAGAAAAAAATAATGGGCTGGAAAGAACCTTAATGTCCACTCCTCAGCCTCAAAAAAGTCATGAATGTTAATATCCAAGCCTCAAATATGACTGTAATAAACTTTCAAAAGATTTACCTTGACTTCATATTTGTTTTAGCCACTGTCTTCCAATTCTTTAAAACGACTCTTTTTTTGGCTTTTGCTCCTCAGTTCCTGTTTTCACTTTTCTTCACATAATCTCACACTTAGAGAGAACTAGTCTGACTCTATTAGTCCCAGTGTTCTGTCTAAATTATAAAGGTTCTTTGCTTTCTCTTTTAGACACATATTTTTTTCACTAATAAGTTTTCCCCTGCTTCTACAAAAGCAGTTATCATTAGAGGTGGTATACCTTAATTACCATAGTAATTACCTTAATCACCCTGTAATTAGGACTACAACTAAGGGTGAAGTGATTCTTCAAAGTCACAAATCCTGGCTTCACCACTTAACTTGTATGGGTACTAGATGTATGCTTCAGTTTCCTCATCTGCAGAAATAAGGATAAAAATTATCCCTACTTTATATTATTTTGAGGATTAAATAATATAGAAATAATGCCTAGAAATCTACCTGACACATCATAAGGACTCAATAAATGTTAGCACTTGTATCAGTCTCACATTTTCCATTGGAAATTCCAGAAAGAATGAAAGAAAACCAATGTGACTAAATAAGGCCACAAAATGAGATTTTAAATCTAGGAATTTTACTTAACATCAATAGTCAACAGAAGAGTCATTTTCTGTGCCTCTTTTTTGTATGGCTTCTTTTTTGAAAAAAAAGAAAATATTGTTGCATTCTTAAGTTTCTGCTCTGTATTACAATGGAGAGAACAATTTAAACATTATTTCTCAGAAGGATATTTCTTATACCTATTACTACCTTTTCTATTGTGTGTGTGTTTGCCTTGTGCATGTTATGTATGTACATGTAGTTAAATTTACCTTGTCTTAAAGTTAATTTGGGGCTCTTCAGAGGACTTGCATTAATTGGAGCTGTGTAAGCAACTTGCATTATTTAGACAGAAAAACTAGGAATACCCAAGTCCTTCCTTGGCTTAGCCAATCCTCCTCCTGTGGAGGTCTCCAAGGAAACATACACACAAAAGAGGCAAAGGAAGGCACCATTGCACTTTATTACTAGCTATGACTTTGGCCTGAAACTCCATAGTGAAAATTCATAAACTAGAACAGACAATAGGGAGGGCTCCTTGCCCCTATTTCAGTTAGAAAAGTGACTCAGTTATATAAGCAGGGCCTAATTTTGAGTTGAACTGGACCAATCTGCCCCAGGCCTTCTCAGGCCAGAAGAGTGATCTTTGGTCAGCCACTGTATGTGAGAAAGCACATCCTTAGAAGAAAAGCTAGGAGGCCTGAACTGCTTAGAGAGAGCATCTCACTACCTCATTATCACTGGTCCTTTAGGGAATCCTCCAACAAGAGCCTTGCTCACTTGTTTTTAGCCAGGTGATGACTCCACCCAGCAGCAAAGAGTTAAACCTCAAATCTAACCCATCCAATTCAACCTCTTCCTCCTTGCATGGAGTGGGAGGAATTCAATGATGAGATCAAGTGGAGAGCATTTACTTTCCATTAAAAGCTTACAGCAGTCATTAAAATGGCTATATTGGTGGTCACAGTGGCATGTGCCTGTATTCTCAGTTACTCAGAAGGCTGAGGCAGAAGAATCACATGAAGTCTTGAGTTCAAGGCAGTAGTGCACTATAGTATGCCTGTGAAAAGCCACCACACTCCAGTCTGGTCAACAAAGCAAGACCAAGTCTCTAAAAAAAAATGACTATGAAAATTAATTAACATTTGACTAGTTGTTATCCGATGTAGTTTGCTATGCTATACTTTCCAGAAGCTTCAATTAAAATCTAGGAGGTATTTGCAAGACAAAATATTTTCAGTGTTCAGTAGTGTCATGTTCACAGTGTGAACTTCAAGGAAACACTTTAAAAATCAGTACTTCCTAACTACAGTAGGGTATAGTACAGACTCATGTAGAAGACATGCCTGGACCCTAAACACTGTGAGAATAGCCATAAGGATTTCCATGGGTTTCTACAAAGTGTTTACTAGATGATGTGTCATTTTAACTCTAAAGAGCAAATCATACTTTGAGAACTTCAGGAAATAATATACTTTTTAGCACAAAGGGCTCTGACTCCCATGACAGAAGAGAATTTACTATGATGGTTACACAAATCTCTTTTCTGTCTAAAAGTTTTTGTACCAGCTTTTCCTAGGCTCTTATCCTTCTCACAAATCAGGACTCAGTTCAAATATCTCTATCTTGGTGACACTTTCCTTGACTTCCCTACCTAATTAGTCCCACTCTCCTCCTCTGACAATATCCTGTTTCTGCATGGAAATACTTTACATTTTGTAGTTGCTTGTTAAGTATATGTGTTACTAAACTGCATCCTCCTGAGGACAGGGATTGTGGTTTGCTCATTCAGCTCCTAACAATGCCTAGTATACAGTAAGCACTGATTAATAATCTGTTCAATGACTAGCTTGAGGAATGGATGCAGATTTAGCAATTTTAATTGGCTATCGTCAGAGCAATGTCCTCTTTTAGCTCCTTTGATACTTGGAGCATTGAACATAGAATTGAAAATTTTGGATCTAGTCCCAATTCCTTGACTATCTGTGAGTCTTAAATATAGTGAAGCATATATCTAGTTCACCTACCTAGTTAAGTGGTAGAGCCAGGATTTGAGACCTTGAAGAATTACTTAGTCTATATTTAAATTTTATATATATATGTCTGTTGTCAAATGGCATAATAACACTCTTAGTTGCTCTACTACACAGGACAATTAGGGCTAATGACAGAATATACGCACGCACACACAGGCATATATATATATAGATAGATAGACACACGTATATACGTATATATACACACACATATATACACACATATATGTACACACAAATGTATATACACACATACACACACATATTAAAACTAAAAGCATTAAGATTTCTGAAATTTTTATTGTAATTTGAAAAAATTCAAGATGATTAACAGTTAAAATGATTTAATATGGTTAAATTTTAAATTTATCATCAAAGAAATTTTCCACTGAGTATTGAAATAAGAAAACCTGAGGTACTTATTAGGAGCTTATCATCTTTATATATATACATACATTAGTTTGAATATAAATCCCAAATGATGAGATTATTTTCCACCTCAAATACTGAAAGAATGTTTATTATTCAAACATGGGATAGGGAAAAAATACAAAATAGGCAGGCAGTTTAAAGCAATTTATTATTTTTCTAAGTGCCATATAGTGTATTTTATTCTACCCCTCCGAATCTACATTTTAAGTGATCTGAATCCACACTGGAATGCATCAATCTTTATGTATTTGTGATATCATTGCCTTTGCCAGGAAACTATGCAAAGACTTTTCAATCACGGTGATTAAGTATTCATATTCCCTTGTCTACAAAGAGAAATACTTAAAATCTTAGGGAACCACCGCCGGATAATGATATGGCATTTAACAGTTTTTTTTCCTAATTCAAACCAAACATTAGAAATGGATAGGCTAATCAGGTATTATTATTTCAAGGAACGCTTGAAATGCACAGGGTTAATTTTTTATGTTAGATTGAATCTGTTGGCATAGTCCCTTGTGTTATCAAATAGAATACCTAAACTTGTATATGTCAATTAAACACCTTTCCCATGGGGCCATTCAGAATGCAGTATTTAAAAACCTGCAATAAATCGCTAAAGTTTTAAAATAGCTCATTACATTAATCTGCAACAGTATCATGCCTAAATTATGATGCTCTTAAAATGTAGTAAAGTAGATAGATGTTGTCCACAGTACTCTGAGCATATTTGATTCTTGTTCAATTCTTAAGATTAAAAACAATAATAACAATATAGGTAGTGAACTGGCTCTGGAAACATTTTCGGTAAATGCCAGCCAAAAGCTAACACAAGCTCAAATGTCATTTGGTTTATCCCAGTCACTGTTCAAAGATATGAAGCAATTCAAAATCTACTTTTACTCAATATCTCTATGAAGTTAGAAAAATTTATCTTGACATTGGCAAGAAAACATATCCTTTCTTTACATATATCATTTTATTCTTTTTATTTATTTCTTCTATTTCTATATAAAGAGAGGTAGCTGTGTGTTTATGTGCACACACTCCATTGTAAACTTAAAAGCTGTTGTTATTATAAATTCACTTTCTAGTTAGACCTGTGGTAGGACTTAAAGCTATTCAGCTGAAACCATTCTGGAGTTTGCAAAATATGCTATTTTATTTTCATAAACATTTTGTGTCTGGAGGCTGCTAGAAAATTTATGGACTGGTTATTTTCTGCTTCAGTACCAGTAAAGCACATTGCTATCATGCTCAAAAGCCAAAAGATGGTTTCAATAATGCTAAAAAGAAAAAAAAAATCCAACACAAAATGGTGTTTGTTTATTCATATATTAGCATATCATTGTCCAAAGTAGTATCATTTAAACTTTGTAGCTCATTTGAAAGGTTCACATAGTGCAAAACTGATGAAGCACATAACCCGTAAAGGTATAAAAAGAAAGTATTATGCATACATTGCAATAAAAATCTCATTTTTTTAAACAATATCTGATAGTTTGTGCCTATGCACATAGACTGTTTAAGATGAAAAGAAAAACTTTCTCATTTAAATCTACTAGTTAATTGCAGTCTTTAACAGTGAAAATGCCTTTCCTCTCCCTCACCCCAAGATAGTTTCTGTGTATAAGAAGTGTCAATTCTCTTTATGGTTTTGGCTGAAGTTTATCTAGAAGGATCAGAGAGATATACCCAAGTAATTCTTATTTAAATACTACCTGGAAAAAATGTCTGAAATGTCAGTCAAAAGCTTTTTTTTGCAGACGGCTGATGTCATTTCAGAATAAATACGGGGACAGAAAAATCAGAAAGCACTTATTTTTAGAAAAAGGAGCAATGTACAATCAAGAACACTGCAGTTTTCTCAAATGTCTCTTTAGCACTCTAGAATTTATTGACTCTAGTATGTGTGACAACTCTGACAGCTGTCGTTAACAACTAAGTGAAGAAAAGCAAATGTGTTTTCCTCCCTGGTAAAATGAAACAATTACATGCTAAGAGAAAGAAAAAGTTGGTAACCTTATACTGATGTTTTTAGTACTTTGGAACTACCCTAGAGAATTAGCTGGGAGAGTATGATTTTCTTCTTTCTCCTCAGTGCCTAGGACAGAGACTGACGGGATTAGATTATTTTCTGATGGTGTCAATTGAAACTGAAACAGATGTAAGAATGCTGTTTCCTAGAAGATGAAATATTTCAGGAATTACATTTAATATTCATATGGATTAATCAGGTGCTCAACAGCCAGCCAATAAATCCTATGCAGTAATATTTTCCATGGGTAATTCTTCAATTCAACCTTATTAGTTTTTATTTATTTCATCATTTAGACAATATTTATGTTCCTTCAGTCCCAACAATCACAAAAATAACAACAACAATGATACATACACACACAATTCTGACTACAAAGAACACTTGACTTCACTTTTCATGACATTTGAACAATTGAGTATGGGCAAAAGTTTCATCCTCAAATCTCTAAGTGAAAAAAAAGGATGGGTTCAACAAATAGTGCTGGAACAACTGGACAACCCCATGCAAAAAAAATATAAATAAATCTAGGCACAGACCTTATTCTCTTTAAACAAACAAACTCAAAATGAATCATATAGACCTAAATGTAAAAGGGAAAACTATTAAAACTATTAGACGATAATAACATAGAAGAAAGTCTAAATCACACTGGGTATGGGGATGCTTTTTAGCTACAGTACCAAAGGCACTATTTATAAGAGAAAGAATTGATAAGCTGGGCTTCATTAAAATGAAAAACTTCTGCTCTAGAAAAGATACATTCAAGAGAAGGAGAAGACAAGCCACAGACTGGGAGAAAATATTTGCAAAAGACACAACTGATAAAGGACAACTATATCAAAATATACAAAGAGCCCTTAAAACTCAATAATAGTAAGATGAAATGAACTATCAGGCCATAAAAAGACATGGAGGAAACCCAAACGTATATCAGTAACTGAAAGAGGCAAATCTGAAAAAGCTATGTACTGTATAATTCCAACTATAAGACATCTGGAAAAGGCAAAACTGTGGAGATAGTTAAAAGATCAATGGTTCCCAGAGATGAGGTGGGAAGAAAATATAGATAGGTGGAGGATAGAGGACTTTTAGGTCAGAGAATGAACCTCAACATAGAACTATGGATACTCCTATACATTCCACTCAATTTTGCTGTGAGATTAAAACTGCTCTACAAAATGAAGTTTATTATTTAAAAGAATGACGATAACAAAACCAAGACGAGAAGGTTCATGAAGGTAATATTTTCTTTACCAGTTTCAAAAAAATTATGGGTATTGTACTAAAATGTAAACCTTTATAAATTTAAACCTCATTAATAGATATTAAATGTTATTTCATAAAATAATTTCTTCAGCTTTAAAAATTAAATATTGAATGTCTAACAAAGTAAATTTAAATAATTGAATCTAACATTAATAGAGACAGATAATGGTAGAAATATATTTTATCTTTATTAAAAATTGCTGTGAAATGAAGCCGGACATTTAAAAGTACAGATTATACAATTTTATTTATATAAAGTTTAAAAGCAAGAACCCCTAGTCTGTGCTATCAAAAGTTAGGAGAGCGACTTCTTGGCGAGGGTGTAATGAGGAATAGAGAACCCAGGAGGATTTTGAGGTGCCAGCTGAGGATTTGGGGGTTTGTTTTGGTGTTCTGGATTCTGTGTGGGGTGCTTTCAATTTATGAAAATTCACTAAGCTATAGATTTACTGCACTCTTCTGTATGTATTTTATACTTTCTCTAAAGTTAACAACAACGAAAAGCCGAACAAGACCTGGGGAAAATTAGAGCTTTCTTAAGCAGGATTGAGTATAAATTGTACTTGCCAAAATGTTCATTTCTATTTGAATTACTTTTTTAAATAAATAGGGCATATGACTTTTAAGTAGTTCTGTCATGCAGAATCCACTTATCTCTGTTCTGTGAGCATGGACAACTGAGTCAGCTGGGCAGTGCTACAAGGACTTTTCTCTGATTGAGTTGCGTGTGATCAAAGGGCAACAGTTTAACTCTGCAAAGGAAAGAGGGTCTCTTTCCCAGGCAACGACTAAGTTTCTGAAGAGACTCTTAAGCTAGGAGGTGTATTATATTCTAGTACACATTCCCTGAACACCTTTTCAACCAACAACCTCCACCTTCTTATCTATCCTATCCTTTTACTTGAGGCCAGATATATTCATATAGGTTTTAGGTCATTTTACTCCCATATCTTACCCTAAGGTTCTAATAAGAAATCAAGGGTTCAGGAGGTGACTGCAAGAGAAAAAAGAAAGGGCAAACTAAAAAGTCTAAACCTTTTGGGAATAGATGAATAACACCTTGAAGAAATAAGAAATTAAATTCAGATAGCACAATATTACTGATTACAGGAGATTTATCAGATGCTTTGAAATCTAAGGCATGTAAAGGAATTTGTGTGGATGGGCATGTATTTGGTGAGTTTTTATGTGTGTATGCTTGAAATTCAGTAAATATATACTGAGGGTTTATTGTCAGGAGCAGAAAAAAATAATAGTTACCATTTATTGCATATTTACACTGTGCCAGGCATCGTGTTAAGTTCTTAAGCACGAATTATCTCATTAAATGCTCACAATAAAGCTATGAGCTAGGTATTATTATTTTTTCCATCCAAAGATGAGGCCATAAAGGCTTATAAAATATAAATAACTTATCCAAGATCTTACAACATTAGTAGAAGAGCTAGGATATGAGCTCATGTCTGTCTCTGAAAAGTTCACGATCCTAGCCTCTTACTACTCTCTCGGTTACTGAGTGATCACAAGGGCAAACAGAGAAATACTGGGGAGAAAGAGGACAAGAGGAGAGAAAAAGAATTTTAAGATATAAAGGAAGATGAAGTAAAAGAAGTGAGAGAACAGAGAAAAAATACAAATGGCACAGTTTGGGCACACAATAGACATTTAATGAATGTTAAATGAATGTTTTTGACATATGCACATTAAATACCATAAATACATACTTACAGATTTTTTAAATTAAAATTGAGTAATTGTTCACTTAGCTTAGCTAGAGACAAGGTGTTTATATGAGTCAAAAGTTATTTTATAATCATTTTAAACACATCCAAAAGACTGGGAAAATCAAAATCCCTTAAGCATAGTAATTAGGCACAATAATTTAAAGGAATTTTTTCATTAATGTCCCTCACTTTTTCTTTCTTTTCCTTTTTTCTTTTTCTTTTTGAGACAGAGTCTCCCTCTGTCACCCAGGCTGAAGTGCAGTGGCGGGATCCTGGCTCACTGCAACCTCCACCTCCTGGGTTCAAGAGATTCTCCTGCCTCAGCCTCCCTAGCAGCTGGGATTACAGGTGCGCATCACCACGCCGGGCTAATTTTTGTATTTTTAGTAGAGATGGGGTTTCACCATGTTGGCCAGGCTGGTCTCAAACTCCTGACTTCAAGTGATCCACCCACCTCGGCCTCCCAAATTCTGGGATTACAAGCATAAGCCACAGCGCCCAGCCCCTGTCCCTCACTTTCAAACTAATTTTGTGTTTAAACCTTAATGTAATTATAAAAGTTAACAGATTTAAAGAGAAAAAATAATCAAGTCTCCATTATAATTTTTGAGTAGATTCTTTCTGAAGCAAAATACTGCTACTGCTAAGAAAATAATTATCCCTAATAACATGGGCGCAATTCCATTAAATACGTTCCATCAATAAAAAAAGTAATATATAATTTTGAAGAAACAAGAAGAAATAATGAAAGAATGAACCCCACCTGGTCCATTCTAGATTCATTAGATGCCCATCTCAGCAGTAAAGTACTTTCCTATTTACCTTAAGAATGTCATAAAAACATTCACATTTCTGTTCCTATATCCAAGGACCTGGCACTGCTGAAAATACCCTGTTGGTTGGTGCTGTGGCAGAAGCATCCTTTCCAACTCCTGCCTTGTTTTCACCTCCCAAACTAATCCTTATATGTAGTACTTTCTAAGTCTGCATCTTTCTAAAGATTCTCAAGTTCTCAGTCCCAACCCACTCATCTCATCATTTTTGTAAGATGACCCAAGCAGTCTAAATATTCTCCATATATTGTACAGTTTATATATTTTTAAGTATTGTCTATGTATCATCACCTTACATTTAAACTTCATAGGAAACCAAAATAGATTAGTATATATATCCTTATCAGCTTTTTTTATAAATGAGGAAACAAAAATGTATAGAGGTTTTGTTGCTTGGCCACTATTACAAGGTGTTGAATGTTGTAAAGCTAGATTCAAACTGAGTATAAAATTTGTGTTTCTGATCGCTAGAAAAAATACAAACTATTAGACATAAACTCCTTCAGAAATTTTTCCCACCACCTCAAATCTTCTCTGTTCCTACATCTGTTTCCTCATTTTTCATTCAAGGCTCATTACTGCATCCCAGTTTAGACCCAAGGTCAGCCCTCAATTATTAAGCCCATGGTACTCCACCTCTCTCCAGGATTTATCATTCATCCTGCTTTTTTTCAAATGTGATGAAGAAGACCAGGAATTACAAAAATAAAGAATGAGTAAAAGAAGCCCAACACAATGGATGAAGTTGAGTAGGACTCTAGGAAGAGCTAGAGTAAAAACTGATTTGCTTCAAGCTTTTCTTCAATGCTGGCTCAGTCTTGGCCCACATGTAAGTCCTTATATTTTAAAGGAGAAATAAGAGATTGATAAACCTTGTCCTTCAAAACTATAAAAGAAATCAGACTTTGAAAACCCCACAGTTTAACACCTCACTCGGTTAGAAAACAGAGGCAGGTAGAATTACAGTGCTAAATTTCATGGTGATTTAATGGGTAAGATTAATACTTTACAGCTAGCTTGATGTTTCCTTCATCAGAAACAAAAAAATTACTTGTGAATTGACCTATTCATTTCTAAAAATATTTATAAATTTTTAAAAAGTGAATGTATATACAGTAATATTGATTATATAGCAATAAGCAGAGACTTCAAGAATTACATATTTCCAAATTATTAATTTCCTCAATTGTATTTCTAATGAGACAATTATTAAAGGATATTATTTTTAGATCAACAGATAATCAATCATATTTGACTTTATTTCATTTACTAGACAAGTAAATTTAATCATAAGGAAATTATGCACCATAACTTCAAGAGATGATGTTTTATGTCAATTTTTCCATATAATGAATTTCTGTCTCATTTTCTACTTATAAAAGTAGATGAGGGCGGGCTCGATGATTCACGCCTGCAATCCTAGCACTTTGGTAGGCCAAGGTGGGCAGATTGCCTGAGCTCAGGAGTTTGAGACCAGCCTAGGCAACGTGGTGAAACCCCGTCTCTACTAAAATACAAAAAAAATTAGCCGGCTTGGCGGCATGCACCTGTAGTCCCAGCCACTGGGGACGCTGAGGAAAGAGAATTGCTTGAACTCAGGAGGCGGAGGTTGCAGTGAGCGGAGATCGCACCACTGCACTCCAGCCTGGGTGACAAAGCGAGACTCTATCTCTTAAAAAATTAAAAAAAAAAAAAGTAGATGAAATAGAAAGTAGTGTCAAGTTGATATATCAATAGTATATATACTAAAATACTGAATTATCTCCAGTAATGAGGTTGTCACAAACAGTTATAAAGAGAGATCATTGGGGAAGTTAAGATACTTCTTTGGTTTCTAGTCAAAGCACAGTACCTAGAACAGAGTCATCATTCAAATAATTCTGTATTTCCTTCCTCTATCTTTGACTTCTTTCCATTTCACATGTACCTTTACTTTCCTATTTTAGATACTATTTTCTCATTGTGACTACTGGAACTATCTCTTAAACATACCATCGCTGCCTTTAATCTCAGTTGCTTCAGTTTTCAAATTGCTGCCATAGTTTCTTTTCTAAAACACTTACCCTAGCACTTCACTGTCCTGCTCAAAAAGCTCCATTCCTTTTTCCCTGCTGTGTCAAATTCAAAGCCAAACTCGGCACAGGTTTCTAACCAGGACCAAGCTCATCTTACTGTCTCATCACCTGACTGCCCCCACAACCACTGTGTTACATTCTTCCACAGTGGATGCTCAACTTTCTTAGAATGTGAATGCTCTTCCCTGTCTTCAAGCTATTATTAAACTGCCTTCTCTGTCATGAATACCTTTTCCACATCTCGACCACCAGAAGAAATGTCACTTTCTATTTGTAACTTAAATTAGATGTCACTTGCTCTCTGTGTTGTAATCTTTAAGCTTCCCTTATGTAGTTTCTTAATCTCAACCTTATACTGTGTTTGTAAATGCTCATGCCTCTATCATATCACTTATCAAATTGAATTATTGTTAGTAACAGGTTTCTGTACCTCCACTGTTAAGCTATGAAATTTGACAACTCACAGAACCACATTGTCTTAATCTGTGTATTCTCAATTTTAAAAGACACAGCACTCTTGTAAAAATTAGGTACCTTAGAAGAGAATCAATAAAATATATGTAAAATAAATAAATGATTTATGAAAGATAAACATGAACATAAACTAAAGAAAGACAATAAGAACACTGATAGGCATCTATTTTTTTTTTCTTGTAAAGAACGCCTTTGACTTTAAAAGATTATGTAGAGAATTCAGACCTGGAAGAGAACTCAAATATTAGATCATTTTAGTATAATCTTTCCATTTAAAAGATGAAGTTGAGAGGCTTGGATGGGCTCGCAACACAGAAAAATGGCAGAACTAGGGGAAAAAAACCTAGGATCCCAAATACACAGTCAACACCATTATATAGTGTTATGCCAACTTTACTGAGAGTCATACAGCATATTTGAAAAAACAAAGACATTTCTTGTTTATGGACAGAAGAGCTAAGTATGGGAAAAACGTTAATTCTTTCTGAATAAATCTGTATTCAGGCATGTTATAATCCCAGTAGAAATAACTAGGCAGTATTTTCTGGAATTTTAATAGTATTTTAAATTTTAATTATGAGAGTAAATGAGCAAAAATAACTAGAGTGATTTTATACTATACAATATATTGTTGGTGGGTTTTAGTTAAAAACAAAGTGAAATTGTGATTTGTTTTTTTCAATGAATTACTGTAAATATAATTACTGTTAATAATTTTCTTAGAATACCTTTCTAGAAATAAGAAAATAAGAATTTGATATGTACCAAGCAAATGATCTCCAAAAAAACAATGCTGATCAATATAATACATTTTAGTAACTATAAATGTTTAAGTCTTCATAAATTTGATAAGGGGAAAACAGTCTCTCATTGATGAATTGGACTTTCTTTGATTATAAGTGAGACTTAACATTTTTTTCAAATGTTTATTAACATTTACAAGTTTTGTCAATTGACCTCTTAGAGATTGCATAGTTTATATCAATTCATGTGGCTCTTTTAATGTTTAGGATATTCATGTTTTGACACAACACCCCCCCAATGAATCCTTATAATTTCCGTTTTTGAATTATGTTCATGATAATTTGTAATATCCAAGTGTTACATTTTTAAAGAATCAAACATGGCATTTTTTAAAATAATTTCTTTTACTGATTTTAAACTTTCCCATTCAAATCAAATAAACCTTCGCCTACATTTTCTTTTATTCTTTTGCTTCTTTTTCACATAATTCTAAAATAAATTTCAAATGGATAATACTTTCTTATGTGGAAAAATCATCTCAGTTGAATCTACTGTAAACTCTTAATCAATAAAATGTTATTTCCCAGTGAGTTCTAAAAGCCACCATTATCATATGATAAATTCATATATATATATATATATATATATATATATACACACACACACACACACACACACAATTGTAGAATTATTTACTTATTTATCATCATTCTATGTTTCTGACTATTTCTATTTGGTTTCATTTATCACATGTCTATTTTGGTACTAGTTTCATACTGGATTGATTATTGTAGTTTATCACATGTCTATTCTGGTATTAGTTTCATACTGGATTGATTATTGTAGTTTAACATTATGCTTAAGTGTTAAATGTTTGGTAGGAATATTTTTCCTTAAAATCACTCTAGTTATTTTTGCTCATTTACTCTCATAATTAAAATTTAAAATACTATTAAAATTCCAGAAAATACTCCCTAGTTATTCTACTGGAATTATAACATGCCTGAATACAGATTTATTCAGAAAGAATTAATGTTTTTCCCATACTTAGCTCTTCTGTCCATAAACAAGAAATGTCTCTCCGTTTTTTCAAATATGTTGTATGTCTCTCAGTAAAGTTGTCTTCAAACAGGTTCAATTTATTCCAAAATATTTTAAATAATTTTTGCCAAAGAAAAAAAGCGTTCCAGTTCCCATGTATTAACAATGACTTCTTAATACTATGTAGAAAAGTCTTAATGTTCTAATATTAATGTTACATTTTATCTTTCTAATATAATTATTGTCGAGATCAAATAATTTGAAAATCATCATGAAGTAATTTTTCCCTTATAGTAATAATCTTTGTCATTTTTGTTTCATGTTTATCACACTGGTTAAAACTGATAGAATATTAATAATAGTGGCAATAGGTTTGATCCATCTCTTGATAAGAGTAACTATAAATATAAAATGTTATAGACTGAGAAAGATGTGCTTTATCATGTTAAATATTTGTTCGATTTCTAGTTTTTTTGTTTTGTATTTGTAACATAAATTAGGCTAATATTTTTATCATATGACTTTACACAATCTTATGAAATGTTTATTATTGTCTTATTTGACCTATTAGCATGATTGTAGTATATTTTCTAATGTTAAACTATAATTATTCCTTTCAGATAGCTTAAAGGTATTTTATGCTAACAAATTTCCTTCAAAATCAGACTATAGTGTTCAGAGACTCTCAAATTGTATATTTGGAAATTTTGCATTAACTCTTTGAAATCAATAAGGTTTCTAAAGGAAAGAAGATGCTGATAACTTCTATCTATGTACTGGTCTCTACAATCTAACAAACGTTTCCATATTATTCTTGGAATATTGAGCACTGAAATATTTAGATCACAACTCACTGCTGAGTTTAGGGAAGCTGCTTTCTTCCTCTTGGTGTCAGATAATTCAACCCCAATACAAGGGTTTGCATTACAAAATTCTGAAGTTGACTCTTCTCTCCAATTATCACAGATCCTTCCTGATTCCTGTCTCCCTCAGGCTAACACAAACTCATCCACCTAAAGAAGCAATGAGATTCAGATACCTAGACATCACCCCTCTCTCAGGTTTCCAACTCCCTGCTTAAGCTTTCCCCATAAGGCACTTACAGAAACTTTCTAAATGTCACCTTTTTCTATAGGGAGTGGTCTGTGACAACCAAGTTTGTACTACTTCCTCCTGTACACTGATAATCTGGAACAGATCTGACATACAACCTAAGTTTGGCTAATGAGATTCAAGCTTCCAAGAAGCTGACATTGAGACTTAAAAAAAAAAGTTAGTTTTAACAAGTGTCTTAAAGAATAGCTAAACCCTGGAAATGGAGATCCTCTGCTATCCTGTGAACCTAGAAGAAGAGAAAACCAATATAAAGAGAAACAGATAAAGCAGACAGACAGAAAGACAGAGATGCTTTTTTTTTCTTATAGGTTTTTATTTCTTAGGACCAGTTCTTTCTTTAGACTCGTTTCTATTCCCGCTATGCGGTTTCCTGATGCACATTCACAAATTCTTAATTTCAGCTTAATTAAGCAAGTTTTAGTTGGTTTCTCAAGTTGGTTGGTTACATACAATCAAACAATTCAGATTAATATGCCACTGTGCTTGACCTGCCCTGATATGAGCTCAGCTATAGGGCAAGGGAGTAGGGAGGTAGCTCTGAAATTCTATCCAACACTTTCTTTATGATAAATAAGGTTCTCATAGCAACAGAAAAATCTTTGATTCTATACAAGATGTACAGAATTAATATTTTATTGCCTATAGATCAGTCTGGAGTAAGGAATTGACAAGTTCCTAAAATATCTAACCTCCTTTTCTCTATATTTGTTGATAAATCTTAGGGTTTAAAAATTATAGAAATAACATTTTGTTCAGATAGCAGCAATAAAAGTAACCCTAAAAGGAAAGTCTTTGTTTCCTTCTGGCTTCCCAAGTAGACAGAAGATGTTAAGAAAACTTGTAAGGAAAACATGAGTAATTCTGGATACACTGTGATTCAGAATGTGCTTAAAATACAGATGCAGAAGATGGTTCAGGTACCTTTTTTTCAGTGATTTTAAAAAATCAGTTTCAGTGATTACATTCAATTAAACCACCATTGTAGCTTATGTCTTTGATGCCAATTAGTACTCTACAGTTCAGCAGTTTGACTGAATATTCCAGCTTTAGTTAGTTATTTTTTAATGAAATAATTCTGGCCTGAAATACTAGTCATTTATCACTCTAAATTCTAACATATTCTTTGCTTTGTCAATTAAATGATACACTGGAAGAAGCACAATCTTTTACATATCTTTAAACCATTGCTTAAGTAAGCATACCACATACCTGGTTACAATGTGAGAAAGATTAAATTTTAAGAAACAAACAGTTCTCTTTATTTTTGTACCAACTGTCTGATGAGCTTCCAGTGCTCTGGCTACTTCACCTTCTGCTCCTATAAACTGGAAGCAGAATCTTCCTCCACACCGATAACGTGGTTTTACTATCCCAAACTAAAAAGGAGCATACAAAGAAATGTATCCTGATATCTAATTATGTCAAAAAGAACTAATTTAACAACAATTTTATCTATACAAAAATTAAACATTGGGATAGCCACTATTCAATTTTAAATGGGCATTACTAAGTAATTCCATCTAATGGGTCAATTTTTTTAATTCCTTGAGAGTACCTTTTGTAGCTCACTGATCCTGGCAGACAATCTAGAAGGCCACACTGTACAAACTTGGCAGTTGCCTTATAAAGCTCATTCTTTGACAACTGGCAATAGCTAGGCTAAAAACCTTCTAATATATAATGTTTTTTGTTGTCGTGTATAGTAAGCAGCTCTGGTTCTAGTCAAGCACATCTGGGTTCTTCAGAAAATTAAAAATTGGTCCTGAGCAAACCTTGTTTTGGCCAATGGCCTCCTTGCACTTTTGGTGTTAGGGAGGTGGGTCAGCTGTCCCACCAGGTGAGAACACTGGCTATCACCAACATAATCAACTCAACTGGTTTCCAATTAACAACATAACATAGCTGTTTTCTAGGTTCCTAACAGCTAACACAAGCTCCAAAAGTCTACTTCCAGCTGCTATTAAATCCCTGCGAAGAGCAATGATATGTGTGTAAGTCTGCAGATTGTATGTGTGCTTCATAGAGCCACTGGGACTCTTCAAGGTACTTCCGAGACCAGTAAGCAGGACTAAGGAAGTGGACCAGCCAGGGCTATGCCAATCCCTTAACAGTTCTTGTTTTTTAACAGATTGAAATGTTAGATTTCTGAGTAGGATATTTTTGAAGATAGAGTCTTAAAACTAGAGTATAAGGGAGATGTTCTTCATTTATTCTTCAGAGTATGGTACATCC
Source organism: Homo sapiens (assembly GCF_000001405.40). Lineage (NCBI taxonomy): Eukaryota > Metazoa > Chordata > Mammalia > Primates > Hominidae > Homo > Homo sapiens. The sequence goes on from NC_000007.14 coordinate 126,767,208, forward strand.
CCGTATCATCAGGGCTCAAAAGAGTTATACATCTAAATCAAGGATGATTATCTTCCTCCTCCTTGGAAACATCTTTAATGAAATATACTATACTTTCAGTGTTATAAGAGTTACATCATTTCTTAACTTTGATTGTGGGTACAAATGCAAAACAGCCAGAGAAGACTTCTGCTTTTGCTGTAAAATTTTGTAAAATAACATTGCTCATTTGGCTGTCAAAGTCGCATATGACACCTTTCTTTTGGAAATAATTTCCAAGAAAATGTGTTCTCTCTTGAAAAATAGGTAAGCTTGCTTCTATCATATAATGAAAATTATAAATCACATTGTCGGTCCCTTTATGCTTTGACTGCTTAAGAAGCTCAAAAGTTAATGATTTCATCCTTTATTCTGCTTACCATATTTGTTTCTTCCTCCTTTAGTAGTTTTGATGGTGTACTTTTATTTGAACAGCTTTGTGTGTCATTTTTATCATAAACAGAATGAACATGAATACATAAGTCAATAATAAAATTAAAATGTGATGAATATCCTGGAAATCACTGAAAATCAACAGAATTATGTATTCTATGATCATTTGCTTATCTTCAGGTCTCTTATCCTGTATTATCAGCTACTGGAACACAACCAAGACTCAAGCCCAGCAAAATCAATCTCCAAAGAGCTCAAAGAGATTGTCTTTTAAGTTCATATACTAAGATTTATTTATTTTCCATAACCCTCATCTGAGCTATATGTTGCCTTATATCAGACACAGCACAGTTCTATTATGCTCCAATAGGTTCTTGTTGCTTTCGAGATGAAGAACAAACCTTAATAATGGCCTATAAGACCTCACATGGTATTCATGGCCTGGCCTATTGCCCTACCCTTATCTCAGACACCTACTCCCTTCAGATTTCATCTGTTCCTAAATCCCTATATTAGGGAAATGTCCACTATTATAAACTCTAAATCCAGAATATCTCCCTTTTCAGCACTCATTGCAGATTACATAATTATATTTTTGTGTGCTTATTTGATTAATACCTAAGTTCTCCAGGAAACTCGAAGTGCCATGAATGTTTTGTCTATGTTCCCCAGTAAAGTATCGTCAGCACCTGTCCTAAAAACAAGCACAGCAACAGCAGCAGCAACACTTTGATAATGTAAAAAAAAAAAAAAAAAAAAAAAAGTGGACAGAACTCAAAGATTATTGGAGTCTAGAGGCAAATCCTTTTAATAGCCATTACATTAAGATATTCTTTAACAGTCTTTAATAGTATCATTATATTACAGGATGGTATAATAATTATAATAATTGAAGTCATCAAGGAAGGGTTAGGTTTTGATCATGGTTAAGATGAAAGACAAATTAGTAATTTGCCTTTAAAATGCTTTCTTTAGTGCTTCTTTAAAAGACTTCCCTGTCTTCTGGAGGTGAGCTTCAGTTCTATGGAAACTTCACTCATCTGCATTATTCTTCCCACTTCTTAACTAGCAATATTAGATAAAGGAAGTGTTCCCCAACCTCAGGTTATGGTAAACAACCTTGTATTGCAACATTCCTCTTTTGATCAATTTCATAATTGCATAAAAATTATTTTCAAACTCCTGTTAGTGTTCATATTCCCAACAAAAAGATTAATGTTATGTAATGTTTCACAAATATTCTGCCACAGACGATGTGTGTTGAATTTAAACCAAATTCTGTCTTAGGTTGCCTTTAAAGGAAAAATGCAAAAAAAAAAAAAATAAAGAAGAAGTTTCCACTTGAATTCTAAATTGAAGATGACCTCGTGCTTTTCTGAGAAACGCTGGCAACTGAGGTCACTGGAGTGTGTTATGATAGACGGTGCAGTGCTGTGCGTGTCTCAAGGCATGTCCATTGTATGGATTAAAGCCAAACCAAAAGTATTAGACAGCTCAGAGCATTCTATCATTTCATTTGAAAATAATGATCAAAGTCATGGGCAACAACCATTGCAACTCTCATGAAAGAACAGCAGCATTCAATAATTCCATCACTTCAGACAGGCAGTTGGGCTATTTTCAATCAAATACTGTGAATCCAGTATATTCTGTATCAGTTTCTCGTGGCAGTCACAGAAACAACATTTCTGCTTTTACAGTATAAAAATCCTGCCTACATTGTGTGCATCCCTTTGCTTCCGAAGGACTGAGTCATTGAGAAAAATATAAGGAAACAGAAAACACAGAAACTTAACACTCGTTGAGTATAAATATACAGCAACTCCAAGTCATCCATTTTCTTCAAGTCAACCTACTGTTTCAAAAGCTTAAAATCAGTTTCAAAACAAAATGTCTACAATCTCTTCTCTAATAATGACATGAACAAAACATTTTCAAAGAAATCTAATGTCAATGGTTTCAAATAAGCCTTCTAAGTGATCTCTTCAATAGTGATATTTAAGTAAAACATTTTGATTGACAGAGGCTTATTTTAAACTTTTGCCTCCTTCACGCATAGATTAATGGTAGCATAAAAAATATGTTTGAGATTCAAAAGCAGGTGGAAAAACTCACACTTCTAATCAAAGAAGAGAACTGCTTCTAATCCTGTGTTTTCCACTCTGCCTGGGTATCTTCTATATATAGGAGGAAAAACACACCCTGTCGCTTTTAATGTATTTAGACACACACACGTTGTAACTTACCATTAAAATTTACAGCCCGAATATAACCAAGTAGCTCTTTCCCATCAATGGTACTCATTCGTGGACAAAGGCCAATGTATCCAGGGCAGAGATCTTTGTGCATATTGTGCAGGGCGTAAGCCATGGAATATACAGCATCAATTACAAATTGGACCTTTCCTTCCTGTTCATAAGATGAATCCCGAGCAATTCGCTCCAGCCCTGCAAAATAAAAAAGTAAAAACCATCAGTTGATGTTAGATTCCAATAAAAGACAGCATTAGAGCTAAGATTTCCATCATTTGAGGAACACTTAATGAGACACGACTATTTGATTTCACTTCTGATTAATTCTATACTTACTGAGTCAGGTTTTTAAACTGGATATTAAGTTTATTTGGAAAGAGTAAAACTATTTCATTAGCAACAAAAAGATATAAAGTAAATAAAAGATGTATAGTTTCATTATCTTTTTTCCACCTTATTGAGTCCTATTATATTGTGCATTCTAGTAATTACATAACATTTTGGTAGTGGCTTGATCTTTTAAGTAAAATGTGCAGTGTGTGATTCTTGCCATCTGTCTCAGCTCCAGGAGTGTCATTTATTAGTGGCCCAAAGTAAGGTCTTTCACCACCTACCAAATCAGTTCTAATTTTGAATGTGCTCCATTTGGGAGCCTTTTTGTAACTTTTATATGACAATACTCCCTTAAGTGACCCTGGTTATCTTTATAATAATCATTCAATTTGTTTTCTTTTTGAACTCAATTTTCTATTTAGAATTTCTGTTAAAAAGATGTAGATACCTCAAAATGAATGTCATTCAGAATAAATGTACCTGTGTTTGGGCATATTTAGGGCTGCTCATTGGCACTGGAGATTACTTTTAGGTTGGTGTTTATAATTTAATATGGAAAAGAAATATATTTTAAATGAAATATAAATGAGAGATCAACTATGATCCAACATTATCATTTTGAAAGCGAGGAAACTAAGACTCATGGAGATTATAATTACATGGGGTACATGGGGTACATAGGGCAGGTGTGGGAAGCATTCGTAGGTCTCAGACTGCAAGCCCAATATTCTCTCAATCCCCAGAAAAATTTGGTAGATGGCAAGAATGTTGGGCATACAAGAAAAAATTATGAAAGGGACATCAAGAGTTTATTAAGGGAACAAAAAATGATCTCCTGTCACTTCTACATCCCTCACCAACCCTTACACAACTGGTAACACTTAGACAAAAGCAAGTATTTTAAACTTTCCATGGATGTTACTAACCTTGAATAAATTGTATTTAAATTCAACAAATATTTGTTTTCTGAACATCAATGCATATAACCTACATATTTAGAGAGTCGAATTAACGTGGTTTATATTTGTATATTTACACTCTGAAAAACTAGTTTTTTTCTAAACAAAAATAGTGGTCAGTTTATTTATTTTTATTCATCGAATTATTGTTTTTGTTCTTCCTCTGGTCTTAATCACTTGTGACACTCTGTGCTTTTAGATGCTCTTGGTTGGTATTCTGGTCTCTGTGGTCTGTCATGATGCTGAATTCTGCTCCTCCCTGTTTGGCATAGGTTTTCCGATTTTCTCATGTCTCAACTTTTCATTCTCCAAGGCTGAGTTTCTTCATCCCCAACCTCAGAATCTGCTAATTGTCAATTTTGTCAACTACTAAAATTTCTACAGTCTAGAAATATAAATCGGACTATAAAATGTTGACTACAGAATCCAGAACATTAGATCAATTTATAATAATCAGTTTACTTCATTTTGGAAGTTAGCTTTTTGGAAAATTAGTTTTCTAAACCTTTCTTGCCATCTAACTGCTATCGTCCCATATTTCCAATGGCCTACCATATCTCTACGTAGTCTGCTGCTTCCATATCAAACAATATATGTAAAACAAGGCTATCTCTGCAGGGGATTCCCTAAAATATCCTACTGAAAGTTTTGCAAGTTTGCGAGCACAAAGAGACAGGGAAGATTACTTCTCAAAAGTTATATTGTCTCCTTCAACCTACCCCTTAGCTGCATGATCTAAGCTAAGATCCACAAGACATGGGGACTATGTTCTCTCCCTATCCCTAGGTTATACTTTTGTCTCCTGAGTCTTAGAACAACACTGCTTGTTCCCAGAATCATTCATCAAGTTTCCTGTGAAAACAACCCTTTCCACTTCTGCCTAAAATTTCTCTCCCATGGCTTTAACCACAAAGTAGATCATTCATAAGTAAATACTGAAGGATGGTTACAGCAACCAAATAGACGCTGTTATTTCCGTATAGATTCTAGTCTGGTAACTATCCCCTCTTGTTTAGTCCAGGACTGAAGGGCTTCTCAGGACCTAGGACCAAAACCTGAAGAGCCCCCGGAAAACCAGGATGGTTGCTTATGAACAAAGAGGCAAGTGACGAGGAAATTTCAGAGAGAAGACTGAATAACAACTTTGAGGATCAGTCCCTAGGTCTGGATGGATATCCCTGTGTTTCATTTATTTTGCATCGCTGAACTTGATAACGGAAAATAAAGACAGTGAGGTTCAGGGCAGTTGTTTCCACACTTGGGTCTCTCCTTAAGTACAGATTTCTCAGCACCACCCCAGACTTGCTGGGTCAGAATCTCCCTACTTGGGACATGAAGGATCTGTCATTTCAACAACTCGCCAAGAGATTCTGGTGCAACCAGCTGAGTCTGTGGGCCAGCTTTAGGAAATTTCTGCTCTTCCATACAGCAATCCTCAAAAATACCACTATAGATCTATTGTTTAGAGAATTTTATGGTATTGAAGTATGAAAATAAAAATAATTCTTTCATGATATGCACACCCCGAAGAAAATCTAATCAAATTCTTCCCCTTTTCTCACTAGATGAAGAGTCAAAGAACACAATTCCCAATATTTACGCATTTCAAAGCTTCCACCATGTCCTTAGACACACAGGGAGGCCTGGAGCTGATGACAAGGGTAGAAGCCAGAAAGACACGAAAGATCTGCAAATAAGAAAGAATTTCCCATTTCTCAGGATAGAGTTCAGTTTTCTAAGTTAAAATGTCAGAGGGCTAATTTAATTGTCCTGAAATTAGGCATATAAAACTTCTAACATCAATGCAATGATGGCCCAATAAGCAGGAATTGAATGTGTTCCTCCTGAGAGGGTGGAAACAGAAAATAGAAAGCAGTAGGAAGAAAAAGATACAGAGAGGAGGGAAAGGAGGATGCAGCAACACAGAGAAAGGCTTGAGCCCAAGGTACAATAATGGCAGAGGGAAATCTAACGTTCCAGGTTGTTTGTATTGCTGCTCTCTAAACAACTCTGCTGCAGACACATACAAACACACACACACACCCCTCACATACCTCTTCTGTAAATATTATTTGTTTTTAATCTAATTATTTTTTATTTTGTGGGCTTTAAAGAAAAGGGAGGACTTCCATGTTTCCATTACTGCAGGGTGGTGAAGGGTGGAGAGTGGACACAGAACTGGCAGAAAATGCCTAAGCCAAATGGCTTCAAATGAAGCAATGACCACAAGAGCATTAAGGAATTTGGAAATTTTTTACAACCCATGGAATTCATGTAACAGCTAGACATGTGTGAATGTTTTATAGTTTCAAACTTACTCTATCCTAAAATGTTCTTGATTTAATATATTATCATTTTAGTGCCAGTGCAACCTCAATTTAATATATTATCATTTTATTTTATATATTATCATTGTATTTTAATGCCAGTGCAAACTCCCTGTCAATTTATAAAGATACTCCTCAGCATTCAATAATTTCCTGATAAATTATAATCGACATGCTCCAATTTAATACATATACTCTTCCTCAGCATTTCTTAAAAAATAAACAGCCTGGTGTGGTGGCTCACAGCTGTAATCCCAACATTTCGAAAGGCTGAGGTGGGAGGATTGCTTGATGTCAGGAGTTCAAGACCAGCCTGGGCAGCAGAGTGAGACCCTGTCCCTACCAAAAAATAAAACTAAAAATTCAACTTTATATCCAATAGGTCTAAATGAACAATCAAATACACATAATCTTATTAAAGAAACATATTTAAAATTGTACTATTCAAATTATTCATTTTCTTTTCTAGTTATAAACTCCAATTATTTTGACTGTTGATTAAACATATTCAACTTTGTACATTTTTGTTCTTTTAAAGAGTTCAGAAGTCTGCCTAGTAACTGGTGCCACATGTGAATCAATGAACACTGTAAGAATCTCCCCATAAATCAACATAAGCATATGGTGACAAACTGAAAGACTGAATACTATTACCATTTCTAAACTTAAAAGTGGATCATTTGATTTCTTTTCAGGCTGTTTAGACAATGTATTTTTCTGTTCCTTAACACTTCAACCTCATGATGACACTTAAGATTTTACAGCAGCTAGAATTTGCTCCTCACTTCCTATATTTGATTCTCTCATTCATCTAAAAGAGGAGTTTAGGAAGCTGACAGTGACTCATCAACCTAATTGGCTGTAAAATTTCATTATGCTATAGTTTCTAAAGTTAGTGTTAACGTATTGCTATAAAGTGCTAAATATCGTCAAAGGCTTTATGTCAGCTAACCATTTTAAATATCACCGATTGTAAAGTTGTGATGTGTTTTAGTGTATAGCTTAAAATTAACAACATATAGCAAAGTGTTTTCATGGTGAGAGAGGAAGTCAGCCTCCTAAATTTTATGGGAAGATTGTTTTACATCTTCATTAATGAAATCTAAATCTTGTGACTGGATCTCAAGTTCCTGGAAAATAATAAATTCTTACTGGTCTAAGAAATATCACACATACTTTAGTTAAGGTCTTTCACACTTTGTGGTATATATTCTTGGGTTTTGTTCCTTTTCAGTAAAAAAGGCAAATTGACTTAAGTTGGCAAAACATTGTATATGTTACAATGTAAGTTCCTAAGGTGAGCCTAAGAGAAATTTCAGACTTTGATGCATTGTGGTTGCAAAGCATTGCTTTCTAAGAATTTCCCATTTCTCAGGATAAAGTTCAGTTTTTTAAGTTAAAATGTCAGAGGACTAATTTAATTGTCCTGAAATTAGGCATATAAAACTTCTAATATCAATGCAATGATGGTCCAATAAGCAGTTGGTCAATTCAAGTAAAAAACAAATGGAAGTCATACCAGTTGCTTAATTCTGGGGAAATCAAACATCCAATTGGTTGCCTTTTTCTTACAACCATCTCAGCTTGGAGTATAAATAATCCCACAATCTAAATTTGTAGATTAAGAAGTATTTTTTAAAGTTTCTCCCTGAATTTTTCTGAATTATGAAGCAACTATTTTAAATAATTAAGTCAGTTTCTTGGAGTTGCTCTGGAGAGAATGGTAGAGGAAGAAGGGAATTTGTGAACCTGCTATGAATAAATACATTTATGCATCTAGGCCCAGATTTAGAAGTCATTCTGAATTTCACAGGAGCTTCTCTGCCTATTGATAACCAGGAATAAGACTGTCATGCTTTACATTGTGCTTTTCCCAATGTGACACAGATATATTGTTACTGCATAGTGCAGTGACTTTTAAATCCATGAGAACCATGCCAAGAACCACATCACACACTAAAGAGTGAGCGCTATCAAGCTGACAAATAGGTTTTTTTTTTTTTTTTTTTTTTTTTTTTTACTAAATTTAAACTGATTTGGGTTCCAGGATACAATAGGGGGAACATAAGGTAGAAATACAAGCATGTTCAATTATACAGGAATATCTCCAGAGCACTAGGATCCACACATGAAAGTGTGCACCTCCCATACTGAAGACAGATGAAAATATGAACCCTGAGATGAGACAGAAAGGCAAACTGACTGATAGAAGCAGCTGGCTAGGGGAGAGAGAGGATCAGTCAGGTAGATCTGGATCCAGGTCCCAGCTGGACAGCTTAGAAGGCGAGTGGCCTTGGACACCTTCCTGAACCATGTCACTAATCCTGGGCCTTCAGCTGGCATTGCCACTCTTAGGGACCTCTGTAATGGGGTTCCTCATCCCTCCAGCTTCATCTGCTGCACCACACACCTCTCTGCTCCACTCTTAGGTCCTTGAATATTACATAAGATCTCCAAATGCAGGCCTTTATTCAGCTGTTCACTCTCTTCATTCCTTGCCTAGATGTTTCCAAGCCTCAGGGGAGATGTCACCTCAAATTTGTTAATATTTAATGATTTTCTTCCCAAACTTCGCCTAGATTAGATCATCGAGCATCTTAAATACTAGGCTTAAATACTGAATATTGTTCACTTGAAATGGAGAACTATGATCAATATTTAAAATTATTGCTGAGAATAATGTGTAAAATCAATTGAAGCAAGCATAGGTTGAAGGTAGAGATAAGTTGGGAGGCAGGTTATGCAGAAAGTGGAAACAGGATAACCCAGGGAAGTGAAAACAAAGGAATGAGAGAAAATATGTTTTAGAGGCCAAATTGACAGAATCTAACTATCTGATTAAATATGGCAGTAAATGTCAGGAGGCAATGAACAACTCAGGGTTCTGATGCTAGGTAGTAGAAAATTGGCACCATGAACAGTTTGAAAAATCAGGTGAAGATTTGGTTAATGATATCTCCCCAAGGGCATCAAGACCTCAATTAAAAGGACTGATTTTTAATGTTCTGTGCTATTTATTATATCCTCTAACAGAGTATAGACTTTATATAGATGTTTAATTATTAAAAGAATAAAAGGCCCAAATGTTTAGAGTAATCACATACCAATAACGTGGTTGATCATTTATTTGCAACACTGGCATAATCAAAGAAGCTACGTTGGAGTAGAGCACCTTATGCAATGTTGCAGTAAAACCAACGGCCTGAGAAGCCAGACTTGCATTCTGGTTCTAACACCACAACCAATTAACTTTGTGGCCTTGGGCAAAACATGATCTCTCTGGCTTTTGGTTACTTCTCAGTAAAAATTAGAGAACTGAACAAGATGCTCTGTCAGGGCCCCTCCAGCTCTGAAATTCTGGATTCTAAGGCATGTTCTCTTATTTCTAACTGCTTCCTCCTTATACTTTCTAAGATCCCTTGAAGATTATTTAAGTAATCTTCAAGTAAGTGTGACAGAACAAATACCACTAAACCCAATTCTCCACAACAGTATGAAGTATCCTGTAACTGGGCTACTGCTGAGACCTGGAAATTCTGCACTAACAAAAATACCAAATGTCAACCTGGATTAATTTTTTCCCGCATTCAGAGTTTTGGTTCACTGTGTCACCATATTTCCATTATTCTTAGACTTAGAGCCATTGAACAAATCTGGTTCCTCAAAAAAGAGAAGATTTTAGGTCTCTTCTTTTTCTGATATGCTGGCTAAATGAATCAATTATGGAAAATAAGGTCAGAGAAGTGAAAGGGAAGAGGGAGGATACAAATAATTAAAATGGTAAGAGTACTTCACAAATAGTATCCCTTTAATTCTAAATTATTACTACTCCTCTTGTACAAATAGAAGAACTGAGATTCAAAAAGTCAAATAACTTACCCAACATTGCAAAGTAATGGCAGTAAACGGCAATTTAAAATCAGGTCTACGTGACTCAAAACCTCTGCCATTACCGCTATTCCTTCTCCTCTGTGAAATTTCCTTTGATTCTTCCAGTTCAGGTTTATCTTTTGCTTCTCCAAATTCCCCTTTTACTTACACCCACCAGACCAATGATTAGCTTGTCTCTTAAATTAACTGTAAATGCAGGTTCTCTACATGTAATGTGTTCATGCACTTGTGTTAATCTTTAAAGACAATAGTGTAGTAGGAGTCAAAAAATATTATAAAATATAAACTTTTACAGAAATACTGACAATAAGTATTAACAAATACTAACAGAAATGCCAATACTTATATTGAACTACACTTAAAAAGGAAAAAAGTTTCTATAACATTTTAAGCATTTTTCTGAACTGTTAAACAAACAAAAAAAACTTCTTATGAATTTCAGCCATCCACTTATGGAAAAGTTGTCATAAAATGGCTGAAATTCCCAAGCAAAAGGACTGGACATTTGTGATAAAGACCAACGCTAATAAAGCTTATACATTTATCTTTATAAAAATGACTAAAGTATTTTAGTCTTGGAAGGTGGTGTGTCTGAGTCTATGCCTTTATATGATTTTTCTTAAAATATAACATCAAACTCAAAAGAGAATTTCACACCCAAGGTTCTGCTTTGTGGATTCTTCAGCTGGCTCTGTCAAGGACCTGTAGAGACAGATGTATTGGACTAATGAAGTAATTTGAGCCACTACCTTATCTATTTACAAAGGGCAGAGAAAATTAGAAGACAAGGGTCCTTTGCTGAAAATCACCTGCTATCTTCTTCTGTAATTTAAATGTAGCAGCAAGAACTGAAGGCTCTTAGCTGCCTGAGGACACATGAGGAGACACTTGTAAATCAACCACTGAAGAGCTCTAGATCAGTTCACAATAACATCTCTCCTTTGTGCCTGGCAGGAAATAGAAAGTGCTTCAGGCAGGTGCCAGGTGTCCCCTTCAGGTATTAAAAATTTCCATGCAATGCCCTAGAGTTTCGAAAACACTGAAAAACCTAAGGTAAGTGGCAAATAAGATTAAGAGTGTATCTTCAGGCAAAACAACCAGTTTAAAAGAAAGACTTTCAGAAAAGCAAATTATTTCATAGATATATCCCTAAGTCCCTGAACAAAGAAAAGCCTGTTTGATTAAATTCAATTATTTGCATTTTTCTACATAATTATCTTAGATCATACACATGAGAGACAAATTTTGATTTAAAATAATTTATAAAACTTGATATATCATAGTTAATGTTTCTCTTTTTTAAGGCATATTAAAGACACTCCTCCTCATACAATTCAAATTTGGGCCTGGAAATTCCCACTTCAGCAGAAAGGACTTCTAATGCTACCCCCACCCCCAATATGTTACAGTCATTTCAGACCCTATGACTTGGCTCAGGATTTACCTTTTAAAAATACAGTCTATTTTTTAAATTACAAAAGTAATACATATTAATACTAGAAATATGGAAAATAAAAGTGTAGAAAGAAGAAAATAAAAAAAAATCTATTAGCCTCCCAGCTTAATGACCATTTGTATATTGGTGTGGCGTCTTACATTTCTTTCTTTGCCTCTTTATTTTTAAACATTAAAGTGATATACTCTTTTTAATATGCTCTATTCACTTCATCTATAATGAGAATTCCCCTATATTATAGAAAAGCATGGTTTTTTATCTTGTCCTTAATCTTTCATTAAGATTCTTATCTAATATTTAATCATTCAACAGATTAATATTTTTGCAATTAATTCTTTTGTTATATTCAATGTGATATTTGGGTTGAGATAAGGATCATAAGTTTTTCATTTTCCAAATTGTGAACCAATTCTCCCAGTGTTATTTATTACATGTATATTCATTTCCCAAATAATTTATATAACATTATTTTTAACATATCAGATTTTTATATATTCTTGAACACCTCTCTGGATTTTCTGCCCTAGGCCATTTTTCTCTTAATATGCCAATGCTACATTTTTATGATTATTATGTGTTTATGTTATACCATTGGTTCATTCTGTACTCTATCATACTCTTTTGAAAAATTTCTGATTAGTCTAATAGTCTTTATAACTAATTAAACCAGTTCAAAAAGTTAGAACTTTTATTAGTCATATCAATTTTTAAAATTAATTATGAAAGACATAACATAGCTACAATACTAAGCCTCCATTTGCTAACATAGAGTCTGTTTATTCAAATCTTCTTTAGGAATCCTTAATAAAGATATGTCACTTGCACATTTATTTTTAAGTTAATTCTTCAATATTTTATGTTTTGTAGCTTTATAAAATGATTTATTTTCATTAACTGGTATAATTTATAAATTTCTATTTATTTTTAATACTCAACGTTTTTCTCTCATTTAAATTCTACACATCCTAGCAAGCCCAGATTAAGTCCTACCTCTTCTACACAACACGGAAAAATATAAAATAGCATGGGTTTTGAGACCAGATTAAGATTTTAGGCTCTGCCTCCAAGTCTCTGAATTCTTCACTCATAAAATAGGAATTTATGACCTATGTTGCATGGCTGCTGTGAGGATTAAATGAGACAATGTAAGGCATCTGGCACCTTATGTAGTAAATAAATGAACATCACTATTTGATATGTGAGGCTATAAAATACTTAACCTTCTATAACATACAACACTTTTTCAATTATACAAATGAAAGAGATTACAACAGAAAGTTAAACTCAGTATATATTCATATATTCAATTACTAAGCATGAGAAAGGTAATTTAGTTCTGTGATTGAGACCAACCACCCTGCTTCCGATCTGCCTAGGTTCAAATCTCAATACCACCATTTACTAGTTATGAGCTTTGAGTAAGCCCTTTAACCTCCTATGCACCTTATCTGTAAAATGGGGATAACAATAATATCTCCCCCATAGGGTTGTTGTCATAATTAAATGAGTTAGTATATATATTAGACAATTAAATGAGTTAGTATATACATTAGGCAGTCAGAAGAGTGTTGAAAAGAATAGGCACTACATAAGATGATATTATTATTATCTTTATTATTATCATTCACTGAGCTTGTGTGATATACTAAGCAGTGAGGAGGATACAATGGTAAACAAAAACTGACCTACTCCTTGCTGTCACAGAGTGACACTGGGACTACGATCTGAAAGATAAATGGGAGTGAATTAGGTGGGCAAGGGAAGTAGAGGGGAGCACAGGATGACAGCAGTGGCAAAAGCCCATTGATGGGGGCAGCAGAAGAGTACAAGGAGTGAGGCTCAGCCAGTGAGGCTTAGCAGGGGAAGAAGGAGGGAGGCACAGGTGAGGCCTGACGGGGGCAGGGCCAGATTATGGAACAATGCAAATGACCGGGAGTCTATCTGTCTTCTTTCTGTAAAAGCAGAGGGAAGCCATCAAAAGGTAACATAACCAGATTTCCAGTTCTAAAAGAGCACTGAGTCAAGAGAACAGATAGGAAGGAGGAAAGAGTAAATGGAGTAGGCAGATTGGGAGGTGATTTTATAGTTCAGAAAGGAGCATACGGTGTCATGGGCTAAGGTGGTGATGAAAGTGAAGAAATGTGATTGCACTAGAGACAAAACAGGATTAAAAACAACAGGATTTGGATATGGGCACCATAGCAAAGAGTGGTACCCAAGGGTGACTTCTAGGTTCTCGGCTTAAGTATCTGGACAGATGCCAGTGCTGCTCAATTAGATGGGCAACAGTGTCTAGGACAGAAATAGCATGTCCTGCCAGCCAGATAACTGCACATTTACCTAATGCATGGTCAACATAGTGAGTTTGTTCCTGTTATGACAGGTCAGGGGAATCCCACTAGCCTGCACCTCCTAAAAATTGTATACTCACTTGCCACTCTGAGAATGTAACCTGCCTTATTTGTAGGATATGTCCAAGTTCAAGGTTCCAACACTGCGTTATCATTATTTTTATTACTTACAATCTCCCTAGGTTATAAATTCCAACCCAGGAACAGAGAAAGAGATGGCATCAGAATTGTTTTCAAGAATGTGTCATCATTCAACACTGACTTCAATCATTCTATTTGCAAGTTACTAATAGTACTCTCTCAGGTATTCCCTTTTAAACAAAAAGCTGAATAGTCAATGTGATGACCTGCTTTAAATATAAACATAGAAAAGTAAAACATTTCCCCTTTCCATTATCTTTTTAAGATTTTGTCAACAATGAAGTATTATCACGGGAACACATGTTATAACACCTTAAACCTGTAATTAATAGAAATGCTTATGTTAAAATAATCTCATCCTATCTGCTTTTTCTAAAAAATTTTATTTATTTATTTGTTTATTTTGAGACAGGGTCTCACTCTGTCACCCAGACTGGAGTGCAGTGGTGTGATCAAGGCTCACTGTAGCCTTGACCTCCTGGGCTCAGGACATCATCCTATTTCAGCCTCCCAAGTAGAATGGACCATGGGCATGAGCCACCACGACCAGCTAATTTTTAAATTTTTTGTAGAGATGGGGTCTCCTCATATTTCCCAGGCTGGTTTTAAACTCCTGGCCTCAAGCAATCTTCCCATCTTGGCCTCTCAGTGTTGGAATTATAGGCATGAGCCACTGCACCCAGCCATATCTGCTTTTTTCTAAGCTATCATGACCTATTAGTGATAATAAAATCAATGTAGTTGGTCACACACAGCGTATTTCCAAAATAAAGAAAACATGTAGAAATCAAGTTCATTGCAAATAGTAACAGGAAGTATTGTTTCTTGAGTCTTTATTTCAGTTGAGAGGTGGGTTTGTATACTGTATTGCCATAAACAATATATTATTAATCTGGAGTGAAGTAAAAAAAAATTTGAAACTCATTAACCTAGTCCAATTCTAGTATTCCACAAAGGTGAAACTGAGACAGAGGAACTGAGTGATTTTTTTCCAGGTCTGATAACCTGTGAAGAGGCACAGCCAGGAATAGAACCCTAATCACTTAATTCCATGACTCTTGTTTTATATCATGTCTCTTTTCAGCTTCATTTTCTCTCCCATTGTAATTAAGTTCTATTGAGGATAACTAAAACTTAAGGAAATCACTGAATGAGTTTGCCCATGAGGAATTAAAAGCATTGAAGGAATAATGAAGTATGAAAATAAATGAATAACAAGAAAGTATGAGTAATGGGCAGGTTCTCTCTTACTCCAAAGGGAAACTATCAGTGAAAACCAACAACAAAGAACCACAGCTTTTGGTTTTGAAAACCAAAAAAATCTAAACACAAACGATTTTATAACAGAAACTTAAATTTGTAAATAAAGGCCCATAAGTGCCTGAAGTTTATGATGCATATCCTTTAAGTGAAAATTTTAGGGTGTCTGTGTGTATTATTGGACCACCCAAATGAAAAATGAAAACAATTCTTGCCTCTGTACAATGCAGTCAATCCTCTGGATGACTGACTAGGTCTTTCACTTTTCTTCCCAATTTTAGGGGTCACAGCACAGGCATAGGTATAGTGCCAGTGGCTGATTAAAGCAGGTCGCAATCTGTCTGGGAGAGTTTCTGTGCCATTCTTCATAGGGACAGGGACCAGACAAGATGACCTCCCTTGCTGCCTTCCAATTAATTCAATCAGCCTCTGCTTCTATCAGACATCTTCAGGGATGCAAACTGTATACTCGCTCCAAGTCCTCACCAGGAATCAGTAAACACAGAGGCTGCAGACTGTGTTTAATGAATAAGCAGGATTCATCTTCCAGTCATCATTTTTATTTACAGCTTGTTTCCAGGTATTATTTTCTCCCCCAATGATCTAAAATCCCTATGGAAGACTGGGGCCGGATCTAACTTCTCTGAGCTCCTGCTGGGGCTAATCTGGTACCCAAATACATCTTAGGTTAATATCAATGTTGTTAAACCAACCTAACCTGAATTTCTTTCTCAAGAAGGATGTATAAGTAAGATAATCCCAATTAGCTCTCCATAAATCTTTTTGCTTTAATATTCTGTGAAGAGCCACTCTAGGAAACTATTATGAGATACAGTAAAGTACAGTAAGGAAAACATTGTCAAACAAACTAAATCTATACCTTCTATTTCTGAAGGCATATATTTAGTGAGCCACTGCACCTAGCCCTACCTGCTTTTTTCTAAGCTTCATATAGGCCATGGCCTATTAGTGATAATAAAATCAATGTGGTTGGTCACAAACAGTGTATTTCCAAAATAAAGAAAACATGTAGAAATCAAGTTCATTGCAAATAGTAACAAATTGAACACTGCAAATGTTCAAATAAATATACATAAAAGGTAGAGTTGGTATGGGGTGTCTGCTTTTTGTTTCTCTTCACATGGACTGGCAGGATAATTTCCATAATAGAGGAAATAGATCATCTGAGACTAACTATATTAGACAATGTTGGTACAACAGATCCAAGATGAGGTAAGTGCTCACATGACAGCTCATTTCAAACCCCTCATAAATCAGGAACCTGTGGCTATATTTCAACACTTCCTATACAATCAATAAAACATCAGTGTTCATTAGGCAGACCTCATCTATAGCCTCAGATCAAAAACTGTGGCTTTTGACTACAAACCTACCTTACAATAAGAAGGGAGTGAATTTAACACATCTTTCCTTTAAAAGAAAATAATCTAATATAAAATGTGATGTCCTTCAACATTACATATAAGCTAATTATAGCACATGGTTTGTGTGAGCTTTAGTGGGCTGCATCAGGACCTGGAAAACATTCCAAAACTGAAGTGGAATTTTGGCCCAGTAAGAACTGAATCACTAAGGAACAAACCCTGGTTTCACCTTGAGAGATAATGCATGACCTATTAAATCTCTCATTATTACCCTTGTGTACAAAAACAAAAAAAAATTGAAAACAGTTTCATCTTTAAACTTTCAATGCATGCACATGCAAAAAAAGAATTAAAAATATTTTCATCTTTAAACTTTCGTTGCATGCTTTGAATATCAAAACATATTTTGTGAGAAAAATTATAAATAGAAATTTGATAAATTTAGAACCAATGTGAAAATCATAGCCTGAGATGCACTTTAAACTTATTTCTAACAAATCTGCTTTTCTCAGTGATTTATTTTTGCTCCCCAAATTATGGTACTGGCACCAAGGACTTGGAGAGAAAACAGGTATGATAAAGAGAACATTTAAACATAATGGCACAAATGTACACACGTTCCTAAATAGCCTTCTTCACAGAAGCTGAAAGGGGAAGACCTAACCATTTATTGGGATCTATTATGAGCCTACCACCATGCTAGACAAGTTGGACAGATTGTTACATAATGCTTGTAATCACTCTATGAGGCAAGTATTATTATTACCGTTTTTTAGGAAAACTGAAGCTCAGGTTAAATAACCTGCCCATTATTATAGATTTAGTAAGTGATAAGCCAAGAATCCCAACTCTGCCTGTCTATTCAAAGTGATCTAACTCTTTTTATTACAGCTCAGGTCTAAACAATAAAGAACATGCCCACGTACAGTGTAATGAATTTAGATGAAGATATAAACGTGTTACCAGATCCTAGGAAAGACCAGTTTCAACTAACACTAGTACTGTAAGCACATAGTAACCATTTGGCCTTTGACTTTTTATCACAAGCTTGCGTTCAGCTTCTATATGAGGTGACTTTTCCAGGCTGGAGTGTAGTAGCTACTCACAGGCATGATCATAGCACACCACAGCCGTGGACTCCTGGGCTCAAGCAATCCTCTTGCCTCAGCCTCTCAAGTAACTAAGACTATAGGTGAATGCCACTGTGCCTGGCTTAATGTGTCATTTTCTAATATGTGAGTTTTCTAATAGTCTTCCAATACTTTTAGGAACAAGACAGACTCGGGTATTGGAGTAATCTGGTAAAACACCCTCTTTCGGTCAAGCTCTTTAGAAGAGCCTTTATGCTTCTACTTCCTTATTGCAATGCACATCTTGGCTGCTGCAATTTGACTTCTATCCCAACCACACACCAATGCTACCTAGGCAGACACCATTAGTTGTACTTCATACCAATTCACCACTTCTTACATGGTATTAGAACCCACGATTTTTAGGAAGGCATGACTTGGTCAGAATAAAGACTTTATTTTTCCAGCCTCCTTTGCAGCCAAATTTAGCTGCTGCCAATAGGATGTAGGCAAATGTACAGTATGGTAATTTTTAGGAACCTTTCTTAAAAGACCCGGGTCTTTTAAGACCCAGGTCTTTCGCTTCTTTATCCTTTTTCATCCTGTTCTCCATCCTGCCACCTAAATGGCAGATGAAATCACTGGAGCTCTACCTGTCACCTGGAACCAGGAGGAATTAGAGCCACAACGTGGAGATAGCAGAGTAATAAACTAGAAGGAGCCTAGGTCACTACAGCCTGGGTAAAGCAGTGCCGCTGCACCCTTCCTGCACCACCTCCTCTAGATTTTACCAGACACAAAAATGAGGTTTTATCTCATTTAAACAAATGTTATTTCCACTCTCTGTTACTTTTAGCTGGACACAATCTTATATGATATATAACTATGATCTCCTTGTGTCTAAACCCAAGGACACTAAACATACTCCACCACATTTTGACTTTTAATTTTACCAGTCTTTTGAGGTTTTCTGGAGCACTAGGAAAACCATAAAATTTATAAGAGAAATCTCTCCTCTTATAACTCTGTTATCTATGGCAAATAACAACCTCTTTTGCTTTCACTGTCTCCATCTGTTGTGAAAGAGAGAATAATGACCTCCTACTTCAAAGTGTTGTAAGGAATCAATCAAATAAAAACTACAATTTCTAGTTTTCTTGTGCCCCTTTTCACAGGACACAAGTCACTTAAGATTCAAAATTTTTACATTTGACTTTAAAATACCTATTTACCTGAGTACCTCTTTTCTAGTTTCACCTACTCACCAAATTAACGAACTTTTTAATGAACCAATTACTGTTTACAAAATAAACAAGGAAAAAATAAAAGCCTTTAAAGGTATTCTGTTATTTGTTGTTTCTAAATTCATCTTGCTTTCCTATCTAATTTTAAGACAATTTTGTTAATGGTTCACAAGGGCAGGGATCATGTTTATTTTCATTCATCATTTTATTTCCAGTGCACATGGTAACATCTCAAAAAATGTGAGTGTCCTCTATCCCAACCTTCTATGTCTGCCATTCCTGCAGTGAGGGGTCATTTCCACTGCCATGTTACAAAAAGTTATAAGTAGATTTATGTCCTACCTGTACAGGCCACCTCATGGCATCCCCTTGTCCTTTATTTTTAGTACAATTCTATAACCTATCATGTTCCTTAATAAGAACTAGTTGTTCTACTCTATATTCTTATACTCCAATAATATTATAAATTAATAAGACAAATTCAAAAGTTCTCAAAAGTTATTATAGTTACCATGTATGAACTTTTTGTCCATCAGCTGGATGTGCCAATCTAATTTAGAAGATCTGATTAATCTGACAAAGCGTTTCTGAACTGTATGACTGTTTTACTCTTAGTTAAGTTCACAGAGTTATTTTCAGCATCATATTGTTTTCATTTTGCAAATGTTTTTCTGGGTCACAATGCTGGCTCTTTTCTGCACCCATGTGTAGTACACATCTAACCTAGTAATGAGGGAGGCTAAATTAGTCTCCAGTGCTTCTTGCTTTTGCAGTTCTAGATCATTATCTCCTCTAAATAGCCATCCTTCTTTCTCCACATCTCTGCCCAACAAGTGCCCAATACCATCAAAAGAAACTGCTTCACACAGAAATATTAATGACTGATAATGCCCGGGTGTGACCACTCTGAGTGCATTTTGTCAACATGTTATCACTTCTGGAATTTATGTCACCAACAAGTTTCATGTGTGTGACAATCAACAAATTTAGATGGCCATTTATTTCAACTATCCCAAAGTCCCCTTTCTCAGATTTCTGGGAGTCAACAAAAAGAGGGGAGGGAGTAATAATAATTCCAACTAAATCCTATAGTGTTACTTTTGTTATCAAAGTAGCAAAGGCCTACTTTCCTTTTGATACTAGTCATTTGAAATTAAATATGAAAACTCATTTACCCTTAAAACAACTTGCTATGTATTACTCTATTAATGAAAAGTCTTTCTTCAAAAGTACAAATCTTCTATTATAAAATACATGTGAAAAATATTATTAAATCAATTCTTTCTCAACCTATGAGAAAACATTCTCAAACTTCCTCTTTTCCTATTATATTTACAAAGTATTTTCTATTCTCCTTGATCACTTTTCCAAATAGCATCCCATTTTATTTATTTATTTGCTGTTATGTTTCTGTTCTTTCTTACTTCTTCATAACCTTCTCTTGCCCTGACTTGCTGTGGTCGATATCTTTTTTTTATTTCTATTTCTGGATATTCAATATCATCTTACATATTTGTAGATCATCATGCCTCAATATGAAAATTCATTAACTAGGGTAAATTCTACTGAAATGTAATTTTTAGTTAATTTCACTAATATTCAGAGAAATTCCTAAAACTTTCCGTTTGTGATCCGTTTCATTCTCTTAGACAAAAAATATCACCTAAAAATTAAATATATCACAAATGGCTAAAGGGGAAAATCTCCATCTAATTATTTCTATTTGAAAGTACCACATTAAAAAATGCAACTCCTTTATTTTCCTCAGTGAATCTTTGATGAAATCCAACAAAAATGATGAGTTACCTGAAAAATGTAGATTTCTATCATTAAAACAATCTGGCCGGTGCGATGGCTCATGCTTGTAATCCCAGCACTTTGGGAGGCCAAGGAGGGAGGATTACCTGAGGTCAGGATTTTGAGACCAGTCTAGCCAACATGTCAAAACCCCATCTCTAATAAAAATACAAAAATTAGCTGGGCCTGGTGGTGGGCACCTGTAAACCCAGCTACTCGAGAGGCTGAGACAGGAGAATTGCTTGAACCCAGCAAGTGAAGGTTGCAGTGAGCCGAGAGTATACCACTGCACTTTAGCCTGGGTATCAGAGCAAGACTCCATCTCAAAAAAAAAAAAAACCCTTTCAGATATCTTTAACATTTATGCCTTGTTCACTCAAAATTGTATGTGCTTTTTAACACCTCCCATCCTACTTATACTACATCTTCTTTATATTTTCTTTTTTTCAGAGTCACTCAAATATCTCCTATGCCCTAGAATGTGATTCTTCCCCCATCTTTTGAAATGGTAAAATAAAATACAATTGTGTTAAATGACATGAAGAATGAATTCTGTTTCCTCTACAAATGGACTCTATCATAACTTTATAGTTGAACATACAATTAGCAGCAAACCACGAGAGCGTTTAATTAGACCTAGACTCTAGGAGTTGAGTTCACAGATTGTGCCTATGAGAAAGCAATTAGAGGTAGATCTGGTCAGTTAAAAAAAAAAAAACCTCAGAGACAGAAAAAAAAAAAGGTCCATTGTTTTGTCTTCAGCTGATGTAAATTCAGCCTTAATGAAAGATAAGCTATTTTCACAGAGAATAGATTTTTCATATTGCTCAGAGTGTATTTGAAATCTTATAACATATGGCATTCTAACTTTGATATGACTTTTTCTGAGCTACCTCTATATTATCAAGGAAGAGAAAGGAGAAATAGAGCAAATAGCAAAGACCATATCAAACATATCACAAATGACTATAGACAGGAAAGCAAGATGGTTTTTCTTAGCATAGACTTAATTTGTCTACAGTATGATACATAACATGCAATAAGATAATCACTATAAACATCTTATGTATATTACACTTATTTTGCATTTCCTGCTTGCCAGAAGCCATACTGAAATCCAAGATACACTAATAATGTTCAAAAGACTAACCAAAAAAAAACACACAATGAAGCACAATACAGAGTAATTACTATTCTGTGGAAAGAACAACAAAGGCATTTTTTTTTCCTGTAGCTGTAATCAGTTTATAATTATGGCCCAGCAAACAAGGCAACACATAAAGAAACAGTAAGAAACTCCTCCTCAGCTTCCATGTTATAAATTTATGGTATCTTAAAGCTTTTTATCTTTGCTGCCCCGACAGACGACAGGGACTCCACAATTCTTAGGTGACTGTTGCCTTCATCAGTACCAGCATCCATAGGTACAGGTTAATGTTCCACAGCCGCTAATTTATTTTTTTAAATGTTAAAACCCCATAGAGCATGACAAATAACACAGGTTTAAAATATAAACATCTAAAACTCAGCAACAGGAGAAAGTAGCTTCTTATTTGCCAGTGACAAATAACAAGCCTGCAGAAATACGAAAAATGCTCTCCAAAAAATATATGGATATTATCTGATAATGGTGACTTGGTAAAAATTATTTCATTCTAGTAAAATAGAAAGTGCAAGTTGCTTTTTGCTACTCCATCCATTTATGTTTTCCATTAAGTTCCTTTCTATAGAAGGTTTGCTATATAAGTTATGTCGTATATTCTCAGGTATAGATATATCTGGAAAAGGAGAACAACAAAGACTCTCTTAATTTTTTCAGAGTTGAATCCCTAAACTGTTTTCCAACTGGCATGTTGTACTATGAAATCCAACTATTTTATTTGCTTAATTCCAGAACTGGTCTCTATGTGAGAACACATTCTCTCTCTCTTTTTTTTTTTTGGACAGAGTTTCGCTCTTGTCGCCCAGGCTGGAGTGCAATGGCACAATCTCGGCTCACTGCAACCTCTGCCCCACAGGTTCAAATGATTCTCCTGCCTCAGCCTCCTGAGGAGCTGGGATTACAGGCGTGCACCACAATGCTCAGCTAATTTTTGTATTTTTAGTAGAAACAGGGTTTCACCATGTTGCCCAGGCTGGTCTCAAAGTTCTGGGCTCAAGTGGTCCACCCGCCTCAGCCTCCCGAAGTGCTGGAATTACAGGCATGAGCCACCACAAGTGGCCAAGAACACATTCTTAATGACATTGTTAAAGATATTCTGCTTTTTAAAAAATGCATAATACTAGCATAAGTTTGTATTGCAATTTTCTGTCATTTGATAAATATAGAGATAACTCTACTGCCCAAGAAGTTTACCTTCATGTAGCTTCATAAAGATGCAATAGATAATACACCCATCCACACCAACATTTTAAATTAAATGTCAGGAATTTTGTTTTGTATTTGTAATTATTCATGTCACTGCATTAGCCATTGTATTAGCATTTTATTTAAAAGTTTACTTTTTTTCATTAAGGATTATGATTGTAAGTCCTAGAGGTGAATCCGCTTTGTTTTCTTACGGTCGTGCCAAGGCAGTCAGAGGGTGAAGAAGTTTTTGCCAAGTCAGAGACCAGCCCTGGAGCCAGGGCTGCACTTATGATAGCAGGAACATATGATAAAATCAATCCAGAGTCCAAACAAGTGAAGGTGAATGAGGAAGGGCAGCAGCGATGCTCCGTAAAGTGTGGATGCAGACAGTAATGCCTGGTGACTGGGTCGGTGAGAATCCAGGGCTCTGGGTAGGATGACTTGGCATGAATGTCAGAAGGTGCCAACTGCTCTACTAGACTGAAGAATGGGAGTCAGATGTCTTTCCTGCGGGGCAGTTGGTAGGAAATTTCAGATCCTCATTAACTCTTTGATACCACCAGGGGGCCATTTGATAAATGACAGTGCCAGTGTTCTAAATGGAGTCTAAGCATCTGTTGGAATAAATGTACATCCTAAAGTGCCTAGCTTATGAATAGAGTGTCACTCCCACCCAGACAATGTGCAATAATGACTTGTACATCTCATACATGCAGTTATTACACCAGGGAGAGAGACAGGGACCTATTCAGGCATAGCACACAGTTCTTAAGAATATTACATTACTACATTTTTTTAAAAAACACTTAATTTGAGATGTCATGCTTAGATAATTGATATATCTTCTCTTGCTACTAGCATTCTTTGCCTTTATTTTGTGACTTGCTTTCACAACACAGACCTTCTTTCAGAGTTACTATAATCTTTCTACCTTCTGCACTATTTTCATATTTTAAATGCAAAGCATTGTCTACATTGTCTTATATGAGGCAGCTTTCCCAGACTGGATTTTCTGTAAAGTCCTGCTGTAACCAGGTAGGCTGCCAACTTGAGGTAGTGACTCACACTCTGGGTTCTGCACACATTCAACCACAGAGTAGAGAAGGAGGCATTCTCTCTTTCCCTTGCTTAGGAAATCTGAAGGGGAAACTGACTTGTAATGTCTATTGCAAGTGCAACAGGACTGTGTTCAAAAGCATAGGCCTTAAATGATCTTTCAAAGTAATTTGCTCATAGTCATTATTTTGTTGCCATCAGGTGAAGAAATAGCTCTTGGTCACAGCTTGTGGGTAAAAGAACCATAGAGGTGGTTAACTGGATTCCATTTTTTAAAAATGCAACCCTAAAACAGATAAACATCAATTTTAATCAGGCTATTAATCTCTATACTGAAACTGGACATGTACTTGCAGTGAAACAGGTTTCTCGGAAAGATGGAGAAATGGAGACAGATACACCAAACAGGCACACCTGAGCACTCTGTGTTCCTCAGTGAGAACGTGGGCTTACTGATGCTGAGTTTGCTTCTGAAATCAGGAGTGCCTGGTATTTGGAAACATCCTTTCAATGGAAGGTCACAGATTATAAGTGATATGGTTTCAGAGTGGTGATTTTAAATGCTTGTGGTACATGCAAAATGCTGCTGTTATCCCAGTACCTGGAGAGCAAGGCCCATGGTCCCAGGATGCCCCTCAGCAAAAAATGCTAGAAGAGGTCAGCAAGAGGATCTGAGCTTGCTCCAGTCCTGGGTGGCCTCTCCATATCTGGTCACTCTTTGTATTCTTGATGGATATTTAAAAGAACATCACGGTGAATGCTTGTGCTCTCTTTTAACCAATAGCTATTGCTCCTGGAAACCTAAAGTAATCAAAGCAGTATTTAAACCAAAAGTTAGCAATGTGTGGTCTCTGTACTAGCAACAGCAGCATCACCTTGTCAGGAAACTTATTAGAAAAGTAAATTCTCCAGTCTCTCCCCAGCCCTGCTTAAGTAGAACCTCTTGGCTAGGGCCCAACAGTCTATACTCTTAACAAAGTGATTCTGATTTCTCCTAAAGTTTGAGGGCCCACTGGCTTAAACTGTAAGCAATTAGGTACTGTTACTCTAAATTACTCTCAGCTTTAATCATGAATTAATCTGAACTTGGTTGTCTCCCCTGACTTCACTACCACAGCCCTGCAATTCAAGCAGTTTCAATCTGCAACACATCTACAGTTCCAGAAAATAAAGCCATTGTTTTTCCAATGAAAGAGAAAAAGGCCTCTGTGTAGGTTACGGGGTGCTTTTTTTCCATCCCAGGCATGAATAGTGTATTCACTTTGTCGAAGCTGTTTCTGTGACTATGGGAAACAGAAGTAGCTGCACTTTCTAACAGTTTTGAACACTTGCAAACCATCAGTATGGTGACTGGCCACAGCAGGATCCCATTTCTTCTTTGGCTCCTTCTGCACTGCCCCTCGGCTACAAAAGATACATGTTCCTTCAACATTCTTTCATTTTCTCCTTCTCTACTGAAGTCCACTGTAAAGATTGTACATCAGATTCTTCCCTGCAATACAACTTAAACTGCAGAACACTCTTTTATGTTTGTGCTAAGCCCCTGTACCTTCTTTTCCCTGCCAGAAACAGAAAAGAGTTGGAAGAATGTGTTGAACATGATCATGCTGCTTGAAGATTTTTCATGAGTTTTCCTATCAGCTTGTTTACAAATCTTTACTTCATTATGTGTCTTCTTTTTCTACTTGTGATAAAGTCTCCTCTTTTTCTACCTCCTTTCTGATCAATACTTTAAAAAAATTAAGTAATCATTGCCGTGTGAACCAATATCTACCAATTGCATTTTATTGTTTTGCTTAGTTCGGTTTGCTGTAATAAGAGAAGGTTATGATAGAGTGGAAAGGGCACTGCGGTCAGAAGGTCCACATTTAAGGAAAAATTCCAGCACTTCCAGACTTATCAGCACAGGCCACTTAAAATTCAAAGCTGGAGTCCCCTGATTTGAAAAGTGGGATTCATGATTACTCCTGCCCTGCAGACCCCACACAACTCCTGAGAGGACCAAATTTTAAAAATGCATGTGAAGTCATTGTGAAAACTGTAAAGAGTTATATAAACCTGATTTCCTAGTTTCTCTGCGAGGATTTACTAGACTCAAAGTTAACAAAACAAACAGAACTAGGACTTGAAAGCAATCACAAGTCTCCTTAGAATAATAGTAGCCTTTTAACCTATAGAGTCACAATGCCACAAAGAATTTAGACAGGTTGATCCAATTGAGTAGCTAGTAAATGTTTGTAATAACAAGCAAATAGTAATTGTTCAGTTTTGCTAAAGCAGAGAAACTTAGAAAATATATCCTAAGTTATTTCCATATTTGAAGGAAATTGGAACAAAAGGAGTAAATACACCAAAGACTACACTAACTAAAAGAACCATGTGAGGTCAATGATGGCATATGGAAATGTCTACTAATATAAAATGGGCTTTGTGGTTAATCAATAATGCCTTAATAGATTATGGGAAATAATCACACCAGTAAGGAATTACTCTGGATCATTAATAGCAGTAGAGATTTCCATCAATTTAAATGGCCCTTGAAAATAACACATAATATTTACTTGCCTGGGTTTTCTTTAAGAAAAATATCGATTTGAAACTCAGAAATCACAAAAACAAAGAGGCTAAAATCAGACAGAATGTCTTTGCTCTATTACTGAAACCACATAAAAAATAAAATAAAAAAAAAAGCCCTTAGCACTAGCAGTGTCAATTATCCACATTATTTATCCTGATATACAATCTTGAAAAAAATCTGCCTATTAACCTTGTGGAATGCATTCTCACAGCCATTTTGCTCAGCAGGAGCTTACAACCAGTCCTAAATTGTTAGTGGCAATTCCCAGGTTTAGTGTCTCCAAAGGTAATTTTCTCCAGTTACCAAAGATTAGAGTCCTCAGAAAAATGGGGTCCTTAAAGTTAACATACTGTCATCACAGACCCATTTTCCAATTCAGAAGATAAATGTATTTTATTTGCTACCTAAGAAATGATAGCAAACAACAGGACACAATTCATATTGATTTTTCTTCCGAAAAACATCTTCCTAATCAATATCATTTATTCTAATATATAAAAATAGTGTTCATACTTAACCAGTGCATTATGCTGTACCCTGGTATTTTATTATTCTGAGTTTTAAAAAATAACAAGACCACAACACTAATTTAAAAATAAAAGAAATAGCAGTGCTTGTTAATATGCCCTAAAACGGTGTTTGTCAAAGTGTGGTGGTTCACACACCTGTAACTAGAATTAACCAGGATGCTTGTTAACGTTCTGTAACTCCATCTTAGTGAATTAACTGGAGGGGAATTTGGAAATTGCATTTTCACAAAGATTTCTGGTGATTCCTGCGCACACTACAGTTTGTGAAACACTGCCAAGCTAGCCAGTGGTTCCCAAGTCGGCTGTACATTATACTCACCTGGAAAATTTATAAAAACACCAATGGTCAGACCTCAGCCCAGAGCAATTAAGCCAGAATCTATCGGCCATGGGCAGTGTTGCCAAATAAAATACAGAAGGTATTTCTTTAACATGCTTATAGTAACAAAATAATTCTTGTTTATCTGAAATTTAAATCTAACTAAACATCCCATGTTCTTATTTATTACATTTGGCAGCCCAAGTTATAAAGCTCAGGCACAGCAAGATTTTTAAAAAGCTTTCCTTTTTGAGTCAACTGGACAGTTGAGATTGAAAACAACTGATACTAAACCTAGGCTCTAAAGATATCGAAAGATATGACTATACACAAACTCTCAGGCATTAGGCGCAGAGTTGAAACAATCTAGCTCAGAAGCAAAGTGAAGTACCCATCACAGCTCCACTATCTCATATACTCATTTGTTTTCCCCAAAATTTTACAGGTGTTGACTGATTTTTAGGTAAGTTTATAATAAATGAAAAGTATCAACATAAGACTCATCTTTTTAAAATAAAACATCATTTTTAGGAAATACTTAGAAAATACTAAATAAAATGAGAGTTTCCAAAAAGTTGGTGTCCATGATCAGCTAAATTCTTTTATAATTGGAAAATTGGCTTCTACAGTCACAAATCCCTCTTTTTGGATCACCAGAATTCCCATTAGGAGAGGAGTCATGAGTAACAACCACCTCTCTCAATGCCATTCAGTCTGCCTTGAAGCGTTCACCTGGCAGCAGAAAATTAACAGCATTTCCTCCTTGCGAAAAAGTTAGGAGCCTTTAGACATTATCCAATTGTCCAATGAATGGGGATCCATGTGGATAAACGCAGGCACAAAATCATCCACAGTTTTACACAGTAAGGGAGAAGATTAAGTTTACTGGATGTATGTTGCTGCAGCCAGTGAAGTTAGAATAAAATAAGACTGGAAAAAAAAAAAGCCCAAAATTTTTGGAAAGGCAGAGTTTCCCCATTATGGTCACCCCACATTTAAAACATCAACATAGTCTACACATAAAAATAATTTACAATAAAATAAAACATCAATATATGAACCTTAAAATAACATTTTCTCAAGAAGAATTTCAGCTTCTAATTTTCCTTAATATACATGAGTTAAGATTTTAAAGATGAAATTTAAACAAAGCTGAATTCTAATCAGATAACTGATTTCAGGAGTTACTAAATAAATTTTAACAAGAATATATCTTCATAACGTACCTTTGTAAATGAAGAAAGAACACAAATTAATTAATATGAGAAAAGTACACGCCCATTTAAGCCTTTTTTATATAATTTATCTCTGTTGTCCATGATTTCAGATTTCCTGAAATTTCCTTAAAAGGTATATTCCCAGTATCACATCAACATATCATATCATATCAAACACTTAGCCATCATCTTGCTTCTGAAAAAAAAGTGAAATTCTAAAACTACCTTGATATCTATTAGCATATAGCTCTAGATTTTGATGATAATTAATCCACTTCTTTAAAATGTGGTGTTTACCAAAGAGGGAAACATAAATGACCAGTGGATGACTTAAATGACCTTCACTGAGTTAACATGGCACTCCTAATGACCATTTGTCATGGCTCCTGGCAAACTATTTCTCACTAATATAATGATAGGGGAGTGGCTCATAGGAACCTGGTGATTTAGTGTTTACACACTAAATCCCTTTAAATTAAAAATAAACTAAGCACAAGATGCCACCTCATTTGAGGTTCACAGTGTGCCCATTCCTCCCTTTTTGGTCTAGGAGAACACTAGCCCTCTGTGAATGCATGACATAGACTCCTCTGGCTAAGATCCTCTAGTTAAAGCACCCTCCAAAAAGAAGAGCCCTCCTCTCATGGATATTATATTCATTATTAGCAAATAAATATCATTATTCCCAGAAACAATTTTGGAGGACCCACTGGGGCTTGTCTCAATTCTAGGCATTATAAAATTCAGTCCTACACTGAGCTCATCATCTTATCTCTCTTTAGGATAAATAAATGTGGGTTGCGAGATTTAATAAATAAATATACACGATGCCCAGTTAAATTCAAATTTCAGGATCAGAAGTGCGCTGTTCTCTCCTTTTGAATGGGAGAGTCTAATTGGACATTTTACAATTATAATCCATTTACTGAAAATAAAAATAAAAGTTCAAACTGAACTCTAGACTACAGAAATGGTCATTAAATGTGAAAGCTTCCTATCCCCACCCTATGAGTTATTATCAGACTTGCAGTTCATTAATTCTTGAGATATTCATGGCTTATAATTATCCTAGCTTTTCTGTCAATATAAAG
This sequence comes from Homo sapiens, assembly GCF_000001405.40. Taxonomy (NCBI): domain Eukaryota; kingdom Metazoa; phylum Chordata; class Mammalia; order Primates; family Hominidae; genus Homo; species Homo sapiens. Next base: position 126,797,226 of record NC_000007.14, read on the forward strand.
GTTACAACTTAATAAGAGTTACCACGCTAAACCTCTTAATTTTTATAAATACTTCATCTGTGTTGTGAATAGCATTAGTAAAAGTGGCTTAAACTGAATGGCCTAAGAACATCATTTGTGGTTTATCATCTATTATTTACATTTTTAACATTTAATCTGGAATTACAAGCAAAATAGCATATATTCTTGTTATTTTTTAAAATATTAAATCACCAATAACATTTCCAACTCTATTTTTTTTAAAAAATCATATTTTGGATTTCTCTAAATACCATGCCATGCTCCATGGTCCATGAATATATTCATTAGGACTGCAGCCAGCAGTGTGCAAATTTATCAATAACTCTCAAGTAACAGAAGTGAAAGGCTGCTCCAATTTGAAGTCTACTGACAATTCTCTGAAGCCAAAACCTTTTAGTCTATCAAGCATGGATTTATTCATGATTTTTGACCTTAAAAACTTTAGGGGGAGAGTGTTGAAAAATTTAAAGGTCTAATCATTGTATAAAAACTACTCTTAGAACATGAAATACTATTCTAAAATCTGTACCTAGGACTAAGATTGTGTAAAACAACAAAGGAACTCAAAATTGACTGCTCTCTCTCTTCTCCCTCATAGCAACATGAACTTTTGTCTGGCTCAAGCCCAATACTATCTAAAGATATATTTTGATGTTCCCATTAAAAGTAAGATGGAGACAACAAATATTGAACTGATAGTATTTGAAAAATGATTTGAGATTGTCTTATTTGGGGATAAGTTTACAACCCCAGGAAAACTGCAAGAAGAGAACGCCTCTAAGAGAAGGGCCAAATGACATCAAGATGCTCTGAATTCTGCACTAAAGAAAGTCTCAGAATTCTTTCCCATATTTACACGTTGCCAAGTCCAGTGTCTTCAACTTGTCTTCCATTATATTGGGATTAATACCTTAGAGCATTTTTTTTTTCCATTGTGTAGTGTGCATTACCTTCATAGGGGCAAAGAGAATGCCCCAAAGCAGATTCAAAGTGTATAACTCAGGATTAAGAAAAAAGGCTTCAACGTTTGCATTTTACCAAGATAGAACAAAGACATCAAGGAGAGTCCTGATGGGCAAAAATTACAGATCCAGATGAAATAGTCCAGAAGTCTAAGGCAAAGAAAAACTAGGTAAAAATACAAATATTTTTCTTTACATTTAGAGAAGGGAGGAAGACATGGCCATGGCCACCTCATAGTGATAGGGGTGCTTCAACATGTCCTTAAGGCCACACCCAGGATCATTCTGAATCATCAGCACATATCTGAGATAATGACAGGGATGGGCCAGTGAGAGCATCCTGTGCATCCAGTGGGATAGTAAAGAGAGTTTCAGCTTTTGAAATAGGGCTGAGCTGTCTCCATGTCAGCCTTGGCTCTTGCCTAGTAGCGGGCCTTTGTAGAAAATCAAAAGGGAAAATGGGACAGTTTCCTTCAACAAGACGTTTTACTAAACTAAACTTCTCATACGTCCAAGAGTGAAGTTCTGGGACTTGCTGCTCCTGACACATCACTGAGGACAGATGACTGGCATTTGCACAGGAGGTCAGAGAGCAGGAACCATTAGAGGGCTGGGGCTGTTGGAAAAAGCCTTACCTATGAGATGAGACTGGGAAAGTCTCCCAAGAAGTGTCTGTGTTCAACGAATGTGGATCAGAAAGAACAACAGTGATAATAACTTGGAGCAAAAGTTCCAAGGCAGAACCTAGGTAGCACTATTGGAGAACACTCCAGAGCCTGGTTTGACTGCCTCAGAGACATTATATAAGGAGCTTGGAGAAGTCATTTGGGGAGTTGAAAATGGGCCAAAGACATAGAGGGACTAAAATGCCATAGTAACTAGTGTAGACACTCTCATCTCTTGCTGCCCGAAGTGTGATCTATGGACCAGCAGCATCAACATCATCTGGGAAAAGATAGAAATGCAGATTCTCAGGGCCCACTCCAACCTCTTGAATCAGATTCTGCATTTTGACAAGATCCCCATAGGATTCTTGAACACACTGATAATTGGAGAAGTACCACTCCAGCATTTAGTGGAAACACCTGGTACTAAAACTGAAGGCACGCTCAGGAATCTCCATTTTCAACAAACATCCCACGTGAGACAAATAAGAAGATGGCAAATACCAATCAGTAGTGAGGAGCATGTTGGTCTGATGAAGATTAGTAGGATGGATGTAAGAGACAAGCAGCAATCATTTAAAATACACTAACAATAATGTAGACATGATGATATTTATGAGTAAGGTCAGACAACCGATTTTAAACAACCTCTTTGATTCTCAGCTTGGCACACAGGAACACAGGATAGATTAAGTATCAAGAATCCCTCCTTGTACCTAGAAAATTCATTCCAAAGATAGTACCTCCATTCCTTCTTCCTCCATCCCTGGACTGTAGAAAGCAGATTCCCCAGCTGGGGCACTCAGCTATTAGTAACCGAAGTACTGCTCATAGAGTACAAGAAATAGTGGCTGAAGTGTGGCAGGCATTCTATAAATGTGGTTCATGTTGTTGCTATAATAACAGCAATTATTACTAATACCTTTGCTATGCCTCCTCACCTGTCCAGTTTGCTCCCTCTAAGTTGGGTTTACTTAGCTCATTGAGACTTCTAAGAACCTGGATGAGACAGGCCTGGATTTGAGGCAAATCAGCACAAAACTTCAGAATCCAGTAATCTCCTCCTTCTCATCCCAAGGAGACTGAAGCCAGGAAAAGGAGCTGATGAGTTCCAATTACCTTTTCAGAAGATAGTTAGAATAGGAATAATCAACTTACTTTACAAAATCAGAAAGTGTATACATCCTCTTTTTTCAAGTATGATGACATGGTTATCCTCCAACACAAGCTCTAACTTTCAAGTTTTTTTTAAAATGACAATGATATTAATAATGATGAATGCTGATGAAAATATTCTACCTTGCCAAATTACTTTGTGGTTCCTTAAAAACCACAAGCTCTACGAATCTCATCATATCCTAATGCATTGCTTTGTACAGACCCAGGAAGGAGACCAGCCTCTATCATTCATCAAAGTGTCCTTCCTAATGCAGTCTACGCTCCCTTCAGAAGTCCATCTGCACACCCATCAGGCTTCCTTCTCACTCCTGTACTATGAAAGTGCTGCCTTCAGTAGACTTTCCCCCCATTTTTCCCATTTAAATATTTATAACTGTAATGCAGCCATGCCCTAGTTCATCAATAGTGATTCTTCTTATATTCAATGAAAAAGAAATGTAGAACATTAGTGAGTTAGAGGTTGGTCTCTCTTGCTACACGCTAATTTGTTTCTTTGACCAGCCTCTGAGCTTGCAGCTCACATCATCCCAACTGTGCCACTTGGAGGGCATGAAGTTTCAAAGAATATCCAGCCCTCTAGGATCCTTTATGTGGTATCCCAGCCAATAATTTGGGGAGAAAAAGTGTTCAATCCTTTTCTCAAATGTACACCAAAATAAATTCTAGATTAATTAACGTTTAAAATAAAGTGTTTAAAAGAAAATAGAGCGCTAATATTTCCCTGCCTTGAGAAAGACTTTTAAGGAATAATATTAGTCAGAAGCCTTAAAAAGAATGATTAATATGTTTAACTGAATAAAAATATAAAACTTGTAAAATATTTTTAAAGCCATGTATTATTAGTACTATTAAAAAGCAAATAAATATCTTGAATAAATATTTGTAATATCTGATGAATAAACATGTAATATTGTATATGGAAAAAGCTGCTTAAAATAAATAAGAAAAATGAGAAATATTTGAAATAAATTTTTAAAATCTAAATGGCCAAGCTTATAAATAGGATATTCAAAAAAGAGGAAACACAATCAACCAATATGCATACGAAAAGTGTTAACCTCCCTTGTATCAAACAAATACAAATCAAAGCCATGCTATAACACCTATTTTTCACCTACTAATGTCCTATATACTGCTAGTGATAGTATAAGTTGATTCCCATTCTCTAGATAACCATTTGCCAACATTTAAAAAAACTTTAAAAATGTGTATATGCTTCATGCCGCAATGCCACTTGTAGAAACATATCTTAATTAGGGGTAGAGGTGACGTCTATTAAAGCAACCAACAATAATGAACATGTATATAATGGAATGCTTTGTGACCATAAAAATTTATGATCTAGATCTATAATTATTAACTTAAAGGTTGTTGTTGATATATTGCTATATCAGAAACAACAAGTTTAATGAATAGTATTTTTCTTATAATTTATTTTGGGTAAAATGAAAATGATGATATGCTTATGTTTGCAGAGGGCACCAAAATAGTATTACTATGTGGCTGGTATTTAATAGCTTATTAATTAAATATTTTCTTTTCTGTATTATATAATTTTCTATAATACGTATGTATTAGTTATTGTAATGCATGTTGGTTAAAAATAAAAATATGTAAATATTTACAATGCAGAGGGGAGGGAGAGGGAGAGAGTCAGCAAACAAAATATTCGGAAGGGGTCCCCTCTCATAGTAAGAAGGTAAGTAGAGAGGGCTCACCCTTTCAGAGCGACTAGTTGCAGAGGGAAGAGAGGCCATAGTGGGTTGTCTGTCTCCTTTGCTTCGAGTCAGATTTTATTGCTTTGTACACTTTCTCAACTATACAAGGAACTATTAATAAAAAGAGTTAAACATCAACATTGCTCACATTGGACTGCCAGCAAGTGAGTTGCCTAATGGTTTATTTAACTAACATAAGTAATGTGTCACTATATTACTGATGCAATATTCTGAAGAACAGTGATAGCTCTACGTTTCCCTTGTTATGTTAGAAGCACTTTTTAAAATTAGCAAATAAAAACTATATATTTATGGTGTACAAAATGATGTTTTGGTATTTCATACATTGTGGAATGGCTAAATGAAGCTATTTCACACATGCGTTACCTCACATATGTATGTCTTTTTTGTGGTTAGAACACTTAAAATATGCTCTATTCTCTTGGCAATTTTCTAGTATACAATATATGGCTTCTAACTGTAGTCAGGGTGATGTACTATAGATGTTTTGAACTTACTTCTCCATATCTAACTTTGTATCCTTTGGCTAATATGTTCCCAATCTCCCTTCTCCCAGACTCTGGTAATCACTATTCTAACTTCCTGCTTCTATGAACTCAACTTTTTAAGATTCCACATAAAAGTGAGATTGTTCAGTATTTGTCTTTCTGTGCCTGGCTTATTTTACTAACCTAAGTGTTCATCAATGGATGAATGGATAAAGAAAACGTGGCATATATACACAAGGGAATGATATTCAGCCTTAAAAAAAAAGGAGCTCCTGTCATTTGAAATAACATAGTTGAGCCTGAAGGGCATTTTGATAAGTGGAATAAGTTAGAAGAACTTTTGAGTGAACCCCACACCTGTGATTTTTCTGGCCAGCCTCTTCGTTTGGCCTTCCAGAATACTCCATCAGAACACATTATCCTAACCATGCCTATTTTCCTTAAGAGCTGCAGCATAAATGGCAGAATCACTAGAAGCCATGCCACAAACTGGAATAAAACCACAAAATTAAAGTTTTAAATTAGGAAAGAAAAATCTTCATCCTTTGGAAGCACAAAGGTCAAAATGCACTGAGAATATCATGGAGACAATGACCACTTGGTTCAAGGAAATGGTGTTCATTCACATAATCACAGCATCATATAAATAAGCTAATAGACTGTGGGCCACAAACCTGGTGAACAGGCATAAATGTACAGGTCGTTCTTAGCAGGATTTACTGACCTTGAAAGTGAGATGGAGGCTGATTTAACAGAGGCAGGTCAAAGAGATCAGTTTCCAAATAGTCACTTATCTATTCGTAAATGAAAATCATCTTTGAATAAATTAGTGATTCTCTTGGTGCCTGTGAGGCCCCAAATTATTCTGGCTTTTCATTGTAAATGTTTTGGGTGTCATGATTTCATTTCCCTTTAAAACACATCCTTTACTAGTAAGGACTTTGGAACCTTGTGTCTGAAGTTCAGAGAAGCTACCAGCAGGTGGCAATATTGGTTTATTGAGTAACATCACAGGTATGTGTGGGCACAGACTGCGGGTAGCTCCATGGATACTCTCCCTAAGATGTCTAGTTTAATTCTTTCAAAATACAAAACTACTTACACAGCCTCCAGCACTTAGTTGAGAGGAGGGAACTCTAATCATAAACGTATATACTTATATAGAAAGGTAATGAGAAGCAAGGTTCTCTTTTCAAATATAAATCAAAGTCAAAAAAAATTATAGGTAGTTTGAGTCTCATGGTTAGCTGTCTTATTATCAATGTTTTCATAAATTCTATAATCAGAGCTTACATTCTTCCACATCCTCAGAGATGATCTTTGCCTTTCTTCCAGTCCTGCACATTCTAGTTATTGTGAGATTTAAGCATTGTTCTATGACTCCACAAACCAAGTAAACAAAGTCCTTAATTATCTCTAAGCAAGGGTGCTGACTACAATGGTCAAGAACTCCAGCCCCAGTATCAAACAGCCATGAATTTAAGTTGTTCACCACTTACTTGGGCAGAGTATTTATTCTCGTTAAACCTAACTGTCTTGCTCTATAACATAGTGTTAAGGATACACCTGCCTCATAGGATTAAATGAGAGATCATGTGTTTAAAGTGCTAAGTTTAAGGCAGTATGCCTGGCACATAGTAAATCGTCACTAATACTATTATCATGACTTAATGCAAGTCCCTGACTGATTGAGTACCTTTTCTTTTGTTTTAATGGTCAGATTTTAAAAATGGAATAGTTAACTTACCATTGCTTGTACACTAATCACAAAAGATGCAGAAGGGTAATTATCAAAGGGATGCACTCTCTCTTCTAAAACTGATTTCAATCTCCTCTCCTAACTGTCCTCTCAGTCTGCACTTTTGCAATTACAGCTCTTATCAATGTTGTATTCCATTGGCCTGATTCACCAGCCCCTTGGCTTTCCCTGCAGCTGTCTGGCAGCTTAGCTTTTTTCCCTTATCTCTACTACTTTAAGGAAAGCTCTTACTTAGCAGGATCACTTCTTTTCGTTATCTTTCCAAATATTCCAAACATAACCAAGATATACTGAAATGACTGCACACAATCATTTTATTTTCTACAAATCCCCTCCAACTCTATCCCGCTTCATTGTCTCATTCCTTTGTTTATTCTTCTGCCATAATTGGCCAGGTCAGGCAGCCAGTTGAAGTAAACATTTTGCCATTAACCTATTGACCGCAGAACTTTCTGTGTGAAAAACCTGGCTTGAGAGCTCCCTCCTCTCCTGTCTCTTCTCTGCATCCTTCTCCCTGCTTCCACCTTTATCTAACAGATGCAGCTTAAAGAAAATCTAGTTATAATTCCACTTCAAGATCCATTCAACGAAGACACCTGCATTTTATCCTCATTAAGGATGTGCTACAAGCTGAAAACATTACAGCCTGAACTACAAATAGTGCCCCTTTCTTTACGGCTGATTACAGCAACTTGGTTGTGGTAGTTGGTATGCCTCTGTATGTTTATAACAAAGGATATGAGATGGAATTAACTACATCTAGCTTCTGTTATGACTTACTCTACCTATGCTGAGGCTTGTTAATAATTTGTAGGACTTTCAGAATCTTAACCAACTCTATCTTGCTCTGCTAGAAACTATTCTACCAGAAACTGCACCCTCCCCTCCAAATAAATAAATCAACAGCAGGGTGAAATTTCTTGCCCAGACTGTGGTCCTCTTACCACTCAATATTCTCCATGAACCTATTCTGACACTTTCCTTCCATCTGAGATGCTGAGTATACCAATCCCAATGGTCAGCCCATAAATAGTAATAGAACTCTAACTCATGATCCCTATAATAATACGCCTAGAAAGCCAAACCGTAACTCCTAAAGAAATTGGCTCAGAAAGGTCAGGACTTGACCTTCTTAATGACTGTCAGCTTCCCTATTTTTTGTCTCCACTCTGCTTTCAACTTGGGACCAATCCAAAAAAGCCAAAAATGATCCCCCAAACCCATCACATAAGATGCCCCACCTCTGGTTAGCCTACCTTCAGCTTCCCCATGGCAATAATGTCCAATCAGAGCACAACTGGAACTATTTAACATGTATGTATTTGTTGAACAAAGCTTCCGCATCCCCCTGCCTGTCTTGGAATTAGGCAAGTGATGGTGGCTGATTCCCTTGCTGTAGCAAGCTGTGTGTGAATACCTCCACTTATTCTGCTTTGAATAGTCTTTGTTATTCCCCCAGTATTACTAGAGGTTCCACTGAGACATGGTCTGCACCACCCACTGTTTCTGTCCCTAGGTTTCAATCAGGTGCAGTACCCATGGATACCTCTTACAGCTTGCTGCTTGTGGCTTGCATCCATGCAGATGTGGAAAGTCAGCATGAGGTCTGAACTCAGCTATCTTTTCACTGAGTCCCTTGGCTGTTTATTCTGTTTGGTACCCAAGTTTTGTTATTGTCTCCCATTTGTTTGACATCCTTGGCAGGCCTTTCCTACTCACCCTCTTTGCTTTATTTCATTCTTCTGTGTCGGACTGTCTGAAAGCGTTTATCATTAGAATGAGAATCCCAGGGTAGAGCACAGGCATGAGTCCTATAAGCCTATAGTTTGAGCTGGTCTCACAGACTTTCGGTTCTCTCCAGACCAGTTTCCATTTGTACAAACTTTGCTGTGAGTCACCAACAAAACTGGACGAGGTCTTTTTTCTATTCTATTTTGTTTTTGGGGTCCTGAAGTTTTGCTTTGATTCAGACAAGAGTTTTGTCCCTGATGTTCAGCCTACTGTGTCCAGAATTGGTGGGTTCTTGGTCTTGCTGACTTCAAGAACGAAGTCGCAGACCCTCGTGGTGAGTGTTAAAGTTCTTAAAGATGGTGCACCCGGAGTTTGTTCCTTCAGATGTTCAGATGTGTCCAGAGTTTATTCCTTCCGGTGGGTTCGTGGTCTCGCTGACTTCAGGAGTGAAGCTGCAGACCTTCCCGGTGAGTGCTACAGCTCTTAAAGGCGGCGCATCTGGAGTTGTTCCTTCCTTCCAGTGGGTTCGTGGTCTCGCGGCCTTCAGGAGTGAAGCTGCAGACCTTTGCCATGAGTGTTACAGCTCAGAAAGCTGGCACGGACACAGAGTGAGCAGCAGGAAGATTTATTGCAAAGAGCGAAAGAACAAAACCTCCAAAGTCCAGAAGAGGACCCGAGTGCATTGTGGCTGCTTGCGCAGCTGGCCTGCTTTTATTCCCCTATCTGGCCCCACCCACATCCTGCTGATTGGTCCATTTTACAGAGAGCTGATTGGTCCGTTTTGACAGAGTGCTGATTGGTGCATTTACAAACCTTTGGCTAGACACAGAGTGCTGATTGGTACGTTTACAATCCTTTAGCTAAACAGAAAAGTTCTCCAAGTCCCCACCCATCCCAGAAACCCAGCCGGCTTCACCTGTCACTGGCATGCGTCGCGGGACTTTGCGGCACCTAGCCAGCCACTCTGGCAGCCCAGAGGGAGCTCGCCCCCCAGTCAAGCCCAGCAGGTGCCTGCCGGCTGTGCCGCTGAGTGCGGGGCTTGCGGAGCCCGCGCCTACCCGGAACCGCGCCGGTGGCCACCCGTAAGCCCCAGCTCCCACCCGCGCGTCTCCCTCCACACCTCCCCGCGAGCAGAGGGAGCCGGCTCTGGCCTCGGCCAGCCCCAGAGAGGGGCCCCCACAGCTCAGCGGTGGGCTGAAGGGCTCCTCGAGCGCGGCCAGAGCGGACGCCGAGGCCAACAAGGAACCGAGAGTGAGCGAGGGCTGCTAGCATGTTGTCACCTCTCACTACCAGGGGATATACATTGTCAGGTCTGCATTTATAGGCAGCTGACTTGTTGAGGACCTGAGACATGAAGTACACAAGCATTACTTTTGACTAAGTTTTGGCAGGTCTCATGAGGTTAAGACTAGGTCTTCTCCTCCAAGAAAAACTTCTGCTTCTTTTATGTACTGTCATTGCAGTCGTAACTCTTGAGCATAGCTCTCTAAATGGCACAAGTTCACAAAAAAAAATATTGAGACCAAAGGCTACTTCGACTTGAAAAAAAATGTTCATTTGAGAGGTGCCTTAGGAAAAAAAAGGAATAAGATTTCTCAGGCCTAAGGAGCAGCGTTTTTCTCTTGTGCAGAGGTCTCCAAATGAAATTCTGATTTCTTCACTAAAACTTCTTCACTAAAAGATGCTTTGGTCTAGGCTAACCCTCGGTTTGACAAACTTAAAAATCAAGCGAGATGCATTTCCCTAGTAAATCCCTGTTTTCCTAGTCCTTCAGTTGCCTCCTTATATCCAGGTTTCCCTTTTGCCTCTTCCCCCTTCATTATATTATCTCTCCTGCCACTCTTCCATCATCTCCTCCCTTCACTTCTCCTTGTCTGGACTCCCTACATTTTCCAAATGATTCTCCTAAAACCCTAAAATCCCAGTTGCCTCTAAAGACCCATCCGTCCTAGTCCCAAGTGGTCCCAGGCATGTAGGCAATTCTAGAATTTAGGCCTCAGATCTGAGCTGAATTAAAAGCTATAATTAAGGATTTTCCTAACTCCACACAAGACTAGCACGTACTCATGGAATAATTTAGACTATTTTGAGTGCCTACAACCCATAGATACTTGACCTATGACAACTTAAATGTATGTTGGTTGGAACCTCAGACACTAAATCCTAAATGACAAAAATGGACCGGAATGACTCAAAAAGGAGACCTAGATGATCCCTCTTTCCACAATAAACCTCAGGGTAGAAAAAAATATCCTAGTCCTGAAACAGCTACAGTAAAAATAGATTGGGCTATAATTCAATCATGCAAACAGAGAAAACATGACACTATAGGATATTTGTCAATGGATTACATGTGAAATTGGAGACTCAATTTAGAAACAGAAATTAGCATAAGAAGTAGACTCTTTTACCTGAGTTACAATATCATACAGAACATTTTTAAAGGGCTTCAGAACCCAAACAAGACAAGACCCAAAATAAACTTAAGAGACCTGCAGATCAAACAGCTAGGTAGCTCACTTTCTGACCCATCACCTACCGAAAAGGATACTTGCAAGTATTAAAAACAGAAGAGACACTGGAAAAAAGGATTGTCCCATCATGCAAAATAAACACCAAGTCAAAGAAAAATCTCTCAATTCAGATCTGTGAGGGTAATCTGAAGAAAGAAAAAGCACCCAATATCCTACCTTACTGTAAACACTCAAGATGAATTAACTGTAATATAGATGGTCAACCTGCTGGCAGGTACAAGAGCTACTCTGTCTTCATTACACCCTGTTACCTTTGTTCAGCCTCTTCCTTAGAGCAAACATACAACATAGGTGGTAGGTTTTTCAAATAATGCACAGATTGTTCCTATATCTCAATCTTTAACTGTAATCCTTGGGCTCTTGAGTAAAAAACATTCCTTCCTTCTCTGTGATAAAATCCCTGAAATTTTAATAGGAAGTGACTTACTTTGCAAATTAAACTGTAGTATGAAATGCAAACCAGAAGAACTATTTCTTGAGGTTCCAGAGTCCTCCTCTATTCATTATCAAATTGTGTCTGCTCTGGTATGTCTTTGCCTCCTCCATTACATTTGATGCCTACCACAGATAAAGCTCCTGATATATGGATTAGTTTCCTATTGAAGCTGTAACAAATTACCACAAACATAGTGGCTTAAAACAACACATATTTATTATTTTACAGTTCTGTAGGTCATAAGTGCAAAATGGGTCTAACTGGGCTAAAATCAAGAGTCACCAGAGTTGCATTAGTCCTAGAATCTCACAGGGAGAATCTGTTCCCTTGCGTATTTTATCTTTTAAAAGCCACCTAAATTCCATGGCTCATGGCCTCTTCCTCCACTTTCAAAAGAAGCAGTGGGGCATCTTGAAATCTCTCTAACACAAGCCTTCTTCTTCTACTTATAAGGACCACTGTGATTATATTGGGCCCACCTGGATAATGTAAAAGTCAACTAATTAGCAATCTTAATTCCATCTACAAACTGAACCCCCTTGACATATAGGATGACATAGTTTCTGGTCAGTAGGAGGTGAACATCTTTGAGGGGCTATTATTCTGCTTACCACAACATTTTACCTGACATTGCATGGGCTAAAATTTCTGCTGATATAGGAAAAATAATTAGAGGGAAATCTATTAAACTTCAGACAGATTCTACCAGACAGTTATCCAAACTCCCCCAATATCCAAAAGCAAAGGAAGGACTTAAACCTATAGATAAAAGCCTTATATCAAAGACCTTCCCATACTCTACACTAGCCTTTGTAACACTCCCGTTCTGCCAGTAAAGAAACCAAAGAAGTGAGAATATTGATTTGTTCAAGACCTCAGGGCCATCCACAAAATTATTATCCTTAATTTCCCCATAGAATGTAACCTAACTACCATCCTCTCATCAATTCCAAATGCCAGCCACTTGCTGCACTGGGACAGATCTCTGCTCTGCCCTTTTCAGAGTGTCTGTAGTGAAGTCAATGCCTTTATACCTTCACCTGGGGAGTGCAACAATATACTCTGACAGTCATGCCTTAGGGGTTCACTAAAGACCCTCCTATTTTCCTAGATTCTCAAATAAGACTTAAAAGACATAGGTTTCCCTTCTGATTCAGTTTTGATACAGTATGTAGATAATCTCTTACTTTGTTCACAGGACAACAAAGCCTGTAAGAGGAATTCCACTTACTCTCAGTCTTAGCAGAAAAGGACATAACATTTCAAAAAATAAATTACAATTATGTCAAAATAGAGTCAATTATTTAGGGTATGACCTATGTATAAAGGGGAAAACATACTCTCATTATAAAGACAATTCAACTTGTCCTGGCCCTCTAATAAATGACAACTTAGAGAAATTCTAAGTTTAATTGATACTGAAGATAATGAGTGCCAAACTTTTCTGGGATTGCAACATCTCTTTATGAATTGACTAGGGCTTCAATAAAAGATACTCTCCTCTAAGAGGAAAAACATGAACAGGGCTTCTGTAATCCAAAGAAGGCTCTTTAAGAGCCTCACCTTCTCTAAGTACCCTTAACTACAAAAAGCTCTTTTATCTATTTGTGCATGAGTAATCTGGACAGGTTGAGGTTTAAACTCAAATTCAAGAGAAGCATCAGAAACACACTGCTTACTATAACTGCACCCATGACCCGGTTGCACAGACTTAGCCTCCTTGTCTCAGGACAATAGCCACTGCTGCAAAAATTGTCAATGCTTCTGCTGAATTAGTTCTTAGCTCCCCACTTGACTTCATGGTTCCTTACACAGTACAGACATTACTACTGACTAAGAGCAAACAATGCTTTTCAGCCAGTTGGTTAACCTCTTATGAGACTCTGTTACTGTCTCCCTCCCACATTACTAAAATTCACCACTACAGTACCCTAAGTCCTCCCACTCTCCTGCTCCTACCAAAAGAAGGGAAACTTTACAATTATCTTACCTAAGTGAAGGAACTTTATGTACCTCACTCAGATTTGTTAGAGATTCCCATTGGAAACTCTCACCTAATATGATTTGTTGGCGGATGTCTCAAAACAGAAACTTGAGGTTATCAAACAGGATATGTTATCCCTCACTAATTTAAGGTCTCCTTTAGAGTACACTTGGCCCTCCACATCTGTAGGCTCCTCAACCAAGAATTCCACCAACCACAGATAGAAAATATTCAGGAGAGTTTTCCCTAGGTTTTCTTCAAGTATTGTTATAGTATCAGGTCTCACATTTAAGTCTTTAACCCATCTTGAGTTGATATTTGTATATGGTGAGAGATAGAGGCCCAGTTTCATTCTTCTGCGTATGGCTATCCAATTTTCCCAGCATCATTTATGGAAAAGCGTGTTCATTCCCAATGTATGTTCTTGTAGACTTTGTCAAAGATTGATTGGCTGTAAGTATGTGGCTTTATTTCTGGCTACTCTATTCTGTTCATTGATCTATATGTCTGTTTTTATACTGGTACCATGCCGTTTTGGTTACTATAGCTTTGTAGTATAATTTGAATTCAGGTAATGTGATACCTCCTGCTTTGTTCTTTTTGCTTGCTTTGGGTATTCGGGATTTTTTTTTTCTTTGGTTTCATACAGGTTTTAGGATTTTTTTTCTAATTTCATGAAAAAAGACACTGGTATTTTGGTAGGAAGTGCATTGAATATATAGTTTTGGGTAGTATGGTCATTTTAATGACATTAATTCTTCTGAATCATGAGAATAGGATGTTGTTCCATTTTTTAATGTCATCTACAATTTATTCATTAGTGTTTTGTAGTTTTCCTTGTAGACATCGTTCACTTCCTTGGTTAAATATATTCCTAGGTATTTTGAGGTTTTCTGTGGCTATAATAAATGGGGTTACCTTCTTGATTTGATTCTCAGCTAGATGATTATTGGTGTATACAAAGTTTACTTATTTTTATTTGTTGATTTTGTACCCTGAAACTTTACTGGATTCATTTATCAAATCTAGTTTTTTGGTAGAGTCTTCAGGGTTTTCTAGATGTAAGATTATATCATCAGTGAATAGGGATAATTTGGCATCCTTTTTTTTCCAGTTTGAATGTCTTTTCTTTCTTCTTGCCTAATTGCTGTGGCTAGGACCTCCAGTACTATATTGAATAGGAGTGGTGAAAGTGGGCATATTTGTATTGTTCCAGTTCTTAGAAGAAATGATAGGCAACGAAGATTTTGAAGGGTGGAGGGGTGAGAGGGGTGAAGATGAAAAGTTACTTAATAGGTACAATATGCATTATTCTGGTGAAGGATACACTAAAAACCCTGAGTTCGCCACTATGCAATATATCCATGTAACCAAATTACACTTGTACCCCATAAATTTATACAAATAGCTTTTTAAAAAAATTAGAAAAAATAATACAAATAAAAAATACAGTAAACAACCATTTGCATAGCATTTACATATATTAGGTATTTTAAGCAATCATGAGATGATTTAAAGTATAGTCATGCATTAATTAATGAGGGGGATACTTTATGAGAAATGCATTGTTAGATAATTTTATCATTGTGCGAACATTACAGACTGTACTTACACAAACCTAGGTGGTATAGCTTACTACACAACTAGGCTATGTGGTACACCCTAGCGCTCCTAGGCTGTAAAGATATACAACATGTTACTATACTGAATAGTATAAGTAATTGTAACACAATGGTAAGTACATAGGAGAGGTACAGTAAAAGTATGGTATTATAATCTTAGGGTATCACTGTTGCAAATGAAGTCCGTCATTGACCAAAACATTGTTATGTGGCCCATGACTGCATACAGGAGGATATGTGTAGATTATATGCAAATATTACATTTTATATAGGAAAGTTGAGTGTACTTGAATTTTGGTATCTGTAGGAGGAGTCCTGAAACTAATCCCCAGCAGATACCAAGGGAGGACACTCTATACTCCTCCAACTGAGGTACCATCAGCTCAGGTGGCAGAACGTATTATGCTTACTAGAGCTTACAATCTAACAAAACCCTAGAAAGTAAACATGCATACATAGAGCAGGTATGCTTTTGCAGTAGTACATGACTTTGGGATGCTTTGCAACCAAGGAGGTTTCTCATCTCTGCTGGAACTTCCATCAAAAACAGACAGGAAACTTTTATGCAGTCTACCACCAATGGGCATTTAGGTTGATTTCATAGCTTTGCTATTGTGAATAGTGCTGCAGTGAACATTTACCTGTATGTGTTTTTATGCCTACCAGGGGTTGTAGGGTGGGAGGAGTGAGAGGATCTATAAAAATAACTAAAGGGAACTAAGCTTAATACCTGGGTGATGAAATAATCTGTACAACAAACCCCTATGACCCAGGTTTACCTATATAACCTACGCATGTACCCCTGAACTTAAAAGTTTAAAAAAAGAAACTTTTAGATGCTTCCTAGGGAGGTGACTATTACAAAGGTTGAAGCCCATACAAAAACTGATAGTATGAAAGTTTGGGGAAAATGCTATAGCAGATCATTCTGCCAATAAGCAGGCTTCACCAAGGTTATGAGCCTAATTAAACTCTCAAAGAATAAATCCCTTGAAATATTCAAAAAGGCCGTTATGAAATATCAATGTTAAGTTCCTAAAAAGTCCTAAAAAGGAAGAATGGAAAAACTCTGGTTGCACATTTCACACAGATCATCTCTGGCACCCCCAATGAGGACACTGGAGACATGAATAACTTCCAATGGATATGAACAAAATTTCTCTATAAAACTACTCATCATGGTACAGACAAATTGGTTACTATCTTAAATCATCATTGGTGGGGAAGATTTATGGACTGATGAGGCTATTTTTAGATCATGTGTCACCTGTCAACCCAACAGCATCTTGGAGAAACTATAAAGGTGGATGTGAAACCTCAAGAACCCTTAACACCCTCAGATAGGTTTTGTCCAATTTCCATTCTCCATGAAACTTGTATGCCTATTTTCAGGATCGGTTGAAACATTTCCTTGCTGAAAAGCTACAGCCTTCACAATCAGTACAAAGCTCCTTGATAATGCATTTCTAATTTGGGGCATACCAACTTTTATAACAAGTAACCAAGGCTCATGTTTTATGGGAGCCATTGTAAAAGAAATTTGTAATGCATTGTCCCTTACTCAAAAATGACACTGCCTTTATTACTCACAATTTTCTAGAAAAGTTGCAAGAACCACTAGCATCATTAAAATTAGCAAGCTTTCTGAAGGACGTGAGCCTCCTTTGGGAGGCCAAAGTTATTTCCACCAGCACTTATGGCCATATGGTCCACCTGCTCAGAGAATTACTGGTTATCTATCTATGAACTGGTAACTGGAAGGCCCCTTCATTTATGGACACCACCTACAGTATTAGACTACCCTGCTACACAAAAATATGACAAAATAGCAAAAGAGGCTCATGTAGTATACTCAGTTTTATCACCAATAAGTTAAGATTGACTTCTTAACTTGTTTACAATCCTTTCCTACACAGCCTCTTTATGATCTTCAACAGGAGATCCTGATTATTAGAACAGACATTAGAAAAAACTGTTCTTGAACCTCCCCTGTAAGGGACCTTATCAGATACTTTTAACAACAAATACATCATTGAAACTCCAGAGATCAATCCTTGGATTCATGTTTCATAACTAAAGAAGCAATTCAATATTCTATACAACTGGAAGGCTACTCCAACAGAAAAACTTAAACAGAATTCTTAGAGATATTATAGAAATAGTTGGTCTTCAGAAGCAGATGGCTGATCCAAAACCTCCAGAAAAAGATGATCTTGGACAGTAGACAGCTTGCACCCAATACATCCAACCTAAAACCCCTGCATTCTTGTTTGTTTTTCAATCTTCTTACCTGTTACCACTCTCCTTATTTTCCATAGAGCTCTGATTGTCATCCACTAATAATGGTTCTTTTTCTCTTTTTTTTTTGTCTATTATAATTAAGTCAGAACATACTCATTCTAATGCCATTCTTATATTTTTTTTTTCAAAAATAAGCCACTGCCCTCAATATTACAGACTGCTGTATAGGTCAACCAGAACCAGAACCCCTGATAAAAAACCTCTGAGCAATCCTAGTCTCATCAAATGATACCCCAGCAAATTATAATCAGTGACATTTCCACTTGTACCTACATGGACAAATGACTTTAAACAAATCAACCTAAGACTTTGCTGTTGTCTCTCTATACCAGAAAAAGAACCAATTCTTACTGCCTGTTTATCAGACTCTATATAATTCTAAATTTGAATTCCATAATCTTCACTGGACAATGGGCCAATTACTTGATGCCAGGAAGACAGTAATAGAGATTCAAATAGGTAAACTCAGCTAATGTGAGGCCTTGGTTCCAACCTCATGTCATGAATAATTCTTTTTGTCCATGGCTGTCCAGTTCGTGACAAAAATTCCTGGTCTCATCTGCCTCAGGCTAACACCTCAAGTCTTTTTGGTACACAGAGGCCCTGATTCTATAAATCATCAAGGCTGGAAATTCTGACTCAAATACAAGTTCCAAAATGAGGCCACCTTTGAAGCATTCTATCAGGGAGAATTACTGACTCATTGTTTATATGAATAATCAGAACAGTGTTCCCAACACCAGAAATCGTATACATAGAAAAGACTAAGAAATTTAACATTAACTCTAACAGAAGTTATTAACAGTACCAACTCTGCCCTAGATGTAATACACATCAGTCTTAACTCATCAGCAGTAGTAATGCATAATATCATTGCTCTAATTTCTTGTTGGCTAGCCATGGTGGAATCTGTGCCAATAGTAATACTTCTTGCTGTACATGAATTAATAAAACAGGCAAGGTAGTACAGGCTATATGCTACCTTATGAAAAAGCTACCTAAATCTCTAAGGTGATCCTCATGCCCTGTAGAAATTTTTCTCACAGCCTGAATTGGGCAATTTAGGTTCTTGGACCCAAAACATCTTATAAGGACTATAAACTATTCTTCTTTTTGTCATAGTGCTCATGATGCTGATCTGTTGCATGCTATCTAGAGTCTTAGATACTTCTGTGCAGCCACTCTCTTATCAGATGATAGCCATGATGATAACACAACAAAAAGGTCAAGATCTTGGGAAATGATGACTATATGTACAACTGAACAATCCGTAAATGGTGAAGGTCTTAAGCCTTCCATGAGAATGATGCAAAGGTGAGACTGAGACTAAACATACAAATACACAAAGGCCAGATTTTTATATATATATATATAGTCACAATATATGAAAATAGCACTCTAATGCACAATCTCCACAGCAATGAGCCTGGGAAACCAAACCACAGTCTGCAGGCTTCAGACAGCTTCCCTACATTTTGTCCCTAGTCTCAACTCAGGGCCAAAAGAAAAATCCAAATATGCATCCCAAACCAAACACGTAAGATGCCCCACTTCCAGATGGCTTACCTCCAGCTTTCCCATGCCAAGAATGTCCTATCAGAGCATGTATAGTATCTTTGCTTTTTTAAATTCAATATAAGGCTTTACCACCCTCCTGCCTATCTCTGAATCTCTGAAAAGTGCAAGTGATGGTATGTGGAACTATAACAAACTCTGAATAAATAGTTTGTTATCATTTAGGTAGTTTTAATTTATTTTCACACATCCTTGTACAATGTCCACAGGCAACCCAGAATACTAAACTCTAGCAAGTGTACCCATAATGTAGGAAAGTAAATAGACCTTAAAATCACCAGTTCTGATATTCAATATATATCTAACCTTGGAAAAGATTGTTAATATCTCTAAGTCCTAGTTTCCTCTTCTGAAAAATAAGAGTAATGTAATCACCTAAATGGATTTGGTGTAATGATTAAATGTCATGATGATGATGATGATGATGGTTTCTGGTAGTAGCTATGTTCTTCAGATGGGATGGTAACTGTGTCTTGCTGTTTGCTACCTAATGTGAGATAGTATATGATTTTGTGTGTGTGTGTGTGTGTGTGTGTGTGTGTGTGTGTAGTGTAGCGTATAATTTCAAGCATATACAGAGGTACACAAATAGTATGACAAATCTCAATGGATTCATCACCCAGTTGCACAAATTATCAACTCATGGGCAATCTTTTTTATCCATAGTCCTTCTATTCACGCTTCCATTATATTTTGTTTGAAGAAAATCCCAAACATCATTATTTCATTTGTAATATTTCATTATATATCTTTAAGAAATAAAGACTCTTATGAAATATAACCACATTATTATACTCCTTTAAAAATCCTTAATATCTAATATCAATTTCTCATGCTATGAATCTAATATGATGAAAAGTTCAACATTGATTTATATACACTTCAATTGTTTCCACACATTTATGGCTCCTTTTCTTCATTTCTATTTTTCTTTAAAATGGTGTTCATAAAAATGTATGGTTACTAACTGGATTACTTCTATATTTTTGACAAGGGGCAGAATTTGGAATACAACTGAATTTTGTCTCCATTAATACCTACCTTCACTACCTTTGGTGAATATTCCTTATATCTTATAATTTCTTGCTATTTTAATATCTAAACAACCTAGAGTAGGCTGTGTAATATTTACTATTTAGCTCCTTCTAGTACAGTGAAGGAATTACAATAAAATGATACTATGGAGAATATGCATGGGGCTTCACTTAATCAATGTCATAAATATCCATTTAAATATTTTCAAAATATTTACCAGTTCCCTTAGAAATAATTTACTTGAGGGGTGATGAGTTCTTGCTTGTCTGATTCATTTGTAAGGTTCAGTTTATTTACTGAGGATTATCGATGTACAGTTACCAGTAAATTTAGAAAGTATCCTGTAGGTTGCATATTTACGAAAAGTCCTTCCCTATCATTTATCATCCTCTAAACACATCCTAACCACTTTTGCTATCATCAGTTTTGAGCAATTGATTTTCAGAAGCAGACATTTGAGGGGAGTGGCTGAAAGGGAGGTCGTTTGAGCATTGCTGTTTTATGAGTCAATAACCCACCTCAATGAAAAAGAATTAATTTCACTGAGGTAAGTAAAATGTCCTTTTAAAAGGATAAAATGAAAATATCATACATTCATTCTGTATAGTTACATCGTTAGATTTTCTATTTTTAAAAATTTCCTCTGGACACACTTTATTTTCCCAAACTATAGTAAATACCACAGCAAACAAAAATTTTTGCAAGCCTTATGGAATTAAAAAAACAACACTTAGAATCAAAGGACATTCAACTAGTGAATTATTGCACATAAGTCTTAAACTTCTTTGACTCTTTTTGTGAACAGCAGGAACAGTGAAATTAAACAAAAAATTATTAAAGGATTTGTTTCCAACTGGATAAAAAGGAAGATGGTAAAGGAAAAGGAATCTTCTAAGAAAACTGTGACTCTTTAATATCTTAATAGAACATATATTAGTCAAATGTAATATTAACAGAAATGTCTCATTTGTACCAGTCAAACAATAAAATTGGCTTCTAGACGAGATATTTTCATTCCATAAATCTTAGGAAACGTAACTTGAGATATTTAGTAAAAGCATGCCCTAAAACCCGTTAAATCTAAATTTAATTTTCTGTGGTATTGGCTAAGGGTTTGATTATCTTCTTTAAGTGAATAAAATCAACTGTTCTGTTAAATATTTTCCAGGAAGGAAAACCAGAAGATATAATTGCAGGAGACAAGGATAACCTCTTCTTGCTTACTGTCATTAAATTAAGGTTTAGACCCTCAATGCAATAAAAAAAATCAAATGTCAAATCTTTCAGCTATAATAATTTTATTTTTCCTGGTTTATTCAGTCTGCCTCAGATAAAATCTGTAAAAGCGAAAATGCTCTGAGTCATACATTTAAAATTTTAAAAGTTGTAACCACATCACTCTTACCAGAATTAATCTTGGCACTGTGATGAACCAAGGTAAGTAATTTTTCTCTAGCATTAAGATTCTCTTCTATGCTAAATTCCAGCTATGTTCAAACATAAGGATATCACATCTAATTATTAAAACTTTGACAAGGAAATGATAGTAGTAAGGTGAATGACTCATTGCCTAATACTCAGCTGTCCCATGTCAGCAAACCCATTCATTCTTGGCAGAACTGGAGGCATACTTCAGTCTACAGGTATACCTTGGAATATCAATCAATTAGGGATTCCTTCCAAATCCAATTATTACCAACCCCTGTCACTTCCACCTTCTGAGAGTCTCTCTAATCCATCCCACTGCTAATACCCCAGTTCAGGCCCCCTTCAGCTCTCACCTGAACTGCAACTAGGGCGGCCATCTGAGGGATCTCCCGTTTCTGTGTCTACCCAGCCAGCAATTGATCCTTAACTGAACAGGAGATCTGTCTTCCCAGAGAACAAATCTTTGGATGGCAAACAAGCAAGAGAGTCACACACAAAATATTTCACAATTTAGTTTCACCATAGTTTATCATATTATCGTCCCCTCACTCTCCCCTTTCTCACTCCCTTCCTATTCAGACAGACACACATACACACACACACACACACACACGTGCACGCGCAAACTCCACATTAACCCTAATCTCACAACTTCCCAGATATAGAGCCACTTTAATAACCTTTGAAACCACATTGGACTCATTTTCACATTCCTACAAATACACTCACAAAGCATTGTAAATATTTGTTGTGTCTATTGCCTCTCTGCTAAACTATGAATTTCATGGGGGAAGTAATCGTGTCTTAGTCTTCATCATATTAATCTCTTTGATAAATATTCATCAAAGCGAAACTAATTCTAACAAATCAATGTAATATAATAAATATTCAATAAATAAACTATGAATATTTAAGTATTCATTAAATGTTAAAGATGCCATTTCGACTTCATTTAATTTTATTGGAATTTATGTTAAAATTTGTAAAATATGAGTAAGACCTTAGCTCGTTCAATACAACAAAATACATTCTAGAAATATTAACAATGTAAATAGATTTTTTAAAAAAACTATAGAAATACTAGTAGGAAATAAAAAGTCACATTTATATCATGTTGGGGAATGGAAAAGACCTTTCTAAGCATGAATCCGAAGGCAACCATCAATAAAAAGAAAGCAATATCAGCTTTTTCAATTAAAAAAAAATTCCATAGCAGAGTTATAGCAATATAACCTTCAGCAATGATGGAAAAATTTTATAGGTACACTGTCTAATACAGTAGCTTCTACCCACACATAACTACTGGATGCTTGAAATTTAGCTAGTAAGACTTCCTAACTAAATTTTTAATTTTATTTCATTTTAGGAATTTTATTTCATTTAAACAATTCAAATTACATTTAAATTTCATAGCCACTTGTTAATGGCTATTTTTTGAACAGTGTGGTTCTATCAGTTTAAATAAAATCTTCTAGAAAGAAAGTAAAAATGCAAACCACAAAACTGAAAATAAAATATTTGAAATACACCTATTGAATAAATACATTATATCTTCAAAACATAAACTGTTCTTACAAATTCCTCAAAAAATTATCTTTTGGAAAAATAGTTACAGATGATATACAAAATGAGAAATATAGATGGCTAATAAATATATGAAAAGCATTCACCACTCACTACTAATCAAAGAAATCCAAATTGAAACAATATACTGACTGCTGTCACTTCTTCAGCACCACCCTATCTTCACCTCATTTCCATTGGTTAGATTTGAGTCTATCCATTCTACCTTTTCTTAACAACATCTTTATCTTCCTTAATCAATTATTTTTCTGGCACCCACCTGACAAAAACTGAACCTTGGATAAATTCAACAGTCCACGTCATGAACTAGAGATCACATAATAGAAAACCATATGAGACAGTAAAACCACGGATAGGTGTGGTCTTGCCACCTCATTCTCAGCACAGCCTGGACATCCTCTACATGTTCTTTACCAGTTCTTTCTCTCTCTCTCTGTTTCTCCACACTGGCTGCTTAAACCCTTTCTGCTCTCTCAAATTTCCAACCCTGCCATCTTCCTCCTATGAGCTGAAGGCCTCACCACTGCTTCACAAAGAAATTAAAGACCATCCTAGGGCACGGTGGCTCATGCCTGTAATCATAGAACTTTGAGAGGCCAAGGTGGGCGGATCGCTTGAGGCCAGGAGTTTGAGAGCAGCCTGGGCAAAATGGCGAAAGCCTGTCTCTGCAAAAACTACAAAAATTAGCCGGGCATGGTGGCACACACCTGTAGTCCCAACTACCTCAGGAGGCTGAGGCAGAAGAACTGCTTGAACCTGGGAGGCAGAGGTTACAGTGAGCTGAGATTGTGCCACTGCACTTCAGCCTGGGCGACGGAGCAAGACTCTGTCTCAATCTCCAACCAGTATAAATGACACACAGTTATTACCTTTCTACTGATCCCTTAAACTTCCCCAACTATTACCACAGATGCAATGTCAATATTTATTTCACCATTTGCTGGATTTCACCCTTTGTTTCCTATCTCCTCTTTTCCTTGTATTTTCTATTCTCTTCATCTAATGCACCCATCCTTCAAGCATTTAAATATACCAAATTCTCTCCTGTTTTGAAAAGACACATACTGCAGTGCCTTAGGAAATCAGCCTCAAAATCCGAGCTCTACCATTACCGCTGTGTGATCATGTTTGGCCCCTGTCATGTTTCCCTTTCTGTATCTACAAAAGTGGAATAACAACAACATTCCATCCATAGTATAGTTACGAACAGGGAATGAAAAAGTTTCCACAAAGCACTTAGCATGGTCCCTGGCATATGATAACCTCTTGGAAAACATCAGCAATCATTTTCACTTTTTGAAATGATTTTGAGCTCTCCTCAGCTTCATATTCTTTCCAGCCATCCCCCATCACTCTCCTTCCTTTCAGAGCAATTCTTTTTTCTTAGCTAATTTTAGATTTAAAGAAAAGTTTCCAGGTACTACAAAGAGTTCCCATATTCCCCTTATCCTGGTTCCCCTAAAGCTAATACATTGCATAACCATGGTACAATTATCAAAACTAGGAAATTATCATCAGTGCAATACTATATTAAATTACAGGCCTTTTCCGGATCTGACCAGTTTTTTCATAATGTAATTTTCTATTCCAGGATCCAGTCCAGAATCCCACATTGCAACTGTGATTTCTCCTTAGTCTCCTATAATCCATAGCAATTCCTTTCTCTTTCCCAGTCATGATCTCAACACCTTTGAAAATAACTAATCAGTTATTTGGTAGACTCTTCTTCATTGGGGGTTTGTCTGATATTTATTCATTATTAAATTTTGAAAACTTACATTTTTTAGTAAGAATGCCACAGAGCTGACACTGTGTCCTTCTCAAGGCATCATATCAAGAGATCATGATAGCAGTATGTCACAGGAAAGTGTTTTGTAAGAATTATATCCTCTCACTGACTCCATTTCATTTCCTCTTGCTTCTCAATCTACTGTTCACTGGCCTCAGTCTCCATCAGTCCATTGAAACTGTTCTGGTTAAGGACACCAAGAACTCTCTTGTCATTTAAAGTTTCTTTAAAAGAAACTTCTCAAGCCTTTACTCCTAGACCACATAGTATTTTTGACACTGCTGAGGACTATCTTCTTTACACATGCATTTAGCTGCCACAACACATTTGCATGATTTACCACTGATTTTTTATTTTATGAGTGCTTACCTGCACTCAGGCCCTTCCTTCCTTCCTTTCCTTCCTTCCTCTTTTATTTTTCTTTCTTTTCCTCTGTCTTTCTCCTTCTCTCCTTCCTTCCCTTCCCTTCCTTGTCTCTCTCTTTCTTTCTTTCCCTCCTTCATTCTCTCCCTTACTTTAGAGATGGGATCTCACTATGTTGCCCAGGCTGGAGTGCAGTGTCTATTCACAGGCATGGTCATAGCACACTACAGCCTCAGACTCCTGCGGCTCAAGTGATCTTCCTGCCTCAGCCTCAAAGTATCTGGAATTATAGACTCCTATCTCTTAGTGCTTTCCTCAGTCCCCTTTCCTGGCTCCTTTTATGATAAACTACCTCTGAACGTTGAGAGTGCTTATCTCTGACTACACATTCTTCCTAGATTAATGCATCTACATATCTGGTTTTACTTGCTATCCAGATGCAGACAATTCCCACATCAATGCCTTCAACACATTTCTGTCTCCTAGTCTTCATCCCATATACACAACTGTATTCCAAACATCTCTAAGGGATAGCCTACAGGAATTACAAATGGAACAGATCCCCCAACCAACTCTACTATGATTCTAAAGTTGAGCCTTCTAAAATATGATTTATTTTATGCCACCAAACCTACTAAGCCACTTATACATATAAACACAACAAAGTAGACAGTAGGTAAAGAATGTCATATGGTCTTTGAAATAAGATTTTATTAATGCAGTCTAAGCCTGCAATTAGATTTTGTGATAGTCACATCATATAACTGACACATAAGCTGACCACAAAAGAAAAGCTTCTATTTTAAAAATAAACATATAGCCGTAGCTGTTTTTCCAATCCTGTAATTGTATGGGTAAAATTTAGGACATGCTACATCACTCTGTTTAATTTGGTCCTCATTCCAGTCTGACATAATTTGGGATCCAAATGCAGTAATCCAACTAGCTGTTAAATTAAGATACACTGAGCAAACACTACTAGAGATACAGAAGTGAGGCAGAGTATTAGTTGTCCCTTCAATCCATTCTTCTCTTTATCCATAGTATTGCAGTTTAATCTAGGTCCCTGGCCATTATCTAGATGTGACCCTGTCTAAGATAAATATAATAGGGGCCACATATGTAATTTTAAAATTTATGATTGCCACATTAAGTAAATAAAGGTGAAATTAACTTCAGTTACATATCTGGTTTAGCCAATACATCCAAAATATTATCATTTCAAAATGTTATCAATATTAAAAATATTTAGATATTATGCATTCTTTTTTTCATTCTACGTTTCTGCAATCAATGTGTATGTTAAACTCAGAACATATGTTAATCCAGAGCAGCCACATTTCAAGGGCTCAGTAGGCTCACTTGAATAGTTGAGAGGTAGAGAGACTGCATTTATGGTACAGCAGCTTAAACCTTAACTCAATGTACACAAGAGTTGAACAAGCAACCACATTCCAGGTCCTAAATTTGCCTTCTCTCCTAGCTGCAAATTTGGTGGCTGGTGGATTTCCATATTTCCATATATAAGATAATGTGTTTGTGTGTGTGTGTCAAAGCAGAGGTTCAGGGAGAGAGAAGGCAATCTCTCTTAAATCTGTATTTGCATAAAAATAACACTTTTGTTTAGATTCCATGTTACCAGTCAATAAATATAGGATATCTAAAAATTATTTTATTCATTTTTACATAAAACTAAAGAAACTGTTATTCATATTAAAATATGGTCATCACTGTTATTATTATTATTTCTTAGGTTGAGATAAGCATTGTTTATCCTTCAATTAGTCATTTCATGTTCTCCAGTGGCAGACAGCCTGGGTGAATTTATAGCAATGGGATGTTGCCAAGTTTGTTTCAATTACTCCCTTAGCATTGTGTCACAAAAAAAGTATATATTTTTATGTATGTATCAAAGTGCACATGAGAAAGGAAAGAGTCAAAGTCAATGGCAAATAAGAAACCAATAAATAAAATGTACTGTGCTTTAAAACTTTGTTGATCCACTTCCCAGGAAGTCATTAGTGTCTAATAATGGCAGGTTTCTCCCCACTGCCCATTCCTGTTGACTGGGGGAAGGGAGCCTTGTGAGTGGAGAAGAGGGTATGCTACCTACAGAACTGTGTTCACAGTGTTGGTATACTTATGTGTCCTACCAACTGTGGCTAAGCCCATGGCAGGCTCCAAGCTGTGGATCATTTTATCTTTCTATTTGTCAGGTCACAGTCATGACCACTAATGGCACCCATCCCAAAAGTATATGATTCTTCAGGAAATACAGCTTGAGATACCAATGGAAGTATCTTTTTAAGCAAAAATAGGAATATAAGATTTTAAAAATTATTTTCTTCACCTTCTTGGTTAGTGACTAATAAATTTTTTGGAATCTTTTGGCTTTCATGAACTGTTAGCAGTCCCATTATATTGGCTCTTTCCTCCCTAACTCATATGTGGTAAAATTAAAGAAGGAAGGAAAGGAGGCTGAATGACCATTGGTCATGAAAACCTCAATATTCCAAAACTCTCTCAAAGAGCCTCTCTTCCTCAGGATAGTAGTTTGAAAACAGAAAATTTGGGAAGGCCACTTGGGATAATGTTTGGTGTCTGTTGCTGCATCAGCGTTTACAAAGTGAGTATCCAAACATGTACTTTTTTTGTTGTTTTTTTCGAGACACAGTCCCATTCTGTTGCCCAGGCTGGAGTGCAGTGGGGTGACCTCGGCTCACTGCAACCTCCGCCTCCTGGGTTCAAATGATTCTCCTGCCCAGCCTCCTGAGTAGCTGGGACTAAAAATGCACACCACCATGCCTGGCTAATTTGTTGTATTTTTAGTAGAGACAGGGTTTCACCATGCTAGCCAGGATGGTCTCAATCTCCTGACCTTGTGATCTGCCCACCTTGGCCTCCCAAAGTGCTGGGATTACAGGCATGAGCCACTATGCCCGGCCCCAAACATATACTTCTTTAAAATGCACAAAAACTCAATGAGTGTTATTTTCCTTATTACTATTGTTATACCTAACTAACAATGAGGAAATCTAAGGTGTAGAGACATTAAATGACTTGCTCAGGGTCAAAAGCTAATAAGCGGCAGATTACCAAGATTTCTCAATTCAAGTCCAGAGTTTCCACCATGAATAGCCTCAGAATATTGCAAAAGGCTATGCTTTAGGAATGGTACTTAATAGTGTTAAAGGACTGGGTAAAATAAGATAACCTACCAAGAAAAAAAGTTGTAACTTCAATTGACAACTTACAATATGAAAAACCTAAACATTGGTTAAAAAAAGGAAACTGAAACTTTTTTTTATTATTATTATACTTTAAGTTTTAGGGTACAGGTGCACAATGTGCAGGTTAGTTACATATGTATACATGTGCCATGCTGGTGTGCTGCACCCATTAACTCGTCATTTAGCATTAGGTATATCTCCTAATGCTATCCCTCCCACCTCCCCCCACCCCACAACAGTCCCCAGAGTGTGATGTTCCCCTTCCTGTGTCCATGTGTTCTCATTGTTCAATTCCCATCTATGAATGAGAACATGCAGTGTTTAGTTTTTTGTCCTTGCGATAGTTTACTGAGAATGATGATTTCCAATTTCATCCATGTCCCTACAAAGGACATGAACTCATCATTTTTTATGGCTGCATAGTGTTCCATTGTGTATATGTGCCACATTTTCTTAATCCAGTCTATCATTGTTGGACATTTGGGTTGGTTCCAAGTCTTTGCTATTGTGAATAGTGCCACAATAAACATACGTGTGCATGTGTCTTTATAGTAGCATGATTTATAGTCCTTTGGGTATTTACCCAGTAATGGGATGGCTGGGTCAAATGGTATTTCTAGTTCTAGATCCCTGAGGAATCGCCACACTGACTTCCACAATGGTTGAACTAGTTTACAGTCCCAACAACAGTGTAAAAGTTTCCTATTTCTCCACATCCTCTCCAGCACCTGTTGTTTCCTGACTTTTTAATGATTGCCATTCTAACTGGTGTGAGATGGTATCTCATTGTGGTTTTGATTTGCGTTTCTCTGATGGCCAGTGATGATGAGCATTTTTTCATGTGTCTTTTGGCTGCATAAATGTCTTCTTTTGAGAAGTGTCTGTTCATGTCCTTCGCCCAATTTTTGATGGGGTTGTTTTTTTCTTGTAAATTTGTTTGAGTTCATTGTAGATTCTGGATATTAGCCCTTTGTCAGATGAGTAGGTTGCGAAAATTTTCTCCCATTTTGTAGGTTGCCTGTTCACTCTGATGGTAGTTTCTTTTGCTGTGCAGTAGCTCTTTAGTTTAATTAGATCTCATTTGTCAATTTTGGCTTTTGTTGCCATTGCTTTTGGTGTTTTGGACATGAAGTCCTTGCCCATGCCTATGTCCTGAATGGTAATGCCTAGGTTTTCTTCTAGGGTTTTTATGGTTTTAGGTCTAATGTTTAATTTTTGTATTAATTGAATTAATTTTTGCATAAGGTGTAAGGAAGGGATCCAGTTTCAGCTTTCTCCATATGGCTAACCAGTTTTCCCAGCACCGTTTATTAAATAGGGAATCCTTTCCCCCATTGCTTGTTTTTCTCAGGTTCATCAAAGATCAGATAGTTGTAGATATGTGGCATTATTTCTGAGGGCTCTGTTCTGTTCCATTGATCTATATCTCTGTTTTGGTAGCAGTACCATGCTGTTTTGGTTACTGTAGCCTTGTAGTATAGTTTGAAGTCAGGTAGCGTGATGCCTTCAGCTTTGTTCTTTTGGCTTAGGATTGACTTGGTGATGTGGGCTCTTTTTTGGTTCCATATGAACTTTAAAGTAGTTTTTTCCAATTCTGTGAAGAAAGTCATTGGTAGCTTGATGGGGATGGCATTGAATCTGTAAATTACCTTGGGCAGTATGGCCATTTTCATGATATTTTCTTCCCATCCATGAGGATGGAATGTTCTTCCATTTGTCTGTATCCTCTTTTATTTCACTGAGCAGTGGTTTGTAGTTCTCCTTGAAGAGGTCCTTCACGTCCCTTGTAAATTGGATTCCTAAGTATTTTATTCTCTTTGAAGCAATTGTGAATGGGAGTTCACTCATGATTTGGCTCTCTATTGGTCTGTTATTGGTGTATAAGAATGCTTGTGATTTTTGTACTTTGATTTTGTATCCTGAGACTTTGCTGAAGTTGCTTATCAGCTTAAGGAGATTTTGGGCTGAGACAATGGGGTTTTCTAGATATATAATCATGTCATCTGCAAACAGAGACAATTTGACTTCTTTTCCTAATTGAATACCCTTTATTTCCTTCTCATGCCTAATTGCCCTGGCCAGAACTTCCAACACTATGTTGAAAAGGAGTGGTGAGAGAGGGCATCCCTGTCTTGTGCCAGTTTTCAAAGGGAATTCTTCCAGTTTTTGCCCATTCAGTATGATATTGGCTATGGGTTTGTCATAGATAGCTCTTATTATTTTGAGATACATCCCATCAATACCTAATTTATTGAGAATTTTTAGCATGAAGGGTTGTTGAATTTTGTCAAAGGCCTTTTCTGCATCTATTGAGATAATCATGTGGTTTTTGTTTTTGGTTCTGTTTATATGCTGGATTACATTTGTTGATTTGCGTATATTGAACCAGCCTTGCATCCCAGGGATGAATCCCACTTGATCATGGTGGATAAGCTTTTTGATGTGCTGCTGGATTCGTTTTGCCAGTATTTTATTGAGGATTTTTGCATCAATGTTCATCAAGGATATTGGTCTAAAATTCTCTTTTTTGGTTGTGTCTCTGCCCGGCTTTGGTATCAGGATGATGCTGGCCTCATAAAATGAGTTAGGGAGGATTCCCTCTTTTTCTATTGATTAGAATAGTTTCAGAAAGAATGGTACCAGTTCCTCCTTGTACCTCTGGTAGAATTCGGCTGTGAATCCATCTGGTCCTGGACTCTTTTTGGTTGGTAAGCTATTGATTATTGCCACAATTTCAGATCCTGTTATTGGTCTATTCAGAGATTCAACTTCTTCCTGGTTTAGTCTTCGGAGGGTGTATCTGTCGAGGAATTTATCCATTTCTTCTAGATTTTCTAGTTTATTTATGTAGAGGTGTTTGTAGTATTCTCTGATGGTAGTTTGTATTTCTGAGGGATTGGTGGTGATATCCCCTTTATCATTTTTTATTGCATCTATTTGATTCTTCTTTTTTTCTTTATTAGTCTTGCTAGCAGTCTATCAATTTTGTTGATCCTTTCAAAAAACCAGCTCCTGGATTCATTAATTTTTTGAAGGGTTTTTTGTGTCTCTTCAGTTCTGCTCTGATTTCAGTTATTTCTTGCCTTCTGCTAGCTTTTGAATGTGTTTGCTCTTGCTTCTCTAGTTCTTTTAATTGTGATGTTAGGGTGTCAATTTTGGGCTTTTAGTGCTTTCTCTTGTGGGCATTTAGTGCTATAAATTTCCCTCTACACACTGCTGTGAATGTGTCCCAGAGATTCTGGTATGTTGTGTCTTTGTTCTCGTTGGTTTCAAAGAACATCTTTATTTCTGCCTTCATTTCGTTATGTACCCAGTAGTCATTAAGGAGCAGGTTGTTCAGTTTCCATGTAGTTGAGAGGTTTTGAGTGAGTTTCTTAATCCTGAGTTCTAGTATGATCGCACTGTGGTCTGAGAGATAGTTTGTTATAATTTCTGTTCTTTTACATTTGCTGAGGAGAGCTTTACTTCCAACTATGCGGTCAATTTTGGAATAGGTGTGGTGTGATGCTGAAAAAAATGTATATTCTGTTGATTTGGGGTGGAGAGTTCTGTAGATGTCTATTAGGTCTGCTTGGTGCAGAGCTGAGTTCAATTCCTGGGTATCCTTGTTAACTTTCTGTCTCGTTGATCTGTCTAATGTTGACAGTGGGGTGTTAAAGTCTCCCATTATTATTGTGTGGGAGTCTAAGTCTCTTTGTAGGTCACTCAGGACTTGCTTTATGAATCTGGGTGCTCCTGTATTGGGTGCATATATATTTAGGATAGTTAGCTCTTCTTGTTGAATTGATCCCTTTACCATTATGTAATGGCCTTCTTTGTCTCTTTTGATCTTTGTTGGTTTAAAGTCTGTTTTATCAGAGACTAGGATTGCAACCCCTGCCTTTTTTTGTTTTCCATTTGCTTGGTAGATCTTCCTCCATCCTTTTATTTTGAGCCTATGTGTGTCACTGCACATGAGATGGGTTTCCTGAATACAGCACACTGATGGGTCTTGACTCTTTATCCAATTTGCCAGTCTGTGTCTTTTAATTGGAGCATTTAGTCCAGTTACATTTAAAGTTAATATTGTTATATGTGAATTTGATCCTGTCATTATGATGTTAGCTGGTTATTTTGCTCATTAGTTGATGTAGTTTCTTCCTAGTCTCGATGGTCTTTATATTTTGGCATGATTTTGCAGCGGCTGGTACCGGTTGTGCCTTTCCATGTTTACTGCTTCCTTCAGGAGCTCTTTTAGGGCAGGCCTGGTGGTGACAAAATCTCTCAGCATTTGCTTGTCTGTGAAGTATTTTATTTCTCCTTCACTTATGAAGCTTAGTTTGGCTGAATATGAAATTCTGGGTTGAAAATTCTTTTCTTTAAGAATGTTGAATATTGGCCCCCACTCTCTTCTGGCTTGTAGAGTTTCTGCCGAGAGATCAGCTGTTAGTCTGATGGGCTTCCCTTTGAGGGTAACCCGAGCTTTCTCTCTGGCTGCCCTTAACATTTTTTCCTTCATTTCAACTTTGGTGAATCTGACAATTATGTGTCTTGGAGTTGCTCTTCTCGAGGAGTATCTTTGTGGCATTCTCTGTATTTCCTGAATCTGAATGTTGGCCTGCCTTGCTAGATTGGGGATGTTCTCCTGGATAATATCCTGCAGAGTGTTTTCCAACTTGGTTCCATTCTCCCTGTCACTTTCAGGTCCACCAATCAGACGCAGATTTGGTCTTTTCACATAGTCCCATATTTCGTGGAGGCTTTGTTCATTTCTTTTTATTATTTTTTCTCTAAACTTCCCTTCTCGCTTCATTTCATTCATTTCATCTTCCATCACTAATACCCTGTCTTCCAGTTGATCTCATCGGCTCCTGAGGCGTCTGCATTCTTCACATAGTTCTCGAGCCTTGGCTTTCAGCTCCATCAGCTCCTTTAAGCACTTCTCTGTATTGGTTATTCTAGTTATGCATTCGTCTTAATTTTTTTCAAAGTTTTCAACTTCTTTGCCTTTGGTTTGAATTTCCTCCTGTAGCTCGGAGTAGTTTGATCGTCTGAAGCCTTCTTCTCTCAACTCGTCAAAGTCATTCTCCGTCCAGCTTTGTTCTGTTGCTGGTGAGGAACTGCGTTCCTTTGGAGGAGGAGAGGTGCTCTGCTTTTTAGAGTTTCCAGTTTTTCTGCTCTGTTTTTTCCCCATCTTTGTGGTTTTATCTACTTTTGGTCTTTGATGATGGTGATGTACAGATGGGTTTTTGGTGTGGATGTCCTTTCTGTTTGTTAGCTTTCCTTCTAACAGACAGGACCCTCAGCTGCAGGTCTATTGGAGTTTGCTAGAGGTCCACTCCAGACCCTGTTTGCCTGGGTATCAGCAGCGGTGGCTGCAGAACCGCGGATTTTCGTGATCCACGAATGCTGCTGTCTGATCGTTCCCCTGGAAGTTTTGTCTCAGAGGAGTACCCGGCCGTGTGAGGTGTCAGTCTGCCCCTACTGGGGGGTGCCTCCCAGTTAGGCTGCTTGGGGGTCAGGGGTCAGGGACCCACTTGAGAAGGCAGTCTGCCCTTTCTCAGATCTCCAGCTGAGTGCTGGGAGAACCACTGCTCTCAAAGCTGTCAGACAGGGACATTTAAGTCTGCAGAGGTTACAGCTGTCTTTTTGTTTGTCTGTGCCCTGCCCCCAGAGGTGGAGCCTACAGAGGCAGGCAGGCCTCCTTGAGCTGTGGTGGGCTCCACCCAGTTCGAGCTTCCCGGCTGCTTTGTTTACCTAAGCAAGCCTGGGCAATGGCGGGCGCCCCTCCCCCAGCCTCGCCACCTTGCAGTTTGACCTCAGATTGCTGTGCTAGCAATGAGAGAGACTCCGTGGGCGTAGGACACTCTGAGCCATGTGTGGGATATAATCTCCTGGTATGCCATTTCCTAAGCCCATCGGAAAAGTCCAGTATTTGGGTGGGAGTGGCCCAGTTTTCCAGGTGCCGTCTGTCACCCCTTTCCTTGACCAGGAAAGGGAAGTCCCTGACTCCTTGTGCTTCCTGAGTGAGGCAATGCCTTGCCCTGCTTCAGCTGGTGCACAGTGCGCTGCACCCACTGTCTGGCACTCCCTAGTGAGATGAACCCGGTACCTCAGATGGAAATGCAGAAATCACCTGTCTTCTGCATGGCTCACACTGGGAGCTGTAGACCGGAGCTGTTCCTATTCGGCCATCTTGGCTCCTCTGAAACTGAAACTCTTATAGGCAAATAACATGTCTATAAGTAAATTAGTTTCTTGAATGTTACACATTTGAGCTGTTAAGCTTGTTTTCTGTTTCATTTTAAGAGTTTAAATCTCTGAAAGTTTGGTAGAATATATCCTCTATTTTCATTTTCAAGTGTGAAAGCCATATCAATAAATAAGTGCAGACTTATATAACTGCAAAAATGTATCTTCAAGTATTTATTGTGTACCTACTATGTGCCAAAAGCTCAGTGTGCCTCAAGCTTGGGGACAGAATCATGACTAGAACTCAGATCATTGTCCAAGAGTTAGTACGCAACATAGTGCCATCTTCCAAAAAAAAAAAAAAGAAAAAGAAAAGATAAAGAAAGAAAAGAAAGAAGTGCCATAGTGGACTAGATCCCTTATCTACTCAGGCCTGTGATCTAGAATGACAATAGTACATACTGGAAGAAATGATGGTTTTATGATATCAATTTTATAAAGCTAGGAATGTGCACTCAAACATCGTCTTACTTGTCTTAACAACTCATTGTAAATGCCTTTTCTTTGAATTCATTTAAGCCACACTTAAACCTATCTATATATTCTGTATCTAAACTCACTCTCTATTCAGATGAAGCCAACAAAAAAACACCCCAATATACATAATAAAACACTATAAAGTTGAGTTAAAATAGCAACTTTTTTCTATACTACAATTAATATGTTTGCCTACTTTTTAAAAATTGTTTAACCTAGACTTACACATTATGTCATCAAACATAGTCATAGTACTAAGAAGAGATTCAGTATAAAACTACTGTTACAAAAAGGGATGAGAGAGTAGCTGCAGGCTTTCATTTTGCTAAACCACATGACTATCCTTCTCAACAGAATGTAGAAACCTGCACTTTTGGTACTTTTATTTTACATAAAACATTCTTCTATTAGTTTATTTTTCTAAAGCATTTTGCAGTTATTCCCTGGCTAATAGTAATAACCAAGAATTAAAAGCTACAGCATATGTTGAATAGCTGTATTACACCATAAATCACATTTACTGCCATTTGTTAACATGCTGTTTTAATTTCAGAAAATTCAATGACAGTTCATGAATTTTGCGGAATCTCAAAAATAATGACATGATTTTATGTTGAAGACTAAAGGGATGTTGTCAATTTTAATGTGTACTGGGAGGTCACATGGTATTCTCAAATTTAATGGTAAAGCAAATTTAGTTAACCCTGCAGAAACATAAGGAGTCTTGAACAATCAGTCTCTTGGCTAGCCAAGGGCAAATGAGGAATGAAGACACTTACAAGTTTAAATCCAACACCTGAGGGTGCTTTGAAAACTTTTCTGCACCAAATGCAGCTGGTGGAAAGAGATACTCAAAGGGTAAGGAAGAGGCGGTACAAAGATAGCTGATAAAAGGCAACAGTCACAGCAGTAGAAAAATTTAGACAACTATTTGCGAGAACTTATCATCTGAGTAATCATTCTTTGCACCCCAGGTCTTTATTCCCACCCTCAAGAATAAAGTTAACTCCAGCTATGTCCAGATACAGGTAGTTTTGCCTAGGATACTAGTTATCTTAGTTTGTTCAGTCTGCTATACCAAAATGCCATAGATCAGATGGCTTAAATAACAGACATATAATTCTCACAGTTCTGGAGGCTGGGAAGTCCAAAATCAGGGTGCCAGTATGGTCAGGCTCTAACCTGATCTGCTCTTTCTAGCTTGCAGATGGCTGCCTTCTTGCTTTATCACATGAGAGACAGAGAGGAAGCCCGTGTGTCTCTTTCTCGTCTTATAAGCACACTAATCCCATCATGGAGCCCCACCTTCATGACTTCAGCTAAACCTAAACCTCCCAAAGACCTTGCCTGCTAATCCTATCACATTGAGGATTATGGCTTCAACAAACAAATTTGGGATCAGGGAGGACATAAACATTCAGTACATAACAATGGTCATCAACCTTTAGGGTGCCTAAGAACCACTTGGGGAGATTTAGTAAAAATGCAGATTACTAATCCTTCAACATTTGTGATTCTGATTCATTCCATCTGGGAGGCGGACAGAAAACACTTTCAAAAGCAGTCCAGGAAATTCTGATGTAAGGGTCCACTGGCCACATTGTGAGAAATTCTGTCCTGGCTTAGCTTCAAGCAGAAGGGATTGCTTGCAAAGTGCCTGTGCTGTGCCTCAAAGACTGAAAGAAGTGTATTCAGAGATCAGACTGTCCTACGGATGGTAAAAGCCAGAACCAGGAGGTGCCAACAGAGGTGCTCCCACATAAATGTCAACCAAATGGTGCTAGGTAATATAGATGTACTCAGTGTCCAATTCCCATCCTCTCCCCCATTGCCATGGCCTTTAGAAAACTATCTTTGACAGAGAGGCAAAAGGAAAACACCTGGCTAGAATCCTCATATCCAATCTAAAAATAAGATTTTAAGATAGATTTTAAGGGGAAACAATACATGGGAATTCAATTGTGCATATCCTAATGGAGTCACTCTGGCCAATGAGAGCTCACCCTGAGAAAGAGGGCCTCTCCCTTACAATATGATAACAAGGAAAAGTCTTTTGAAATAAACAATAATAGTAATAATAACAATAACAATCCTATGAGGATTATATTGAAGTCCATGTAGTGTTTTTCCATTTATCAGTTCCTTTTGTCTTCTGTGATAAACATGAAGGAAAATGTATGGTTGTAAATGGTTTCAACTAACAAAACAATAACATTCAGAAAAAAGTCATCAGGAGAACTGATTTTTCAGTTGTCCTAAAGATAATGCAGTGTAGTCAGATTAAAAACCCTGAATTGACAAGGCTTTAATAGATTTAACTTCTGGGGCTTACTTTTTAAATACTGAAATCACAAACTTCAACAGCTTCAAAGTGTTTTGCAACAAACATATAATGATTATTTTAAAAACGATTATTGTTTATAAGCTTAAAAAGGAAGCAGCAAAAGAAACAGCATTATAGGCTGGGTTGGGGCTCACACTGTAATCCCAGCACGTTGGGAGGCCAAGCTGAGAGGATTGCTTGAGCTTAGGAGTTTGAGACCCGGTCTCTGAAAAATAACTAAAAAATTAGCCAGGTGTGGTGGTGTGTGCCTGTATTCCCAGCTATTTGGGAGGCTGAGGTGGGAGGATTGCTTGAGCCCAGGAGGTTGAGGCTTCAGTGAGCCATGCTTGCACCACTGCACTCCAGCCTGGGTGACAGAGTAAAACTCTATCTCAAAAAAAAAATAAAAAAAAAAAGAAAAGAAAAGAAAAATAAAACAGAATTATAACACTGAGAATTAAAATTACTTTTACCATGTAGCGTATTTCCCTACAAAAATTCAAGTTGTCCTTTAAATACAAATACATGAAACTACTGATGTTTCAAGTAAAATAAAAATGAATGTCTTCATAGCACTGTTTGTTATTAAGCTATTTCCATACTGGATTTATGCAAGCTATGTTTTACTAAAAGAATAAGCAAGTAGAAAATAATGCATAATTCCTACAGGCCACTCTTCTTTAAAGATGAGGACCTTCTTGATACCAACTGAAATTGCCTGTGTCAATGATTCCGGTGAAATATGCCTCAGTAAAGATGGGACTCAGGAAATATAATAAAAATCTGTCAGCCAAGTTCCAAGTGCCTAGGAACTGGTCATCACTGGCACATTGTAGAGCAGTTTGATAAGCATTAAAAAAAAGTTTGTAGTGATAAATGATTAACTATTGTTGAAATTAAATTGAATACTTTCATCTTTAAAATCCATTTAATTTCTTTAAAGCCATAAGGTTTTTCAAAGGTTAAGATTTATTATGGATTTTGGTTTCAGGTGATTGGTAAGTACCAGCCTCAGAATGCCATTTGGCACACAAATTGATTCCCTCAGGAAAACTAAAATTATGTGGATAATCCCATCTCTATGTCCTGTCTCTCAAAAACTTTAGAAAATTAATTCAAAGGACAGAAGTGTAGGTTGTTTTCAAGCAAACAACTTCAAAGTGAGTACATTTTTCTCCTTTAAAATACACACAGAAACTCTAAAAGGGTCAGGCCATCTTCAAGGGCAGAATACTTGTTCAACATCTAGATATAGGCTGCTAAGGCTGATGAATGAGAATGGAAGTAAGAGAAAAAGCTGACAATCAGTCAAGGGTATCATCCCATATTTTTAAAAAATTCCTTCTTTGGTCAGTTCATTCCATTTTGATCAAAAGCATCATGCAACCACTTGTTTAACATAAGGAAAAAAAATCTCAAAATATAAGATGAATTTCACATTACTGAAGCTCACAGAGAATGAAATACAGTTTTTCTAGAACCTTATATTAATTTCTTGGCCAAAATTAAGTCCTCTCGAAGGTTAAAAAAAATTGCAAGACTCATCAGTTATGGCAGCCAACAGATCAAATACTCATTTACTCATTGTATATAAGAAAATGGTGTATTTAAACATTCAACAAATAAATAAAGAAAACAAAAATTTCCTGGGAGCACCACCAGAAGAATGATGATGTATGTTGGTGATAGCCACTGAACTTGCAGCTGAATACCTGGTTCAAGGTGGATCATGCCATTCTCCTACCTTCTGTGTCACTTAAAAGAAATTCAAATTCCATAACATAGCCCACAATATTCTGCTGAGCTGCCCCCTGCCTCTCTTTTCAGTCTCATCACCTATTCTCTCCTCCTCATTCACACTGGCCTCCCTTCAATCTCTCCAGTTCAGCAAGCTTCATCCTACTTATCTAGCACTCTCTGGCTCCTCCCCTGCCTCGTACTCACCTGCTGTCTCCTGCTCATCTTTCAGGTCTCAGACTGCATGTCACTCCTTAAATTCAGTCATTGCCTGCCCCACATTCTGAATCAGGTGCTCTATTTTCTTTCAGAGTATGCTCTATTCTTCCTTTGAAACATTTATCAACACAGATGATTATACATTTGTGTAATTATTCATCTAATTACTCTTTCCCTCATTAGACCATAAGATTTCTGAAGTCTTATACATGGTAACTAGCACGTAGTACAAACTAAACAAATAATATTAAATTAATGAAATCCCAGTTCTGACAATTATATTATCTTAGGTAAGTCATCCAATTTCTCTGAGCTTTATTTTCTTATCTATAAATATGGGCATTAATCTAATAATTTTATATATTTTAACATAATAGGAATATATTCACTTTTGCAAATTGGAAAGCACCACTCAGATTTAAGACATTATTTTTTTTTCTTACATCAAGATTATGAACCAAAGAACTTTTAAATTGATCATTATAGTCTTCATTTAGTCGGCATAGGCATATCCAGAAAGGCCTCACATTTAGTACTAATAAAGCTTGGTGTTTAAGGAATATTATAGACAATGAATAACAATGATTCCTTGTAATTTACAACTGAAGTTGATGCCACATCAGGTATATCAAAATCTTCGTTAAGACTATTTCCTTTAATAAAGTTTATGCTACCATGTTACATAAAAAGGAATCAACTGGTATTATTTAGTTGTTCTGTTTATATGGACTATTTTAGCAATTTAGAAAAGATGTAGGGTACATGCCACTTTATATGCAAATATGCCTTGACAACTGTATGAATAAACAAGAAAACTGTAAATATACTTTAAAAGCCAAGATGATACAAATGGCCATTCATGAGTGGACTTACTGTCTAAGTTATTTTTCCAAGAGTGGAAATTCATTCATGTTGATACACGCAATTCTCACTTCATTCCCTCTTCCAATGACAAGGTGAGGAGATCTATGTCTAGAGCACTTTTTATCTAAGTGAAAGGAGCCAACAAGTGCCAGATGAACATGACTGTGGTCTCATCTTTTTTCACCTTAACCCACTGGCCTAACGGGCCTGGACAGCAGAAGATTTGTGATGCTAAAAGAATTTACTTCTGCCTGGATATTTTAGGGATTTGACTCCTGTCAGGTATTGCAACAAAGTCAAGTGATTCAATTTACCAGGCAAGGACAAGAAATGGTTTCAGGAAAAACCAAGGTGATGAACTATTGAGCATCCAGTTCATTAGCTGTCATCCATCTTGACATCTTCATCTTTCAAGCAGTACTGCAGAAAATCAAAGACGTGTAGTGCTT
The DNA here is from genome assembly GCF_000001405.40 of Homo sapiens. Taxonomy (NCBI): domain Eukaryota; kingdom Metazoa; phylum Chordata; class Mammalia; order Primates; family Hominidae; genus Homo; species Homo sapiens. Next base: position 126,837,951 of record NC_000007.14, read on the forward strand.
CCCTTAAAAAATCTGAGAAGGAAAACATATCCTCTTAAAGTTAAAGAGACTGTGAAGCCTATTTCAAATGGATTATGAAAGATAACCATTGCCTCAAGTCTGAAAATCTTGATAGATACTCCATTGTAAATACTACCTGTGCCCTTAAACACACTAATCTTAAAAATAATATCATTAAAATATGTACTGCATGAACTGCTAGAGTATTTTTAGCTTATTCTAATTTGATGCATTGTGCATTTTAATATGCAGTAATAGTTACATGACAAATAACTGACCTTTTAGAAATAGCATCTTGGGGGAAAAAAAAGACTCAAGAAAAAAAGTGTTTCCCTGAAACATCAGCCAATAAAACATGGGCAGTAAGACTCCAGTGACATAGCCAAGTACTGGTAATATCACCTTCCTTCTTTTGTTTCTCTGCTCTGCTTATTCAACACTGAGGTACTGAAACTCTGGGGTTTTTGCACTTATATGCAGAGTTTCCTGGAATTAAAGAGTAATGTAAGCAACCAAAGACATTAAAGAAGTGATTCATAACCTTCCCCACCTACTATTCTTTATCAAGGGGAAAGTGTTTTATTTCAAGTTCTTGAAGGCCCCTAGAGGTAAAGGTGAGGTGAAAATTATGCTTTTCTTCTATATCCCACATACTACTTTATTAATGCTAAGAAGCACTGTAATGTTGCCTTTTAATTCTCTGCTTTCTGAAACACTCAGTGAATATTATTCCAGATCTGTAGTTACTAACAAACAAAATAAAATTAAAGACTCATACATTGTTCTCTCCTGAATTTGCCATTTAAAACATCTAAGTCAGGCTGTGAAAGAAAATGTTAACTCACGGCTCACATCATATAAGCAACTAGACCACAAAACCTAAAAGATTACCATGGACTCTCAGAAGCCTTTGTAGTCTTAAATTATTGGAGGACAACTAAGGAACTATTCAGGTGTACGCTTTGCCCATCGGGGAAAGCCCTAGGTGCAGGTGACTGAATGGCTGCTTCTGAAGAACGGCATTTGGTATCTGAGTAAGTTCCTATACCTACAAATTACTTGCAAGCCCTTCAGCCTGAAATTTCCCAATATATTATTAAAACTCTTATTATCTCCACACTACTTGCTGCTACCACCACTACCACCATACACTGCATGATTTTTGGCCGGGAACTATACCAGGCACTTTACATAAGGCACACATGTAACACCCGCATCAACTGTAGAAAGTAGGGGCATTATTATATTCAGTTGATAGAAAACAGAGGCAGGTAAGATGTTCTAGGCTTCTGCTAAGCAAAACATGGTCCATGGAATAGCAGCTACAACATCACCTGAGAGCTTGTCTGAAATGCAGAATCTCAGGCTCAAGTCCCTGATCTAATGAATTAGGATCTGGATTTTAATAAGATATCCAAGTGATTTATATGCACATGAATATTGAGAAGCAGTGCTTTGGGTAAATGGAATCACTCAGACTCAAACTCAGGGGTCTCTAGCTCAAAGATCCAGATATTAAAATAGTCAGCTCTTCCTGAAGATGCAAGACATCTAAAGAATGTAAAACATTGAATACATTCACATTTAGGACCAAGTTTTTCATCAGCTGAGAAAATCTGATACTGAGAATTACAAATTTGAGACGAGAAAACGATGACCTGGGAATAACAGAGGAAGGAGATACCTGGTAAGGGAATAGAAGAGAGCCACTGGGAAAAGAAATTGGGCTTAAAACACACTTTGTGCATTTTGGTTTGTCCATTTCAGTTTGGTTAAGGGAGTTCTTAGCCAAACTGAACAGAGTTTTGACTCTGTTCCCAAAACTCTCGGCTCACCTGAAGTGGTGCTTGATATCAGACAACCTTACTGGGGAGCTCAAGAGTGCTTAATTGAATTATTCACAAGATCACTTTCTCATGAACCAACCACTCCATATCCAGACATCCCTTTGCTGAATGTACATACTTATTCTTCAAGTTCTTACATCAATCAGCCCAATATGGAGCTTTCTAGAGATACTAACTGCTTAACTAAGTCTGATAAATGAAAACATCTGTATGGGTGAAATTTTTTTAATGCAATTTTAGTTGTTTTTTCACCACCATATATAATAAATCAAACTATATTAATCCATCAGGTATCCATCTGGGATCAGTTTTGATGGTATTCAAGCCTGATAGGTAATTAAAATGTTATTTCCATGCAAATTGCATCTGATCTTGAAAACAGTTTCCCTTAACCTGAAATTGGCTAAACATTTCTCTGCAGTCTTAAATTATCCAAATTTCCAAGCAAATATTTTTGTTTCCATAATAGAAAGGGAAACTGCAGGTCATTCATGAATCAAGTTATCATAATTAATTAGGTTTAGCTCTATTACCTTTTTATTTAAAAGCTAACTGGATACTACTATTTATCCTTCCTTTTGTATTACAGTATTTCATAACTGACTTTCATAGTATCCACTCTAAAATTTGTTAACACTTTGATGATACAGTATTTTCATCTTTTATTGGAAAAGAATTTATTGCTACTTTCAAGCATAGTTTTTTTCTCATTCATTATATTGTTATCATAACCACGTGGCTTATAAAGATATGCAGACACTAATGTTATATCAATACTTATGTCTTTGGACTTTTCATTTAAAAGTTAATTGTTGACTATGTATTTTTTTATTGTGCAAACTTTCCCAAATTCCACACCATAGCATGACTTGCTAATGAATATATTTACACCAAGAAAATAAAATGAACTTTGTATAAGTTTCTAATATAAATAAAAGGGAATACTTACTTTCGAAAGAAAGATAATTTCCTATCAATTTAATAATTTTCTTTCATTTTAACGGTAGAAATTATACACCAATTTCATGTCACAAAAGAGGTTAGAGCTTGTTTTTATAAACAATGTTTGTTAGATTACTCTTGCCCCTATCAGAGGAAGATCTGAAAATGTAACAAAGAAGATATATTTCATTTTTGTGCAAATAGACATGTATATAAAGATTAAAGGCTCTGACAGAGCCTAAAAATGAAGTCCTTTATTTAATGTACTAGAATAATGCATGCATTGGCAGTATGCCAGCTTTAAAATTGACATAGAATGAGCCTTAACTTCTCCTGCATGATTCACTATCAGGACCAGAAAGCCATTCAGCAATGCTTGTCATGTCTTGCTATATAACAAAATAACCCCCAAATTTTGTGGCTTATAATAACAACAACCATCTTATCATCTGCTATAAATGTGTGGGTCAAGAATTCAGGAAGGGCCTGCCTGAGAAATTATCTGTGCCATATGGCATTAACAGAAGTCACTTGGAGGTATTCTGCTGGTGGTTTGGCTCCTCCAGAGAGCTCAAGTCAGCTTTACCTACATTTCTGCAGTCTTGGTGGTAATGGCTAGAAGAATGGGCTCAGCAGGACAATTGACCATAGCACCTATGCTAGCCCCTCTGATATGGTGGCCTCAGAGAGTGGGGTATCTTTTCATAGAGTCTTGGATAGAAGGTATAAGTCTTCTGACTTAGCATCACAAGTCCCAGAATGTCACTTCCACTGCATTTACTGACTAAATGTAACATAGATCCCAAGACAGAAAATGAACATGCATTAGGTAAAAATAAAAGAAATCTGAATGAAGTCTGGCCTGTATTTTATTTTTATTTATTGGATTATTATTTTTTTTTTTTTGAGATGGACTCTCGCTCTATCACCCAGACTGGAGTGCAGTGGTGCAATCTCCGCTCACTGCAAGCTCCGCCTCCCGGATTCACCCCATCCTCCTGACTCAGCCTCCTGAGTAGCTGAGACTACAGGCGCCCCCACCAAGCCTGGCTATTTTTTTTTAAATATATTTTTAGTGGAGATGGGGTTTCACCGTGATAGCCAGGATGGTCTCGATCTCCTGACCTCGTTATCTGCCCGCCTCGGCCTCCTAAAATGCTGGGATTACAGGCGTGAGCCACCGTGACCGGCCCCAGCCTTTATTTTCAAACAAATGTTGTTGAGAGGAATAAATATGACAGTGTGGAATAAAACAGAAGCTCACACACCTACATTGGCAGAAAAAGTTAGATATGATCAATAAATTGTTAAACCATTTAACGTTTTTGCCAGAGAAAGAACACAATAATTTGAAGAAAAAATTTAAATATGGTTTCTCTGCCTACAATAAAATGGAATAGAGAAGAGAATACTCACTAAAGAGAACAAAGGTCAAATAGCAAGAGAAAAATACAAAGGCACAGCCAGCTGTAGATCCAGGAGGACAACAGGATGGTCCTGAGCAGAAGGATACCAGAAAGGGATGTTTAAGAGGCAATAGGATACTGCAAACCAGATGAGTCTTTATAGTTTCTTTAGCTGACCCTGAAAGCAAGTGATTTCTAAGTTACAAACTGCTGAAGAGAAGAGGAACTCCCACCCAAAACTATATAGTAAGAAGAAAAAGACTTGCTAAATACCATTTAACTTCTGAAACAGGAAAGAATCACTACATATTTGTGATAGGCAGACTAATGCCTGCCACCAAAGATGTTCATGTCTTTCTCCCTTGAACGTGTGAATGTATTATGTTGCATAGGAGAATTAAGGTTGGAGATGGGATTAAGATGGCTGATCAGCTGGATTTAAAATAAGAAGATTACCCTGGATTATCTCAGAAGGCCCAATATGATCACAAAGCTCCTTTAATGAGGAAGAGGGAGGCAGAAGAGCCAGACCAGAGAGCAGGCATAATCAGAAAGACTCCATTGGTCATTGCTGGCTTTGAAGATAGAAGGTGTCCATAAGCCAATGAATGCAAGCAGCTTCTAGAAGCTGAAAAGGACAAGAAAACAGATTCTCCCTAGAGCCTTCAGAAAAGAATGCAGTCCTGCTGACACCTTGATTTTCATCCAGAGAGACCCATTTCAAACCTCTAAACTCCGGAACTGTAAGACAATACGCCTGTGTTCTTTTAAGACACTAAATTTGTGGTAATTTTTTACAGCAGCAATAGGGAACTAATACAATTGTGAAAAATGAGGGGAATTGGAAGGAAAAAAATTAAAGCATTTAATTTGCAAACAATTGTTCAAACATGATAAAAATGATAATGAGACTTACAAAATATCTTACAAATGAAAGAAGATAACTTTCCTGAAAGAAGATAACTATCCATAACACATAATGATTGACATAATCCTGTGAGGGTCATGACAAATATGCTCTATGAAGTGTTGGGATTTCAGCTTCCTGTTTCATTTCATGTCAGTTTTGGCAGATCTGGACTTCAGTAACTAGCAGTGTGCCTAGTACATGGTAGAAGCTCAATAAGGACTAAATCCATTATATAAACTAAAGGGGACTATAAAGTAGAAAAAAAAACTCATTATCACATATGGCTTGTGAGATTAGGCACATAGCAAAGGAAGGAAGAGAGAAGAGAGCTAAAATTATTTGGAATAAAAAAAGAAATCCAATTGAGATCCAAGTGAAATGCAAATACATTTCTAGTGAGACATTTTTAACCATTGACGAAGCTTCTTAGTTTCAGTTGGGTCTTCATAGCATCCTGCAAAAATGCATGGCAAAGATACAGCTGAACACCCACCAGCTGAAGCTGGGCTGTGATTGTTCTGGCAAACACATAACCCAGAGTAAATATTGTCTTGCACGAAGAAGTGAGGAGGTGGATTAGGCATTGTAATTACCATTTGCTGGGTATTTGGCATTCTTTTTAAAGATTTAATCATTTAGATGAGACTTAGTATCACTAAAAAAGGAGTCAATATTTCTGTGAGCCAGGGAGGAACAGCGCTGCTGTTTTCCTTCTGCTCAGCTGTTACATGTGCCTACAGAAAGACAACTTCACCTGCTACTTTTTTATTCAAGACAGCACAGATAAAGAATCATGAGCAGTAACTTCTTTCAGTTCTTTTTTCTTCCTGAACACACTGTGTTCTCATCTATTATTGATCAGAAAGTGATATTTAAATAGGGTGGCAATTTATAAAATTGCACAGGGATGTTATTACATTATCTTAATTAATTTTACAACCAGCACTCACTCACTGTCCTTTATAGTACATCTAAAGAATTAATGTGCTGATTAACAATAGCCAAGCAGACTCAGATAGTAGCTTTCAGATAAGAACTTCTGTTAATCTTCTGCTTGTCAATTGGAATCTACTGACATAAATTGCTTTAATCTGAGTTCCTGGCATTAAGCATTTATAGAACAACATTTTGAGACACTGATTATTGTACCATTCCTTTGGGGCAGTGCCCCTAAATTTTAGTGTACAAAAGAGCATCTGGAATTTGTTAAAATCCAAATTATTTAGCCCTTTCAGAGAGATCCTAATTCTTTAGGTCTAATGTGGGTCCAAGAATCTGTATTTTTAACAAGCATTCTGAAAGTGTCTGAGCCATGGGGTGAGGGGTATGTAACCAAACTTGTTTTGCAATCGTATATAAATATGGACAATATTTTTGCTGAAACTTTTCTTCTTTTCTTTAAATGTCCAAGTCCTTATGTACATGATCTCTTTTAGTCCTCACAATGATCTTGTGAAGTAGGTATTATTATTTCTATTGTAACAAAGAGACAAAGGGTTTAGTCACTTGCTGTCTGTTTGCTCAGGCTGCCATAATAAAACACTATAGATTGAGTGGCTAAAGAACAGCAGTGTATTCTCTAACAGTTTTGGAGGCTTGAAGTCCAACATCAGGATGCCACCATGGTCAGGTTCTGGGGAGAGCTCTCTTTCTGGTTTGCAAATGGCTGCCTTCTTGCTGTGTGCTCACATGGCATTTCCTCTGCACATGCATGGAGAGATAGAGAAAATGATCTCTCTTACTCTTCTTCTTATAAAGCCACCAATACCATTGGATTAGGACTTCACTCTTATACTGTCATTTAACCTTAATAAGCTCCTAAAAGCTCTATCTCCAAATAGTCACATTGGAGGTTAGGGCTCCAACATATGAACTTATTTGTGAGAGAGGGCGGAATTTAGTCCTTAGCCCTTGCCTATCACAAATAGTAAGTGGGATCCAGGATTTGCACCCTAATTGCCCTGACTCCAAGCCCACACCATCTCTACCTTACCTTGCCCCTCTTGCCCTCTGGGCCATTAGCAAGAAGTAGTGATGGGCTACTCAGCAACAGAGGCATGGAGGTTGGTTAGATGAATATTCAGTCTTCCATTAACTGAGAATTGACTTTAATGTAATCAGATCACTTCATTAAACTTTAAGGGCTGCCTTATATCTGGTGACTATGACTATTTTATTCCTGCAACTTTATTACTAGTGACATATTTGTGCTCATGGAGAAAAATAGTTCACGAAATCCCTTCCAGACAAGGATATTCAGCAGTTTAAGAGAGGGTATTGGACAAGGCTCAGGAGGTTACATATGCTTCTATGAGCAGCTCTTCCATCTTCCCTTTCAATGCTAGATGCCTTAGCTCAACCTAGGCCAACTTAGTCTTATCCTTTTTTTTATCCCAAAGGAGTAAAAATAAAGGATACTTATCAGCATTTTTCCATCTCACAATCTGCACAGAAATGAATCATTCATTACTAAACTTCCTTTACACACCATAGCCTGATAAGAAAACAAATAAAGCTTAAAGAAAAATATTAAAACACATTTGTACAATCTCATACCAATAGCAAGGCAAAGTCAAGTCAAAAAAGCATATATTTAAAGAACCACTTCTTGTGAATGTATAAATATTTGTATCTTTGTTGGGAACTTATATATTCAAAAATAATATACACAACAAAAATTATATTACTTACATAAGATCATGGAGAGAAGGAAATTCCATTAAAACAAGGAACAAATATCTTTTTGTAAGGATGAGTTCCTGTCCTAGGGTTTGAAGTCTAGATATCATGTCAGGGAAGGTATGTGTGGGAGAGAGGGTCAGGGTGAATCCCTTAGAGTGATGTAGAGAAGGAGATGGGGAAAAAATGTGCAGGGGAGTGGGGCTAGATGGAGTTTGGGGAGGGTAGATTATCATCACTGACTCTATTCTTCCTATAAAAAATGGAAATAATTAACTCCTATATTTCCAGCAATATAAAATATATATAATAGTATAAAATATATCTTTCATAAAAATTCCAAATATTGTACACATATTTGGGGCTCAGTAAGATCAGTTAAGTTGCACAAGTCATATAGATACTAAATGTGGAGCCAGGAAATGCAGCAAATTCAGAAGTGGAATATGACATTCTAGATTTAAGAGTTTGTCAAGGAAACTTTGGAAATCTACTGTTAAAACTCAAACTAAAAATTAAACTCCTTCACTCAAAAATGTGACTACATAAGATGCAAAAGCATTTATCAATAAAACCAAATGTAGGAGAAGATGATTCCCTCTCATCCACTGCAAATTCCTACCTGAGGTGACAAAATCATTTCCTCCACAAAATAATCACACAGTGTGAACTTAAGTGTAATGGTATCTTACCTTTAGAACGTTGTCTAAGCAACATTATAGGAGGGAAACTTTGGTTACTGAAAGATATAGCCCAAAGGGCTATGCTATTCTAAGAAAAGAACAAAATTTTCTGTAATGAGTTTTCTGGTAAGCACAGAACTTTGTAACCCTGGAGTTGAATAATATGTCCCATTTGTACATAGCTGATATTCAAAAAATTCAATAAGAGATTCAGCTTTGTGGACATTAATACCATGACATTTGACTTCCCAACTATTTATTAACAAAAAATATAAAAATCCACAAATATGTTATAAAGCAAAAAAAAAGAAGGAAGAGAGAAGGAAGAAAGAAGGTTAAAATAAAAGAGAGTAGAAACAAAAGACTATAGCAGTTTAGTTCTAAAGGAGAGGGAGAGCTTTATCAATTATTGAGTTCACTCTCTCATGTTACCCAGTGTGGACCACGGCCAGAACACACATCAAAAACACAATTCCTACCCTGGTATTTTTCCTATTGCACCACAGTATAAAATGCAAGAAACCATATTCTCCATTTATTAAATATAATCATAAGAAAGGCATGACTTATGCCTATTTTTAAAATTATCTCTACACAATTAGTTTGCAGCATTCTTTATATTTTAAAATGAGTTTACTTTGGATGTGCTGTTAAGGTAAATAATATAAAATTGATAGTATCTTTCACAGTTCAGTTGACATTCACAGAAGCTATCCTTACTTTGTCTAATATATCCCAAGCCTCATTTTCTATGCAACACAAGTAAGAGACTAGAATGAGGTAAAAGGCAACTGTTAATCAATTTGTTCTTATAGAACAACACTAGCTTTTTCCAGTTTTTGTATGTGTGTGCCAAAGACTTATTCTTATCACCTTGAGTACATAATGAACCTCCTAGGATTAGGCAGGTGGATGATATACAAAGATAAAAAGTGAGAAGTGACAAGTGTTCTAGATATCTAATGCTGTGTAACAAAATGCCCCAAACTGAATGAGCAACAGCAAAATTTATTTTGCGTATGACCCTGCAATCTGGGTAGGATGTAAAGTAGATAGATCATCCCTGTTCCACTCAGCATCCACTGATGCCCCTTGAGGTGTAGGGGCTGGTGTCATCTGAAGTACCAAACAAATAGTATTAGAGTTGGGGATCCCTAGACATCTCTTGTCTCCAGGTGGTCTCTCCACATGATTTCTCCTACATGGTAGCTTCAGAATAGCTGAGCTTTTTGCATTTTGGCTCAGGGATCCCAAGACATGAGCCCAAGAGAGAGAATCAGGTGAAAGCCATACTGCTTTTATGACCTAACTCAGAAGTTAGGCAACTTTGCATCTGTTTTGATCACAAGCCTTCCCAGATTCAAGGGGAGAGAATATGGACCTCATCTCCACGTAGACAAGTATCAACTGTATGTTGCATGAGGAGAAAATGTGGGATAGATATATTGGTGGATCCACTTTGGGAACTAAAATCTGCACCAATGTCCTTCCAGCAAGACTTAAAGTGACATCATGAAACCTGAGATCAAGAGGGATTTCTCCTGAAGCAAAGCATAAAATGGAGAGGAGATTACAAATGGAGAGACCAGTTAGGAGGTTATTGCAATTGTCAAGGTAGAAATTATCATGGTGAGAACTAGTGTGATGATAGGAACAGAAAGGAGACTTCCAAGAGCACTTGTTCTGACCCTTTTCTCAATGGAAAATGAGAGAGAGGAGAAAATAAAATAGAAATGTAATAAAGACGGGAAGAGGAACAGATCTGAGCAGACAGGATTAATTTGGCTTAGAAAATTTTCAGTTGTTCTTGTGGAATGTTGAGGCAGAAGTGTCCAGTGGTCATTGGAAAATGAGAGTCTAGAGCTGTACTGTTCATTAAGACCACATACGACTATTGTGTTATTGAACTGTGGCTGGTTTGAATTGAGAAGTGCTCTAAGAAAAAGTACACACTGAATTTTGAACACTTAGCACCAAAAAATGTAAAATATGTCAATATTGTTTATCTTATTTCTTGAAATAATATTTCAGATAGTTGGGTTAAATAAAATATATTAAAATTAGTTTTACCTTGTGTCTTTTTACTTTTATTAATGTGGCTGCTAGAAAATTTAAAATGACAGGCTGGGCATGATGGCTCACACCTGTAATCCCAGCACTTTTGGAGGCCAAGGGGGCAGATCACTTGTGGCCAGAAATTCGAGACCAGCCTGGGCAACATGGCGAAACTCAATCTCTACAAAAAAATACAAAATTATCTGGGCATGGTGGTGCATGCCTGTAGTCCCAGCTATATGGGAAGCTGAGGTAGGAGGATCACTTGAGCCCAGGAGGTCGAGGCTGCCATGAATCAAGATTGCACCACTGTACTCCAGCCTGGGCAACAGAACAAAACTCTGTGTATTAGTCTGTTTTCACACTGCTGATAAAGACATACCCAAGACTGGGCAATTTACAAAAGAAAGAGGTTTAATGGACTTACAGTTACATATGGCTGGGAAAGCCTCACAATCATGGTGGAAGGCAAGGAGGAGTAAGTCACATCTTACATAGATGGAAGCAGGCACAGAGAGAGAACTTGTGCAGGGAAACTCCCCCTTATAAAACCATCAGATCTCATGAGACTTCTTCATTATTATGAGATCAGCATAGGAACAACCTGCCCCTATGATTCAGTTACCTCCCACCAGGTCACTCCCACAACACATGGGAATTCAAGATGAGATTTGGATGGGGACACAGCCAAACCATATCACCCTGTCTCAAAAGAAAAAAACAGAAAGAAAGAAAAGAAAATTTAAAATGATAAATACTTGTCCCATTATAATTTTACTGGACTGTTGGTCTAGTTTTGATGAGAAAGCATATAGGGAATACTTTACCCTAGCTCTACACTATACCTGAAAGCATGGGATTGAATGATGTCTCAAAGGAGGGAATTTTAAAAGGGAAAAAAGAGGAACTGAGAAGATAATCTTAGGAATTCTCACAATTAAAGAGTAGAGAAGGTAATAAGCAGAGGAGTTCATAGCTTCATCTCCTACATTTCCTATTATATGTTTATGTAAATATTTACTGAAAGAATAAGTACATGGAAAATGAATTAATGTTTGCTTAATTTAAGAAAGTTCTTCATGCTGCTCAGCAAACATTCTTTATTTCCCTAAACCCCCATCTACTTTCGTTCTCCTAAACAACTATTTCCTTCCGTCTCTTCAAACCTTGAACCTCAAATATTTCCTCTCCTATCCTCACTGTCAGCTGATGATCTTGCATCCCCATTCTTTAAGAACCAGAAGCAATTACAAGGGAAGGAACCTCTTCCCTAAGCTTTGCTCCCACCCACCTCATCTGGTCTGCATACCTTCATACCCATCTCCTCTCCCTTTACCATGCTCCAACTTAGCCAACCCTTCCACTTGTACAATAGGTCCCAGCTCCATTCGAAAAAGAACACGGCCCCAACAGTACTTTCTCTCCTGCACCATAATGTCCCCTCTCTACTGGATTGTTTGTCCAATCAGTATAGAAAAGTGCTGTTTCTCCCATCTTAATGCAGCCCTCTTTTGATACTACTTCACCCTCCAGTTATTGCTTTTTCTCTTCTTCCCTTTGCATCAAGATATTTTAAAAGAGTTGTCTATGCATGCCGCCTCCAGTTTCTCTTCCTTATCCTCTCCTGAATCTACATCAATCATAATTTCCACCATCCAGCTGTCCTTGTCAAGGTCACTAATAAAGTTGCCAAACCGGCTCTCAGTCCTTGTCTTATTTGACCGCTCTAAAGCAATTGATGCAGTTGGTCATTTTCATCTACACTTGGCTTCCAGAACAGCATACATTCCTGGTTTACCTTCTATGCCCCTGGCTGTTCTTTTCAATATCCTTAATTGACCCCTTGTCATCTCCCTGTCCTTTATGTGTTGGAGTGCTTCAGGGCCCAGTCCTTAGAGCTCTTATATTGTTTATGTATTTTCTAAGTCAATCCCTTCCATCCAAACACACCTGGAACACACCTGTAGTTGAGAAAGTTGGGTTTATTACTCACTACAACAGGGAGAACACATACTCATACATAGGTAACCATGATAGTTTTAGTAAGATGAGGTTAGAAAGGATTATTACAAGGTTTAGGATTTGGTTGGATGATTTTGGAGAGAGTCCAAGGAAGGGAAGTTTCACTGTGGACTGAGTGCTGTCTGAAACTTCTATGATTATCTCAATAAATCTTATCTATAGAGAAGGGCAGACTAGAGCAAAGCTACAACTGTAACTAGCAAAGAAGCAACAGTTAATAATCGAAATAGGAAGATAGTTGATCTTCTTTAAAAAATATTCATGTTTTGTCTGTGTCTATTTTTTCTTGATCCATTGTGGTCAGAGTGGCCTTGCCCAATGTTGGTGTTCAATGCAATTGTTTATGGGCAACAGGGGAACACCAGGGCTTAGGTAACAGTGCGAGGCAGGCTCCTGAATGTCAGGGGTTGCTTTTGTCTAATCTCATCTAATCCCATGACTTTAAATTCCATCAATATACTGAATATTCTCAAATTTATATCCCTAGTTCTTATAGCCATGAATGGCCATGACAGCCAAAAAGTCTTCACCTACAAGGCTTTTCATACTGAACATATCTGAATCTAGTGTCCTGATGGTCCCCTCCCAATCTGCTTATTGGGGTACACTTCCCCATCTTTGTTTAGATAACTCCATCCTTTCCAGTTATTCAGACCCCAAACCTTTCTTGACTCGTATATACTTTATCTATCATACATCTGATATTTGGCAAATCCTGATGGCTGCACTTACGAAATGTACCCAGAATTTGAGAACTTGTCACCTCTCCAGGGCTATCCCTCTGTTCCAAGTCACCATCATGCCCCTCCTGGACTACTGGAATAACTCCTAACTGCCCCCACCCTGATTCTACCTTTTCTCCACTTAAGTCGATTCTCAACTCAGCAGCCAGAATAATCCTGTTAGAAAATAAGTCAGATCATGCCACCCATCTGTGGAAAACCCTCGAATAAGTTCCCATCTCAAAGTAAGAGAGCCAAGAGCCTTTCTATGATGTGCTTGGTCTGGATCTTCTATCTGACCTCATCTCCTGTTATCCCCATCCTAACCCACACTGTTTTAGCTACACCTCCTTGTTGTCCTTTGAACACCTAGAAAATCATCTATTTGCAATGGTCTTCTCTGCCCAGATGACTGTTCAGGGCCTTTGCAATGGTCTTCTCTGCCCAGAAAATTTCTTCCCCAGCTATCTCCATGTATTCCTTCCTCCATTCCCCCAGGGTTTTACTCCAATGTCATCTCAGGGTGTTCCTCCCCAGCCTTTCTGTCTAAAATGGTAACCTCCCACGCCTGACATTTCCCCTCCAGATTACCCTGCTTTATTTTTCCCCTTAGCACTTACATTACTCTCTAGCTAATATACTATATATTTACCATTTTAGTGAATTGTTTCTCTCCTAACCCCCATAGGGACAGGACTTTTGGTTTTTTCACAGCTGTATAAAGAGTACTCAGTACGTATTTGTTGCTCGAGTGCTGTATTGCCATGCCAGAGAGAGTAGATACTGAGACTGAGGAGGATGGCTGCCTGGCAGAGCAGTCTGGCCCACATCTCCACTGGCTGGAGGGGTTGGTGTTAAATATGCATAGGTGTGATGCTGTTTCTGGTTCCGATCTCATTCGTGGATGGAGATGTCTACCTGTCGTGTATGCTCAAGCCAATGGCACTGTATCCATCTGAGTCATCCCTCCCTGCCCAGAGAGTGCCCCGCTCCAGCCATTCTATGTGCCTGTTTCTGTGTATCCCAGATCCTAGGCAGCCAGGCCCAGCATGAGCCATAACATTGTGCTTTGAGCTAGACAGCAGCGCCTGACATGTTGTTTTTCCTTTCTTAGATATCATTAGACAAAAGCTTAGCTAGGGAGTTGGAGGAATGTATCATTACAAACAAACAAACACAAAAATCGAAGACAGTAGCAGTTCCTCAGTTAGTAGCTGGAAGGGCCACAGGTTGTCAATAGCAGGATGGTATTCGGTAATCATTACCCTTCTCTTTTATCCTAATTAAATTATCCTAGTCCTAACAAAAGGAATAAATGAAAAGAAAGAGCTGACAGTAAATAGGTTTATAGAACTGAACTAGAAAGATTAGAAATTGCTTTTGTGCCAAATTGGAACATTTAATAAACCTTCTTAGAAATCTTAAAATGTATTGAGAGTATTTTCTTTAAGAGAATTTTCAAGTGTTGTATTTGCAAAATCTAGTGATGTGTGACTTATTCCTCACAAAATCCAGCCTGTGTAATTAATCTTTGATCAAAATATGTGTGTGTTATATACTTTCATATATTTATATTTATTTCTGTATATTTATTTTCATATATTTGTATGCTTAAATATATGTATTTATAAAAAATGGATAAAATTTTACCTTTTTGAGTATTTTTAAGTTTTGGATTGTCCTTGATCATAATAATCATAATAGATTAACATTTTTAATTTAGTTTTGTTCAAATGACTTAGTGTTGCTCCAAGCAGTTTAGAAGTAAACAGTAACTTTGCTAGCATCCGCATTATTTTCAAAGTTCAGAGAAAACAATTTTGTGATGGATGGAATGTTTCATAAATATAGGCCACAAGTCCAGGGTTTTCAAAGAAGGATGTATCAGATGGAATAATACCAGTAGTACTTGCTTCCTCCGTTTCTTTCAGCCATTTTATGTTAACAGTGATGTTACTTGACTGGCCTTAGAGGATGAAAGAATCAGACCACTGGAGACAGTGCATGCTGAATTTGGCATCTGCTTTTCTCTGCATCATCAGTTACTAGTGTTTTGTTTGATCTGTAACATGTAATAACAGATGATGGAGGTCGCAAGGTGTTTTTTTTGTTTGTTTTTTTTAAGTCTTTGTTCTCTTTATTTTGCTGTGTTAAATTTTGCACTTACTTTAAGAGGCTCCAGGTCATAGAAAGAATAGGTGAGCCTCTAATGGACAAGTCTTGCAGAGGCTGCCTTCTAGAGACAGGAAGCCTGGTTTCTGACTTAACCTATGAAGCAGTTAGGACTCTTCCTGGACCCAGAAAAACATACAATTGAACCAAGTCGTTTTATGCATGACCCATTCTACATAAGTAATCTTTGACACAGGATTATGTATACATATAGACTTAAATTCGATATCATTGCACCTTGATGAGCAACAAGTAGCTTAAGCAAAAAAGGGACTTTACTATAAGGATACAGTGGCAGTACCTGGAACCTAAGGCACCTATGAATGGTGCTGGGCCTCAGGAATGGGCAGGACCCAGGGGCCATATGCCTGGAGGTGTGCTCCTGTTCTCTCCCACTCCTCTCTTCACTTGCTCTCCAACTTCTCCGTTATTTGCTTTTCCTCTTTCCTCTCTCTCCTTTGCTTTCTCCCAGTTATAAAATCTGCTTTTCACTATGCAGTAAAAAGGAATGGATCCTTATTGGCTCTGGCTGAGTCAGGTACCCATGCTTGCCCATCAGTGGAAGTTGTGGTCAACTGGGAAAACATAGCTGGAAGGAGGCTCACAGCTGTAAAGACTGGTATGTGAACATCAGGGTAGGAGAACTGGGGGTGGGGTGTGGATGCTTCCCAGAAAGGGAACCGGGAAAACCATTTAATGTGTCTACTGTAATTCTTTCTGGTTCAGTGAGCCTTTTAGTGGGCAGAAAATGAGTTGCTCCCAAGTTTTAAAATCTCTCACAGTGCCTTTGTCCCTGTTCCCTAAACAGCCTTTTCCATGGTTCCCCTCCGCCAGTGGAATAAAGCCAAAACTAGCTTAAATGTAACAGGGAAATCCTTCATTTAGATTACATCAACCTAGCTTTTTCTTTTGCCACTGCCTCTCTTACACCATGAAGTCCAGAAAAATTGAACTATCTTCCATCTCCTGAAATGGCTTTATCTTTCCCAGCTCTTACTTTCACTTGGATGGTTTAATCTAGTGGCTATAGTTTTAGTATGCATCAGAATCACCTGGAAGGCTTGTTAAAACTCACATCATTGGAAGAATCCACAGAATTTCTGACTCACTAGGTCTGGGGTGGAACGCAAAATCTTACATTTCTCACAAATTCCCAGGTGATGTAGAAGCAGCTGGTGCTGGGATCATGCCTTGAGAAATTTAATTTCTCAGGAGTGCTCTTCCACGCATCTACATTTATGCAAATGTTAAGATTACTTCATTCTTAGCTGCTATGTCTTATTTTGTCTTCCTTAGCTGTTAAACCAAAAGTAATTTCTGTCTTTACTGTGCTTCTGTAGCTAGTTGGAATTCTCTTAAACCATTACCTACCTTGCATTACAATTAATTTGTAAGTGAATATTCCTTAAGGGTAATAATAACTTACCTATTTTTGCATTATCCATAGTGCATATCAAAAATATTTTCTAGGCATATCACTGGTGAACAGCAACAATTTTGACTTTCTCTTTACTGTTTTGGATGCCCTTTATTTCTTTCTCTTGTCTGATTGCTCTGGCTAGGACTTCCAGTACTATGTTGAATAGAAGTGGTGAAAGTGGGCATCCTTGTCTTGTTCCAGCTCTCAGGGGGAATGCTTTCAGTTTTTCCCTGTTCAGTATAATGTTGGCTGTGGGTTTGTCATAGATGGCTTTTATTACCTTAAGAATATTTTCTATATATTTTTAATTGAATTACAGATGTAGACCATAACCTTAAGAAATATGAATCCTTTCATAGGAAACTGGAGAGTATTTCTTATTTTTTTCTTACTCATAATAGTTGTACCTTAATTCTTGACTTACATGGTCCATGAACTACAGTTTGTGAAGAGGTGAGTGGATACCACTTTTGGATCATCTACATTGTGCTAGCTAACTTGCATATTTTATTTTAAATTCTGTCAGCAACCCTGAAGATACATACTGTTAATCTCATTCTACAGATGATAAAACTAAGTCTCAGAACAGCTAGGAAACTTGTCCAAAGTCACGGTAGGAAGTCACAGAACCAGAATTTGTAAAGGGCAGCCCTTATGATTTATCTTTTTTTTTTTTTTTTTGAGACAGAGTCTCGTTCTATCCCCCAGCCAGGCTGGAGTGCAATAGAGTGATCTTGGCTCATGGTAACCTCTGCCTCTCAGGTTCAAGCAATTCGCCTGTCTCAGCATCCTCAGTAGCTGGGATTACAGGCATGTACCAGCATGCCTGGCTAATTTTTGTATTTTTAGTAGATATTGGGTTTCACCGTGTTGGCAAGGCTGGTCTCAAACTCCTGACCTGAAGTGATAAACCGCCTTGGTCTCCCAAAGTGCTGGGATTACAGGTGTGAGCCACCATGCCCGGCCCTCTTATGATTTTTTATATCCCACACTTCCTTCCCATGGAGAAAATACTTAACACTGATCATGAAGTGAACTGCCAGCAATCAAAGAGGTGATAAAGTCCCTGGAACACAGCAGGTGTCCAGGAGAAGATGGCCCAACCAGGCTGCCAGGAAAACACTCCTGGCTTCCTGATGCCATTTGCCATGTGAAGCTGTATGCCAGATGCTGGATTGTGAGAATGGAGAGTCTTTCCTTAAAGGAGAAAAGTGGCTTCAATGATTAAGAAGCATGAACTTTCATCAGCTTTTTGTACTTCTTCTCATATATTACTAAAAATCTACGTTTTTTTTCCAAAAGTAAATTCTGTCTTTTTTTTTTATTCCTGAACTCAAATAATTAATAAAAGAACAGGCTTATATGCAAAATGTTACAACTACAGACCTTACTGGTTCAAGTAATTACTTGAAGAAATATCATATCTTAAAATATTTCCATCCAGTGCATCCTTTTTATTAGCACTCTATAAATTTGCTGTCACTGTGATATCTGCAGGGAATGCTTATAAATTAAAAAATCAAATAACAAAACTAACATCGCCACATTTTTTTTTTAACAATCTGTTCTGAAGGATCTGAGTAGATGCAGTTGAAATATGGACATACAGTTTGAGTGATTAGAATTTATAGGGGAAACAGTACCATTTCTACATGACTTTCATTTGCATTTGTTTGTTATTCTCCTAATTTTGTCTGCAGTAGCCTTGGGGATGAGTTCTGTTACATCGTGATATCTTCCTTTATATAACTAAGTTTAGAAGTCAATCAGACTACTGAATAAATTCATAATATCTAGTCCCATGATGTAGATAAAGCAGGAAATATTTTAGCTAATTCACTTGGGGGAGACTTCTTGATGCAAGGAATTGGAAATGGGAGCAAATATACAACAATGCTAAGTCATCACCTAAACCAAGCAATGATAAAACTTTGAAGCCCTTAGGTCAGGGAAAAGTTAGTAAGTTACACATTGCTGTTTAATTCTTGTTATGGGGAATACCCATCAAAGTGACATATTATCCACTGGAAGATTCGTGCATTCTTTCCTTCTGCCCTGTAGGTGGCAGACTTCTTGGCTAAGACAATTACCTCTTCTTTTGTGGCATTTGGGGAATTAGCATACCTTTCTTCCAGTCCTTTGAGAAAGTTCTCTGAGACTAGATTCTTGATGCAAAGGTCTTAATGATAAAGAAGTTCTTTGTAATTGCATGGTACATTTACTCTGTGGCAAAAGCAAAATAAACATTCTTTTCCATGAATAGGAAGATCTTTACGCAAAGGATCTTAAAAATTGACATAATTACTCACTAGAGAAACTATGCCTATTCTAGAAGGGACAAGGGAGAGATTCAAATAATAGGGAAAATTCTGTGTACTACCACAACTAGACAGGAGGGTATCTTTGCTTTTATTAATGCCTAGAGGAGTCTGTCTAAGCTTTATAAAACCTCTTAACCAAATGGTGTTATTGCCTGTGATTCTGCAGGCAGGGGTGGCAGCTGCATTTTAAGCAACCATTTTCCACTGAGTTACCCAGGTAAAGAAAGGAAGTTGAATATCTGACCTATGGGTAGAAGACATGTCTCAACCCTTAACCCTCACAATTGCAGTGAGCCATCTTCTCTTGGCATCATCATTTGCTCCCTAAAACTGGATCACTTCCATTCATAAACAAATGTGTTCTAAAAAAAGTTCACCTTAATAAAAAAAGAAAAGAAATCCTCCCAAGCTTGACTCAACTCCCACTTGTGCCTACAAAATCATTTCTATGCTTTCTCTTGGAGCAACACGTGTCAGGTGAGACGAACTGCCTACCCAGGTCTTCTTTACTTCTCTGTCTTATTCATCCTGTGGTTAAAATAGCCTTTGTATATTGTTGATTCTCAATCTTCATCTCAAGGCTGCACAGTTCCTCTGCACTTTAGACTCCTATGTTCTATTATATTACTGGATGTTTACTAGGTACCTAAAACTTGATACATTGAAAATAGAGAACATCTGTGGTGGCAGATGCCTGTAGTCGCAGCCACTTAGGAGGCTGAGGTGGGAGGATCTCTTGAGCCCAGAAGTTCAAGGCTGCAGTGAGCTACAATCCTGCCACTACATTTCCAGCCTGGGCAAACAGTGAGAACCTGTCTAAAGAAGGGGAAGGAAGGATAAAAGGAAGGAAGGAAGAGAGGAAGGGAGGGAGAGGAAGAAACAATTTTCCACTCTCCACGCACTAAAATCTGAGCCTTCCTAGTCTTCCTCATCAAAGAAAATAATAACCCCATTCACCCAGTTATTCAAGCCAAGAACTTGGTAATTAACCACTTCCCTTCAACCCTACACTGCCAAAGAAGAGGCTGGATCTGAGATATACATTTGGAAGTGATAGAACTTGCAAGATATCTTGGTGGTTTTGATCTAGGGGGACTCCCTATATCTACATTGACCCCTACAGTCCCTTTTCCAAGGATCACTGGGAGTCATAGTTTAAACACTTAAATCAGGTCACTCCTTCTACTCAGAATTTTTAAATTTACTCCTATTTCTCTTACAGAAAAACCCAAATTCCCAAACTTGACCTATAAGCATTGGTATGATCAGACTCCTGCCTGCCCCTCCAACCTTACTGCTTACCTGTCTCCCTCACACAGGATGCTCAAGCCACACTGGCTTCTGTTAAATAAAAATTATAGAAGTCCATTGTTTTGAACTAAGATCCTGCACTTGGCTCCAACAGATAAAGGGCTAAAAGATAAAAACTCACACCAAAGTTCTGTCACCAAACAACCAATTTCCCAAACAGGCCAGTTTCAATCTTCCATTGGCATGATAATGAAGTTCCCTCTGCTTTAAGTTATGTTTCCACTGTTCTGTCTCCCTACTCCCGCCCTGCAAGAAAAGCAACGCTGAAATGACCCTCTACTTCATGTTCCTTGTTTCTGCTTTTTTCCAGTCCTGTTAAAACTAACCCCCTCTGATCAACTCATTGGAACACTTACATTTTATGGATTCTAGATTCACAAATAAAGCCAATTGAGGTCTTTAAATTTGTTGTAATTTTGTCTTTTGACACTCCTTTCTGTTCCTTGAACAGGACATACTTTTTCCCATTTACCTGAGGCCTCTGCCTTGTTATTGGTTTTCCTTGCTCTTTTCTTGGCAGTCCCAGTCTAATGTGTCCCTCCACCCCCCACCCCACACACACCACCTTCCCAGACCTTCCCAGACCACCACATGATAAAACAGCCTCCCTAAAGGCAGCAGGGTTGGTTTCCATCAGGGCACATATACCTCTCCCTACACATCCCCACACCCCTGTGCCCACCCCCAGTCCCCTGCCCCTGTAATTTAAAATCTCCTTGCTGGTTTGTTTGCTTACTTCCCTCTCTGGTTCACCACGACAGGTCGAGTACCTGGCACAGCTTGTGGCACACAGTAGGTTTTTCATTGAAATTTATTAAACGTGAATAGATAAAAGTTGGGCTTGCCCCTACTAAATTTGACAAAGTGAAGTCAACTCCATGTCAGAAGCCCTTTATCACCCCACCCCAGATTCCCAGGGAATTAACTCATCTTGAGGTATGATGGACCAAGATCAGATCTGTTGCACTTTCCCCAAGCTATTTGCAACTTAATGGAGAGGGAAAGAGAAAGGAACAAGAAGTTTTTGTGTATGTGCAGTTCACATTTTGAAAGTGAAGCAAATGCGCTTATCCAAATGTGAAAAGTAGCCTGGATGATCCTCAGTATCATTCTGTTTTATAAAGGATGTACCATTCATGTTTAAGAGCCAGTGCATGCTAATATTTCAGAGGAGATGGGTACTTTGAGAGTCTGATGCAAGTTTAGACAGAAATCTAAATGAAATGCATATACGTAAAGATAATTACATACAATTTGAGTGGGGCATGGGCCTCCAGAAACCTATCCATTATGCATCCTGAAGATCCTAAACAAATCGTCCTTCTATTTTACTATGTGAACAAGATTCCACTTTCTTTCATGGTAAATCCTGGGTCATTGATTTTGTTTATAGCTCTTCCTAAAGCAATTTGAACTTCCCCACTGCCCTTATAGCTTGAAGAGAATATGTTAACTGGGAAGAGTGAAAGGAAGGAATACTAACATGTGTTAGACACGAAAATGTATCCAGCACTCTGCAATGCAAGTTCTGAGGAATTTATTTCTCAAATTTAATTCTCATATTTATTTATTTATTACAGAATTAAGTTATCACATTTAACTATAAAAACAATCCAGTAAGACTGTGAGTCCCATTTTTGCAGACTGAAAAACTGAGGGAACAAAAGGACAAATAACTTACAAATAAGAAGTTTATGATGGAGCCTAGATTCCTATCCAGATTATAAATTCATTTTCTGAATCTTATACTACATATTCATATTTTAAAAGTGGCTGATTCATTCTTTCATTTAACTAATGATCTGGACACCTCCTCCTCAACTCTCTGACTTCGTCTTCTGTTGCTCTTCCCTTTGCTACTTTTATCCAAGCCACATTGGCTTCCTTCCTATTCCTTAATCTAACATCCTTAAGGAAAAGTCTGCTATAGAAGCTATTAATAGACTATTGGTGGTGAGTCTGTAAAATATAATTATTTATATGAATAAGAATCTATACCTTCTTAAGAAATGTATTTTGGTAAAAATTATTTAGAAGATGATTGCCTCTACTAAGATACTTGCAATATAGATATATTTGTGAAATTAAAACATATTATCCATTCTAAAGAAACAATTACTAATTAAAATGGTTACAGAACAAATAGTTTTACAATAAAAGCATAAACAAAATCTCATTAAAAATGTGCTAATATTTTACCCAGTTTGTAGATATTAACTCCAATTCTTTTAAACAGCGGCAGATTTATTTATGGAAACTGCAAGCATAATGAGTTCAAATATTCTACTACATTCTATATAACACATTTACTGGCCAAAACATGGCTTTTAAATTGTGACTATTGGAAAAATACTGCACATTTTTATATATTCATGTCCTTTTGCTTTTTAAAATATACTTTTTATATATTCATGTTCTGTTGCTTTTCTGGAAATAAAATCACTCTCTTGACCTGTGAATATTAGTATATAACTGAGAAAACTTATAAATAATGAAGAATCCATTTCGTATGGTGAACATATTAAAATTGTTGTATGGTTTGTGACTCCCACAATCACTGTAAATCTTTCATGGGTGAATTTTCCTCTGTGGCCTTCAGCCATGCTCAGACATGCATTTCCCATTCCATACCAGCTAGCTATTCTCCTGCTGTTAGATCATGTACCACCAAAAATTAATTTTCCTACCCAGACATTATTATAATACTGAAGTTGCTGTGAATCCTTCCCTATCCATATTTTTATTTTCCCTCATATGTATCTATTTATAAAGAGTGTATTATACTATGCTTTTATTTGTTTCTATCACCACTATGCTCTCAATATTTGGCCAATGTTAGTACATGAAGATATAGTGCATTTATTTTAACTCTTACATAATATGTCATATATAAATGGTAATCTACATTGTTTCCAATTTTTCACTATTAAAATCAATGCAGCTATTAACATCCATGGCACATACATGAGAATTTCCCTACTATTACTAGTATAGAATGCAAATTTTCAACATTACTAGATATTGCTAAACTGCCCTCTAAAGTAGTTTGACCAATTTATTCTCCCACCACTAGTATTTGATAATTTCCAATTCCCTATAACTTCTCCCATATTTGGTACGGCCAGATATTTTCATTTTTTTTTCTTACCTGATGAGACATAAAATTTTATGCCCTTGATTTTTTTTTAAACTTGTATGATCTTGATTACTGGTAAGCTTGAACATTTTCTTATTTATTGGCCATTTTCTTATGCCTTGTTATAAACTCCTTGTTCCCATTCTTGAGTTTTTATTCTACTCAATCAATTGGTTTTCATTTCTTACTAATTCGTTGGAGTTATAAGCCTGGAACCTAATCTTTTTATTTTCATTTGTTTTGTTATATAAAAAGACTCAAGTATATATAACACAATTATCATTTTTTGATCTGTAACTGGCCTTTTAGCTTTTTATTTTGATATACTACAGCTTTTAAGTGGTTGTGGTGTAGTTAAATTGATCTGTCTTCTCCCTTTTGGCTTGTTTTTGTTTTGTTTTGTTTGGGTTTTGTTTGTTTGTTTGTTTTTGTATGCTTTTAAAGAACTCTCTTGCTATTCCAAGGCAGAATATATATGTATAGATTCCCCTATATTTTCTACAAAATTTAAACTATTTTTGATTCAATATCTATGTGTTTAAATTTGTCTGCATTTTAGTTTGTTTTAAATGTCAGCTACAAACTCAATTTATCTTTGTATTTGTACAACTTATTACTTCAATGTCAACAATAATCTATCCTCTCCTCACTGATTTTTAATGCCATCCCATTAATTTGATGTTTTATATGGTCAGTTTCTGAGATCTCTATTCTGTTTTGTAATAAAGGTACAAAAATAATAACTAGATATCTTATAGGCATGTTATGGCTATTATTGCTACTTTGATTTTTTTGAATGTAATATTTTTCTTTGCTTCTGTATTACAAAAATATTCTTAAATGATTCTTATATACAACAAAATTATTACTTCTAAAATCTGTCAGTAAGTGCTCTTGGATTTTCTATGTACATACTCATGCAACCATTTTGTTCTTTATTTTCCATTCCCTACATACTTTTCTTAACTTTATTGCATAGGCTAGGACCTAGCTACAATAAATATTAACTGACTGCATGCATCCTTGTGGAAGAAAGCAGCATTTTTACTACTAATTTAATGCTTTAAATTATAATATTAGTATATTTAGATGTTCTCTTCCTATGTTGATATTGAAAATTTATATTTAGAAAATCGTTCAGTTAGTCTAAGATTTCAGGTTATTTAGCATAACATGTTCAAATTCTTCTCTCAGAATTTAAAAATCTTCACTAGATCTGAAATGATATCTTTTTTTATTTCTCATATTGCCTGTATGTGTTAATGTGTGCTTTTTAAATTGATCGATTTTGCCATGGGCTTGTCTATTTTAACATCCTTTTCAAAAATCCATCCTTTGTATTTTGTTAGTAATTTCTCCATTCTTTCTGTTTGCTATTGTATTACTTTGTGCTTCTTCTTGTATGCTTTTCCCCTTCCCACTTTCATTAGAGGTTCTCTGCTATTCCTCCTCTAACTGCTTGGGTTGAACCTTCTTTTATTTAGTTCCAAATGATCTATTTCCTGATATGTACATTCATTTTTGGAAACTTCAATTGAAGTGATCGCTGTATGCCACAAGTTTTTATATATACTATGTTCACTGATTTAGTTACAAATATTGTTTGATAGCTATTTAACTTGCTTCATTAACTCATGAATTATTTAGAAGTCCATTTTTAAATTTCCAGCTATATGGGGAAGTTGGGGCTATTTTTTATAGTTGGTGCCACATTTTATTAAACTTATTTCATGGAATTTTGTGCTTCTTCTTTTGCAGTCATCTAGAGTAATAATACCAACTAACATTTTTCAAGTATTTACCATGTGTTAGGCACTATTCTAAACAGTTAATATGTTTTAACTTGTTAAAGCTCACAAACGCACAAGGTACTATGATGATCAGTAATTTACGAATGAAGCATCTGAGCCATAGCAAGATAAAGTAACTTAACCAAGTAACACAGCTGGCAAGCGGCAGTGCTAAGACAAGCTTAGTCAAACCCATAGTCTGCTCCTATAACCACCACAAAAAAACCTACCTCTGAATTTAGTGTGCTCGAGAAAATGGATATTTGCGTTTTCAGAGCATGCAGTCATACACGCATCTGTCATATCAGCTTCAGTGAGTTATTGAAGTCTTCTATATTTTTTCTAAATATTTTCATCTAATTTATTAATTTCTGAGGTAAGGTGTTAACATCTCCTATTTGGATAGATTCATCTTATTTTGTTAATGTTTTGCTTTGTACATTCATTTTAGTTCATAATGCATATTTGATATCTTTATTAATATTTCTCTTTATCTTTACTAATGGTTAACTATAAATTCTATTTTGTCTGATATTAATTTACTATACCACTGTTTTTTCTTTTTGTTCTAATTTACCTGGTATATCATTTTTCATTTTTAATTATTATATATATAAACATATACAAATATATACTTGGTTAACTTACTTTATCTTGCTATGTGTGGCTTTTTTTTTTTTTTTTTGTAGAGACAAAGTCTTGTTATGTTTTCCAGGCTGTTCTTGAACACCTGGCCTCAAGCAATCCTCCTGCCTCAGCCTCCCAAAGTGTTGGGATTACAGGTATGATCCACTATGCCCAGGACATCAGTACCTTTAAAGATTACCTTCCCATTTCATTCCTATCCATTTCACAGTTTCACTGTGATGTTTCTAAGTGGGCCTGGTTGTTCCTTCAGTCTGGGAATTCACTTCTCTACTACATACAGTTACCTACTTGGCTATTGCCTCTCCTTCATTATTTCTATACTCTTATTCTGGAATTCCTGCTTTAGATTTTTTTTATTCTATCCTCGACAGCTCTATTTCCATATTTCTAGGTCTACGTATTCCATCATGGGTGATTTCTTTATAATTAACTTCAAACTCACTAATTACTTAATTAGCTGTCTGGTCCATTGTTTGTCCAATCTATTGATAATTTTATTTCTAGAAATTTCATTTTAGTTCTTCATAACTGCCTACGAACCTTTAAGTCTATACTTATATACATATATACCTATGTATACATACCTATATATATATGCCTATATAGCTTTAAGTCTATACCTTTTAAGATATCAAATTTATTTTTTAATGTCTCAGATTATTCTATATTTCTAGACTTGATTATTTGCTGATTCTACTTCAGACTGATTCATTTTCTGATATTGCAATTTTTTTTACTATGAGCTGTTGTGTTTTTATTTTGTTTTGGCAGTTGTTTTGCATGAAACCATCCCTACAAGAAATCATTTCTATAGTACAATCAGTGGTCTCTTCTGCTGGGACCCCATATATGGTAGCAGTTACAGGCCAAGTTTTGCATTATTTTCTCTGTTTGGGATTCCTACACACTATTGTGAGCATAGTGTAAATTCAGAGCCTACTCTGGTACAGGGCACAGATGTGGTCTTGCCAACCCATAGCCCTGGACAAATAACCAGTTTTCTTTCAGCTTCCTAAGGCTGTGGAGACTTTTTAGTACTGTGTTTGTGAGCTAAGCAGAATCCTAGCTCTGAGATTTGTTCAAGGAGCTTGGCTCCAATTCCAAACCCAGCTTCAGCATCCAGTATTGATTTCCCATGTCAACTTTTGATACTTCCTGAGCTCTCTTCACTGAGTTTCTTCTTTGTTTATAAAACTTGGTGATTTATCTTAGTTTTAGCCTTTCTTGGTATTGGAATTTTTAATATCATGCTTTTTCCAGTGTTTACATAATTTTGGCATGGAACAAAGAACCTTTGATGTCACATCAGTTCTTCATATCACTTTTGGTGTTTCCAAAGATCATCCTTAGGCTTTATTCTTCTAATCAAGAAAGAACTTTTATTTTGGTAACAGCTTTATAGAGATATACTTCACATGTCACACAATTCACGCATTTAAAATGAACAATTCAATGGCTTTTAATATATACATAGCACAGCTCATCTATCAACATAACCAATTTTAGAACGTTTTTATTACCCAAAAAGAAGCCCTATTCCCCTTACATACCACTCTTCAATCATCCTGTTCCCGTCCCTTCACCATCCAACCCTAGGCGATCACTAATTTACTTTTCCTCTTTATAGATGCACCCATTCTGGATATTCCATATAAATGGACTCATAACAGGTGGTCCTTTGTGACTTGTTTGCTTTCACTTAGCATCATGCTTTCAAGGTTTATCAATGGTGTAACATCTATGAGTAATTTATTTTTATTGCCAAATAATATTCCATTGTATGGGTATGCCACATTTTATTTGCCTGTTCATTAATTGATGGATATTCGACTTGTTTCCACTTTTTGGCTAATATAAATGATGCTGTCATGAATATTCATATACAAATTTTTGTGTGTATGTGTGGTTTCAATTCTCTTAGGTACACAGCTAAGAGTAGAACCGGTGGAATATATGGTAACTTTACTTAACTGTTTGAGAAATTGCCAGACTGTTTTTCAAAGTGGCTATAGCATCTTCCATTCCTGCCAGCAACGTAGGACATTTCCAATTTTTCCACATCCTTGCCAAAACTCGTTATCTGTCTTTTTTATAACAGCCATCCTGGTGGGTGTGAAGTGGTATCTAATTATGGTTTTGATTTTCAGTTCCCTGGTGACTAATGGTGTTGAGCATCTTTTCAGGTCCTTATTGGCCATTTCTATACTTTTCTTTGGAGAAATGTCTGTTCAAATCCTTTATCCATTTTTAATTGGGTTGTCTTTTATTGAGTTGTAATAGTTCTTTATATTTTAGCTACAACTGCCTTATCAGATATGTAATTTGCAAATATCTTCTCTTATTCTGTGAGTTGTTCTTTCACTTTCTTGGTGGTTTCCTTTGAAGTATGAAAGTTTTTAATTTCAATGTCCCATTTATCTATTTTTTCCTTTTATTTCTTATGCTTTTTGGTGGCATGTCTAAGAAACCATTGCTTAATCCAACATCACAAAGATTTATACTTTTTTTCCTAAGAGCTTTATGGCTCCAGATCTTACATTCAAGTCTTGAATATACTTTGACTCAATTTTTTTTTTTTTTTTTTTTTTTTTTTTTGAGACGGAGTCTTGCTCTGTCACCCAGGTTGGAGTGCTGTGGTGCAATCTCGGCTCACAGCAACCTCCGCCTCCCCGATTCAAGCAATTCTCCTGCCTCAGCCTCCTGAGTAGCTGGGATTACAGGTGCATGCCACCATGCCTGGCTAATTTTTGTATTTTTAGTAGAGATGGGGTTTCACCATGTTGGTCAGGCTGGTCTCAAACTACTGACCTCATGATCCACCCACCTCGGCCTCCCAAAGTGCTGGGATTACAGGTGTGAGCTACCGCGCCCTGCCTTGACTCAATTTTTATATGGTTTGAACACAGTGGTAATTTTTAAAGTGGTTATCACCTGTAACAGTCTTCTCTAAACTAAAGATCTGACAAGAAAATGACATGATTTGGGGCGTATTATGCATAATTGGTATCACAGCAATATTAGGGGATATGAGACATCAGCCTTCCTGATACTTCGATCTCTTTAAAAAGCATGGAATTATAAAATCTTAGTTCAAAGTCATTGGTCTCTTACATATTTCCAGGTGTGTGTTTTCCTATGGTTAACAGAACTAAAAGGAGACATTATTGTGGCAATTTTGATATAAGGAGGTAGTGCTGTCCCACTAAGAACTAAACAGGTCAGCGAGTTCTCACCAATCTGAGTCACTAGTATGAAGGGCTCTGAGGAAATAAAAAACTCATTTACATAGGCTAATTTCTTACACTGCCCCGATGCAGCCTTGTTCCAAACATTCGCTGTTGTGATTTACAAGAAAAGAAAAAAAGTAGTAAATTGGGCACTTTCTTACCCAAACCACTGTAGGTTTATTTGACATTTAGTTGTATTGACTGGAGACTTTTATAAATTTCTGGAAATTGATGTCAATATTTTCAAGTAATGAATCACCAGCAAAGAAGAAAAAGCAGAGGTGCTTTATAACATGGTAAATCCCAGTAAGTAATTCTTGTCTGCATTTCTTTCTATATTGCAGTATCAAAAAAATGAGACATTAAAGGAGGAAGAGAGAAAACGATCCTATCAAAACGGTCAGTTGGAACAAAAAATAACAATAATGCCAACAGAGAAATGAGAGGAGTGAAAAAAGCAGAGGAAAGCCAGAGAAGAACAGAAATGAGAGGACAGAGGTGAAAGGAGGAGACAAGACAAGAAACCCAGGAAAAGATGTTGTCATCTACCTGCTTTAAAAAGTGTGCAGTGTTTGAACCAGGGCCAAGGTCTTAAGTGGGATTCAAGCAAAGTAATAAATCCATAATGAATCTAAAAGTATTTATAAAGTACCTCAATATTAGTAACAGCTTACAGCAGAAAAAAATATATGATCAGGACCTAAGGATACTTTCTATCATAAAATGTTAATCAGAGAAAAAATGAAGTGTGAAAATAAAGGTGTGAACTCTAGCAGAGAGCATGGTAAGACATAGAGCTTGGCTGGTACCCTCTGGGCCCCCAGCTCTCAGGCTGGTGGGTGAGCTGAGTGCTCTCAGGCACAGGGCCAGGCTTAGACCCTGATGGCAGCAATCCCCATCCTGCCTGTGACCTCTCCAAGCCAGACCCACTGGGCCACAGCTGGGCCCCCACCATGCCCAGAGTAAACAACACTACTGTGTGAAGGGCATGGAAGGCTGGGAAGAACACGGCAACCCCAACCCAACAGGGGCATCAGGAGTTGAAAGAGTGGGCCAGTGTGGACTCGAGCTCTAGCTGCTCAGCCTCAGGCTAAGGAGCTGTGCAGATCACAGATCTGAGGTGACCACTGTGTCCCTAGTGAACAAGATGCCACTCTGTACTGTCCCTTAAGGGGCCTAGAAAATGAGCTGA
This sequence comes from Homo sapiens, assembly GCF_000001405.40. Classification (NCBI taxonomy): domain Eukaryota; kingdom Metazoa; phylum Chordata; class Mammalia; order Primates; family Hominidae; genus Homo; species Homo sapiens. Next base: position 126,868,434 of record NC_000007.14, read on the forward strand.
GACTACAAAAGTTGGTTAATCAACACCAGACCTTGATGTTGGAAGAGAGAAATGGTAGAACACTGTGCCACACTTGGCCAACAGGATGTGTCTGCCATCCTTTGGGAAGATTAAGTAGACATTAATAGAAGACCAGTGTATATACACATAACTCAGAGATAGTGCACGTTTTGTTCTAGACTACCACAATAAAGTGAGACACATGAAATTTTTGGTTTCCCAGTATGCATACAAGTTACGTTTACACTGTATTATATTAGTCTGTGATAGCATTATATCAGAAAAACAATGTGCATACCTGAATTTAAAAATACTTTATTGCTAAAAATGCTTTCAGCATGAGCTTCAGCAAGTCACTTTCTGCTGGTGGAGGTTCTTGCCTCCATGTTGATGGAAGCTGAATCATCTGGGTGGTAGTTGCTGAAGGTTGGGGTGGCTATGGCAATTTATTAAAATAAGACAACAAAGTTTGCTGCATTGATTGACTCTTCCTTTCACATAAGATTTCTCTGTAGTATGCAATGCTATTTGATAGCATTTTACCTACAGAAAAACTTTTCAAAATTGGAATTCAATCCTCTCAAATCTTGCCACTGCTTTATCAACTAAGTTTGTAGGAAATTATAAGTCTTTGTTGACATCTCAACAATGTTCATAGCATCTTCATGGGAAATAGATTCCATGTCAATAAACCATTTTCTTTGCTCATCCATAAGAAGCAGCTCCTCATCTGTTCAAGTTTGATAATTATATTGCAACAATCCAGTCACATCTTCAGACTCCACTTCTAATTCTAGTTCTCTTGCTATTTCTACCACATCTGCAGTTACTTCTTCCCCTGAAATCTTGAACCCCTCAAAGACATTTATAAGAGATGAAATCAATTTCTTTTAAGACTATTTTGCCCTCCTCCCATGATATATTGACTTATTTCCATGAATCATGATTGTTCTTAATGGCATCTAGAATTATGAATTTTTTCTAGAATGTTTTCAATGTACTTTTCCCAGATCCATCAGAGAAGTCACTATGTATGGGAGCTATAGCCTTATGAAATATACTTTTGTAATAATCAGATTTGAAAGTCAAAATCACTCCTTGATCCATGGGTTGCAGAATGGATACTGTGTTAGCAGATACAAAAACAGCATTAATCACTTTGTACACTTCCATCAGAGCTCTTGAGTGACCAGGTACATTGTCAATGAGCAGTCATACTTTGAAAGAAACCTTTTTTTCTGGGCAGTAGGTTTCAATAGTGGGCTTAAAGTGTTTAGTAAACAACACTGTAAGCAGATGTGCTGTCATCTGGCTTTGTTATTCCATTTATAGAGCACAGGCAGAGGAGATTTAGCATAATTCTTAAGGGCCCTATGATTTTCAGAATGGTCAATGAGCATACGCTTTCACTTAAAGTCACAAGCCGCATTAGCCCCTAACAAGAAGATCAGCTTGTCCTTTGAAGCTCTGAAGCCAGGTATTGACTTTTCCTCATAGATTAAAAAAAAAAAAAAAAAAAAAAAAAAAAGTCCTAGATGGAATCTTCTTCTACATTGAAAATCTAATGTTTAGTGTATCCACCTTGATCAATGCTCCTGGCTAGGTCTTCTGGAAAACTTGCTGAAGTTTGTACATCAGCACTTGCTGCTTCACCTTGTGCTTTTCTGTTATGTAGATGACTTCTTTACTTAAACCTCACGAAGTAACTTCTGCTAGTTATTTTCTTCGGCAGCTTCCTCACCTCGATCAGCCCTCAAGAAACTGGAGGGAATTAGGGTCTTTCTCTTTATTAGGCTTTGGCTTAAGGGAACATTGTGGCTCGTTTGATCTTCTATGCAGACCACTCAGACTTCCTCCATATCAGCAGTAAGCATGGTTCGCTTGCTTATCATTTGCCTGTTCCTTGGAGTAGCACTTTTAATTTTCAAGAATTTTCCCTTTGCATCTACAGCTTGGCTCTCTGTTTGGCGCAAGAGGCCTACCTTTCAGCCTACATCAGCTTTCCATGTGCCTTCCTCATTAAGCTTCATCTTTTCTGGTTTTTTATTTAAAGTGAGAGATATATGATTCTTCCTTTCACTTGAACATTTAGAGGTCATTGTAGGGTTATTAATTGGCCAAATTCCAATATTATTGTGGCTCAGGGACTAGGAAAGCCTGAAAAAAGGGAAAGCAATGGGGGAACAGCAGGTTGCTGAAGCAGTCAGAACACACACAAAATTTCTCAACCAGAGATAGGGTTCGTAGTGCCCCCAAACAATTACAACAGTAACATCAAAGACTCCTGAAAACAGATCACTGTAACAGATTTTACAGTAAAGAAGTTTGAAGTATTGTGAGAATTAACAAAATGTGAAATCAAAACACTGAGTGAGCACATGCCATTAGAAAATTGGCACTGATAGACTTGCTTGATGTAGGGTTGCCACAGCTCTTCAATTTGTAAAAAATGCAAAAACTGCAAAGTACAATAAAACAAGGCATGCCTGTAGCATATGAAAGAGCTGCACTCAAGTTTCCCCCCATTTTTTGAGAGGAAAACTTATTTTGCTATATCTTGGCCTTCTGTATGTAAAGAAGTTCTAAGGTATGTTAGAAAATCCCACATCTTGTAAATGTCTTATTTAAAAAGAGGAAGAAAGAAGAAATCATAGGAAAGAAATGTCTTCTGAAAATGACTTTTGGATATGGAATTGTGAGACCATCTCTAGAAGTGACACCAAGAGACACACAAGTCCATGTTCACTCACTGGGTTTTAGAGGAGATGGAAAAGTCCACAAAAATGAATAGAATCGTTCTCTATAAGCCTATGCCAAGCTGGTCACATTTTGAAGATATTTTCTTATTATACTCATTGTTCTGTGTATGCATTTTATTCCTAATAAGTGTACAAATAGTTAACAATGTTAAGTACTTTTCTGAAATACTGAGTCTTTATAGACGTTCCGGAGTGCCTTATACATGTTTAAGGTAGTAATAAAAGAGCACATTTTATGAATAACCTTGATAAAATTCATACGACATTTGTCTTTTGGAAATGAAATAATCAAATCACCTTTCTGAGCAGTATACATTGTATGTGTGCACTGGTTCAGGGAACAAGGCAGAAGAAAGAAGAGGAAAAGGCTCCATGCCAGTCATTTTATAGTAAGCCAAGATTAGCCATCTTATCCTGAATGTTCTGTGCATTTTATTTTACTTTGTTCTCTATGTGGTATACATAATGAACAAATGAGTCAATTTTACAACATCTTGTCTTTCTAGTTGTTAAAGAGCCTGCCAATATATGACCAAAGTAGAGTTTGTAAACTATTTTGTACATTTTGCGTTATATGGTAAAGACTGTCTTCTGAAAACAACTTGAGAATATGAAATTAAATCCATCTCTAAGAATTATAGATACTTGTACACATAGTAAATACTAGAACTGTTAAATTAAAAGCAAAGTGTTCAGTAAAAGAGACAACTTTGTGGTTGATCATAAACTAAAATACTTTTAATATATATGATTCATAAGATGTCTTACGTTTGCCGGTTCTAAACATCCTTTATATTTTATCATTTGCATGAAGAATGTGCAGATATTGCCAGCCCACACCCAGGGACCCTCACAGAGTAAACTTGTGTATGTCTATAAGTGATCTGGGTGTTTGGCTTGTGTCTTGGCATGAAAGCTACTCCTGCTCTTGATCTTTGCATGTGCATAGGATGGAAGGAAGGGAAGGGACTCTGCTGTTCTCAGGAGAACTTCAACTCTATGTCTTTATTTTTGAGGATGAGCAAACTCTTCAAAGGGCTGTTCTGCCCTATCTCTTATTTTCTGCTTTCCTAACCTTTCCCCATTTCCTCTTCATTCTGAAGTGCTAAGAACGTTTGAGAAGCTGGAGGACACATGCTTAGAACCATAGGGAAAAAGCCATTCACATTCCATTGTGTCATCAGCCCAGACCTCTTTGTCTTACCCAGAGGCCACTTCCCACCACCAAAAGGAATATTAGGAGTATTAATTCTTTCCGCTACTAAGACGTTGTTTAGGGTACCCTAAATAGCAGTCATCGAAATAAATGAAGCCTCTATTTTAAAGTTAAAGGGACACTAGCACTTTAAGCTGTTTGGTACAGTGTTTTTAAAGTATGGAAAATAACACTCACCTTCTTTTGAGACCATGTTAACATTTTTGAAACTGTGCATTATTCTTTTCAGTAGATAATACATTTAAGGTCAGAACTATGCTAGAATATCCAGATTCCCTGCAGTTGGTGTTCTGCCACTGAAACCTCAAAACCAGATACTCTCAGCAGTGTACTGCATATATTACACAGGTGCATCAAAGATTTATCACTCCTCTTGGTCCACCTCCGGGCAGCATTTCATCATCGAAGAAAATAAACTCATTTGAGCCGCTCTTTAATTTTTAAAATGAAAATCTATATCCATCAGGCATATGTCATAGTTTCAGAGTAAGAAAAAGAAGATAACTTTTGTGAAATGTCTTTTTTTCCTATAAACACAATTACAAAGCACTCAACTTATAAATAACATTTATTTTATATTAATAAAAAGAATTTAGCAAATTCCCAGTATTATGCTAGGTGTTCATACTCTCTACTCCAGTTTAAAACACACACCTGCGCATACATACACACACATACAGTTTTAAAGATGCATTTTTCCTCTTCTGGAATGTGTTACTATTGCTTCACCTTTGATAACTTTCATTGGGGAGCACTTTTCAACTTAACTTGTGTCTGCACAGTACATTCAATGTGGCTTTCTGATGAAATTGACAGGTCAATTCAAAAACAACCATATTCATTGCAATTTTTTTCTATTCCGAACATGACCAAATCCACCAAGCATATTAGTTTCCCTTAAAACTAAAGAACTTTTTAAAATTTAGGCTTGAGAGAAGCGAAACTTATTTTAATAACTGAAGGAAAAAACGGTTGATGCTTATAAACTGTGTATCAGATTTTGGCCTACGTGTTCCATATCTATATTATCTAATTTAACTCTCACACACCCTTAAGATAGTAGGTACTAATATTAATTCCTGCCTGTGTAACCTACCATTCAGAGAGTAAAATAACTTCCCTAAAGTTACCTGAACCCAGGAAATCTAGCTCCAAAATCAAATGACCAATCCCTATCCTATACAACCTCTCAAGAATGAGCACATGTAGAGGAGAATAAGCAGAAAATATCATTAGTTCAAATTAACTGGATGTAATTGAGGGTGAATAAGCCAAAAATGTGAATCTCTAAGTACCTGGCTTTACCTTTTCTAGAGTTTTCTTTGTCTTGAGCCATATTCTATGTTCAGGCTCTCAACATGGCAACCTATTGGGCTGAGACAGATAGAAAATGCATCCATGATCTCAAAAAGTAATTGGCCTCACCTATCCCGAATGCATAAAAAGTCTGCTAATTATGACAGAATTATGTGGACATTCAATTGTTTTTTAAATTTTATATTCTAAGTCAATATTTTGTAAATATTTTAGAATTAGTAAGTAGTGTTATTCTTAATGGGTTACCCCTGCCATGAATATTAGGAAAAATATATATAAATGTAAAATTTGCCTGCATACATTTTTGTTTCTGAAGAAGTGTTAGTCACTTTCATTCTTTAAATATCATTTGTGTTGTCAAATTCCCATGTTTTTTAGCTTTGCCCTCTTTCCTGAGTTTCTTCTCTAACTGCCTGATGGAATTCTTCACCTGGATACCCATCATGCTTTCAGAATCAACATTCCTGCAGCCTCTAAATCATTTTGGATTAAATGCATTCTCAATGATTATAAAGGAGGTGCATGACTGGGGTAAAATAAAACTTTTTAAATAATAAATTTTCTGACACAAGTTCAGATGTGACTTATATAAGTCATTGAATCCTAATTTCAGTCATCAAATATGGAATTCATCCAGTCTACTAGCTTCATTTTACAAACGAAGAGGCTCAGATCCTGACAGAAACTGTGACTTGTTCCAGATCATCATGAATTTGTACCTGGACTGCAACTAGAATCTTTAATCCTGATTTTTTTAAATAATAATGATGGCTGTTATTTTTCCACTGGGCATACCATGACTCAGATGCCATACTGACATTTTACTTTCATTATCTCATTTAATCCTCAACACGACCCTGTAAGTAAGCATTTTTATTCCCATATTACAATTGAGGAAAGGGAAGCTATGGGAGGTGAACCTATTCATTAAGGTTCACAAAGCTAGAAGAGTCAGAATCCCAAACCATGTCTGTCTCACTCCAAATTCCCTTGCTTCAGTAAGCTTCTCTAGGCCAATGTTCCTTCTGCATTGCCCATTTTCTTCCTATGAATGCAAATTACATAAACATGGAAGTACATTTGACCATTTTAATTGTTTAACAGTCCATGTTGCAGGACCTTCCACAATAGAATCAATGTATTAAAATGTGTAAATGACCACACTTTTTACACAAATGCTATGAATCCTTAAGGTTTTCCAATTTATAAAATATGTCTGCAAAGCATACTTTATGATGCTTTGTATTCTGTCAGTAATTGGATGTCATATATTTAAATTCTATTAAACTGCTTATTAAAATGTCCAGTGCCTCTTTTCTTGCATGGCCACAAATATTGTCACTATAAATCAGCACCTTTCAAAGTTAGTTTCATGACAACTCAAGATACTTCAAACTAATTTAGAAAGTCTCAAAATAATTCAAAAATAATTCATTTAGTTAACATATTTTGTAAATATACATATTCTATATATTAACTTGAATGTGGAATAAGTCAAGGAAGAGATATCAAATGTCTTTAAAAGGTATTACAACTGTAAGTAATCAAAGAAGGAAAAAAAAAAACAAACAGAATAAACTGTTAAAGGGCCAGAATACTAGGAAGAACTTAAATAGGTAGTAAGCAATACATACTTCCTCACCTATATAATATCAAAGAGTTTGGGATACCCACAGAAGGGACTGTGAAAACCTCTTAGACCATCCTCCGCATTGGTGTCTCCTTAAATCAATGGGATAAATACTGAAAATCTTGTCCAATAGCAATCCAATTTAAGAAGTCACCATAGGTATGAATAGCAAACAATTATATGTTCCCCATCATGGCTAAATGTATCTTGTGAGCCATCTACAAAATCAATTATTCAGCAATTCAGTTCATTTCATTGAGACAATATTAATAAAAGGATCAAAAGAACTATCGTCTAATTATGTCATACACAATAAATCACCAACTATTTATCAAAAACTGTTCTTTCCATTCTACCTCTGTGGTTATTGCCTTAGGTCAGACACCATCACTTCTCACCTGAATTAATGTATTAAGTTTTTAATGGGTCTCCCTATCTCCAATCTCACCAATCCCAGATTACCCTTTAATGATTTCACATTACCTTGAAAATAACTAGGCACTTATTTTTGTGCTCTGGTACAAAAATGCCTTTGTCTGTTGCCACACAGGCCATTATCTCATGGAAAACCTGTTTTCCAGCTGTGTCGAATTCAGTAGTATTCATAGACCCAACACAATCTCTTCTTGTCTTTAATGTGACGTTTATCCTGAAAAGAGTGCTTTTCTCTCACACTCCCTGTATATCTGGTTGGCTTATCCTTGAATATCCTACTCAAACTTTACCTTCCCCAAGCACAGCTTTCCATGATCTCCTCAATGCTGAGCTGCCCTTCTCTGTGCTCCTTTTGCAACAGCTGCCAAGCCATTTCTTACATGGCATTTACTGTCTCCTCTCCCAGAACAATTTCTTGAGGCTAGAAACCATGTCTTAATTATCTTGTGGCCTAGTATCTGAATGTCTGCAATATGGAAAAAACGCTCCATTGGTGTTTGTTGAAAGGATGAATAAATAAACATTTCCTAAAATTGCCTGATACTAAGAATCGCTCAGGTGCTAATTAAAAATTCAGATCCCCAAGCTAAGATTTATATTGACCAGTATGAATTGAGGCAGAAGATTCTGTACATTTATCAAGTATCCCAAATGATTTTCATAATGAGGAAACTGAGAGAATTTAATCATAACGGATAGGAAAATCTGTCTTTGCATGAAATTTCTCTGTCCTCTGTCTACGGGTTACTTGTTTTTGAGGTATCCATGAGGATACTCCTCCCCCTTTATCTGATACCTAACTGTGCTGTGCAAGAAAAACAAAACAGTTTTTCGTCATATAAGGGCATGAGGCTAATCTATCCTTAGCTCAGAATATAAACTCAGCAAGGGACTTAGATATGATTTCAACATTGTTTGTATTCTTTCAGCTAGCGTTTTCAATGTGGCCTAAAAATGTCATGACTCAGAGTACTTATTCGTAGAATTGCTTCAAAATTTTATCTAAACCACTAAAATTTCACACCTGGCATTGAAACTACCTAGTTTGCCTGCAAGAACTCCACTTACTTGGGAAATATACAGTACTTGCTGAGACTAACTTACTGTGTAATGCTTTATCCTATAACTCTAGGAATACAAACTCTTTAAAAAAAAAAAAGGCTGTTCCATGTTGCCTCTATTCAGCATACCTTACTCCTAATTTCCTGCAATATTCTTTTCACCTCTACTACTCAGGGCAAACTTTTTTTCTCAAAGTCACAAAGAAGCTCTGAATTACCAAATCTAACAAATTTTTTTCCCATACCCATTGGCTTCTAACTAACAGTATGAGACAAGCCTTTCTTCAATGCCCATTCCTTGTTGGATTCCTGGCCTTCCTCTTTCTCTCTCTGCAACTTTTTGGTCTCCTTCATAAACGTATTCTTTTGTTTTGCCTGCTTCTAAATATGTTTGTTCTATTTTGGAATCTAAACTTGTTGGCCTAGCAGTAAAGTTCTTCAAAGTTTGCCAATCTGTTTGGATCTTATCACACTAAACACCTCTCCATGTATCCTACGGTTTGAGCTGGCACTCGTCAGATGTGGTTTTAAAATGTATACTAATTAAAATTAAATAGAATAAAAAATTCAACTCCTCAGTCACACTATCCACATGTCAAGTGTTCAACAGCCACTAGTGGCTACCATATTGGACAGAACGTTCATACAACATTGCCTTCATGGACATAAGTTCTATTGGACAGTGCTAGTCTAGACAACTGGACTACTCAAATTTCTCATCTCTACACTTTAGCTCATTCTATTCTCTGTCTACCTGAAATGCGGTCCACCAACCATATCTCTTCCTATTCAGATATGACTTGTTCTTCAAGATTTATTCTTAATATTTACCTGTCTCCAAAGTCTTTACTTATCACTCTAGCTGAAAGTATGGCAGCCCACCTATGAACTCTCAAAGTTGTTTATACTACTGCTCTTCCCCATGTTGTTTTGTTCTGTCATTATTGGTGCAAATGCCTGCTTTCCTTGATCAGAGATATAATCTTTGAAGAGTTGATTGATAGTTGCCAACTGTCATTGAGCACTTTGAACATGAGAAGTTAAGTGCTTGATCATACTTCTCACATCCTCATAACTCCCCTGTGAAATATATGATGTTTTTTCATATTCACGTTAAAGAAACTGGGATTTACAATGATGAAACATTGGACAAATTAAGGTCTCAGGACAGGAGGTCACGGAGTGATGAGCCCTGAATTACTCTAGGTGGGTTTAACTCCAAAGCCCATGCCCTTACCCAGGGGAACACACTGCTTCTTGAGATCTCATTCACCATGTTAATGACCACCCCACAGCCCCACCACCTAACGCTAGGCATGCTCCATTTGTGAATGAGTGAATAGATGACTAATACTTTATATGCTTATGGTCATTTACAATTCACAAAACTTGTTGACAGCCATACTTGATTTCCATATGATTTCCCCAACATCTCTGAGGCAGCTCCATAGGAAATGTTATCTCCATTTCACAGAGGCTGAGAGAGTTCAGAGTCCTCCAGAAGCTCACATTGCTATTTAGTAACAGGCATAGACAGGACTTCAGCCTGTGTGTTCTGCCTTCAAGTTCTGCCAGCCTTTCTTCAAAACCTTCTGTGAGTTTAAAACTCATCAACAATCAGCAAAGGCTTAAAGAGTTGTTGTATCTTAATATATCGTCGTCTTCTTCTTTTTTTTTTTTTTTTTTGAGACAGAGTCTTGCTCTGTCGCACAGGCTGGAGTGCAGTGGCACCGTCTCAGCTCACTGCAACCTCCACTTCCCGGGTTCAAGCGATTCTCCAGCCTCAGCCTCCCAAATAGCTGGGATTATGGGCACCCGCCATCATGCCTGGCTAATTTATTTGTGCTTTTAGCAGAGATGGGATAGGGTTTCACCATGTTGGTCAGGCTGTTCCCGAACTCCTGACCTCAAATTATCCACCCATTTTGGCCTCCCAAAGTGCTGGGATTACAGGCATGAGCCACTGCACCCAGCCTTGAGATACTGTCTTCTAAAACTTGCCCTTTTTATTGTTTAAAAAACATGATGAGGCCGGGCACGGTGGCTCACGCCTGTAATCCCAGCACTTTGGGAGGTGGAGGCAGGTCGATCACCTGAGGTCAGGAGTTCGAGACCAGCCTGCCCAATATGGGGAAACCCCGTCTCTACTAAAAATACAAAAATTAGCCAGGCACAGTGGCGGGCCCCTGTAATCTCAGCTACTCGGGAGGCTGAGGCAGGAGAATTGCTTGAACTCAGAAGGTGGAGGTTGCAGTGAGCCAAGACGGCGCCATTGCACTCCAGCCTGGGCCACAGAGTAGTGAGACTCTGTCTTGGGGTGGGGTCGGGGGAGGGGGCAGGGAGGAAGAAAAAAAAAAAACATGATGAGGCTTAATGGTTTATGTCTAAGGGAGGGGAAGAGGCAATTTATTCAAGTTTTCAGTGCTTTTAAATAGCCACATATTTCAATCTTTATCATATTGTTTTTGCCCTAACCCTATTAGGATAACTTGCTTACATTAAGCAAAATTCTGAGAATGTTAATTAGCAATTTAGCTATGAATATGCATGATTATTTTTAAGTCCACTAATATTATGCATAGGTCTTATCTGTAATTATATCTAAATGTTCTCTTTTTTCTCTCCCTCTCTCTTTCTCCTTCAGGAAAGCCATTTAAAACACATTTGGGAAATGTTTGAAAAAATTAATTCTATTACCCTTATTTCCAGAATTTTCTTAAATATTTTATGGCTATATTTTTTCCTTCTCAAGGCAAAGCCGTACATCACCACATACATTATCATATTTGTTTACAAAATATGAGAGTCAAGGAATTAATTTTACACCAGTTAAATAACAGAAGAAAAAGTTATACTGTATTTTCTTCTTTATTATACTAATTTTTTCACATCCTTAAATGGTTTTATATTTTGTGGCTATCTGAAATTATATTTAAGGGCGAGTATTATACTACCATTTGTTTCACATCCAACTTGGAGCATTGCATATTTGTGTAGACATATAAGGTTAGTCAGGGGTGAGAGATAGGAGGATTAAACTCATCTAGTTTGCGTGCCCTTTCTCAGTCACAATGCAGTCTTTACAAACAATTTTTTCCTTTAACAGAAAAACTGAAAAGGTGTCTAAAAAAATAATTTGCCTTAAGACAACCTTTCTAGGAAATGGTGAAGATCTGTTTCAAACCCAGGCCTGCCTCATGCCAAAGCCTATGACCTTTTCACTATTAATGACCAAATGGTTGAATGACTGTTAAATAAGTCTCTTGGGTAAAACATAAACGTGCCTGATACCCATTCATTAAAATGTTTATTAGATGAATAAATAAATTGGTGGATGGAGCTCAATATAATCAGCTCATGTGCCTCCACACCAAAAGAGAACATTTTCAAATGAACATGCAGGAGGAATACATGATTACAAAAATGCTTCAGCAATGATTTCGCTTTTATAGGATTACTTGTCCCAAGTTCAACAGTCTTAATGCACATGCAATTTGCTTGAAGTCTATAATGCCCTTGGATTTCAAGCTGAGGAGTCTGATCATCTGGAAACTAAAAATTAAGGATCTGAAATATTGTTAACTAAATAGATTGAACTAAAATTAGCCTCTTAGGACTTAAAGTGCTTCCACATAAAGTCCAAGAGCTAGAAATGAGAATGATGTTCTCTACAATCAAATATTGCCTTAATTCCAAATTTAGCTTCTGCCACTTGATCTAATGTTACATCAAGGCATATGGGCCCTCTGCATGTGAAGAGCTTACACCAATTTAAAGCAAATGCATCACATGGGCAAGAATGCAAATTCCAATAGTAATAATGTTTCTTTCACTATTTATTTCATTCCTTATTTTTCATACTTGTTGCCACTTTGTGAACTTGCCTCCAATCACTTTACACTGGCTTATTTTAAAAGCCTTTTAACTGTTCTCCTTACTGTCACCCTTTTTTCCTAATTCCACTGTTCCTACAAATGGTTGCTAGAAAAATCTTCCCCAAACACAGCTTTTATCACAGGCTCAAAAACCTATCACAATTCTCTAATGCCTGGTCTATAAGACTCTTAAAGTCTTTCCCCCTTCTCACCAGCCTAGTCTTTCCCTGAGGCAGATTCCCTATTAAGAAGAAACAATATTTTGCTATGCCCTGTATTTTCTTATCTGTGCCTTTTGGCATGCTAGTGCTAGTGATCCTAATGTAGAGCTTTCAAACATGCTTTGAAAATTATCTTTGATATATTTTCATATGGCCTCTGTATTAGTCAGGGTCCCAGAAAAAAAAATAGAATTCATCCCAGAGTGTTCAAATAAAGAGATTTTAATAAAGGAGTTATTTGCATAAATTGTAGACAGACTTAAGGAGCAAACAAGATGGCAGGGCACCCAAAGGATAGCAATGGTGAGAATATAATACTACCCTTAGGGATAAACAGTCAAGGAAAAGGAGCAGTGTTTCCTTAGGAGCCCTGCATCAGAAGAGGTACAGAGGAGAACAGGGTGAAGGGAGTTATATCCTGAAAGGACATGATCACGGCCAGCGCACAGGACCGAAGTAGGACATGAAGAAGAAATATCCTGACCTCTTTCTCTTCCTGCCCTCCAATATCCTGCTAGAGCCTTCCATAGGCCCCACCCAAGATAAACACAGAGAGCAGAGAGTCCCAGTCATGCAAATGACAAGGGTCAGCTTCGCAGAGCACAGGGAAGACATGGAATAGTGTTGAGTGCATGGGGGCATGGCAAATGGAGAACAATTTGCACAGTCTGAGCTACTCTGTAGCCTTCTGGAGGATGGCAATTTCTGAGATATCCCACATTTGGAGTAAGAGAACAGCCACAGACCTCACTCTATGTGTCACTTTGAGCAACTTTGCTTAGTTAGAAGCTATTTCCTTACCTTTAATATAAGAGTAATACTCAGTTTGTAT